>NC_000016.10:85755682-86380682 GCF_000001405.40 Homo sapiens
TGTCTCCACTAAAAATACAAAAATTAGCCAGGCCTGGTGGCGCATGCCTATAGCTCCAGCTACTCGGGAGGCTGAGGCATGAGAATCGCTTGAACCCGGGAGGCGGAGGTTGCAGTGAGCCGAGAACATGTGACTGCACTCCAGCCTTGGTGACAGAGTGAGACTGTCTCAAAATAAAAAAAAAAAAAAGAAGTACAGGCTCTGGGGAGACAGGCCCCAGGAGTGGGGTTGGCGGCAAGGGGACAGGCAGGGACACCCCATCCATGCAGGAGGCTCAGCCTGTGGCTCTGCAGCCCCTGCTCTGAGATGCCCCCTCCTCATGCCCCACACCGGCCTCCTGAGTGTGTCCCCAAACACCGGCGCCCTCTATCCCCGCCCCCCACAGCTCTGCCTCCCTTAGGGCCAAGGGTTCCTCTTGCAGCAGCGGGAGCTGAGTCTCTCACCACTGAGCCCTATGCCCGGGCCCCTGGCAGGCACTGGTTTATTGAGCAGCATCAGCGTGGGGCCCAGGGACGTCGGAACAGCCTCTGCCTGAGATTTCAGACGGATGGAATGAACCTCACTTTGTCTTTCTGGGAGCAAACGTCGGGGAGCGAGGTGGCAGGGGATCTGGAATCCCCTGACCTGGGCTGAAGCCTCGGCAGCCCCTCACGGGCTGTGTGAGACCTTAGCGACATCATTCGGCCTCTCTGAGTGTCAGTGTTTCACCCCAGCATGGGCTGAGGAGAACCACTCAGAGGACCGCTGTGAAGATGGAGTGAGCGTGAATGTTAATTCACCATGAAGTCGAGGGAACCAGACGAATCATAGCTAGTGTTTGTGGTGAGCTGCCTAAGTTCCAGGCACTGCTTCAAATACAAACTTTGCATAGAGTTCTGAGGTCAGTACTATTTTGATTCCCCTTTTGCAGATGAAGTGACTGATGCATAGAGCGGTGTCCTCACTTTTGCCCCAGGTGAGTGGGGGTCAGAGCCTGGGTTCCCGCTAGGCAGTCTGATTGGGATTCTCACCGTGCTGTCCCTCAGTGGACATGGATCAGAGTCACACACAGTGGCCACCCAGGTGTTAAAGGGACGACAGGAAACAGACTCAAGCCCAGGCTGTTGTACCTAGCACAAAAAGCGTCTCCCAACAGAGGGGAAGTCCCAAGAATAGTTGGCCACATCATCAAAATAGCAAGACCCTGTCTTAAAAAAAAAAAGGCTCGGGAGGCTGAGGCAGGGAATAGCTTGAACTAGGAGGCAGAAGTTGCAGTGAGCTGAGATCGCGCCACTGCACTCCAGCCTGGGTGACAGAGTGAGACTCCCATCTCAAAGACAAAAACAAAAACAAAAAACCCCAAAACCAAAAAAAACCCCCAAAAGACTGGGCTGGGCGCACTACCTCATGCCTGTAATCCCAGCAATTTGGGAGGTCAAAGTGGGAGAATGGCTTGACCTGGGAGTTCCAGACTAACTTGGGCAACACAGGGAGACCCTGTCTCTACAAAAAGTAAAAAAGTAGCCAGGCATGGTGGTATGTGCCTGTGGTCCCAGCTACTCGGGAGGCTAAAGCAGGAGGATCATTTGAGCCCAGGAGGTCGAGGCTGCAGTGATCTATGACTGCACCACTGCACTCCAGCCTGGGCAACAGAGCGAGACCCTGTCTCAAAAACAAAAACACCACTGGGCAGAAGATTTCAGTAGATATTTCACCGAAGAAGATATACAAATGGCCAACACACACGTGAAAACATGCTCAACATCATTAGTCATCGGGGAAATGCAAATCAAAACCACAGTGAGATCCCATTTCATACACACTAGGATGGCTGTGATTTTTTAAAAAAAGAAAATAAATATTGGTAAGGGTGGGTAAGAATGCTTAAATTACTGCTGGGAATGTAAAATAATACAGCCACTTTGGGAAGCAGTTTGGCAGAATCTTAAAAAGTTAAGCATTTATTTACCATGCGATCCATCAATTTCACTTCAGGTACTAGCCAAGAGAACACATGTTCATATAAAGACTTAGACACTCATGTTCACAGTGCTTGACTCACAGTAGCCACAAATGGAAACAACCCAACTGTGGGTTGTGGGTCAACGAATGAACGGATAAACCAAATGTGGTCCAGCCAGATGATGGCGGGTGTCTTTGTTTTTTTGGGAAGACAGGGTCTCACTCTGTCACCCAGGCTGAAGTGCAGTGGCATGATCTTGGCTCACTGCAGCTTTGACCTCCCAGGCTCAAGTGATCCTTCCACCTCAGCCTCCTGAGTAGCTGGGCCTGCAGGCATGCTGCACCACCACAGCGTTTTGTATATAAAAATACAGTAATTTTTGTATTTTTTTGTAGAGATGAGGTTTCACCATATTGCCCAGGCTGGTCTGGAACTCCTGGGCTCAAGTGATCTGCCCGCCTTGGCCTCCCAAAGTGCTGGGATTATAGATGTGGTCACCCGTGCCAGGACTACGATGGAGTATTATTCAGCCATAAAAGAAATAAAGTGCCGATACATGCTACAATGTAGATAAACCTCAAAAACATTATGCTTAAGGAAGCCAGTCACACAACACTACATACTGTATGGCTCCATTTGTATGGAATGCCCAGAACAGGCAAGTCCTTAGCAACAGAGAACAGATGGGTTGTTACCTGGGACTGGGGCTGGGAAGGAGGAGAGCCTGCAAAGGGGCAGAGAGACCTGTCAGTTCACTGAAAGTATTGAATCGAATACTTAAAACAGGTGAATTTTACGACATGAAAATGCCTCCTTGCCAGATGCACTGGCTCACGCCTGTAATCCCAGAACTTTGGGAGGCCAAAGTGGGCAGATCACGAGGTCAGGAGTTCGAGACCAGCCTGGCCAACATGGTGAAACCTCATCTCTACTAAAAATACAAAAATTAGCTGGACATGGTGACACACTCCTATAATCCCAGCTACTCAGGAGGCTGAGGCAGGAGAATTGCTTGAACCCGGGAGGCGGAGGTTGCAGTGAGCTGAGATTGCGCCATTGCACTTCAGCCTGGGCGACAGAGCGAGACTCTGTCTCAAAAAAAAAAAAAAAAAAAAAAAGGGCTCCTCATTGAGGCTGTAATAAAACAATAATGGAGGGAAGGGAGGTCAAGGGAGGGAAGGGGTGCTTCACCCAGCACAGCAGCCAGGCCTTGACATGACCACATAACCCACAGATGCCACAGATGCCAGGCAGCCCCACTGCTGTGGCAGAGCCGAGGGTGCATGGGCCCCGCAGTCCCAAAGGCTGGCTCTGCAGCAGAGAGGGAGGAACATAGCTGGGCATGGCAGTGTGCACCTCTAACCCCAGTACTTTGGAGGGCTTAGGCAGGAGAATGGCTTGAGGATAGGAGTTCCACACCTGGGCAACATGGGAAGAAAACAAATTTAAAAATTAGCTGGACATGGTGGAGCATGCCTGTAGTCCCAGCTACTCGGGAGGCTGAGGTGGGAGGATCACTTGAGCCCCGGAGTTCAAAGCTGCAGTGAGTTACGATCGCGCCACTGCACTCCAGGCCGGGCAACCGAGTGAGAACCTGTCTCAAAAACACACATAGAAAGAGGAACAGCCTGGCCCCCGGTGGTGGGGGGCAGCCCTCCTGCAGGGAGGAGGTATGAGGGCAAAGTTGGTGCTAAGAAAACAAAAAGATTCACACGGAAAGAGGAAGGAAGCCAGAAAGCAGAAGCCATGGGACAGCAGGAGATGAAGGGGAGGAAAAGAGACAGGTGGGGCGCTGAAGACGACGGAGGAGCCGTGCCGGGCCTTGGGGGTGCCCCACTGATGCAAGCAAGGAGGGTCAAGCTGTCACGTGAGGAGCGAGCTGCCGGAGGTCCCCCATGAGTGGGGGCATTTGGGATTAGGAGTCAGGTCTCAAATTTCCTAGCCCACGCTTGGGACAGGAAGAATTATGGCAGTCTCCCACTCGCTCATTCATTCCTGACATTATTTCCTGAGCATCTCATACGTGCTGGACACTTGGTCAGGTGCTGGCAGTCTGGGGAACAGACAAGCAAGACCCCTGCCTCATGGAGCCTGAGGCCGTGGGCAGAGACCCTGACTGATGGTGAGTGTGAGGCGGGTGTGGAAGCAAAGTGGAGGGGCCGGAGGGGCAGATGGCAGGGCTGGGATTAGAGAGGGCAGGGCCGGGAGGGCAGGATCAGCAGGTGAGGAGGCTGATGGACTGGACCCGAGGGCATGGGCAGTGTGATCCTCGGAGACCTGCAGGTGCTGGGGTCCCATTCTGGAACTCTGTGCCAATGCTAGCAGCTGGCTACGGAGGCGTTTTCAGCAGGGGCGGGCGGTCAGATCAGTGGCTGCCTGGGAAGCCGGCTCCACCTGCTGGTGGGGTGAGTGGGCGCAGGGCAGGGCTGTTGGGGCACAGAGAACTCAGTCAGGAGAACGGGGGCTGTGTTGGGAGGTGGGCAATGCCTGGGTCGGTGAGCTCCCCAGGAGCCTATAAAGATGTTCCAGAGCGGAAAAAAAACCCTCAAAACTAAAAGCAAAAGATTGCTTCGTAGCCATAAAGAAATAAAGAATGACAAAGCTTTTATATCCTGTCTTTTTGTTGTTGTTGTTGTTTTTGAGACGAGATCTTGCTCTGTGGCCCAGGCTGGAGTGCAGTGGCATATCATAGCTCACTGCAACCTCCACCCTCTGGGCTCAAGCGATCCTCCCATATCAGCCTCCCAAGGAGCTGGGAGTACAGGAGCACGCCACCATGCCTGGCTAATTGTTTTCATTTTTTGTAAAAACGGGGTCTCACTATATTGCCCAAGTTGGTCTCAACCTCCTGGTCTCAAGTGATCCTCCTGCTTTAGCCTCCCAAAGTGCTGAGATTACACGTGCACGGCACTGTGCCTGGGCTGTTACGTTCTGATATGGAAAGATCTCCAAGTGAAAAAATGCAAGGTGCAGAAGACCATACAAATGTTCAATCATTGCATAAAAAAGGGAGGAGAGGCTGGGCGCAGTGGCTTAAGCCTGTAATCCCAGCACTTTGGGAGGCCAAGACGGGTGGATCATGAGGTCAGGAGTTCAAGACCAGCCTGGCCAATATGGTGAAACCCCGTCTCTACTAAAAATACAAAAATTAGCCAGGCGTGGTGGTGGGCACCTGAAATCCCAGCTACTGGGGAGGCTGAGGCAGGAGAATCGCTTGAACCTGGGAGGTGGAGGTTGTTGCAATGAGCTGAGATCGCACCACTGCACTCCAGCCTGGGTGACAGAGCCAGACTCCGTCTCAAAATAAAAATAAAAATAAAAAGGGAGGAGAACCTGGATCTGCACTTTCTGAAGCATAAAACATCTCCATAAGGTTCCGATGGAAACCAGGGCTTTTGGCTGCCTGTGAGGAAGGGAATGGGGTGGGCAGAGGTCCTGGGAGACTTTTTCTCTATGTCCTTTGTTCCTCCTGCAACTTGGATCATGAAAATGTATTATCTAGTCCAAAAGTTAAAAAACAAAAAAACAAAAAAACAAAAACCTTATGGGTTCTACAATATGGAGAAAACTGCAAAATCCAAGCTAATGAAAGTTTACTTGAGACACAGAAACTTTGTCATTAAGTGTAGTCTTCACAACGATTTCAGTATGTTTAGAAGCCAAATGAAGTTTAGCTTCACTAATCTTCCTGAATATGCGTGATTGCCAAGCAGTCACGGCCACCGTTACTTTTTTTTTTCTTTGAGACGGAGTTTCGCACTTGTTGCCCAGGCTGGAGTGCAATAGCGCAATTTCGGCTCAATGCAACCTCTGCCTCCTGGGTTCAAGCGATTCTCCTGCCTCAGCCTCCCAAGTAACTGGGATTACAGGCATGTGCCACCACGCCTGGCTAATTTTGTATTTTTAGTAGATATGGGGTTTCTCCATGTTGGTCAGGATGGTCTCGAACTCCCGACCTCAGGTGAGGTCGCCTTGGTCTCCCAGAGTGCTGGGATTACAGGCATAAGCCACCACGCCCAGCCCACCATTACATTTAAGTTAACTTTAGCCAAATAATTTCAAATGCAAAATTATAAAAATTAGTTTTTAAATGTTCCAGAACAAATGGTATTTAATGGTGTAAATGGGTGGGATTTTTTTATAAGCTTGCTGGGCTCAGGAGTGGGACCTCCCAAAACAAGAGAGTTGGAGGCCCCAGCTTTGCTTGGGGTTGACATCGTGGTATGGAAAGATGGGATGGGTGTGTCGGGGAGTGGAGAGGTAAAGTGAGTCCCTGAGACGTGGGGTGGGTGGGGTAGGGGCAGGGATGGGATCTGTGGCCAGGCGGATAGGGATGAAGCATAGCTCCCAGATTTCAGCCTTGTGCCCCACTCAGCCCATGGGTGAGCTTGCTTTGTTGAATTAATTATTTCCTGCCAAATTCAGGAAGTAGCAGATGTTGAAACCATCTCGAAGACACAAAGATTGGTACTTTGCTAACTGCAGGGAACTTGTTGCCTTCAAGCAATAGGCATTTCTGTTCATAGACCAATTATATCCCGAGAAGGACAGGAATGACATTTATTTGAGGGCACACCTGGGGACCTCACCTGTCCACACCTCGACAGAGAATCAGGAGGCAGCAGAGGAGCCTAGGGGGACCCAAAGCCTGGCACCAAAGACCACCCAGCGATCAGAGGCAAGAGCTGGCCCAAACTTTTGGCCTAACTGTACATATGCTGAATAAGCTTGGCTTTTCCAGCTGAGTGTAGCAGAAGCAGCCGTCTGAAGATGGTTTAGGTAGGCTGCGGGGAAGGGGCTGCAGGGAAGGAGGTTGAACACGCCGCCCTGCCCTGACGCAGCAGGAGCGAGAGCTGATGACCAGAGGAGGAGAATGAAGAACTGTGAAAAGGATCCCCAACATCCAAACAGGGTGGCCGCTGGGAGAGCTGTGGAGGGACTCCCAGTCCAGTGCTCTACGCCCAGTAGTGCCAAGAGCATTTTGGTCCAACAGAGTCCAGCCTCGTACCTCCCTACACCACCATTTGTCATAAAGAAAAGGATAAATGCCATTGTTAGACATTTCTCCCCTAAAACCATTACCATGTTTAATTAAGCATTGTGCTTAAGGGGCTAAAAGTCAGGTACCTGAAACCTTAAGTAAAATATTTTTTCCCAAGTGTTCCAAATGAGTAGGGTTTCCGCACATCTTTGAAAAGAGAGGGGAGTGCTGTTGAGTCCAGCGGGCTTCCCTGCGAGATTCAGACCACGTGCCCCAACTGTACATGGGTGAACCAGAGGCTGCAGGGTTAGAAGCCTTAACACTCTTCCTAAAGCCTGCCTGGCTCAGCTGCTCGGACCGGCAGCTTCAAAGTTAACTTTTCTCGAGCATCACAGTGGGCGCCATGGTGTGCAGGCCCCTGCTGGGGCTGGCCTGGGCACCGTGCCCTGGGGGCTGAGCACAGCTTTGGCATTCTTCTTCCGTGAGGCCTCTGGGGCAGGCAGAGCAGGTGGCTCGAAGCCTGCTACAGTGTGGTCCTGGCCCCCCGTGGGCTTTGGATGAACACATGGGAGGCAGTGCTAGAAGCATGGGGGTGTCACATGCATTGGCCAGGGGCTGGGAGGGGCCAGGGGTGCACACCGGACCCCAGAGGGGCCTGAGCTGTTCTGCAGGATGCTGCTTCCCGGGTCAGCGTGGGGCTTCCCGTGAGGCCCTGCCCAGGGAGTAGGCTGGCTGGGGAACGCTCGGGCAGTCCTTCATGGGCATGGCTCCTCAGCCCATTCACTCACTTCACCTCACGTCAGGCCCCTCACCAAGGGACCTGCCTCTCTGCACAGTCTGAGAACACCAGGGATGGGGCCAGCTGGGACTCTGACGCACCGTGGTCCTGTTCTCAAGGGTCTGTTCCCTCCCACACTCCTTCATTCGCTCACTTACTCGCTTCTTCATTCATTCATCCATTCATCCACTTACGAAGCCCTCCTGGGCACCTCCTGTGGGGTGCCAGGCCGGCAAGGCCTACGGCCAATAGAAATCTAGCTCAAGCCACAAGTGCCACTTACAATTTCCCAGTAGCCATGTTAAAAAAAAGAAAAGTAAAAAGAAACAGGTGAAATTCATTGTAATAACATCTTTCATTTAACCCAATTTATCCAAAAATTATCATTTCAGCATGTCATCAATATTAAAATTATTTTAATTTTCATATTAAATCAATATTAATATTTGATTTAATATTAAAATATTAAAATAAGATAGTTTCCATTTCTCTTCTTTTTGTCTTAAGTCTTGGAAAGCTGGTGTGTATTTTACATTAAAGCACACCTTGACTCGAGCCAGCCAGGGGTCAAGGGCTCTGGAGCCACCTGTGCCAGTCAGGACAGTGCAGGTCTAGGTCTAGGAATACAAAACACAGGGACACCCAGACCCTTTACCGAGGGGATCTCTGCCTAGTCGCGGAGCTGACCCTGATATAATTCCAGGCTTGGCCGGGCGCAGTGACTCACACCTGCAATCCCAGCACTTTGGGAGGCCAAGGCGGGCAGATCACGAGGTCGAGATTGAGACCATCCTGGCCAACATGGTGAAACCCCATCTCTACTAAAAATACAAAAATTAGGCCAGGCTCACGCCTGTAATCCCCGCACTTTGGGAGGCTGAGGCGGGTGGATCACGAGGTCAGGAGATGGAGACCATCCTGGCTAACATGGTGAAACCCCGTCTCTACTAAAAATACAAAAAATTAGCCGGGTGTGGTGGCGGGTGCCTGTAGTCCCAGCTACTCGGGAGGCTGAGGCAGGAGAATGGCATGAACCCGGGAGGCAGAGCTTGCAGTGAGCCGAGATCACGCCACTGCACTCCAGCCTGGGCGACAGAGCGAGACTCCGTCTCAAAAAAAAAAAAAAAAAAAGAATGACTGACCTTGAGAAAGCCACCTAATCTCCCTGTACTTCAGTTCCCACGTCTGAAAAAGAGGGATGACAGTACCTATGTCAGTGGAACTATTTTGATGTAGGACAAAAATACAGCCATGTTTTAATGACCAGCATCTGGAAACGGAAGCCCCTCATCATTAGCAGTCGTGAACATTTAGCGAGAGCTTGCTATGTGCTAGACACCAAAAAGCCACGTAAGCACAGCACGCATAAAAGGCAGACACTCATTATGCTCCCATTTTACAAGTAGGACGCTGAGGCACAGGGTGGTGAAGTAAGTTGCCCAGAGTTACCAGCCAGGTAAGTGGCGGAGCCAGGATTTGAACTCAGTCGGGTTCAGAATTTGCATTTTTACCCCCTTCTGTATACTGCCTCTAATCAATGCTCATTTCTTTCCTTTTCCAGAGATTGAAAATTATTTTTAAAGTCTACAGGTGCCACATCACCCACTGGCGCTTGGTGCCTAGGCTAACCCCTTAAGAGGCAGGTGGTACCTGCGCTGGCTGCTGACGGCTTACGGCTGAGCCTCGGGGCTGGGCCCTCTCCCTATGGC
The DNA here is from genome assembly GCF_000001405.40 of Homo sapiens. Lineage (NCBI taxonomy): Eukaryota > Metazoa > Chordata > Mammalia > Primates > Hominidae > Homo > Homo sapiens. The sequence goes on from NC_000016.10 coordinate 85,765,093, forward strand.
CCAGTATCTCTGGAAGGGAACCCCGGCAAACCAGGGTCCATCCGCATATCAAAGGTTGCTGAGGACTTCACAACCAATCGCCCCATCTTTCCATCTTTCAGCCATAAAAATATTTGACAGAGTGGTGTCTGCACAGAAGGGGGATTCCCTGAGTCCTAGAGCCCGCCCTTAAGTTGTCCTGGGAGCCTGGAGAGCCAGCTCACCTCCCCAGGAGCCCCTGGCTGCCTCAGCTGAGGATGGAGGGTGGTTACAGCTCCCCTGCAGCTCCCGAGAAAAAAGCTGGATGCTCAGAAATTCTCTTCCGGCAGTGACTTCTCCTCCATGAGCAAATGAATTGTGCATCAAATGAACGCGATCTTCCCTCCAGGCGCTGCCAGCCAACGGTGTGAAGAAAATGAACTCTCTTCTCTACATGCCATTTAATTTCAATATCTGATTTAATTTCAGTTGGAATGACTCATACTCCACCGTGCCTGGGTGGGGGTGGGGGCAGAGGTGGGGGTGGGAGGGAACCCATAGCGCAGCCACTGCTTTGTCCGTATAGATTTTTTGTGATCCTTACATTGCAAACAAACTGGAGTACATATGACTTCTGCTGTAAGAAACTAAAGATAGCATTTTTGAAAATTCACCAAAAAGGGGTACAGGAAAGTGCTGGGCACACAGTGGGCACCCAGAAGGTGGCATTAAGTATTGAGAGGAGGTGAAGAGAGAGGGCAAAGAGGAGGAAGCTCTTCCCACACCTCCCAGGGACCTGGGGCAGGGGAGGAGACCAGGCTGCTCCCCCGCCACACACAGGAGCTCTGCCCGGAGCCCCCTCCCAGGCTCCCACCCACCTTCCCTCCTACCTCTGGGGATAAGAGATCAGTAGCCACCTTGGGTCTCAGGGACCTCGCTCAGGTTGGGGACAGTCACTCGCTCTTCTGGGCCATCTGGGCTGTGGCTGCTCCCCGTCCCTTCCTGGCCCACTCTTTGCAGACTCTGCCCATTCAGACTAAATGCCTGGCCTTTGCAGAGAAGGGAAATTATCCTTAAGCTCAGGCCTTGCCGTTGCCCGCGTGGCTGTGGGAAGCTTTAATCCCTTGTTCCATATCCCACTGTCTGGCTGAGGTTAGAGGAATGGACCAACCCGAGCCCATGCCGAAGACAGAAGCCCATGTGGTGGGGGAACTAAGCCACTGCCAGGGAGGAAGACTGACGGTGGGCGTGTTCCCGGGAAGAGGAAAGCACTTCTGCAAATCTGTCCTGGGTAAGGCAGGTGTGGGGATCTTGGGGGACCCTAAGGGTGACACTGGGGTTAGTATGGGAGATTCAGGAAATGGTTTCCATACAGCATAGGGGGAAATTTCTGGCAATCAGCAGCGGGCTTGAGCTGCTCAAGACCCAGTGAGTTCCCCGAACGTCGCGGGTTAGGCACGGGCTGATCGCTGCACTGGATTTATTGGAGAGGTTGGATCTGATGCCTGTTTCATTTCCTTGCAACCCTGAGAGGCTTGGAGGAGAGTTTCCAGTTTCCTCATGAGAACTAGTTGTGTGTGGCCTCGGCTCTTCGAGGCTGGACCTCAGGGAGGAAAAGCAGAATCCAGTCCCCCACGCCCAGCTGGGACCCTTAACATGGCAGTGGGAGAGAGGTGGTGGCTGGTGGTGATCCCCATACTGGGGTTTCAGGCAGCCCAGGAGGGTTCCCCCTTCCCTGTGCCCCCTTCCCAGATCTCTTTTCCTGATGCTCCACTATTGTTTTATTCTTTCTTTCTTTTCTTTTCTTTTCTTTTTTTTCTTTTCTTTCTTTCTTTCTCTCTCTCTCTCTCCCTCCCTCCCTCCCTCTCTCTCTCTCTCTCTCTCTCTTTCTTTCTTTCTTTCTTTCTTTCTTTTGAGACAGGGCCTTGCTCCGTCACACAGTCCGGAGTGCAGTGGCCTAATCATGGCTCTATGGCACCCTCAACCTCCCGGGGTCAAGTGATTCTCCCACCTCAGCCTCTGAGTAGTTGAGGCTATAGATGCACGTCACCACGCCCATCTAATTTGTATATTTTTAATAGAGACAGGGTTTTGCTATGTTGCCCAGGCTGGTCTCTCAAACTCCTGACCTCTAGCGATTCACCTGCCTCGGCCTCCAAAAATTCTGGGATTACAGGCATGAGCCACCGAACGCCACCTTATTTTAAAATTAAGATAAAGTTCATGGCCAGGCACGGTGGCTCACATCTGTAATCCTAGCACTTTGGGAGGCTGAGGCAGGTGGCCCATTTGAGTTCAGGAGTTCAAGGCCACCCACTGTGGCGAGGGTTCCTGTACCCACTGCCAGACTCTGTCCATCCCCATCGGCTGACCCAGAAGTCACGAGGGAGTGACGCTCCGTGGAACCACGGCGCAGGAGGTAGCAGCTAGGGGCAAGAAGGGCTTCCTGTGCCATCTCAGCCGCCTCTCCTGACCTTCTCTGCCCAAACCCCCACAGACTGTCACCTCCCTGCCACCCGGACTTGCAAATGGGAGCCCCACCTGTGACCCTTCTTGCTTGGCGCTCCATCCTCCCCGGGTACCTCCCTGCCCCTCCAGGCACTCAGGTTCCTTCCTGTCTGCGGCCTTCCCTGCACTCCATTACTCTCTCAACACTGCCCGTAGTCCCCAGGCTACCCTTCGTGCTTTCCGTTATCCCAAACACAGCACCCAGAAAGGCTGAGTAATAGGACAGTGAGTCAGCCTGGGTAAGACTTTCGAAGGCAGAGTCTGGGTGGGGCAGAGCTCAGAGCAGCTATGCCCAACATTCCTGGAGGTTCAGGGAAGACATGGGATCTTCAGAACACCTAGGGCTGTGTCAGGGTGGGCTGCTTGGGATGTGCATATGGGAAGTGAGCCAAGGGACCCCTTGCTGAAGATGGGGAGATACCCAGGTAAGCTGGCACTTTCTTTGGGTCCTGGACTTTTTTTTTCCCACCCGCTTTGCTCCACGGGTCCCCTAGTGAAAATGCATCCCTCCTTTTTCTACTTCCAGCCTACGTGCCTGCCCAGATGCAGTCCTGCCTGCTTCCCTCTGCCCAGGTGTAAAGGCGGAGGGGCTGTGTGAGCAGACGCTCTACCTACCGTGAGAACCATATCCCAGTAACTATGGAGACCACCACCCTGACGGGAGAGTCCCAGGATGTCTGTTTAAACACTGCCTTCCTCCCAAGGCCTCCAGTGGGTGAGGAGCTCTGGGTCTATGGGACTCTCAGGCACAGTTTGGAAAATTGCCTCTTATTGCAGAAGTAATTTAGCACAGAGCTCAGCTGACCTCAGGGCAGCCATTTTACCAGCAGGATCTGCAAATGGTTTTGAGCTCCTCAGAAAGCTGGCACTGAGAGAATTCCAGGCACCGTAGGTGACTAACAGAACAATCAGATTCTGGGAGGTCTTGCTCTGAGCTCCAGGGCAGGACTGGTGGGAGGCCAGGCTGGTAGAGGCAGTAGGTGATGACATCCAGGGTGGGACTATATAGCCTTTCTTAAAAGCCCCTCAGAGGAAAACCACTCAACAGTGCAGGAGAGATCCACGGCTGAAACCCTCAGACCAAGAACCACTGCTACCTATGTGCCCAGGCCAGGTACCGAGGCCAAGAATTTCAAGAATATTCAGGCCTAGGACTGAAAGAGGCAGTGGAGGCTGCTGTTTGTTTGAAGGCATTCTGACGCTCAGTCACACGTGTGAAACTGTCCTGGGGTATCCAGGGCACTTGGACTGTGCACACAAAGAGGATTCTGCTTCTAAACATTTTCTTCCCATTAAAAAACAGACTGATGGCCCAGTGTGGTGGCCCACGCCTATAATCCCAGCACTTCAGGAGGCCGAGGTGGGTGGATCAGTTGAGGTCAGGAGTTTGAAACCAGCCTGGCCAACATGGTGAAACCCCATCTCTACTAAAAATACAAAAAAATTAGCCAGGCATAGTGGTGCACGCCTGTAATCCCAGCTACTGGGGAGGCTGAGGCAGGAGAATTCCTTGAACCCGGGAGGCAGAGGCTGCAGCCGAGACTGCGCCACTACACCCCAGCCCGGGCAACAGAGGGAGACTATTTCTTTTTTCTTTCTTTCTTTTTTTTTAGACAGAGTTTCCCTCTTGTTGCTCAGGCTGGAGTGCAGTGGCGCGATCTCAGCTCACCCCAACCTCTGCCTTCCGGGTTGAAGCGATTCTCCTGCCTCAACCTCCCTGTTAGCTGGGATTACAGGCATGTACCACCACGCCTGGCTAATTTTGTATTTTTAGTAGAGATGGGGTTTCTCCATGTTGGTCAGGCTAGTCTTGAACTCCTGACCTCAGGTGATCCGCTCGCCTCAGCCTCCCAAAGTGCTGGGATTACAGGCGTGAGCCACTGCGCCTGGCCGAGACTATTCAAAAAAAAAAAAAAAAAAAAAAAAGAGGAAAGAAAGGGAAGAAAACAGACTCATGGCCAGGTGCCATTGTCCAAGTCTGTAATCCCAGCACTTTTGGAGGTCAAGGCGGGAGGATCACTTCAGCAGTCCAGGCCAGGTGAAAGAGTGAGACCCTGTCTCAAAAAAACAAAAACAAAAACAGACTCATGTTCTCACTTGGCTTCTCTTTGATGACATTAGTGAGGCAATTTTCATATGTTTATGAGCCATTTGGATATCTTCTTTTGAGATGTGCCTAATCTGGAAAGAAGCCTTGTTTTGTTTTTTTCGGAGATGGGGTCTCACTCTCTCATGCAGGCTGGAGTGCAGTGGTGTGATCATAGCTCACCACAACCTCAAACTCCTGGGCTCTAGCGATCCTCCCATCTCAGCCTCCCAATTAGCTGGGACTATAGGCGTGTGCCATGGCACCCGGCTCTGGAAAGAAGTCTTTTGCTGGATAATTGTTGGGTAATTGTATTACAAATATCTCCCACTGTGGGATTTCCCTTTTTACCACCCTGTTTTTTAATGAACAAAAGTTCTTAATTTTAATGTAGCACAACTTATTGTTTATGTGTCCTGTTTAAAAATCTTTGCCAAGCCCAAGGTCATGAATATATCCTCCTGTTATTGTCTAGAAGATGTATCGTTTTACTTTTCATATTTTGACCAAGAATCTGTGAGATACTACTACATACTACCAAAATGTCTAACATAAAAAAGACTGATGGCTGGGTGCAGTGGCTCACACCTGTAATCCCAGCACTTTGGGAGGCCATGGCAGGCAGATCACTGGAGCCTAGGAGTTTGAGACCAGCCTGGGCAACAGGGCAAAGTTCTGTCTCTACCAAAAAAGTAGCTCAGTGTGGTGACGCACACCTGTAGTCCCAGCTACTTGGGAGGCTGAGGTGGAAGGATTGCTTGAGCCGGGAGGTCAAGGCTGCAGTGAGTTATCATTGCACCACTGCACTCCAGCCTGGGCGACAGAGTGAGACCCTGTCTCAAAAAAAAAAAAAAAAAAAAAAAAAAAGGCTAATAACACAAAGTTCTGAAGATCTGAGGACATGGGAACTCTCAGACACTGCGGGTGGGAAGTTCAGCTCGTACAATCACTTTGTAAAACTGGCAACATATCTTGAAAAGCGAACACACACACACCCCTAGCAAGTCCACGCTACATATCCTGAAAGAAAAGCATACACAGGTGTGTGGCAAGGCACGTGCAGGAATGTTAACTGCAGCATCAGCTGTGTTAGCCCAAATCTGGAAATAACCCAAATATCCATCAACATAGAAATGGATAAATTGGGGTACATTGATACAACAAAATAACACACAGCGGTGAAAATGAATAAAAGATTGCTACATATCAGGTCACAGGTGAATCTCACACGCACAGTAAGAATACTTATTGTCTGCTCCCGCTTACACAGGCTCAGAGCCAGGCAGAACTAGTCCAGGGTGTGGACACAAGGGCTCCTGGGTGCTGGGGCGTCTTAGAGCCTGTTTTTTGAGCTTGGTGGTGCTTCCAGGAGCCTGTCCTTTTGCTTACCTTGTGAACCTCCGCTGAGCTATACCCTTATGATTTGTGTCCTTTTCTGGGTACCTCTTAAACGTCAATAAATAAGTTTTATTTTCAAAAACACCCTCTGCCAAATACAACTAAGATGAGGATACAAACAAAATTTAGGGTATTCACATAGTGGGGGTCCAAACAGTGGTTCTGGAAATGAAGTGTTTACATAATCCTGAAAATATCAATTACAATTTTTTTTTGAGGCATCTCATGTGTTCCTGGTGGTGGAACACTTTTATTGGCAAGATTGTAATTCAAGGCCAGGCGCGGTGGCTCACGCCTGTAATCCCAGCACTTTGGGAGGCTGAGGCGGGTGGATCACCTGAGGTTGGGAGTTCGAGACCAGCCTGACCAACATGGAGAAACCTCATCTCTACTAAAAATACAAAATTAGCCTGCATGGTGGCGCATGCCTGTCATCTCAGCTACTTGGAAGGCTGAGGCAGGAGAATAGCTTGAACCTGGGAGGCAGAGTTTGTGGTAAGCCAAGATTGTGCCATTGCACTCCAGCCTGGGCAACAAGCGCAAGACTCCATCTCAAAAAAAAAAAGTGTTCCGGCCAGGCACGGTGGGTCATGCCTGTAATCCCAGCACTGTGGGGGCCCGAGGCGGGTGGATCACGAGGTCAGGAGTTCGAGACCAGCCTGGCCAACATAGTGAAACCCTGTCTCCACTAAAAATACAAAAAATTAGCTGGGCGTGGTGGCGGGCGCCTGTAATCCCAGCTACTCGGGAGGCTGAGGCAGGAGAATCGCTTGAACCCAGCAGGCGGAGGTTGCAGTGAACCGAGACTGCGGCATTGTGCTCCAATCGGGTGACAGTGCGAGACTCCGTCTAAAAAAAAAAAAAAGTGTTGTACCATACAACTCTATCAACAAATTTAAATGTCAGACTTCACAAGCCAAAAATAAAGAATCCCAACATTTAGGAGAGAGATGATTAGAAGGATATTCAGCCATTGGGGGGATTTTAGGTGATTTTGCTTTTTTAGTTTGTACCTTTTTGTGTTTGGATAAAAAAAAAAAAACCAACAAGCCATTATCCTGGTGACAAAGGTAGAGCTATTTTGAAGGAAATAGGGATCAATACCCTGTCTCTGGGGGCATGTCCTGCACACACAGGGACTGGGCCAGGGCCCCAGAGACCAGACAGGCAGCTGACAGAGAGGCCTTGCTACAGAGCTGCCTGCTGGAAGTGGGGAGTACGTGACAGACTAGAGATTCAACTTCTGAAAAATTAAGTAAAAATAACAACTACGGGCGGGCGCGGTGGCTCACGCCTGTCATCCCAGCACTTCGGGAGGCCAAGGCGGGCGGATCACCTAAGGTCAGGAGTTCGAGACCAGCCTGGCCAATATGGTGAAACCCCATCTCTACTAATAATACAAAAATTAGCCAGGTGTAGTGGTGGGCGCCTGTAATCCCAGCTACTCAGTGGGCAAAGACAAGAATCGCTTGAACCCGGGAGGTGGAGGTTGCAATGAGCTGAGATCACGCCATTGCATTCCAGCCTGGGTGACAAGAGTGAAACTCCATCCCAAAAAAACAAACAAAAAAACACCAATAAACAACTAGGTCTTCTATGTGTAGGATGCTTTGGGAGACAGAAAGCAGTGTAAAGCCCTGTCATTTCTTGCCGTCCTGGCTCCAGGGCTGAGATGGCTCACAATCTGTCTGCTTTATATTGCTCCAATGTTCTTTTTTTTTTTTTTGAGATGGAGTCTCGTTCTGTCGCCCAGGCTGGAGTGCAGTGGCACGATCTCAGCTCACTACAAGCTCCGCCTCCTGGGTTCACGCCATTCTCCTGCCTCAGCCTCCCAAGTAGCTGGGACTACAGGTGCCCACCACCAAGCCCAGCTAAATTTTTGTATTTTTAGTAGAGATGGGGTTTCACCGTGTTAGCCAGGATGGTCTTGATCTCCTGACCTGGTGATCCACCTGCCTCAGCCTCCCAAAGTGCTGGGATTACAGGCGTGAGCCACCGCGCCCCCATGTTGCTCCACTGTTCTTAATCGAGATCACATTCACACATTCTTTGTGCAATAAATTTTGAAAGAGCAGAAAATCAGATGGCCTCCTGTGGAGACAGATAACAGCGTTCATTCAGGAGGTCTGAATTCTGTTAGGTCGACTCCTATGAAATTGCTGATGTTTGAGGTTTTGACTTACTAAATTAGCAATTTCATAGCATTCAACCTTATGCCCCAATTCTTCAGTTCCTGGCTGAACATGTGCCATTGGCCAAATTGCTTATTTCTGCATATTTGAAATTCGCAAGCCGGGTGCGGTAGCTCCTATCTGTAATCCCAGCATTGTGGGAGGCTGAGGTGGGAGGATTGCTTGAGGCCAAGAGTTCCAGACCAGCCTAAGCAACATAGTGAGATCTTGTCTCTATAAAAAATAAAAAAAATTAGCCAGGTGTGGTGGTATGCACTTGTGGTCCCAGCTACTTGGGAGGCAGAGGTGGGAGAATGGCTTGAGCCTGGAAGGTCAAGGCTATAGAGTCGTGATTGTGCCACTGCACTCCAGCCTGGGTGACAGACCAACTCCGTCTCAATAATAATAATAATAATAATAAAATGAAATTCTTCATAGTAAAATGCAGGTTTTGGCTAAAGATCAGGGTTATTTATAGCATGGCCTGAATCCACCTGCTAAAAATGCAGGATTTGGGCCCCAAATCTCAACGAATCTGAATTCTCTGGACCTGAGCCCAGGAATCTGCACAAACTTTGTAATATTTTACTGGTATTTATGCCTTTTGCTTTTTTTTTTTAAAGAAACGGGGTGCTGCGTGTGGTCGCTCAGGTAATCCCAGCGCTTTGGGAGGCTGAGGCAGAAGGACTGCTTAAGCCCAGGAGTTAAAGACTAGCCTGGGCAACATACCAAGACCCTGTTACCAAAAAAAAAAAAAAAAAAAAAAGAGCGAGAGAGACAGATGGGGTCTTGCTCTATCACCCAGGCTGGAGTGCCATGGCATGATCATGGCTCACTGCAGCCGCAAACTCTTGGGCTCAAGCAATTTTCCTGCTTCAGCCTTCTGAGTAGCTGGGACTACAGTGTGCCCCACCATGTCTGGCTAATTTTAATTTTTTTTTTTTTTTTTGTAGAGATGGGATGTCAGTATGTTGTCTAGGGTGGTCTCGAACTCCTGGCCTAAAGTGATCCTTACACCTCGGTCTCCCAAAGTGCTGGTATTTCAGGCGTGAGCCACTGCACCCAGCCCACCTTTTACTTCTTAGATTACATTGTAAGCTCCTCAAATGCAGGCGCCATGCTTTCCATTTCTTTGTATCTCAGGATCTGGGACAATAAAGGTGTTCACAAAATCCCTGCTGGTTCGACTACTTTCTGTCTTCCTTACACTTGTCTAGTGAAGGAGCGGGCATGGGAGAATGGAGATATTTTTATTTTCTCTTTGATTTTCTACCATGAACATACATTGATTTTGTAGAAAGGAAGAAAATGTATTAAAACTGGGGTGGGGGGTGAGCAAGAATGGGGAAGGGGAGGATGGAAAGTGGAGGAAGACATGGCTTTTTGCTGGCAGCAGTGGGGCTGCCCTGTGCAGTCCTCTGCCACAGCCTCTGCTGCTTACTGGGTGTGCAGCCTCAGGCAGTCACTTCTGCAGCCTGGGCCTTGATTTCCTTGTCTGTCAACTGGAACTGTCATAGGGTTGCTGGGAAGGCAGATGTAAACTGCTCTCATTTGGGAATGAATGGTTTGATTCACTCATTCAATAAATGTTCACTGAAGGTTTCCTATGAGTAAGTACCTCTCAGGTCAGTCTGGTCAACAGAATGTTCTATATTTACCAAACAACAACAACAACAACAACAACAAACCAGTTAAGAACTTTTTTCATCATGGCTCGAATATTCTAAGTATTAGCAAAAGCGCTGTGGTCTCCGTAACACCCATGCAAGCAGGTGTTATCACTACGAGGTAACTTGCCCAAGGCCACAGAGCTAGAAAGTGGTAGAGCTGGGATTTGCCCCCAGGAGGCTTTGGGAGCAGCACCCTAACCCCCAACCACACTAGCTCCCCCTGCTAGTGGAAACCGCAGGGGCTGTCGCAGCTCTGCCGGGTTATCTTAAGAATGGGGACCAGGTGCGGTGGCTCATGCCTGGAATCCCAGCACTTTGGGAGGCCAAGGTGGACGGCTCACTTGAGGTCAGGTGTTCGAGACCAGCCTGGCTAACATGGTGAAACCCTGTCTCTACCAAAAATACAAAAATTAGGCAGGCGTGGTGGTGGGCACCTCTAATTCCAGCTACTCAGGAGGCTGAGGTGGGAGGATCACTTGAACCTGGGAGGCGGAGGTTGCAGTGAGCCGAGATCACACCACTGCACTCCAGCCTGGGTGACAGAGAGGGACTCTGTCTTACACACACACACACACACACACACACAGAATGGGAAACAGGCACTGCTGGAAGCAAGAACAAGATTCTTTTTGAGAAAGTCCAGCCTTGAAGAAGAATCTGTATTCTTAGTAATGAAGGGAATGCAGAGAAGAGAACCTGGAGGCTACTGAATCCTGGCCCACCTTAGAGGTTTCACTGAACTCCTCAGTGAGGGTGGGCACCCAGGGTGCTTGGTGGAACTTGGGGGTCCTGCCTCCGGGGGCCGAGAGGGCAGGCACTTGGGCCACAGAACGTCATGAGTATTCTGAACTGCAATTCTTTAGGTGTATTGATGGAATCTAGAATTTTTTCAGCCAGCTCTAAATACAGGATGCTATTCTGCTTTACAAGGTAACACAGCAAGTGAGAGCTGAAGGGCTCCTCTAGTCAAACTCAAGTGGCCGCCGTACGGGTGCCTGTCACTTGGCTCTGAAAGCAAAAGACCAAGAACATGATTCTCGGCTGTTCTAAAGCTGGGCTAGATCTCCTATTCCACAGAAGTCTTCAGATGGCTTCTCTAATGGCAGCACTTCAGAAACCTGCAAGGAAACATCTTCTCCAAGAAGTTAATCCTAAAAGGGAAAAAAGGCTCCTCAGAAGAATGGTGATTCACTTCTTCTTCTTCTTTTTTTTTTTTTTTGAGACAGAGTCTCACTCTGCTGCCCAGGCTGGAGTGCAGTGGTGTGATCTTGCCTCACTGCAACCTTTGCCTCCTGGGTTCAAGCAATTCTCCTGCCTCAGTCTCCCAAGTAGCTGGGACTACAGGTGCACTCCACCCCACCCGGCTAATTTTCGTGTTTTTAGTAGAAACGGGGTTTCACCATATTGATCAGGCTGGTCTCGAACTCCTGACCTCAGGTGATCCAACCCCCTCGGCCTCCCAAAGTTCTGGGATTATAGGCATGAGCCACCACGCCCAGCAGGTGATTCACTTCTAAGAAATAACAAACTCGATTAGATATTATGTCCCATTCAAGAATATTGTGAGGATTTTAAAGAGTAACGAGTCAACTTTATGAGGATGAAAATATTTACATTATCTCCTGGATTCTGAGATGTATGGAAATGAAGTCAGATTAAGACACCACATACCTGAGAGTTGGCAGGGGCAACGCTAGCAATTCCTACCAGGCATTTGATTGAACTGAAAAAAAAAAAAAAAAAAGTCCAATGCATAAGAGGCATTAAGAGTTGATGGGAAGCCTCAAGAAATGTCAATTACTAAAGCGGAAGTCTATTTTTAAGTTCGGCTATCTTCACTAAAATTGCTAAAAATGTCCGTATGGAATAGAGTTTGCTGCTCAAGGCTATTTTTCTGCTTCTATTTACCATGATGCATAAAGTAGCTACTGTGGCAAGAGAAGTGTAATGCTAAAAAGGAGGTTTTGGAAACACTGTCTTGCCAATGCAAATCAAAACAAAAAAGGCTGATGTGAAAAGCTGAGAAACGCACTTCGCAGAAACAATAGGTTTTTCGAGACAACTACCAGAAAAATACGCTATTAAAGTAATATCAGGATGGAGTAGAGGATCACTTGAGCCCAGGAGTTCAAGGTTGCAGTGAGCTATGATCCTGCCACTGCACTGCAGCCTGAGTGAGAGCGAGACCCTGTCTAAAAATAAAATAAACCAAAGCTAATTATACAAGGACTTTTTACATCCAGGAGGCTTACAAATACCAGATCCATGGAAAACTGACTTGAAAATTTAACTAAGATGTCTTAGTTTTCTGCTCTAAAGCAATCCAATTTCATTAGCAAAGTTGACTTTTCCTTAGTAAGTGCACTGCTTTTTAGAGTATTTATGAAGTTACTGCCTATCTTTCATGTTTAGTACCCTCGGATCTTAAAGGTAACCATGACTAGAAATAGAATATGACATTTTCATATAAACTAATAATATATGTGTCTTACTTCTTAACGGATGGATGCTATGAAAGATGAAAATGGCCACCAGAATGACTGTAAGCAGATGGCTGGCTCTAAAGGCAGGTGTCTCTAAACACACGTCAACATAGGTGTAACCCCTCTCAGATTTAGTTTAAGAGACAGGGTCTTGCTAGTTGTCTAGGCTGGCCTCAAAATCCTGGGCTCAAACCATCCTCCTGCTCAGCCTCCTAAGTAGCTGGAACCACAGGTGCACAGCACTGGATCCTGGCTTCAACATTTTGTAGGGCAGATTTTCAACATACAAACATACTTTGTGTTGCTCCTGTCTTTCCTACAAAAAAGCAGAGTGTGAGTAAGTTTCAGGTGGCTCTGCAACAGGCTTGTTCTTTCACCCTGGGTGGGGCAAGATAGAGCCTAAGCTGAGGGCCAGACTCTGTCTTTTTGGGGAGGTGGTAAGAGGGAGGCAGCACAGGCCACACAGCACAGTGTGTGTAGACCAAGAGAGAGGGGTCAGCACAGGGTCTAAGGGCTCAGCAGAGGCTTCTGCTATTTTTACAAGGAATACAGGAGCAGGTATCTGCACTTTGGAAATCTGTTTTGGCTTTTCACAAATATATCCTTCCCTTCAGGGTATCTCATATGTTTTCTTTAGAAAATTTAAGCCTGACTCAGCCATAGACAGGGAACAGGTTATGTGGCTTAAGCTTTGGCCTAAATCCAAAATAGAGGACAGCGTATGCTCCTGGGAGGCAGGAGGAGAACCAAGGAAATGAATACCACGGGGAGGTGACACAGAGGGAAAACCACCCTGAAGGGTTTTAGGACAGCACATGCTCCTGGGAGGCAGGAGGAGAACCAAGGAAAAGAATTCCACAGGGAGGTGGCAGAGGGAAAGCCACCTTGAAGGGTTTTAGGAGGGCTGTGTCGTTAAAATGCCTCCCAAACGAGCCTTCACCAACCTTCATTCCAAGTAGCTCTGCCAGCTGCCCTGGACTTCTAACTGGAGGGGCCTACGCTGCTGTTTCAGTCTCAGGACAAAACAGCTTCTTACGTGCAAATGCTGGAGGTGATTCTTCTCCCTTTATGAAACAAACCCAAGCCCATTCGGAACAAGACTGCCCACCTCGCTCCAGCTGTGATGCTTTGGCATCCAAGGGCAGGGGAGAGAAGGGGCTGCACAGACACCTCACGCTTTCCTGTGCTCCCCACGTGAAAGAACGCCAGTTTAAAAAATCAAGAGTAAGAGGTATTTGAAGAAAGGGGAAGAGAGAATTTGGTGGATCAAATAAAGCACATTTATTGTAGCGATGTCTGAACTTTTTTCCTATGTGTTAAGAGAAAATAGTGACCGCTGTATCACAAACCCTTTCAGGTCACACCGATCGTTACAAATTCCTCCATGGAGTCAAAGAAAAGACAGTAGGAAAGGTACCGCTCTCTGAACTTTGTACAAAATAATTCATATAAAAAGGAAAAAAGGTAAACGTACCATAAAGTTTCCCTCTCAATTCCCTAAGGTTTGGTTACAAAACTTGACCAAATGTTCTAAGTATAAAAAGTACAGACGTCACTCTGCACAACTCGGGAAGTCTAAGTCTTGTTTTTCCTAATACAAAAGAAACGATCATTTCCCTTTCCTGGCCCTGCAGGCACGTGAGCTTTCTGCGTGGCTGAAGAGCACCACACTGAGCTCCTGCTACCAGAGATGTCTGCTTTTGCCCCTAACGATAAAGGCTTCTGTGGCATCAGTGGTGTCACTCCCGCTGGGCAGAGTTGCGGTGGCTCTGTGAGCCGACACCATGTGGAGCAGTGCTGTTCACAGCCCAGCCTACCTGACCACAGAAACACCCACACAGAGCTTCTCAAACAGCTCAGCACCAGCACTCCACGTGTCTACCCTGATCCCAGGACGCCTGGACGACATCAAAATTCAAACAGGATAAAAACTCACAAACACACTCATTGGAGTATAAGATGTGGGCTTTTTTTTTTTTTTTTAAAAAAAGATAGTTCAAAAGCCTTAAAAAGTATTCTCTCCAGATTATAAAAGGTTAGTTAAAACTGTTTAATAGGAACAATCTTGCACAAGCAGAAAGAGCTTTGATTTGGAGGATTATAGCAACATACAACTGAGAGAGTCCACAGGGACAGTCAGACGGGATGTCTGCACCTCTTCTAGAGACTCTGTGTTAAAAACACGACCGACTGAACATTCTGCCCCCTTTCAAGGCACATGCCACTTCTTAAAACGGTCAGCTTTCCACACAGGCTACAAGATATTTTATTTACATTTAAAAATAGGTTTTCTTCTTCAACGTAGTGGAAAGGCCCGGAGCCCAGTCACAGCGGTGCCTGCCTAGCACAAGTGTAGGACAGCTTTATTGATCTCTGGGTTTGTCCAGTCATTCCGAATGTCATCCAGGTGGTTATCGAAATCCACGAGCGTCTCGTAGGACCGGCTGTCCAGGAGCGAGGCTGAGATCCTCTGTGCCTCTGGCCAGTCTTCACAGTAGTCACTACGGGTCAAACATGAAGAAGTCAGCATCTAACAGTGAAAACGGGCGGCTTGTAACAGCATCAAGAGAGAAGGCCAGCCACATGCACAGTGGTATGAACAGAGATGGTGCAGAGTACTGAGAAACATGTGCATTTCAAACGCATGAAGAGGTATACAGAGCATAGAAGACATGGTTAATACATGGAAGGGACGCCTTTCACGTGGAATTCTGAGAAAGTTGGAGGCAGATGACTGAAGCTTTCTGAGTGGCCACAGATACATCAAAGCACAGGCCTGGGAAGAGTGTCTGTGCTCTAGCGCCTGGGGTGGGAAGACCTGTGGGTACCACTGAGGTTCCCTCTACTGCCTGGAAGCGCTGGAACACTGGGGCCTACAGGAGCCGGGGAATATGCTTGGTATCATGCTTCTGGAGAAAACGCTAACTGAAAACACAGGCGGGGTGAGAGTGGCTCTCACGTGGCCGGGCGCTGAAGGAGCCCAGCCCGCGCGGCAGCATGGGGCGCACTCACTGGTGTGGGTCTCTGCACCGCCATCTGTTCTCATGGTGCTCGTACACGTGGATCGTAGGCGCTACGCAGTCCATCGTAAACTTGGTGTTGTCTACCTGAGCACAAGGCAAAGGACACGAGAGTGAACAGAATGCCAGCCAAACAGCAGCGGCAGGCGCCTCCTCGGGGCTCTCCCTGCAGCCGTGCCCACGCTGGCTGGGGCAGAGACTCTTCCGACAGAGCCTGTATGCAGAGTGGCGCGAGTGTCTGGCCTGAGGAAAACTGTTGTGTCATGCAGGAAAACGTCAAGTCCTTCATTGTTTTTTCACAAAAGCGAAGCTTCCAAACATGACTTCTTCCCTCATCCTAGGATTCTGTCTGAATCAAGGCTGTTCAGCAAGGCCCTTGATGTCATCTGCTCACATACAAGGACCTTCCTTCCCTGTGCCCCTAGAGGCTGTGCTGGCTGTTCTAATTGTGCTTCTCACACTTGGCATGTTCAGACCAGAATCATCTAGAAGGTGTCTTAACATGGACTGCTGGGCTAAACCCCCGCATTTCTGATTCAGTGGGGTCTGGGGTGGGTGCCTGGGAATTCGCATTTCTAACAAGTTCCCAGGTGCTGCGGCTGGCAGGGGACCCCACTCCCACTTGTGTAGTGATGCGGAAGCACAGAAGCCATGGCCTGGGATTCAACTGGTCTGCAGCTGAGAGAAAACTGCAAGAGGCGGCAATGGTCTCAAGCAGATAAATGAGTGAAGGGGTTAGCGGAAAGGAAACCGCCGCAGAGCAAGCTCCAGGTTGGTGAGAGGAGGCGCAAGGGCCTCCCACATGCTGCACAGAAGCGACTTACCATGATGAGCGCAGTGTCGCTGAAGCCCTCGGCGATTCTGGAGGCCACCTTCTCTGCAACCTGGTTTGGACTGTCAAAGAAATAGGCTACCACATTCCAGTTAATGCCATTCAACACTGTTTACAAAAGGCACAGTCAACACCACTGAGACTTAACAAGCAATGACAGAAAGACTGGCAGAGCCAACAGGCTGCACGTGCTCGCTTCGCTGGTTTACTTATTATTTAATTTTTTGGTAGAGATAGGGTCTTGCTCTGCTGCCCTAGCTGGAGTGTAGTGACGCAATCATAGCCCACTGTAACCTCAAATTCCTAGGCTCAAGCAATCCCACCTCTGCCTCCTGAGTAGCTGGGACTATAGGCACAGGCCACCACACCCAGTTACTTTTTAGTGTTTTTTTTTGCTTTTTTTTTTTTTTTTTGGTAGAGAGGAGGTATTGCTATGTTGCCCACACTGGTCTTCAACTCCTGGCCTCAAGCAATCTTACTGCCCTGGCCTCCCAAAGTGCTTACAGGCATGGGCCACTGTGCCCAGCCTACTTATTTATTTGTATTGCTGGGGAGAGTGTGAGTGCAGTTCCCCACATATGAAGAAATCGCAGGGGTCAGCACATCTGGAGTGCAATGGACGAACCTTGCCCTGGGAAAACCACCTTTGTGATCTTGGTATTTTCCCTGACAGGTAAATACGTTTTGCCTGTTTAAAGTGGCTGATGACAGCCCCACTGTGATGGCTGTGGCCAGCAAGGACAGGAAACGCTGTTGGGTAATGGGGCGCACCGTGTAAAGCAGGTCCTTGCCTCATTCCAACCAGAAAGCCCTGGTGACGGGGATCTTGAGAGAGCATCTCCTAACGGAAGGCTCCCAGGAAGCCAGTGGAGAGTCGCCTGAAGCGGGCAGTGAAACTGCTGCTGGGCACCTGCCAGCTCCTGGGCCAAACTCCAAGCCTCCCGGGCCCGCCTTCTCCATCTGCACGCTAGCAAAGCAGCTTGTCCACTGTAACAAGTAAGAGCAACCTCAGGGCAGCTGGCAGTCCGTCACCCTCTGAGAAATTCCTCAGCCTTTCCACATCTTCTCCACGCTCATGAGCCTCCACTGCTGGCTCTGGCCCTGCCGCCACCCAACCCTGATAAATGACACCTTTCTACCTTAAGTTAATAGAGCTAATAATAGAGCAGCTCCTCCACCATTCCTGCACCATGTCTCCAAACACAAAGTTATTCTTCTATCCTATGCCAGGAAGGGGCCTTCTCCTCGGGGGCCTTATTTATATTCTTTCTGTGCCCAAGCCCCAGTTCTGCCTTCAAATCTGTGTAAGTCTTTATTTTCAGGGAAAAACAAAAGCATTGAACCGGTTCCCTCTAGCTGCTGTCCAGCTTCCCTCCTCCCTTCCATGACTGTTTCTTCAACTTCTTTAACAAGCCGCTAGTCTTGCTCCATGTCCTCACCACAGCTCTGTGCAATCTGCCATCTAACCCATTCCCTTGCAGAGCAGCACTCCGGAAGTCTCCTGACCACTGCCTGATGGCCCCAAGACTGCTACCCCCTCAAAAGCCTCCCAGCGGGAACCCACCACTCTCAGGCAGGCCAGTCCATTTCCAGCCTCTCCGACCTGAGGCCACCTTTCCCTCTGCTCTTCCCCACCCTGCAGGCCACAGGTCCTTTCTCTGCCCTCCTTTCCTGCATTCTCCCTGTCATTTATTTCCTTCAGTCTCTCACCTTAGGCAGGGGCTTCTAAAACTGCTTCCTAACCGGTCTCATAATTTCTACGGTCACTCGCTCGCTCTCTTTTTTAAAGAGACAGGGTCGGCTGGGTGCAGTGGCTCACGCCTGTAATCCCTGCACTTTCGGAGGCCGAGGCAGGTGGATCACCTGATGAGGTCAGGAGTTCGAGACCAGCCTGGCCAACATGGTGAAACCCTGTCTCTACTAAAAATATAAAAACTAGCTGGGTGTGGTGATGCACATCTGTAGACCCAGCTACTCCGGAGGCTGAGGCAGGAGAATCGCTTGAACCCGGGAGGCGGGGGTGGCAGTGAGCTGAGATCATGCCACTGTACTCCAGCCTGGGCAACAGTGAGACTCCACGTCAAAAAAAAAAGAGACAGAGTCTCGCTTCGTTGCCCAGGCTGGAGCATGGTGGCTATTCACAGGTGTGATCATGGCCACAAACTCCGGGTCTCAATCAATCCTTCCTGCTCAGCCTCACAAGCAGCTGGGACCACAGGCACGTGCTACGAAGCTCAGCTTAGGCTCTTCTTATCCGATGTAACCTGAAAATTCTCCTGAACTAAATTTTCCTAAAACAGAACTTCCATCACGTCCCCTGGTGCTCACAGCCCCACAGACTACTGCTCACCACTGCCTGCAAGATGAAGGCTGCTATTCTCAGGCTGGCAGAGGCAGGCCTTCGTTACGGTGAACTGAGCTACCGTGTGCAGCCACAGGGGCAATGCTGTGTCTTCAATGTCAGGAAATCTGCCTACATGTCATCTGCCTCACATGCCCGTCTTGTTTCACTCACACTGTCCCGTCTGGCCCTCCACACCAAGGCCTCCTTACTGAATTGCTTCCCCTCTTTCAGTGCCCAGAAGACATGCCACCCTCACCACAAAGCCCTGCTAAACCCTGGATGAGACCCCCTGCCCTGCTGGAGTTCTGAGGATTTATTTCTAAGAGGCTCTAACACAGAGTCCATGGCACGTGCTGCTTTCCTTCTGTGCATCCTGTCTGCCCTGCACAATCAAGGCTTTCAGCTTTTTGTGGCAGGGACCAAGCCATCCATCTTTCTTTTTTTTTCTTTTTTTGAGATGGAGTCTCACTCTGTCGCCTAGGCTGGAGTGCAGTGGCGCGATCTCGGCTCACTGCAAGCTCTGCCTCCCGGGTTCACGCCATTCTCCTGCCTCAGCCTCCCAAGTAGCTGGGACTACAGGCGCCCGCCACCACGCCCAGCTAATTTTTTGTATTTTTAGTAGAGATGGGGTTTCACCGTGTTAGCCAGGATGGTCTCGATCTCCTGACCTCGTGATCTGCCCGCGATGGCCTCCCAAAGTGCTGGGAATATAGGCGTGAGCCACCGCGCCTGGCCCCATCTTTCTTTTAACAGCCATAAAAATACATGCATTATTGTGAGTTATTTAACAAAGCACACTATATACAATTACAATCCTTCCCTTGTGATTAGGCTAAAAAAAATTAATAATGTTTTTAAAAAACAAATTATTTTATATGATTATTGTATTTTCGTTTTCAAAATTGACAAAGTGATGTACTGATTATAAATCTGCAGTATTAAGAAAAATATGACTTAAAAATGTGACTGTGTTAAGAAAAATATGACTTAAGAGGGAAGGGGAGGTTTTCAGGTAGAAGCCAATCGTACTGAAGAAAGCAGTGCGATGGTGGCTCCTAGCGCAGAGGGAAGGCAGTGCTTCACTGCACTGACCAGGACTCGGTGGGCGCCAGGTCCCCACAGCACTAACGGCAAGTGGTGAAGAGTGGGTACAGAGCCCTCAGGAGGCCTGCCCATGTACCCACCTCTGCCTGCTCCTGCATTTGCTGAGGAACTTGGAAAGCAAAAGGCAGGGCCGCTTGCCATGAAGAGCTTGCAAAGCCCTTACCCTCCTACTTAACACTGATCATGCTGGTTGTTGATTTTTATTGGGGAGAGGGTAAGGAAACACTCATTAAAAAGAAAAACTACCATTGCAGATGCTCAAGAACTCTTAACATCTGTCTTTCTATTCACTGATTTTTGAGATGGGGTCTTGCTCTGTTGCCCAGGCTGGAGTACAGTGGCGAGATCATGGCTCACTGCAGCCCCAACTGCCCAGGCTCAAGTGATCTCCCACCCCAGCCTCCCTTGTAGCTGGGACCACAGGCGTAGGCCACCATGTCCAGCTAATTTTTGTATTTTTTTGTAGAGATGAGGTCTTGCTATGTTGCCCAGACTGGTCTTGAACACCTGGCTCAAGAAATCCTCCTGCCTTGGCCTCTGAAAGTGCTGGGATTACAGGTGTGATCCAACATGGCTGGCCTAAAATTTATTATTTTAAAAGAAGTCTAAAAATTTGTAGTTGGCCGGGTGTGGTGGCTCATGCCTGTAATCCCAGCACTTTGGGAGGTTAAGGTGGGTGGATCACTTGAGGTCAGCAGTTCGAGACCAGCCTGGCCAACACGGTGAAACCCCGTCTCTACTAAAAATACAAAAATTAGCCAGGTGTGGTGGCAGGTGCCTGTAATTCCAGCTACTCAGGAGCCTGAGACAGCAGAATACTTTGAACCCAGGAGGTGGAGGTTGCATTGAGGCGAGATCGTGCCACTGCACTCCAGCCTGGGTGACAGAGTGAGACTCTGTCTGCTCTGCCACCGCCCCGCCAAAAAAAAAATGTGTAGTTAATGAACTGTCAAAGTATTTGAAACAGCTGCCAACTTTGCATTTCTCTGTCTTAGGCACTGAATCTCCAATACTGATCCACTTGATCCTGAATGAAGACTGCCACGCTGTGGTTCCTGCTAGTCAGGAACTCCTTGTTCCTAGGAAGAGCCAGCTGCCAACTGAAACTGCAGGCACCCTGAAGGCAGACCACTCTGCTCACCCTCAACAGCACCATGTCGGGCCAGCGTGTAGGTGCCATCTTACAATGTGTATCTAAAAGCTTCCTCCTGAGTGTCTGCCTCAGGCCAGGGCTCTCTGCCGGGCACCGAAACCTACTCATATCAAATGCTAACTATGAAGCAAAACACTGGCCAACAATGAATCATATAATAAAACTTGATGGAATGACCTAAAGTTTAGGAAATTCATAAAAGTTATAAACACTACGTTAGAACAGTAATAGAAAAAGTCATCACAGCACTAGTAACAGCACCAGCCACTACTGTAAACCAAGCACAAGGACAAACACACTGCGCAATTTCATTCTGTCCTCATGACTACTCTCTGAGGCATGAGCTCAGCTCCATTTTACAGACAGGGCCACAGAGGCCCAAGGAGGTTAATCAGTAAGTCACCTAGAATTTGAATCCAGGTCTACTTGGCTCCAAATCATGCTGCAAGACACTGTGAATGAGGCAATATTTCTAGAATAAGAAGAGCAAATTTTCAGCTAGGTCTGGCTGAAGAGAGGGGAAGGTTTTCCAGGCAGAAGCAAAACCATACTTAAGTCAGAAGTTGGCATGATCCTAGCTCCTGAGCTCCCAAGCTGTGTGGCCTCTGAGAAGCCACCTTCTCCGGCTGGTTTCTTCACTTGTGCATTGCTGTGAGGATGAAATAAAATGACCCCGATAGAGCCCAGGGATAGCACGGCATTACCTACCTGAGGTGTCCTCCTCAAACAACTGGGCACAGCGGGGGAGGGGGAGGTGGATTCCCTATTCCAGGGTGGCAGACTCCTAGCTAAGGTTTATCCTCTCTACACATCTGACAAATGGCTGCTCCGGATGCATTTAAAAGTCAGTATTAATGAAGGACTGCAAAACCTCCTGGAGGACGCAGAAGGACGTGGACTAGGTGAGGATAGGGAGGACATTCTAGAAGGAAGGTATGGAGAGCAGGAAAACTGTGTCCGAGTAGGATAATTCCAGGCTGGGCTGTAACGAGGTCAGCACAGAGGTAAGAACATGAGAGCTGTGAGCCAGATGAGGCATGCGCAGAGAGGAGCATAGGAGAGCCTGCGCAGGTCCATGTGGGGCGACCACATCAGGCATGGATTTGCAGGTGGGGGATTAAGGAAAGGGAGGCCCCTGCCCTCATCTGACAACCTGGTGCCATTCCCACTTGCCCAGTCTCCTCTCCCTTCTGCAGGGACAGCCACGGCAGACACTGCTTGGTCCAGGAACACCTTCCTGCCAAGGGTGCTCCCCACTGCTTGCAAGGTGAAGTTCAAAATGCTTCTGAGCACAGAGGAGCCCTCAGCTGTGGCCCAACCTACCTGTGCAGCCTCACTTCCTAGCATCTCCCTCCATGTGGGCACGGCCCCAGCCCTTGCCACGTCCTCACCTGTGTCTGCTGTCCCCCCAACCAGGAATGCTGACCTCCTGGTCTCCACGTCTGCACTTGACAAGGCCCTGCTCACTCTCGAGGGCCTGGTTTACAGGACACCATGCCCTGGACTTCTGGGATCATCCTACCAGGTCTAAGTCTCCCGGCCCCTGCCACCAAGCCCCCTGCAGGGGCCGCTGTCCTGCACCACAGCCTGTGTTTGCACTGTCCTTCATGTTCAACTCAGCCACGTGAGGGCAAGGGCCAGAGGGCTGCGCTTTCCTCAGCCCACGCCTAGTCTTTCATGTAACAAAGACTAAGATGGATGTGGCCCCGTGGGTAGGCTCTCGCTCAGTGAAGGCACTGAGAGGGGAGGCACTGATTCATCAACAAAGGGAGGCAGGCGATATCAAACAGAGGACATCCCAGTGAGAGTCAGAAGAGATGCGCTGAAGGCGGAGAGGCCAGTGCTGCTCGTGGGCTCAGAGGAAGCAGCAGAAGAGCCAATGTGCATGGGGATTCCACGCACTCCCAACCGCCTTGGCAGAGGCTTCAGCGGACTGACTTTGAGTGCAGCATCTCCTAGGACATCTGCCTCCCTCAGGATCCTGTGCCTGGACCCAGCCCTCCTAGGGTAAGATAATTATGTTTCTAAATTTGGGTTTCTTTTAGGATACCATGTTTCTCATCAGAAACACTGGTGCCTCATCAGTGATAGCAATGCTGTCACCAGCTTACTGTATTATTTCCAAAGTGCTTGAGCTCACCTTCTCATCTGTGCTGAGCAAGTGGACCCAACGGCAGGGCCCTTCACTGCACCCCCATCTCCCTGGACACTGGAGGGTCGGCTCTATCTGACAACATGAGGAAGCCACGTCAGGGCAGCCTGACGCATGCCCGTTATATACGGCGTGGACTTTCCAGCTGCCCATCTGGCTTCTGGCTCGGTTCAGCCAAAGGAAAATGGAAGGGGGACATCATGTACTGACTGCTCTGGGCCACCTCTCCCCTAATGGGAGGCCACGTCAGGCTGGCTGTGGCCACCTGCCCAAGGGCACTGCTTTTCTCAAGGTGGACTTGTTTACCCAGCTCCTTCCTCCCCACCCTTTGGGCTGTTGTCGCCAGCCTTGTTTACAGCACGACCCCCTGTGCGTTATCTACGGCCCAGGCCTTGTCAACAGCCTGCTTATTAAGCCCTCCTCAGATTATCACCACCTGAGTGTGTCATCTGTTTTTCTGTTGGGACCAAGATGACGCAGACATATAGAAAAATTCTCAGCTTTGTTATTAGCGAGAGCCCCAGTTGGGGAAGGATCTGGATAAAGGAAAAGAAAGAAGGAGCCAGTATAAAGGGGGCAGCAAATACCACATTTTCATCAGAGTACTGACCCCAAACCTACAGGCTGGTCTATTTACCGGCAAATAGAGCAACATTCCTTCCCAGTGCTCTGCCCAACACCACCCCTAGTCTGGGAAGGGGAAGCAAGGCAGAGCTGAGCAGGGACAGAAGTCGGAAGCCAACTGTCGCTTTCATTGTATGAATTCCCTTCATGCAAAATAAAGAAGACACAAAACAGAATTCCAAAGTTAATAGAAATGTTTGGAATTTCTGTTGTTTGGAATTATCCACACCACAGTTCGCCTCAAATACTACAAATAAGCACAGAGGGAAGGGGTGTAGGTCTCACAGGTTTCGTATCTGGCCGAAAAGCACACGAGAGACGGGGTCTGCCCAACACGTGCTCACTTCCTCGCCCACAGAGGGTTCTGCATCCACGTACCTGGCATCCTTTACTCGCTCATTAGCTTGATAATAACCAGCAATCACGTAGCTATGATCTTTGCACCATGAATCAATCTGAAAGAGGAACAAAAATTGGGAAAAGATGAATGACTCTCCCTTAAATATCAAGTCGTAAAAACCACAGATCTCACTGCCACATGCTGGGACAAGACATGACAGAATCTTAATCCTCATACCCTACACCCCAGAAGAAAGGGTAGGACTCAGGAAAAAATGGTCAGGAAGGGCAGGACTTTGAACATAAGGAATGACTATCTTCCTCAGTCCCAGCGAGAAGACCCTTTGTCTACAGGTACTGGATTGGTACAGTGCTGCAGAGAGTCAGAGGGAAGATGACCTTCACCTACCTTCTCTTATACTATAAAGAACTGGGGCTTTAGAAATGCTTAAAATTATTTAAATCATTATCCTTCATAGTTAAGGAAACAAAGCTTAGAGAGGTTCTAAGTTTGCACAACCAGATAGAAACAGAGCCAGAAGGGAATCTCAGTCTCTTTCAAAACAAGTCTTTTAGGCCAGGCACAGTGGCTCACACCTGTAATCCCAGCACTTTGGGAGGCTGAGGTGGGCGGATCACCTGAGGTCAAGAGTTCGAGACAAGCCTGGCCAATGTGGAGAAACCCCATCTCTACTAAAAATACAAAAATTAGCTGGGCGTGGTGGTGGGCGCTTGTCATCCCAGCTACTCGGGAGGCTGAGGCAGGAGAATCACTTGAACCCCAGAGGGGGAGGTTGCAGTGAGCCAAGATCATGCCACTGCACTCCAGCCTGGGTGACAAGAGTGAAACTCCGTCTCCGTCTCAAAAAAAAAAAAAAAAGTCTTTTATACTCCATCTCAGCATTCTAAGCACCGCATCATGAAATACCCCTCAGTTGGGGTGTAGGGTAAAGAGGTCCCAAGTTAGGAAGGGGCACGTGCACATGTCCTTAGTTCTCTCCGGCGTGCTTTGAAATGGAAGCAAGGTGGCAGACCTTTGAAGTTTTTGGGTTTCTTTTATGGTACCATGTTTCTCACCAGATGCAGCTTCCTGCAGGTCTAAGGCCATTATTCAAAACAACAAAAGCTCATCCTGTTTTGGCATAATGGAATTTGAATACACTGTAATAAAGTCTATTCTCAGTCTGCACAAGAGGAAACAAAATTGGTACCTTGATTTTTTTTTTTTTGTAGGGAATAAACTGGTTAAAAATGGATGTGTGTGTTTTTTAAACACAATCCTATTGCTCTTTTTCCTAAATTCTTGTTTGGGCCTCTGAGTCTCCTTCACGACCAAAAGCAGACAAGACAGTTACAGTCCAAGGGTCCCTGCCTTGCACAGGATTAGGATATTTCTGGCCTCCTAAGAGTTCACGAATTACCATATTGGGTCAAAACCAGGGCTCAGTGAACCAACTAGACATTCTGGTCATCCACCCAAAAGATCAGGATTATGTCTGTAAAATATCTATAATGGTGCTATCATTGTGACTTTGCTGAAAACAACTCCAAAACGACTCATATTTTGTTTCTATCACCTCTTAATGGAACAGATTCCAGAAGCTTTCTATTGCTGCTTAGAACAAACATCTCTATACACTATCAAAGGGGCTTGCTCTAAATTTGGTCAAGTTCCCTGATGAGCTGATCCTTGAGCACCGTGCTCCCAGCCTTCATGTGCCATCATGGGCCGGCCTCCTGAGTGTGTCCTCCCCTAAGGTGACCCACATCTCTGCCCCCCGGGTGTCCCTATCCCTGCTCTCCAGTGTAGCCTGCCCTTATTTTCACAGTCAGATTGGCCACTGTCTTAGTTTCCTATTGCCCTTGTGACAAGTTACACATACTTAGTGGCTTAAAACAACACTTTTTTTTTTTGAGAGTCTCGCTCCGTTGTCCGGGCTGGAGAGCAGTGGTGAGATCACAGTTCACTGCAGCCTTGAACTCCTGGGCTCAAGTGATCCTCCCACCTCAGCCTCCTGAGTAGCTGGGACTACAGGTGTGCGCCATCCTGTCTGGCTAATTTTTAAATTTTTTGTAGAGACAAAGGTTTCATCATGTTGCCCAGGCTGATCTTGGACTCCTGGGTTCAAGCAATCCTCCTGCCTTGGCCTCCCAAAGTGCTGAGATTACAGGCACAAGCCACCATGCCCAATTTTTTTTTTTTAAGGCAAGAAATAAATTTTATTGAAGGATTTTTCACCATCCATAGAGATTATCATATGATTGTTTTTCTTAGAATTTTTAATGCATACATTTTTTGGATTTTCTAACTTCAAATTCCCTAATTTCTTCCATTTCTGAAATAAACCGTACTTGATTAAAGTGCATGTTTTATTTTTTAATTTTTATTTAAGTTCTGGGATACATGTGCAGAATATGCAGGTTTGTTACATAGGTATCCATGTGTCATGCTGGTTTGCTGCACCTACCAACCCGTCACCTAGGTTTTAAGCCCCGCATGCATTAGCTATTTGTCCTGATGCTCTCCCTCCCCTCGCTCCCCGGCTCTGACAGGCGCTGGTGTGTGATGTTCCCCTCCCTGTGTCCATGTGTTCTCACTATTCAACTCCCACTTATGACAACATGCGGTGTTTGGTTTTCTGTTGCTGTGTTAGTTTGCTGAGGATGATGCCAGCCAAAATTTTTTATCTTACTGGTCAGAAGTCTATAATGGGTCAGCAGAGCTGTGCTTCTTCAGGATGCTCTAGAGGAGAATCCTTTTCCTTGCCTTTTCCAGCACCTAGAGGCTGCCCGCATTCCTTGGCTCATGGCCACATCACTCTGACCTCTGCTTCCATCATCCATCTCTTCCTCTCACTCTGACCTTCCTGCCTCCCCTTTACAAAGGTCTTTGTGATTACATGAGGCACACCCAGGTAATCCAGGATATTCTCTCCACCCTCAAGCCCTTAACTTAATCACATCTACAAATCCCTTTTGCTACATAAGGCCTGGGGATTAGGATGTGGACATATTTGGGGGGTTATTACTCAGCTGACCATACCATACAACATTTTCTAGGAAAAACCATAGGACATATTTTTTACTTAGCTACAGGCAACTTCCTGAAGACCCCCAGCAGCAGTCTCAGTTGGCTACTCCATCTCTTTCCTGGGCTGAAGCCACCTGGTTAGGACTCATAGCCCAGTAAACACATATGGTATCACCTTGTACCCACTCTCAGAGCACAGAAACCACCTGGTACAAAAGATGATTCCTATGACAAACACATGTATATCTCAACTTACATTTTGCCTGCTGAGGGACAAATTCCTGTAAGAAAACTCCAAGGGCCCAACCAAATTCCAGCAGAAAAATGTCATGACCTGGAACTTTAAGTAGAACCTCTTTGAAGAGGTTGCCCTTAAAGCGAACCAGGTCACAAAAGCTCTGGCCTGGCTTTAGAATTTAGAACTTTTGAATGACACACATGAGAATAACCAAGTTAGCTGTATGGATGGCTATGAGGGGTGCACACAGCCCGTTCACCAACTGAGGAATGGAGAACTCGAAGGGAGGAACGGAGACTCGGCCAAGCCTCAGCACTCACAGCGGCAGGGTGGATGAGTTCTAATAAGGGTAGTTTCCTGTGACAGTCCGGAATCTGGAACTAGGCATCAGGTGAGAGTGCCCTGGAGTGGAGTGGGCTGGGGGAAGAGGATGGGGCTTGCTGGTGGTGTAGGTGTGGGTGTGGCAGCCAGGTCTCCAGTGGCTGCAGGATCCTGCCCTCAGCCCAAATGGCTCCTGCATGAAAAGCTGCGGTGGATCTAAGTGGCAGCTAGGAGTCAAGGCAACTAGCTTCCTCCGAAGCGAGGCAAGACAAGGCACAGCCGAGAAGCCACTCAACCTCTGTTCCCAATGAATCCATTTCCATGTCCCTGCTTCGCTGTACGACACCCCACACCCTGATGTGCATCTTGTGAAAAATCAAGATGAAAATAAAAGGTCAGGAGAAAACTCTGTGGAGACTGTTGTCAATGTAGTCAAACTGACTCTGATATAGACACCTTCCGCATTCTGCACTTACTCATGCAATTTCATTTACTTTTTAGAGAGAAAGGACATTTTCACCTTGGCAGGAGTCTACCACCCTCTGCTCAATGTCCTTTTTGGCTGCTTCTGTTCCAGACATGGAAGAGAACTATTAAAAGGGCTGGGGCCACCCCTTTCATTCCCAACTAGACTCTTTGCACAGAGGCAGTAGCTTCTCACAGCAGCCTTGCTAAAATCTGCACTATCCCCCCACGCCCCTTGTGACTGTACAATAACCGTAAAGAAGGCGAGGCAGGGACCACAACTTGCCACTTACCAACAAGATGAGGGTAACCTGCTGAGCCTTCCTATCTGCAGCAAAAAGTAGGCCTTGGAGTTCAGAAGTAGAGCAACTGTTATTTTCACTG
This sequence comes from Homo sapiens, assembly GCF_000001405.40. Classification (NCBI taxonomy): domain Eukaryota; kingdom Metazoa; phylum Chordata; class Mammalia; order Primates; family Hominidae; genus Homo; species Homo sapiens. Next base: position 85,793,374 of record NC_000016.10, read on the forward strand.
AGAAGGAAAGTTCCTTCTCAAGTCAGCTGCTGATCTTTCTATGGAATGAGAAGGAGTGGGAACCATGAAAGAAGAGCTTGGGAGGTCAATGGGACCGAGATAGAGGGTGAAGTTCAGGGGGAAGAACTCAAAGGGGGAACCACAGCATCCCTCTCCCCATCCCCAAGGTGGCACGTGAATGTTCTGGAGATGAACAAAGGGCAGGAGGGAGTAGGGGCATGGGAGAGCTCCAGGGCAGCCGCCGTGCAGAGGAGCAGAGGACAGGCCCACATGGAGGCCACAGCAAGAATTCTAGCCTGAAATCATGGTGATGAGGCCAGTGAGCAAGCCAGCAAGTCATCTGCGCAGAATGTAACAGAAAGCTACTCCACCGCACTAGAAATCAACAAGGGGAAAAGGGCAGAAAGGGATTAGAGAAGCGGGTTCAAGCTAATTTCCATACTAACATTTTATGGGTTTCTGCTATTAGGAATAATTCCTTCACTACCTACGTCAAAGGGTTATAAGGATAAATAAGTTAATAGGCGTAAGTACTTAAAAAAACATAAAAAGCATGCAAAAAGCATGCACAAATGCAAGGATTTTTTTAATGGAAAATAATGAAAAGCCTTTCAAAGGAATCTAATGTTGTCCTTTGATAGACAGTCTATGGTCTTTCCCCTTTATCAAAAACAATTCCAATAGGAAGCTCTCTGAATGGAACAGAGCCATGAGAACAAGGCCTCATTTACACAGCTGCATGGATTTAGATGCTTTGTGAAAACTGCATCTTCTATGGCTGATAACCTCATAAACTATGGCTCTAAACACTGAGAGTTTTCATTGCCTTCAGGTTAGGAAGTCACTAAGTCAAAAAGTGAATAATATAAATTTAATAGCTTAACTGAAGTACAAAATTTGTGGATGGACTCCAGCTGCAAATTTTCCCCTGTAACTTTCCTCTGAAAGTTATTTCATGGGCACTGGATTGCTGTCTTTTTCATATTTGCCCACTGCTGAGGGAATGAGTTTTTGTGAATATGAGAAAAGTCAGGGCTGAGTGCGGTGACTCACGTCTGTAATCCTAGCACTTTGGGAGGGCGAGGCGAGCGGACTGCCTGAGCTCAGGAGATCGAGACCCGCCTGGGTGACACGGTGAAACCTTGTCTACTAAAATAAAAAAGAAATCAGCCGTGCGTGGCGGTGTGCGCTGGTAGTACCAGCTACTTGGGAGGCTGAGGCGGGAGAATCGCTTGAACCTGAGAGGCCAAGGTTGCAGCGAGCCGACATCGCTCCACTGCACTCCAGCCTGGGTGACAGAGTGAGACTCCATCTCGGAAAAGTCAGTATAAATAACTATTGCCTGGCAAAACTTGCTGCTTGTTTTCACTGCTGAAGAGTAGTTACCGCAGGGAGTCAAGTGTGGACCTTACTTGCTGGATGGGGACTCATGTGGTGGGGGGAGGTGCTGGAGGCTGGATGTCTACAGTGCAGACTGTAACTAGGAATGAGGCGCGGGAGCAAGGTCAGAGTGGGCCCCTGCGGTGCCCGGTGCCCTCTCACGCTCAGGTAGCAGGCAGTCACTGTCCCCTCTGGGCATCTTTCCTCCCTGGTAAGTGGTTTGGGAGGCAGCCCTGCTCCCCCGTGGAAAATTCATGTACAGGTGACTTGAATGCAGTTGTTTATAGTTCCTGGGTTTAACTCTGTCAAGTACTGCATTCATATCCCATAGTCGGAACAGAAGTGTTTAACTCTGTCAAGTACTGCATTCACATCCCATAGTCGGAACAGAAGTGTTTAACTCTGTCAAGGTTACTTAAGAATGAGAAGAATAAGCAACATCTGACATTCCAAATGAGGTTCAAGTTTGTCTTCAAGAAGCTCCTAGAAGTTTCTGACAGGATTTTACATGGCCAGCAGCCACCACACCTTCTTCTCCCACTCCTGGGCTGGTCCTCAGTTGCTCTGTGACTCCTCCTCCACTCAACCCATAAAAGCCAGAGTGCCCCAAGCCACGTTCCTGGGGTGTGATGAGAGACACTGGTTTTCCTCCCCGTTCCTGGCTCCTCACGGCCCTGGTTAGTCTTTTGATAGAATGCCAGGTGCGTGAGCCTCAGGGGCGCTAGGACCCCACCTTCTCCTGCCCTCCTTCCACTCCACTGTTCCCTCTCCGCCTTTCTGACGGTGGGTCTTAAGACCTCCAGGAGAGGGTCCCCCCTAGACCTCGGGGGAAGGAATGCTGATGTCATGAAGCTCCCATAAAAACCCAAGAGGACGGGGAGCTTCCATGCCCCTTTCCCATACCTCGCCCTATGTGTCTCTTCATCTGTATCCTTTGCAGTGTCCTGTATAATAAACCCATAAACATAAGGTTTTCCCTGAGCTCTGTGAGTTGCTCCAGCAAATTAATCAAATCCAAACAGGAAGCCATGGAAACCCCACCTTGAAGCTGGTGGGTCAGAGGTTCCAGAGCCTGGACTTGCTGCTGAGCCCTCAACCCGTGGGCTCTGACACTATCTCCAGGTAGGCAGTGTCAGAACAGAATGCGGAGACACCTAGCTGGTGGCCGCTGCTTGGTGTGTGGGGAAACTCCTATACATCCGGTCACACAAGTCTTCTTCTGTGTTGACTGTTGGCGGTGAGAGCAGAGGACACACGCGGTTGGAGAGCTTTTCCCTACGCAGTCCTCAAGTGCTAAGACCTGCTCTCATGGCTTCAGAAGTCACCGGCACACCACTGGTTCTCAATCTACATCCATCTCTGGTCTCTGTACTCAGACCCATTCTTCACCTTTCAACCTAGGACTTCTTCATTTGAACATCTCAAACTTAACATACCCCAAACAGAAGTAATCACCTCCCCTCCAGACCTGTTTCTCTGCCTCTTCCCTCAACAAATGGCACCAGTGCACCATCGTCCCAGCGCACAAGCCAGGAACCTAGGTAACACCCTTACTTCCTTTTCCCCTAGGTCCATGCACGATTAGTCACCAAGACCTGTGGATTCTCCCACCTGCTCTCTCTTCTGTCCCCTTCTCCGTACCCATGCTGCACTCAGTTTTGCCACCTCCCTGCCTCTAGTCTTGGGTGTACTCCTGTCTCCAGCATCCTTTCTGCTGCAGGCTGGGGCCATCACTCGAAGGCACTGATCTGATCACGCAACTCTCCTCCAGTGGCTTCCCTCTGTCCTCAGGATGGTGCCCAAATGCCTCTGCATGATCTACAAGGTCACTACAAAGCAATCTGTCCACCACTCAACTCTCTCTGCCCGCTGCCCCTTTACACTCCATCCTATTGCTCTCTCCAAACTCCCCCACTCGCTCTCCTCTCCCGCCCACTATTTTCTCCTGCTCTTTGCACATGCTGGTCCCTTGAATGTTCTCCCTCCATCCCCCACCTCCTGAGGGTCAAAGGCTGGCCCGCTGCCTGCATGTTCCTTTCTCTGGGCAACCTGACTGCCCTGATTGCCCAAGCCTAGGCTGGCTGACTTCTCTCGAATCCCTTGCCACTTTTTTACTAAGCTCCGCCTGTGAGGTTTAGGTGCTGTGCTTGCTGGCTTGCTGCACCTTCAAGTGCTAAGCAGGTACTGTGTTTCATCCACAGCCATATCCCTCCTCAGCACGGGCCTGGCACAAAGCAGATACTCAAAAACATTTATTAGAAAAGTGAATAATCCCGCATAAATGCTACTGATGAATCTAGCTCCCTGCAAGTCAATGCATTTCACAGATCCAATAATTCTCTTGACAACAGAACAATTAAGATGGTTGGAAAGGCTGAGCGCAGTGGCTCATGCCTGGAATCCCAGCACTTTGGGATGCGGAGGTGGCCGTATTACTTGAGGTAAGGAGTTCAAGACCAGCCTGGTCAACACAGTGAAACCCCATCTCTACTAAAAATACAAAAATTAGCTGGGTGTGGTGGTGGACGCCTGAAATCCCAGCTACCTGGGAGGCTGAAGCAGAAGAATCACCTGAATCTGGGAGGTGGAAGTTGCAGTGAGCCGAGATCATGCCATTGCACTCCAGGCTGGGTGACAAGAGCGAAACTCCATCTCAAAAAAACAAAAAGATGGTTGGAAAGACCTGGATTAAAACACACACACACACTCCCCAGTGGTGTTTCAGTAATGACAGCAGATATCTTCAAGAGCTAAAATACTTAGTTTTATAAATATCATCTAAGTATTATAATCATCTGAATCCTACCCGGAAATGATATGAAGTTTAACTTTAACAGGCACTCAAAGATGTGCCCAGGAACCTTACGCCAGGACTCTTTGCCCAGAGATACTTCTTGCTTGCCCAGAACTGACTTGGGTGTCATAATTAGTTAAGTTATAAATGGTAGATTATGAAATGGCTTCGTTTTACTTGGTGGAGGAGGGACACAGATAAAGAAATTCTACTTACACCTTCTCAAGCTTAGCTACTTCTTACATCAATTAGCTACTATTTTTTAGCATCACAGTTTATTCTTAAATGAAAAACAAACAGCACCTCAGCTCAGGTATGCAGGTCTGAAGCTACAGTTTACTTTTCCTTCAGGTTTTAACAACTCGATGGAATTTATAGATGGTCTTTTTCCCTTCATTGATCACCGGAACTGAAAAGCTACTGCCTAAAATTCACTTACCAACTAGTCTACCTGCATGCTACATCTTTTTTCCCACTGTACTTCAATAAAGCTGTCATTGCAAACAAAAACATAAAAGCGTGTTGGACAGATCGTCTGCTCCTGCTGTTTAATGTCACAGAAATTCGTTTTTTTTTTTTTTTTTTTTTTTTTGAGACGGAGTCTTGCTCTGTCACCCAGGCTGGAGTGCAGTGGCGTGATCTCGGCTCACTGCAACCTCTGCCTCCTGGGTTCAAGCGATTCTCTTGCCTCAGCCTCCCGAGTGGCTGGGATGACAGGCGCCCGCCACCACGCCCGGCTAAGTTTTGTATTTTTAGTAGAGAAGGGGTTTCACCATGTTGGTCAGGCTGGTCTCAAACTTCTGACCTCAGGTGATCCGCCTGCCTCGGCCTCCCAAAGTGCTAGGATTACAGGGGTCAGCCACCGCGCCCGGCCCCACAGAAATTCTTTAGCTTTTAAAAGCCATGGAAACATTCTAGATAAGTTGTTAACCATTAACGGGAACAAATTCTCTTTACACAAAGCTCAGGCACATTCAATCAAGGGGAGCCAGGCCTAAGATGCATCACACAGATCTGACCATGCAACTACCTTTCTACAAGTGTCTGAGCTCCGGGGTGCCCGAGTACCGACAGCCAAAGAAGCATTTACACTTTGCCAGATAAGGAATCGGCTCTGCGAAGGTGCGAAGAACCAAATCCTAGCGATTAATGTCCCAACAACGTGAACACTTCCTGCAACTCGAAATCCTCAAGGGAAACTCTGTCGAATCCCCACCAAGTGAACGATGACTTGTTTCTACAAAGGCTACTGATTTCAGGAAACTAACGTATAACTCGTCGCCTTAAAGTGCCTCTAAAAGCATCCACGACGGTTAAAGTCGCTGCTACTACGGGACGCTATTTATTCAGCGCCAAGACCCAAGCGCCATCGTGGATCACCCCATTCCTGGCCACGGCAACCCTAGGGAGCGGGTCCTAGGAGCCTGCTGGAGGGCGACCGCTGGGCCAGCTTCCTCTCTGCTGACTGAGGGGAGGCCAGGCTGCCTGCAAGGGGAAGGGGCCCTTTCCGCGCTTACCAGGGTGAGAGCCACCTCCAGCATGGGGGCGAGGGCCAGGGTGCCGTGGAAGAGGGGGATGCAGTCCACGAAGAGGGTGTGGTGGGCGCCGGGGCCGCCCAGGGGGAGGTGCTCCTTACGCGGCTTCTGCTTCTCGGCCACCAGGAGCCCGTTGACGGCGCAGTGCGGGTACTTGGCGCCGTGCAGCACCATCTTGCAGTAGGCCTGGGTGGTCAGTTTCACCCCGGGCATGCTGACCCGGGAGGGCCCCGGAGGCCCCTGGGCGCGCGGCTGAGGCCTGGACCCGCTGCCTGGCCGCGCGGCGCCTCAGCCGAGAAGCGGGACGAGGCGGCGGCGATTGATGGCGCGGCCGCGGGCTGGCGGGGGACCCTTCAGGCCCGGCCCCGTTTGGGCCTCGGCTCCTGGAAAAGCGACTCGCGCCTCTGGGAAGCCGCAGCCCCAGACTCCAGTCGCGCTTCTCGCCCGGCGCCGCCGGAAAGCAGCCTCTCCAACGCCTGCCGGAAAGCAGCCCGGCCCGGCATTTTACGACGTTCGCAGCGCTACCCTTTTCCGCTCCACGGTGACCTCCGTGCGGCCGGGTGCGGGCGGAGTCTTCCTCGATCCCGTGGTGCTCCGCGGCGCGGCCTTGCTCTCTTCCGGTCGCGGGACACCGGGTGTAGAGGGCGGTCGCGGCGGGCAGTGGCGGCAGGTGAGACAGGAGGTGGCCGGTGCGGCGCCGCCAGGCCGGGCCGGGTCGGGGGGCCGGGAGCCATCAAGTCTGCACGTCCGCAGCCTGGCCGCTCGGCTTCAGCAGGAAGCACCGAATGGGCCTCGGAGCCAGGTGACATTGAGGCCGGCCCGTGGGGACTCCGGGCTCGGTGGCTCCAGGCTCGGGGGGCCGCCCCGAAGTGCCCGGTCCATCTTACCCGGTCTCGCAGCGGCTGCGGACCGGCCTCGGGCACTGACCTTGGAGCGCCCGCTGGCCGAGGGCTCAGGCTGCGGGGAGGCGGGCCCGCGCTCTGTGCCTGCAGCCTCCGCCCTTGCTCCTTCAAAAGGTCCCTGTGCAACCCCTCCCGGGTTTTGCGGGGCTCCCGGGCGGCGCTCGGCTTTCCAGCCTGGAAGGCGCCTATTGTTTGCTCACGCAAGGGCTAGGCCCAAGGAGAGAAGCTAGACGCGGGCGTTCAGCCCTGACGTCATGCTTGTTTATTCTGCCCCAAGGAGGGTATTTCCCCACATCACTCTCACCAGTCCTCCGAAGGGTCGATTTAAAGGGGGCCGTGTAAGGTTGATGGGCCTGAATAGAGGAGGGCCCGGGTGAGGGGGGGTCTCATAGGTTTTCCGCTCTCCTCAGGGATTGGAAATTGATCGGGGCTGTGTTGGCAGCCTTCTCCAATTTCCCCTTCTAGTCTATGTACAGGCGGTATTAGGTTTTAAACACTCAGTTGAATGTGATGCGTGCCACGGTCCCTGTGAGCTGTCACCTCCCCCCACCGCTCCCTGAAGAATGGAGTCTGTCACGGCAGCACAGTGCTTTAATGATCTCTAGCTTTTTCAGAGTCACCTTGTTAGCATTTTTTCTTCTTGCCTTTTTTTGTTTGAGACGGACTCTTGCTCTGGTTGCCCAGGCTGGGGTGCAGTGGTGCGGTCTCGGCTCACTGCAGTCTCTACCTCCCGGGTTCAAGCGATTCTTCTACCTCAGCCTCCCAAGTAGCGGGGATTACGGGCGCCCACTACCATGCCCGGCTAATTTTTGTATTGTTAGTAGAGACGGGATTTCACCATGTTGGCCAGGCTGGTCTTGAACCCCTGACCTCAGGTGATCTGTCCGCCTCGGCCTCCCAAAGTGCTGGAATTACCGGCGTGAGCCACCGCGCCCGGCCTCTCCTTGTTTTTTTAAAAAGACCAATGTTCTGTTAATTACCTGAAGCGCGTATATATTATGGCAGTTGATTTATAATGAAGCTCCTTAAAAGCATGCCAATTACTAAGAAAAACCTCATCCTAGGTCATTTTGTGAATTCAGAGACAGTGATAAAGAATGGATCATTTGCGTTGGGGAGAAGCAAACAAAAAAATTCCAAAATGCTCTGGGGCAAAAAGAAGACTAATTCCTTGCTGTTTGTCCTTATTCATAGAGAAGGTGTACATTTTTATCTTTCAGAATGTTGGCTACCAGGGTATTTAGCCTAGTTGGCAAGCGAGCAATTTCCACCTCTGTGTGTGTACGAGCTCATGGTAAGTGTGACTTTTCTTACTTTTAAATAGGCTGAACTAATTTCATTTTGCTCCTGCTGTGTATAAAGCCCTGTGCTGGAGTTTTAAAGACCTTAATTCGGCTCTTGAGGGTCTTTAGGGGAGATATAAATGTTCTCACAGGGCTTGGTTCTAGATTAAGAAGTGTTTATAAGTCAAATTGAATCTCTTCTGGATCTTTGGTTATACTGATACTTCCCCACTTACCCTTCCCTTCCGTTCCACTTTTTTAAGCTTCGAGATCTACCCCTTTCAAAAGATCTTCTGCACCATAACTGACTGACCTTAATGACCTCCCTCCCCACCTTGCCCCCACAACTCCCAACCATTTGCATCACCTCTGTTTACATTATAGAGGCAATGGAAACGAAAGAGCCTGGACTTCCTAGCCTGAGCTGGGTTTTCATCTCATTTCTATCAAGGACTAGCTACTGAAGCTCAGGAATCTCTTTGCTCACCTGAAGTATATGGACAGAGCTTAGTTCTGTGTCTGGCATACAGCACATTTACTTTTGCATGTATCTGGCGTCTATCTACTTTGTACCAGACACTGTTAGGCACCGAGAAGAAAAAGAATATGAAATACACACACTTTCCAGGAGGCTGTTTGCAATCTGAAGAGGGACGGATGGGTGAAGACAGTGTTTTATTAAGAGATGGCTCCTGGGTAGAAGCATTTAGCCCGATGTGGGTTTCAGGGAAGGCTTCTGGAGGAAACTCTCCAGGGTCTTTTCATTGCCTTAGTAGAGTCTACACCCTGCCTGGTTAGAGCTGGTCTTGCCTGCCTTTCCGATCTTATTACTGACTGTTGTACTCAAAACCCAAAAACTACCATCAGAACCACCCATCCCCACTTGCTCACTGCCCCAGCCCCCTGGCCTTACTCCATTCCTCCCGTAGAGCCCCGAGTTGTGGGTGGTCGCTCCTGTCTAATCATTCACCCTCGATACAAATGTGCTTTTAGAACGGCCTCTCCTGACCATCCTTTCTCAGGAAGCTCCCTGTCACCTCACCTTGCTGTGCTTTTCCTTATAACACTGGATGCCTCATGAATGCATGTCTATTTGAGTATTGCTGTCTCAGCCTCTTAGAGTGTAAGCCTTTTGAGGCCAGGGAGCCTGCCTGTCTTACTCATTGCCGTATCTCCAGCACATAGGAGGCAGATGAAGACGAACTGCAGGCTCTTAGACAAGTCTTCTCTGTTAAGTTATAACTTACGTAAGTCATACATGAATAATACATGAATGTGTTCTCAACATAAGATATTAAAGCAGTCTGGAATACCATCAGCCGTCACTGAAGTCAGTTGGGATATTTGTGTGGTGATGCACCTGAGTAAGGGGTGCCCAGATATACCAGATCTCCCCAGCAGAGGCTCAACAGAAATCCGTCCATGTTGAAGCGGTGACAAACATTCCTTACAATCTGGAGTCTTTGTTTTTCTCTCTCTCTAAAAGAAATGTTTGGTATATTAACCATTGATTTTCCCTTAATTGCTGGGGGACCAGGCCTGAAGCTCTGAAGAACCCCTGAAACCATGAATTGGCCATTCTTATTCTGGAAGATGCAATTTTGAGGTTTGCATGCGCCAAGGTTTTGAGGGTTTACGTCGTTATAATAGCTTTTTCCCCCCAGTCTCCCTGTCATGGCATTTACAACAGCTTTACAAGATGTAATTCATATAACAGTCACCCATTTAAAGTGTATGCTCCAGTGGTTTTTAGTATATTCATTGAGTTTTGTCATTAGCACCACAGTCAGTTCTAGAACATTCTCATCACCCATATTTACATTTATTTTTAATAACTCTCATGTGTAAGCTGAGTGTTTTAAACTTTAGAGACTTCTGGGGGGTGCTGAACTTGATAAAAATATTCAGTATACAAGTGTTCTTTATAGTTCACTCATCATTTTCATAGAATTAGGGTTTTAAAATTAGAAAGTAATTTAGGCCATTTCCATCTCCTGTCCCTCAAATCCCAGCTCAGTTTTGGGATGAGGTGTCAAGTATAAGTTTGTAAGTATGCCAGTCATTTGCACGGCTAAGAGAAACATCTAGAGAAGTCTATATACGACTTGCTTAAAGCTGAATGTTGATTTACTGTTCACATGATTTGGGTGATTTTAGTCACTGGGACTGAGCTAATGGAGTTGAAGCATTGTTGCGGGCATTGTACCTCCAGACCAGTGTGTAATACAAAGAGTTCTTGCAGACATAGGACAGAATTGGAGAAACAGCTTCTAACAGTGGGAAGACTCTCAGTACAACCAAGCTATTCCTTACCTTTCTGATTTCTGAACTTTTTTCCATGTGATACCTGCTGCTTTGAAGGCACTAAAATAACAGAAGCAGATAGAGCAGAAATCCTCACTCAGATCTTCCTCCTTCCTACCTGTATAACAGTTTGTGGCTTGCCTTGTCTGTTTTGTGCGTTTCGTTACGCGTATGTGAGTATGTGCACGTGATTTCCAGAAAGGAGAAGCGCACGATACTGCCCGTGCTCTGTGACTCCTGAGTGCACGCTTCCTCTGCATTTGGGCTCCTAGGTCGGCCTCGTCCTGTGGACGTTGCCCCTTGTTTCGTGCCATCCACACATTCCTGATGCCCCGCTGCTCTACTCTTTCTCCAGAGTACTTTTTCCAAACATGTGATTTGCACATTTGTTATGTTTATTGTTTGTTTTCCACTTCTAGAAGTGTGCCACTAGGCAGGAATGTTTGATTTGTTCACTGATGATCCCAGATCTCTAGAACCCTGCCTTGCCTGTAGAGGGTGCTTGGTAAATGTGCTCTGAATGAATGGCTCCATGATCCTCGTTTCTAAGAGCTAGCACGATTTCTCACTCAGTCCTGGTTGGACACAGGTTCCCTGGAACAGTGCTGTTGTGGTTATCTTCTCACGTGTCTTTGTTTCTGAACTTGAAACGCTTTGAGTTTTTTATTGTTTTTGTTCTTCCTCATTAGTTTGAGTCCCTTGCAGATAGGCTTTCATTTTGTCCAGTCACCTGTTCAGGGAGCCCTGAGGGCCTTGGCCCACGTCTGCAGGTAACTGGTTTTTTTATTTTTATTTTTTTATTTTGAGACGAAGTCTCGCTCTGTCACCAGGCTGGAGTGCAGCGGTGCGATCTCAGCTCACTGCAACCTCCGCCTCCTGCGTTCAAGCGATTCTCCTGCCTCAGCCTTCCGAGTAGCTGGGACTATAGGCACGTGCCGCCACGCCCGGCTAATTTTTTGTATTTTTAGTAGAGACGGGGTTTCACCATGTTAGCCAGGATGGTCTCGATCTCCTGACATCGTGATCCGCCTGCCTGGGCCTCCCAAAGTGCTGGGATTACAGGTGTGAGCCACCGCGCCCAGCCCTGCAGGTAACTGTTAATGTAGGAAGTGCTGCCTCTGGGCACCTTGGCCCCAGGGTTCATTAGCAGTTGCCCCTGGTGGGTTTTTGTTGGCTGTGATGAGAAGTGCTTCTGTTCCCCCTCCACCACACTCCTGCAACTGTTTAAACAGTGGCTGTGACCCCCTGAGATGATCCAGGGTTTCAAGGCGTGCACATGTCTGTGTTTCGGTTTTCAGAAGTATCACCTTGGGGTGACTCTCAACTTACATGGATTTTCAAAGATTTATTCAATATGTTTTTCAGAAAGTGTTGTGAAGAGCGAAGACTTTTCGCTCCCAGCTTATATGGATCGGCGTGACCACCCCTTGCCGGAGGTGGCCCATGTCAAGCACCTGTCTGCCAGCCAGAAGGCATTGAAGGAGAAGGAGAAGGCCTCCTGGAGCAGCCTCTCCATGGATGAGAAAGTCGAGTGTGGGTATTGAAGGGACCCACAGGCGCGCCCAGCAGCTCTCGGAAGCGTGTGTGTGACAGAGCCTCTGCTCACTTCTGGGCCTACTGTCTAGAGGCAGTCTTGCACAGGAGGGTTGCTCTGCTGGGTTTCGGGGTCACTGTGCCAGGGCCCCAGTTTATGTGCTCACCAGTCACTTAGCTCTGCCAGCTGACAGGATCTTTTGCTAGGCCCCCTTCTCTGTGCTGAGTGGAGGTAGCCTCTCAGCATATCTGCTGGGTAAGACATAGTTAACTGTAAATTATTGAAAGAAACTCAGCAAAATGCATAGTGTTTGGTATGAAAGGGGCAGAAAAATAACAAGATTAAATAGACCCTAATACTGTAATTCAAGTAAGAAATAATTTTGCAGTTTTAATTTGCACCTGAAGCGAACTGTATGCATTTTCTTCTTTCCTTGCCCTGTCACATGCCTGCGTGGGCACGTGTGTGCACGTACGTGCGTGAACATGATGTGGCCTGGGTTGGTGTATCCTTCAGCTCTGTGTTTCCTCCTTCACAAGTGTGGTTTTGGGGAGAAGTGGTTGAATGTTGCAGAGGAGGGAGCTGCTGACCTTTGTGCCTGTAAATGGCTGTCCTCTCTGCCCCCAGTGTATCGCATTAAGTTCAAGGAGAGCTTTGCTGAGATGAACAGGGGCTCGAACGAGTGGAAGACGGTTGTGGGCGGTGCCATGTTCTTCATCGGTTTCACCGCGCTCGTTATCATGTGGCAGAAGCACTATGGTGAGTAGAGAGGGAGGAAGGCATGGGCGCCTGGACTGGGGCTCCAGCCTGCAGTGCCCATTGGTGGGCTGTCGGGGACCTCCATACCTTGAGGCTATGAGATAGGGACTGCATTCCAGAGTTCATCTCAGGATTGTTTCCAGGCCTTGGTGACCTGGAGAACTGAAGTCGTGGGAGGTTAGTTTATAAGCCAGCATCTGATTATTCATAGCCATGCTTGTTGGGTGGTGAAATACCTTAACTACTTTGTACAGCACACCACGTTTTCAGTAGCAATTTATGTGCTCACCAGTCACTTAGCGAAAGATGACTTCGTGAAGGTTCGAGCAAGGATAAGGGGACTCATTCATTGAATGACTGTCTGGACTGTTGTGAGGACTGCATCTCAACAGCCAGCATCTGGGGGTCCCGACCTGATAGTTTGTGTGTGGGCATTGCCGGGTTGCTCGCTCGTGGTAATGACTCTTCCCCGAGGTTCTTTCTGTCCAGGCAGAACAGGCATTTTTGCATTCTGAATAGGTATATTCTCGTACTTTTGGTTTGAATGTGGATGTGGGTTAATAACAGACCCGAATCTATTTGATCTTCCAGGTCACCTTGGGCTCTGTTTGTCAGATCCTGTTATCCATAGCCTTTAGAGAGGACCTTCTGCTTTTAGCTTATTTTGTTGCTAACTTTTTACAAACAAAGGGCTAATTTTAAAATGTCAGTGTTGTCAGTGGTCAGAAACCGTGTGTTTGAGCGGGTGTTGAGTGGCAGGTGGCTCTGCTGACCTGGTGGCTGGTGTGTCGGGAGGATTTAACCTGTGTGAGGGATTGGCCTAGAAACAACCTGTTGAGATAGTCTTGCCCCATAACCTGTCTCACACCGTAGTGTACGGCCCCCTCCCGCAAAGCTTTGACAAAGAGTGGGTGGCCAAGCAGACCAAGAGGATGCTGGACATGAAGGTGAACCCCATCCAGGGCTTAGCCTCCAAGTGGGACTACGAAAAGAACGAGTGGAAGAAGTGAGAGATGCTGGCCTGCGCCTGCACCTGCGCCTGGCTCTGTCACCGCCATGCAACTCCATGCCTATTTACTGGAAACCTGTTATGCCAAACAGTTGTACCACTGCTAATAAATGACCAGTTTACCTGAAACCCTTTGTGATCAGTTCTTTAATGATACCTAAATGAAAGCTAATTAAAACAATAGGTTTCTCCCAAGGGTCTGGAGTAAATATATTTTGGGTGCAAATGAAATGGCAAAAATCTAGTATCTTAAATTGTATAAGGGGACATTATATAAAAACTGAAAATATAGAATTCCTTGATGTAGGAAATTTGAGGTTTTTGGCAAGAGATCTTTATATAAGTAAAATCCCATTATCGTAGGCACACCGGCAGGAGTTACCACAACCCTTTTTTTTTGTTTTGGGAGACGGAGTCTTGCTCTTGTCACCCAGGCTGGAGTGCAGCCGCACAATCTTGGGTCACTGCCACCTCCACTTCTCGGGTTCAAGGGATTCTCCTGCCTCAGCCTCCCAAGGAGCTGGGATTACAGGTGCCTACCACCACGACCAGCTAATTTTTGTATTTTTTAGTAGAGACGGGGTATCACCATGTTGTCCAGGCTGGTCTTGAACTCCTGACCTCAGGTGATCTGCCCGCCTTGGCCTCCCAAAGTGCTGGGATAACAGGTGTGAGCCAGTGTGCCCGGCCTATGAACCACTTTTCTTCTGGGACTGTCCCTCCCTCCCTGCAGTTTTCTTTTTTTTTTTTTTTTTTTTTTTTACTGATCATTCTTGGGTGTTTCTCGCAGAGGGGGATTTGGCAGGGTCATAGGACAATAGTGGAGGGAAGGTCAGCAGATAAGTGAACAAAGGTCTCTGGTTTTCCTAGGCAGAGGACCCTGTGGCCTTCCGCAGTGTTTGTGTCCCTGGGTACTTGAGATTAGGGAGTGGTGATGACTCTTAACGAGCATGCTGCCTTCAAGCATCTGTTTAACAAAGCACATCTTGCACCACCCTTAATCCATTTAACCCTGAGTGGACACAGCACATGTTTCAGAGAGCGCAGGGTTGGGGGTAAGGTCATAGATCAACAGGATCCCAAGGCAGAAGAATTTTTCTTAGTACAGAACAAAATGAAAAGTCTCCCATGTCTACTTCTTTCTACACAGACACAGCAACCATCCGATTTCTCAGTCTTTTCCCCACCTTTCCCCCTTTTCTATTCCACAAAACCGCCGTTGTCATCATGGCCCGTTCTCAATGAGCTGTTGGGTACCCCTCCCAGACGGGGTGGTGGCTGGGCAGAGGGGCTCCTCACTTCCCAGTAGGGGCGGCCGGGCAGAGGCACCCCTCACCTCCCGGACGGGGCGGCTGCTGGGCGGAGATGCTCCTCACTTCCCAGACGGGGTGGCTGCCGGGCGGAGGGTCTCCTCACTTCTCAGACGGGGCGGCCGGGCAGAGATGCTCCTCACCTCCCAGACGGGGTCGCGGCCGGGCAGAGACGCTCCTCACCTCCCAGACAGGGCGGCGGGGTAGAGGCACTCCCCACATCTCAGACGATGGGCGGCCGGGCAGAGATGCTTCTCACTTCCTAGATGGGATGGCGGCCGGGCAGAGACGCTCCTCACTTTCCAGACTGGGCAGCCAGGCAGAGGGGCTCCTCGCATCCCAGACGATGGGCGGCCAGGCAGAGATGCTCCTCACTTCCCAGATGGGGTGGCGGCCGGGCAGAGGCTGCAATCTCGGCATTTTGGGAGGCCAAGGCAGGCGGCTGGGAGGTGGAGGTTGTAGCGAGCCGAGATCACGCCACTGCACTCCAGCCTGGGCACCATTGAGCACTGAGTGAACGAGACTCCGTCTGCAATCCCGGCACCTCGGGAGGCCGAGGCTGGCGGATCACTCGCGGTTAGGAGCTGGAGACCAGCCCGGCCAACACAGTGAAACCCCATCTCCACCAAAAAAATACGAAAACCAGTCAGGCGTGGCGGCGCGCGCCTGCAATCGCAGGCACTCGGCAGGCTGAGGCAGGAGAATCAGGCAGGGAGGTTGCAGTGAGCTGAGATCGAAGCAGTACAGTCCAGCTTCGGCTCGGCATCAGAGGGAGACCGTGGAAAGAGAGGGAGAGGGAGACCATGGAAAGAGAGGGAAAGGGAGAGGGAGGGGGAGGGAGGGAGAGGGAGAGGACCCTGCAGTTTTCATGTTGGCTAGGGTGGGCGGCCACCAGTTCAGGGAGGACAGCCCCACTCTGAGGTCTGACTGAGGTGTGGGTGCTGGCCCCGTCTCCCTTGGACTGCTTGTGGCCTGCTCAGCTCCCTGGCTACTCACAACTCTTTGATCTAAAAAGTAGTCACAAGGCCAGTGTCAAAGCGGTGGTCTTACGAGCATCATCCTGGCCCTGGCAAGCTCTCTCCAGGACTCATCCTCTTACCTGTCCCACCCAAGCACCAGTTCCCAAACTGGAGACCCTGTCTGGAGAAGAGAACAAATCTGCAGCCTGTGTGCTGAGAGTAGCAGAGATGGTTGGCAGAGAGGGGTTTCCTGCCAGCACTGGGGGATAGGAATGAGGCAAGGGGAGAGAATGGCCCCGGAGAAGCATAGCTGTAGCCAGGAAGGGAAAGGGGACCCTTAGATCTTGCCCAGAGGAAATACATGGGACAAAGACCTTGGCTGGCTGGAAGGTTTGGGCTCAGTTCAAAATCAAGAGCAGGTCAAATACACCCCAATCGAGCACCTTCCAGTGCTGTAGAAACGCCCTTGATCCCTTGTTCTCGAAGGACCAGCTGAGCCCCCCGGGAGAGTGGGATGCAGGGGGCTACAGGGCCTTGTGGAGTCTTGCCGTGAGGACTCGTGTGAACCCCTTGGTGGTTTAACTACAAAAGCCCACACTGCCCTCTGGGGGATGCCATTTTCAGTTCCTTGCCCGAGGGTGGGCTCCTGGGGGTGGTAGGGGAAGCTGAAGTAGTTGACCCCGGCCCCACTGGTCCCTGACCCTTTGCCTGGCTCTGGTGGAGCCGCCTGCCCTGGGCCAGGCAGCAGGCCAGGCTCATCATCGCCTGCATCTCCCTCAGGAGAGGCCGAGAGGAAGGAGCTGTCACCCCAGGATGAAGGCAGAGGTGTCTGTGGAATCGAGCCTGCTGTACAAGCCCTCTACTTTTAGCCTTGAGTGAGTCCTTGAGAAGTCCGGCTCTTCCTGGCCTTTCCCTCCTACTGCTTAGGAAGCTGTGCTCTTGACCTTGCTAAGAGAACTGCCATTTTTCCATTGGATTCAGATTCCAAAACGTGGCTGTCCATCCTGATTTTGTCCTCACGCTTAAAAAAATAAAAATCCCTTTTTACTGCCATTTTAGTGGGAATTTGGGAGGCCGCAGGGGTTCATGGCTGGATTCAGCCCATGATCCTTCACTGGTCACCCGCATGCCATGGGGACGTGATGCTGACCTGACCCCAGGTGCTCACTTTCCCAGGCTCACAGGGAGGCAGACCACAAGTAAAACAAATACACAGAGAAGTAGAGGATCCAGCAGGGTGGAGGGAGGGGGCACAGGGAGAAAAGGTTATGGGTGGGGGTTGGTTGGGCAGATGTCACTGAAGAGGTGACATTTCGGCTGAGACTTGAAGATGAGCCGAGCCACTCACGCTGAAACCTGAGGGGAGGTCGGGCTGGCAGGTGGACACAGCACCAAGCCTGCACAGCAGGCATGACGCTGGAGGCAGAACAGGGCTTGGTGTGTTCAAAGGACAGCAAGACGGCCACCAGGCAGAAGCACTGTGGGAGGAGGCAGGGTGGGGGTATGGCAGGGGTGCTCAGATGCCAGGGCACATGGACTGCGGCCCACAAGAAGAGGAGGACTGAGCTCTTTCTGAGTGTGTGTGTGCGGGGTCTCATTTCACCCCTGGACTGCCCCTCCCAGGGTGCTCAGGGAAAATATTGAGGCTCCTTAACGAGGCAGGAGGACTTTGAGCAAGATGAGCCCTTGGGACAACCCCAACTTAGCTCACTGGAGGCTGGAGAGGGCCCTGTCTCCCCACGCCGGGGCCTCAAGGGAAGATGCCTCAGAGATGAGGCTCCTCACCCGTCCAGGGCCTGCATCTCCACGTGGGGCCATCACAGAGACCTCACCCCCCAGCCTAACCTTGAAGCTCCTTGGAATTTAAGATACACTGTGTCCCTCTTTGTCACTCTTCTTCCTTCTCTGCTCATCTTCCTCCCAGTTGGCAGTTTTCTACTCTCCAGAATTTAAAAATTCACGGCCAGGCGTGGTGGCTTGAGCCTGCAGTCCCAGCTACTTGTGAGGCTTAGGCGGGAGGATTGCTTGAGGCCAGCAGTTTTTTTTGTTTTTTTGTTTTTGAGATGGAGTCTCACTGTTGCCCAGGCTGGAGTGCAGTGGTGTGATCTCAGCTCACCGCAGCCTCCACCTCCTGGGTTCAAGCAATTCTCCTGCTTCAGCCTCCTGAGTAGCTGGGATTACAGGCGCACACCACCACACCTGGCTAATTTTTGTATTTTTAGTAGAGGTGGGGTTTCGCCATGTTGGCTAGGCTGGTCTCGAACTCCTGACCTAAGGTGATCCACCTGCCTCGGCCTCTCAAAGTGCTGGGATTACAGGCGTGAGCCACTGCACCCAGCTGAGGGCAGCAGTTTTGAGACCAGCCTGGGCAACATAGCAAGACCCTGTCTCTTAAAAAAAAAACTGCTTATAAAAAAATCATTACCTATATAGGGCAGGACAGCAGCAGACACATTAAAAGACATCTTAGAAGCTGGAAGATAAGGGAGCAGTGGTTTCCTCTAGATTAATAGTACCAGCTAAGCTTTTAACCAAGAGGAGGGAAAAAATGAAGAGTGTCTACCACCACCAAGCCCTTGCTGAGAAGAGTGCTGAAAGATGTGGCTCAGGAAGAAGAAAACTGCTCAAAGAGGAGTGAGATGCCAGGAGAAATGGTAGGCAAAGGAACTGAAAACCATGAACGCAAAGCCACTCAAGCACTGGCTGAATACAGCAGTAAAAATAATGGTGGGCAATTTGGTTTAAAAAGCAAAGAGGAGGGGGTTCCGGGAAGATGGTGGCAGAGTGTTTGAATTTCCCTGAATCCCCATGTAAAGACAGAGTAACTAGATAGCAAAACCATAAACCCAATGGACAATACTAGGTGAGAGAGTCCCACGAACCCCTCACGATCTGCGGAATACAAATGCGTGGGGACAAGTCACCTGCGCCACAGCCCGACACAGCATCTGCTTTGGTGCAGCAGGACGCGGAGGGAAGCAAAGGGACGGCGGGTGGACCTGGGACACAGCAGCGGGGCACTCACTGGGAAGCACAGCGACCCTCCTGTGACGCTGAGAGGCCGCCCCGTGCAGAAGCAGGCGATTGTGGGGCTTCTCAGTGGGTCCCGAAGGGGCTGGAGCGCTCTCTATACCCACTCTCCCAGGCTACCGTCCCCGGGCAGGGATCCACACTGCAGAGAAACTGCCGGCAGTGGAAAGGGACTGACCAGGACAGGCAAAGAAAGTACAGGCAAGATCCAGATTCTCGTGGGGAAAGTGTAGAGAGCCCGAAATCCCAGAGGCCAGGTCCATGCTTTTGAACCTCAAAAGAAAACAACCCCAGCGGGAGCTCTTGGGAGTAGGAAAGTTTTCCTGAGCCCCGCCTCCTTCCAGAAATGCAGGAAAATGAGTTTGGGCTGCAGTGAAGAATCTGCGCTGTAACGGATTAAAATCCCGGGGTGGAGAGACAGACAAAGCGGCAGGAGAGCATGGGCAGGGCTCAGAACGAGAGCAGGGGACACGAGCTGGGGCCGTGGAGAAGGAACCATCGCAGAGGGACGGAGGCATGGCATGGCCCGGGCCACATGGGTTTCTATTCCGCGTGAACAGGTCTGTGCAGACCCATCCACAAAGGCTGAGGGAGCCCAGAGGCCGAAGAAAGAGGCTGACAAATTCAGTTTCTCAGAAATAATAAACATAATTTTTTTTTTTAAGATACAGGATCTCCATCTGTCCCCCAGGCTGGAATGCAGTGGTGCAATCATAGCTAACTGCAGCCTCGACCTCCTGGACTCAGGCGATCCTCCTGCCTCAGGTAGCTGAGTAGCTGGGACTACAGCCATGTGCCACCAGACCCAGCTAATCTAAAATTTTTGTGTGCAGACAACCAATGGCTATGTTGCTCAGGCTGGTCTTGAGCTCCTCGCTTTAAGCGATCCTCCCACCTGGGCCTCTCAAAGTGTTCAGAGTACAGGTGTGAGCCGCTGCACCTGACCAGAAAGAAATAATAGGAACTTAGGAACAGAAATAGGGACTTACGAACAGATAGTGGCTCCCCATACCTGCCTTCCAGAAAGTCACCTTTATACAGCAGGCGTTTGAGGTAAAGACATGGGCAGCTGATCACGCCTCAGACTTTCTTGCCAAAGCTCGTTACCACTGGGGAGGTTGGATAAGCATCTTTGGGAGCGGTTATGAATGCCAAAGGCATTGTTTAAAGACTTTCCTGCAGAACAGCTTGGTGTGCAGGAGTCCAGCATTGGTCATCACGGCAGTTTTGCTCCAAGATGGCATCACTCTTGCCACGCAACAGACTGCCTCCCTACCGCTCCCGCTCGCTCCCCCGGGCTGCCTGCAGGCACTGCTGTTGAGGTACCCTGAGGTGGCAGCTTCATGAGGGAGCACCAGGCAGCCACTCAGTGGCAGGTGGGTGACATTAGACCCCCTCCTCCAGCGGAGGGGCAGAGATTTGTCCTCCAAGAATAGGCCCATATTCTGGAAATGGAGTTGCCTTCCCTGCAACAGCACCGTGCATGCCTCATTTGCTGTCTGGGCGTCCCACACATCGCTCTAATCAAGAAGCTCACTCACTTCACAGCCAGAGAGTAAAGGGTTAGGGCTCATGCCTCAGTGGTGAGGACACCACTGGCCTCACCGTTGCCCTCATCGGAAGCAGCCGCCCAGTTGAAATGGTCATCCCAACACTCTGCGACAGGCCAGTGAACGCTAACACTCTGAAGAGCTGGGGCACCATCCCGCCGGATGCAGGACATTATTTTGTAAAAAATACCAATTTTTAAAACTGTGGCAGAATACATAGAAAATAGAATTAGCCATTTTAACCTTTTTTTTTCATTTTCTTTTTTTTTGAGACCAAGTCTTGCTCTATCGCCAGGCTGGAGTGCATTGGTGCAATCTCAGCTCACTGCAGCCTCCGCCTCCCTGGTTCAAGCTATTCTCCTGCCTCAGCCTCCCAAGTAGCTAGGACTTTAGCTAATTAGCTAGGACGCCCAGCTAATTTTTGTATTTTTAGTAGAGACGGGGTTTCACCATGTTGGTCAAGATGGTCTCGATCTCTTGACCTCGTGAGCCGTCCGCCTCGGCCTCACAAAGTGCCGGGATTACAGGCATGAGCCAAGGCGCCCAGCCTTTTTTTTTCTTCATTTTCAAAATGCATCACTTAATTTTCCTTACAAGGTAGCCACGCATTAAACATGTAACAATCACAGGATTTCTTCAGCAAGCCCTAGTGCTTCCGTGAGCTTTCCTGGAGCTCGTGGCTCGAGGTGTCCTGAGGTTTCAAATATTACAGCTTTCTCCATGGCCATAAGTTCCTCTGATGTTTGGGTTACTGAACACAAACTCGCTGGATGATTTGTCTTCAACATGGTCCATTTCTGTTCCTAAAAGTGTTAGCTGTGCCTTCTTTTCTTTTTTTTTGAGCTGGAATCTTGCTCCGTCACCCAGGCTGGAGCGCAGTGGCATGATCTCGGCTCACTGAAACCTCTGCCTCCCAGGTTCAAGCAATTCTTGTGCCTCAGCCTCCCGAGTAGCTGGGATTACATACAGGTGCATGCCATCACATCCAGCTAATTTTTGGAATTTTTTTCTTTTTTTTTTTTTTAGTAGAGGCAGGTTTTACCATGTTGGCCAGGCTAGTCTGGAACTCCTGACCTTAAGTGATCCGCTCGCCTCAGCCTCCCAAGGTGCTGGGATTACAGGCGTGAGCCACTGCGCCCAGCCCTAGCTATACCTTCTTTTCGATGAACATTCTGACTCCATCTTGAACAACTTCTTCATTAGAGCCTCCTTTTGTCTTCATGTATTCTAGAGTATAAGAAAGCACAGCCCCAGGTTCGGACACTGAGTTTCACACCTGTGTGCTCAGATGCATCTTTAAGAAGTTGTTCTGTCTTGTTCACTACTGAAGGTGTCAGGGTAGCCGATTAGAAGCACACAATTCTCAGGCATCATGGACATGCCCCGTTTCCTTGTGTGTAAGCATCACCACTTGTTCCAGAACTTTTTCATCTTCCAAACTGAAACTCTGTCCCCACCAAACACTCCCTCCCCATTTCCCCTCCCCAGCCCCTGGCACCCCCCATCCTGCTTTCTGTCTCTACGAATTTGACTAGTCTAGGGACCACCAATCAGTGGATTCATACAGTGTGTGGCTTTTTGCGCCTGGCTTATTTCACTCAGCAAGTTGTCTTCAGGATTCATCCATGTTGTAGCATGTGTCAGAATTTCATTCCTTCTTAAGGCTAAATAATGCTGCATTGAACAGATAGACCACATTTTTGTACCCCAAAAATATCCCGCATGTTGTTTTTCCACTCGTCTGTCTGTGGAAATCAGGTTGTTTCCACCTTCTGGTTATGGCCAATCATGCTGCTACGAACACAGGTGCACAAATATCTGCGGGACTCCCCACTTTCAGTTCTTTGGGGTGTATTCCCAGACGCGAAAGCAGTTATGCAGGTGGCAATGCCTCACCTGTCCCCTATCATGCAGGCCCGAGGGCCTCCACCCTGTCAAGGTGAGTGTTCTCTTTTTTCACACAGCACTGTGCTTTGCGTGGGAGACCACTAGAGCCTGAACGTGCAGGTCAGGGAGCCGGTGGCTAGAAGTATGAGTGGCTCCACTCACGATCACCCATAATAACCACTTACGTGATTTATTTATGTTTATTATTTATTTAGTATTTTTAAAAAAATTTTTGTTGGTAGTAGAATTTATTCAAATGTGCCTTAATATAGGCGCTGGGGCTTGGTCATGGTGCTCTTGATACATAAGGCCCGGACATTCCGCCAGTTTTTCTTGGGCAATGACACCAACAAGGTGACAGCCAGGTGAATGTCATATACAAGCTCATCATCTGTCATCTTCACGTGACCCACAGCCACAGCCAGATATAACACCTTCTTCATTCGGAATTGATTGTGGACTTCGCCTCATCCACTTTGGCCACCGTGTTTTTGTTGTGTGTGAGCAGGGAAGGGAAGTTTCCCGCCTTATTTAGGCCTGGGCCAAGGATTCGTGAAATCTGCTTGATCAGAGACCCCGAGGCCAAAAATGCATCATACTTCTTGGCCAGCTTCTTGACCAGTTTTTTATTCTCGTTGAGTTTTTTCAGCGCCTCGATGTCCATGTGATGTCCATGTGGGGGATACCCATGGCCTTGGCCTCGTCACAGTGCTGCTGGTCCTCCAGGACACACACGGAGAACTTGGGCCGGGGAGTGGACTTCAGCCTGATGGTGCCTGAGAAGCGCTTGTCCTTCTGGGGGTCATAGTTCTTCAAGCTGATCTGTGACTCCACTGTCTCTAGGAACTTGCGGTGCTTGTGCTGGTTCCCACGTAGGACTTCCCACACTGCCTCGTACAGGGTGTCGCGAGAGACTTTGCTGCTCATGGCTTCTCCCACTGTGCTAACTGGAAAAGAGCTCTATTATTATTATTATTATTATTATTTTTTTTTTAGACGGAGTCTTCCTTTGTCGCCCAGGCTGGAGTGCAGTGGCGCCATCTCTGCTCACTGCCAGCTCCACCTCCTGGGTTCAGTCCATTCTCCTACCTCAGCCTCCCGAGTAGCTGGGACTACAGGTGTCCACCACCATGCCCAGCTAATTTTTTTTTTTTGTATTTTTAGTAGAGATGGGGTTTCACCATGTTAGCCAGGATGGTCTCAATCTCCTGACCTCGTGATCTGCCCACCTCGGCCTCCCAGAGTGCTGGGATTACAGGTGTGAGCCACCACACCCAGCCTATTTTTTAGTAGAGACAGGGTTTCACTATGTTACCCAGGCTGATCTTGAACTCCTGGGCTCAAGTGATCCTCCTGCCTTGGTGCCCCAAAGTGCTGGGACGATAGGTGTGAGCCATTGCACCTGGCCGCCTATTATTTTTTTAGAGACAGGGTCTTTGTTGCCCAGGCTGGAGTGGCAGTGGTGCAATTGTAGCTCACACTTGCAGGACTTTTTTTTTTTTTTTTTTTTTTTTTTTTGAGATGGAGTCTTGCTCTGTCATTCAGGTTGGAGTGCAGTGGCACGATCTTGGCTCACTGCAACCTCTGCCTCCTCTGTTCAATCACTGTTCAAGTGATTCTCCTGTCTCAGCCTCCCAAGTAGCTGGGATTACAGGCGTGCGCCACCACAGATGGCTAATTTTTGTATTTTCAGTAGAGATGGGATTTCACTGTGTTGGCCAGGCTGGTCTTGAACTCCTGGCCTCAAGTGATCCTTCTGCCCTGGCCCCCCTGGCTGGGCTGGTCTCGAACTTCCA
The DNA here is from genome assembly GCF_000001405.40 of Homo sapiens. Taxonomy (NCBI): domain Eukaryota; kingdom Metazoa; phylum Chordata; class Mammalia; order Primates; family Hominidae; genus Homo; species Homo sapiens. The sequence continues at coordinate 85,817,406 of NC_000016.10, forward strand.
ACCTCAGGTAATCCACCTGCCCTGGCCTCCCAAAGTGCTGGTATTACAGGCGTGAGTCCCTGCATATGTCATCTCTTACTGATATTTTTGTCTGTTCGTTCTATTCCTCACTGATGTTTTCGTTTGCTTGTTCTATTTCTGAGACAAATTTTTGTCTATTTATCTATTTCCTTGTAATTTTGGTAAATTTTTGCTTTATATACTTAAGACTATATCATTAGGCATTTACAAATTAAAATTGGTTATAATGTCCTGAAAGTTGAAATTCTGTCATTATGAAGTGATTCTGTTTATCTCCAATAATACTTTAGTCTTAAAGTCTATTTTGCCTAATATTTTGGTTATTATTTTCATAGCATATCTTTTTGCATTCTTTTTTTTTAGTCAGAGTCTTGCTCTGTTGCCCAGGCTGGAGTGCAGTGGTGTGATCTTGGCTCACTGCAACCTCTGCCTCTTGGGTTCAAGCGATTCTCTTGCCTCAGCCTCCCGAGTAGCTGGGATTACAGGTGACCGCCACCATGCCTGGCTAGTTTTTTTGTATTTTTAGTAGAGACGGGGTTTCACCATGTTGGCCAGGCTGATCTTGAACTCCTGACCTCAGGTGATCTACCTGCCTCGGCCTCTGAAAGTGCTGGGATTACAGGCATGAGTCATTGTGCCCAGCCCATATAGCAGTTTTATATGTCATTTTTTTTTTGGAAAAACTTCTGAACTGTTTTCCAAAGTGTTCTACACCATTTTGTTTCCACCATCAAGCTGATGTGGTTCCCATTTCTTTGAGAAGTCCCGGCATGGGTGGAGAGCAGCCTGCAGCAAGGCCTAGGATGCTGAGGAGTGTCCTCATGACCTTGAGTGCAGTTCTGTGGCTGTCAGGTGTCAGGTGGGGCTCTGCGCCTAAGGGGTCCCTGGGCCCCACAAAGAGTCACACGCTGCTCTCTGAAAGGGAGTGTCACCACAGGAGGTTCATTTGTGTTTGTGTCCTTTATCACCCATGATTCCCAGTTCCTACCCCAGAGCTGGGGCTCAGATGCCTTTTATTTTTTTTATTATTATTTATATATATATTTTTATTATACTTTAAGTTCTAGGGTACATGTGCACAACGTGCAGGTTTGTTACATAAGTATACATGTGCCATGTTGGTGTGCTGCACCCATTAACTTGTCAATCCTAAGCCAAAAGAACAAAGCTGGAGGCATCACACTACCTGACTTCAAACTATACTGCAAGGCTACAGTAACCAAAACAGCATGGTACTGGTACCAAAACAGAGATACAGACCAATGGAACAGAACAGAGCCCTCAGAAATAATACCACACATCTACAACTATCTGATCTTTGACAAACCTGACAATAACAAAAAATGGGGAAAGGATTCCCTATTTAACAAATGGTGCTGGGAAAACTGGCTAGCCATATGTAGAAAGCTGAAACTGGATCCCTTCCTTACACCTTATACAAAAATTAACTCAAGATGGATTGAAGACTTAAATGTTAGACCTAAAACCATAAAAACCCTAGAAGAAAACCTAGGCAATACCATTCAGGACATAGGCATGGGCAAGGACTTCATGTCTAAAACACCGAAAGCAATGGCAACAAAAGCCAAAATTGACAAATGGGATCTAATTAAACTAAAGAGCTTCTGCACAGCAAAAGAAACTACCATCAGAGTGAACAGGCAACCTACAGAATGGGAGAAAACTTTTGCAATGTACTCATCTGACAAAGGGCTAATATCCAGAATCTACAAAGAACTCAAACAAATTTACAAGAAAAAAACAACCCCATCAACAAGTGGGCGAAAGATATGAACAGACACTTCTCAGATGCCTCTTAAAGGGTTTCCAACTTGCAGGCGTCTCAAACTGCAGCAATGGGAGACACGGGGACCTGCATCTTGGAGTTAGACTCGCGTTTCTGTGGGCTACATTCTGAGGTCTGGACAGCAGAGGGCGCTCTGAGACATAACCCGTCCTGTTTGTAGAGCGGGGACGTCCAGAAACCGGTCCCAGGGCTCAGTGAGCTTCTTTCTCCTTGGAGCTTCCTCCAGCCCAGAGGGCAAAGGAAGGACACACCCTCCTTTTCACGCATCTCTCTCTCTCTGTCTCTCTGTCTCTCTCTCTCTCTCTCCCTTCCTCTCTTTTTTTTTTTTCTTTTGAGACAGTCTCATTCTGTGGCCCAGGCTGGAGTGCAGTGACATGATCTTAGCTCAATGCAACCTCCACCTCCCAGGTTCAAGCGATTCTCCTGCCTCAGCTTCCCGAGTAGCTGAAATTACAGGCACGTACCACCACACCTGGCTAACTTACGTATTTTTAGTAGAGACAGGGTTTCACCGTGTTGGCCAGGCTGGTCTCAAACTCCTGACCTAAAGAGATTGTCCTGCCTTGGCCTCCCAAAGTGCTGAGATTACAGGCGTGAGCCACCGTGCCTGCCCGCATCTCTTCTTGCAGTGGCACTTTGCCCACAGGCAGGGGACTTGCAGGATGGCTCTGGCCAAACCCATTACTCACCAGGCAGCTGCTGTGATTCCCTCTCCTCTAGCTGCCGGGCTCTGCCTCCTACAGGGTCCTTGCCAGCAGGAACGTCTTGCAGCAGGTCACAGCTCTGCAAGGCTGGAAACATAATTTCACCACCAAGAATTCTTTGCACAGACTCTGACTTGGCACAGCCCCTGAAAGCAAGCACACTTTTTATAAGGGTCTGCGGCAGGCTTACAATGCTGGAAAAATGTGCCTTTTCCCAGTTTCAGTTGCATGTAGCGTCTGGCATTGCTCTGCCCTAACTCACAGTGCACGAGGACTTTATTCTTGAAGTAGCCTGGCACAGGGGTAAGTGCAGGGTCACTGACTTGACAGACCTGGATGCGAGCCCTGGCCCACTGCCTCGCATGCATTATTTCCTCACTATAGCCCATGGGGTTTTTAATCCCCATTTTACAAGTTAAGGATCAGAAGCACAGAGAGGTTAAGTGACTTTCACAAGGTTAGACAGCCAATAAAGCTGGAGCTGGGATTTGAATTTGCATCAGCCTACCCCAGAATTCAGTCAGTCCAATCTGGTGGAGTACCTTGTGAGCACCTAGCACATGGTAAGTGTTTACTGAATCAACGAACACATGCAAGCCCTCGGCATGGGCCAACCTCTAAGGGTCTTTTCAAATAACTTCCTCATCTTTTGTCCCTTTGCCACTACTCCAAACCTAATCAAAGGTCAACAATGAAAGCAGATAACTCAGATGTCCAGTGGTCTCCAACTAACCAATTACCCCCGAGCCACTTCTAGACCTGTGCTGTGGGCAGCACCTCGTTTTGGGATGGATGTTAAGAATCCCATTCCCAGGCTGGGCGTGGGCATGGATGGCTCGTGCCTGTAATCCCAACACTTTGGGAGGCCGAGGTGGGCGGATCACAAGGTCAAGAGTTTGAGACCAGCCTGGCCAACATGGCGAAACCCCCGTCTCTATAAAAATACAAAAATTAGCCGGGCGTGGTGGTGGGTGCCTGTAATCCCAGCTACCCGGGAGGCTGAGGCAGGAGAATCGTTTGAACCCCAGAGGAAAGGTTGCAGTGATCCGAGATCGCACTGCTGCACTCCAGCCTGGGCGACAGAGAGAGACCTTGTCACAAAACAAAACAAAACAAAACAAAACAAAACAAAACAAAACACCATGTTGGCCCAAGGCCAGCGTGTCTCAGTGAAGGCTGCACGTTAGAATCACCTGGGCGACTGTTTCAAGGCGCCACCCCAGACACAGCTACAGTTTCAAGTTCCCCTCAGGTGATTCTAATGCAGGTTCAAGCCACTGCATGCATCCCACGTTGCGTGATCACGAAAGTCACCTGGGAAATTGGTTGAAAACACCAATCTCTTGGCTCCAACCCAGAGCTACTTAATCAGAATCTCCAGGGGGAACAGATCTGAGCTTAACAGCCCACAGGTGAACACCTTGAGGCCAAAGGAACCCATTCATAAAGGGGTGGGGGCCCAGCTTCTTCTGAAGAAGGCTGGCGGGAGTTGGGGGGAGGTCCGCAATGCAAGGTTGCCCTCCACACATCAACCCCTCCCCCAGGACTGTACCCACCTGCCCGCATTTGAATCTGGGCCACCTTCCCGGCCCGCGGCGCGGAGTTGGCGGTCATATCCCGCGTGAGCACCAGGTGGCGCTAGGGCCCCGCGCTTGTCCTGGAGCCCCGGCAGCTGCTGCGCTTCCCCCAATTAATCTCTCTTCTGAAACCATAGCTGCTGAGAAGCTGCAGAGGGAGCCTGCGCCGTCTGGATTACGTGGCAGTGACCCGATGGTCCTGCCACACAGGTCAAGTTCCTTTAAAAGTCTTGTCCTTGATCTCGAAAATCCATGGGAATTTCCCATTTTGCTCCATGGTGCGCTGCTGTGTTTGTTTTAACACAGAAATAAGTATTTCCATAAATTCCACAAGACACAGCTCCCAAAGATGCACCTGCTTTTACAGGTTTCTTGGCCCTGCACCCCCTCGGAGGTGAATGGAGCCTCCCTGGTGTGAGAAGTGCAATCCACGTGGTTGGGGTGTAGGTCTCCCTCCTGATCTAAGAGGGAGAAAATGAGATGGGTGGGCACTCCCCACACCTGTTTCTTCATCTTTGCCACACTTCTGCTAGGGGAAGGACAGGGCGTCCATCCTCAGGGCCAAGCCAGAGCATTCTCATCTGCTCAATAAATTTCAATTTACTTCTGAGCACGTGTCGTTATCAAATTATCTGTGTGGCGCTTTCCACTCCCACTCTTCTGAAGATGAGCATGTGTAACAGAGCGGAACACATCTGGGCAGCCGAGGAAAGGCCTCACTTTAGGAACCGGGAAATAGAAACTCAGGGAGGTGGCAGAGAGGCCAGGCCCTGCGGGGCAGGCGGCAGGGGAGCCATGGTGGGGCCCAGCTCTGGACAGAGCTCTGGGCTGCCCCGCATCCTGGGTGAGGGCCCTGACCGCTTCCTGCTCACTTTTACCATCGGGAAGGGGCCTAGTCATAGAACTTCTGGCAGCAGTGACTTATGAGGATTCAAAAGCAGATCCCATTGTGCTGGCTGCAGATAGTGCTGGCTCACTAAGGCGATGGCTTCTTGTGGACCGTCTGGCGGAGGTGATACTGGAACCCACACTGCTGCATCCAAGTCATCCAGCAGCTGTTCAGCCCCCTTATGTGGCCGCTATGCTGGAAATACCCGGTTTTAAAGGGAAAACAAAGTTTCCAGAGACCTTTTCAGGGCCTTCTTATTTGATATCCTTTTGGCTCTACGAATACAGTGGTTGCGTCCAGGCCTACCTTCCTTGTCTATTCAGATCACAGAGAGACACTTGAGTTGGCAGAAGAGACCCCTGTCTTCAAAGGCTCGCCCCACCCCAACACCACTGGGAGAGAGAAGTGTTTTTTCCAGAGTGGCTTAGCAGCCTGGGTTTGTGCATCTGACCCAAGGCTCTGTGGACCTCCAGATGTATGGGGTGGTAGCCCGAGGGGTTTGGGGTGGGAGGGTCAGTGAGTCTGTGGGGGTGGTTAGTGTCTCAAAAGCCACAGATATAAACAAGCCATGTTTTCCTGGGGTATCATTTTCACTCAAAGTTTTGGAAAAAAGTTCTTGTTGTTTATAAGTAAAACAAACATGGATATACAATGGAATGAAATAAAAAGCCCAAGTCAATCTTAAAATACACAAATTCAAAGAAATTTGCATTGCAGGCCAGCTTGAGCTACTCTTGGGAGAGGGTTCTCCTTTGGTTAAAGCAACCTGAAGAAACATAAGTCCATCAACACATATTTCTTGAGTACCTACCATGTGCAAGGCACCGTGCTAGATGCTGAAGGGGACAGAAAATGTGAGATACAGTTCCTGTTCAGGAGGATCTTGTGGTCTAGAGAGTAGTCTTGGCTTCACCTTCATCATCACCATCACCATCATCATTATCATTGCCATCATAACCATCACCATCATCACCATCATCATCATCACCATCAACATCATCATCACCATCAACATCACCATCACCATCCTCATCATCAACATCACCATCACCATCACCATCATCACCATCACTGTCCTCATCATCACCATCACCATCATCACCATCATCATCATCACCATCAACATCATCATCACCATCACCATCATCACCATCATCATCACCATCAACATCACCATCACCATCCTCATCAACATCATCACCATCATCACCATCATCATCATCACCATCAACATCATCATCACCATCATCATCATCACCATCACCATCATCATCACCATCAACATCACCATCACCATCACCATCCTCATCATCAACATCACCATCACCATCAACATCACCACCATCACCATCACCATCCTCATCATCACCACCATCATCACCATCATCACCATCATTGTCATCATCACCATAATCACCATCATGATCATCATCACTGTCACCATCACCATTATCATCACCATCAGCATCTTCATCCTCATCGTCATTGCCACCATCACCATTGTCATCTTCATAGGCTTAAAGACAATGGTGTCTGTTCTGTTTCTCCTGTAACCTTAGCTTCTAGGATATTGTCTGGCACATATTAGGCATTCAATAAACACTTAATGCATGCCTTGTCATCATAAATCATGCTAACAGCTATGTTGTACATTGTGTCACCTAATCCTGCAACCCTAAGATATAGGAGGTATGGTTTTCTGTTCCAGATGGAGACACCAAGAAAGGCCGAACAACTTCCAAAGGCTGTATGTCAAACAGGTGATAGGACCGGGATTCAGACACAAGTCTGTCCACTTCCAGGGCCAGGGTGTTCAGCCTTGAGCCATGGTAGCCTGGCTAATAGCACAGACTTCAGATAAGAGTTGAGCTCAGAGGGAGCAAGCCCTTGAGGCCAACTTGGTCAGGGGTGGCTGTGGCTTGGCTCCTCCACTGGATATCGAGGCAAGTCATGTCCAGATACCAGAGAGTGCCAACTGGAGGTGACCACATGTGGTCAGAGGGTGTGGCCAACAGGGGACTCAGGCAGTCATTCTGTGTGCGGGCTTCCTGGCTAATAGCCATGTAGGCTTCTGGTGCTGCCCAGGCATCCCACACAAGCTGTGGGTGTGCTGGGCTGGAGGGGGGTCCCTGGGGTTTTCCCTTTGATCAGGAGCCTTCTGGGGATTTGGGGGAGGACGCGTCTTCAGACTCTCTGGGGTCACCTGGGAAGCAGAGTCATGAGGCTGCCCAGAGGACTTTCCCAGCCATTGGGGCCACTACTTCCTCAAACCTCCTCGTGGTCTTTTTGGAAAACCCCAGGTTGGGATCCTCATGGGTGTGGAGGAGCCAGTGGTCTGGGGCTGTGAGGGATATGAGCCAGGGTGACCGTGCACCCACGTCGGGTTGCCTGGGTGCACCGCCTGGTCAGAGCCAATGGCAGGACTGGACAGTGGGTGTGACAGTGTCCTGGGATTGTTGTAACAAACGGCCCCACTCTGGGAGGCCTAGAACAACAGAGATGTGTTCCACACGGTCCTGGAGGCCAGAGCCTTCATCAGAGCATTGCCGGGGGGCACGCTGTCTGCGGGCTCCGGGGGAGGGGCTGCCTGGCCTCTCCCAGCTTCTGGCGCTCCCTGGCGTTCCTTGGCTTTGGCCACTTCACCCCAGTCTCTGCCTCCATTGTCTCACGGCCGTCCCCCTGGTGCCTGCAAATCCCTCTCTGCTTTTTCTTATAAGGACAGCTGTCATTGGATTTAGGGCCCACCCTAATCCAGCATGACCTCATCTTAACCTGATTACATCTGCAAAGACCCTATTTCCAAATAAGGTCATATCCATTGGCTCAGGACTTCAACAACTTTAACATACTTCTGGGGTGGGGGGACCCAATCCAGCCCACGACAGATGGCACTGCCTTCCACCGCACATCCCTGCAGACAGGGCACCAGAGTCACCAGGCCTCGTCCAGGACTGGCCATAGTAAACTACCCGAGAGCTCAGCTCTAGGCTCAGGAGTTTGCCTGTTCCAGAATACAAGGGTTGTTCAATGCCCTGCCCTGCTCTGTAACCCCTTCGGCAGAGCATCACCTGGATTTCTGGTGGGAAGTCACACTTCCCCTGCCCAGCCACGTGGGGGCAGGTGACTCAGCATCCCCCAGGCCAGGGGTGGGCGTGGGACCCGGCCCGAGCCACCTGCACATCCCAATTTTCTGGGAGAGGGATTGTTCACGGATGGGCATGTGATGTATATGGGTTCACTGGACTCCAGGACTTCTGCTGGAGTGACTGAGGGACAGCATTACTTTCTGCTGCGTGTGGAGATGCAAGGGTGTGTGTGTGCACCCGTTTGGGGGACCCCAGGTGGAAGGCGCTCGCCTGGAGGTGAAGCCCTCGGAGACCCTGTTTTCTCGTGTGATTGGCAAGCCCTGCTACCCCTGGAACTTTTGCTTATTTGAGACAATACTTTCCATTTTTTCTCCTTTTTTCACTCAAGACAGTTTAGGTTGGATTTTTTTTTTTTTTTTTTTTATCATTCATAAGAGAAACAGCCCTGACCTAACACACAGATCCTAAGACTTTTGGAGTTCCCAGCCCCTGAAAATCCAACACAAGCTGACAATCCTCTCCCAGAAGTACATGCAAGATCACAGAACCTCTTGCACTCAAGCTGCTAGGCCCGTGGATCTCTTCCATGGACCTTCAAGGTACCAAGAATCTCAGGCTAAAATTTACTTTTAAAAATGTTTGAAAAGTCCTTGGAAGCCTGCGCTGGCGGCTTCCTGAGACTTTCTGGGCTGGGAGATTGGTAGGACGGGCTGTTGATGGGCAGGCTGTTCCTCCCAGGCATCCCCAAGCCAGTGGAAGCGTGGGATATCCGTGTCTCCAACTCCTGCCGTGGTGTGGGCGCCTTCCTCTTCTCTGTCATTCCTCACTGCAGCGTCCCCTGCTCACCTTGTTTTGAGTAGAAATATGTCCCCCACTCTCAGATGCGGGCAGGAGGAGAGTAAACAGGTGTGACCACGCTGCGGGGCTGTCTGGCCACGCCGGGCACAGCTGGCCGTGGAGGTCCCTGCCCGAGTGTTTATCAAGGGAGGAATGGAGAAATGAACTGCGGCAGGGCTACACCCGAGAGTCGCATCCTGCAGTTAATCTGGAAGCAGCAGATGTACCTGCGTCAACAGGAAGGATTTTGGAAACATGCAGGGGGCATGAGAAGAGAGGCTGCTGAGGGTCTGTGCCATAGGAAGCCTCTACTGACAAATGTTAAACAGAAGGTGGCAATAGACCGTTCCTACAGATGCCTTCAGCTGCAGCAGAAGAAATACAGGCATGTGGAATCCATACCAACCCCGGGAAAGGAGGGCAGGGAGCGGAACTGGGAGAATGAAGGGGCCCCCACTGTATCTGAGATGTTTTCGTTCTCTGAAGCAAACACAGAAAAACTGTCCTGCACGGGTTTGCTCCAGGCAGCACAATTCAATCCCCAAAAATCTTGCGTCCAGAGGCCTCGCCACGCTGCGGGCTTCACACACTCATGCACAAAGCATGCACACATGTGGACACACATGTGCACACACATGAACAAAGCACACACTTGCACACACGTACACACGTGGACACACACATGAACAAAGCACACACACGGATGCCACACACATGCACACACACGCAGTAAGCACACACTTGCACACACATGCACAAATCATGCACACGTTTACACACATACACACACGAACAAAGCACACACATGGACACCATACACATGCACACACACTCACAAAGCACACACGGGCACAGATGTGTACACCCACTGACGAGTCTCTACACCCCTTCACACTGGGTCCATTCTGGGACTTCCTGGTTATGTGGGTCCATACATTTCTTTTTCCCTTACTTCATCAGGGTGGGCGGGCTTCTGTTACTTGTGACCAAAGACCTCTAACGCCGATGCACTTCACGAGATCAATGTGGACATCTTGGATCTGTGGGGGACCTTTTATGCACTGATCCAGTCCACCCACCCGTGTCATGGACAGAAAGACCCCAGGCTCAGAGAACTGACCTGTTAAGATGTAAAGCAGGCTGGGTGTGGTGGCTCACACCTGTCATCCCAGCACTTTGGGAGGCCGAGGCGGGTGGATCACTTGAGCCCAGAAGTTCGAGACCAGCCTGGCCAACATAGTGAACTCCCATCTCTACTAAAAATAAAAAAAATTAGCCGGGCCTGGTGGTGCATGCCTGCAATCCCGGCTCCTTGGGTGGCTGAGGCACGAGAATCTGTTGAACCTGGGAGTCGAAGGTTGCAATGAGCCCAGATCATGCCACTGCACTCCAGCCTGGGCAACAGATTGAGACTCTGTCTCAAAAAAATAAAGATGTAAAGCATAGTTTCTGGTCCTGTGAAAGCATTTTCAAGTTGAAGCAACCCCAGTATTTGAAACTTCAGAATCTAGCACCCACCCCACACCAGATGCACAAGAGGGGGCTGAGAGTGGGCATGGGGGTGGGGGCCCCCAGGGCCTCAAGTTATCACCCCAACTCCAGGCTCTCTCCACACTCTCTCCCTGCAGAGCAGCTGCCGCCCAATCTCTGCTCGTGGAGACGAGCGTTGGTCACTGGCCATGAAACCCTTCGTGAAGTTTTTGAAATAAAAATAATAATAACAGATAGTTGGGGACTGGAGCAGCGGGAGGCTGGGCTGTTTATGCTGTGAGTGAATTATGTATTCTGTCCGTTTCCAGAGAACGGATCTTTCAGATGTTTATGTAATAAAGATCCTTGTGGAACTCAGGGTCAGAAAAGCCAAGTCAGTGTTTGTTTCAGGTGTCTGAGCAGCCTGTATTTTTCTTTCTTTGGGTTTGAAAAGTGTAGCGGGTTCCTCAAGTCAGGGTTGCTGTTTTTATACAGCTGGTGGTGGAGGCTGGGGGATGGGCCTCGGGAGTGACCTGCACAGGCTGATGGCAGAAGGTGGGGTCAGATGGCCCTTGGAGGCCGGAGGGGCTGTGGCGGGACCCTCGATAAACCCACGATTCCAATTCCATGGTGACACCTTAGGGCGGGCCTGGCCCAACGCTGTATGTTGGGTACTTGAATCCCGAATGTGTGTTTTGGGATAAATAGTGGAGCCCAGTGTCTTTGATGCAAAGATCACCAGCCACTTGGCTAATATTCTTCCTTGTATTTTTTCAGTGCTAGGGAGGAAAACTGTACAGTTTTTTGCTTTAAAATTATATGATTATTATATAATTATATTATTATGTAAAGTTTTTTGCTTTAAAATTATTATAAAAGATTTCAAACACACAGAATGTATAAAGGGTAATACAGTGAATCCCCATGGACCCATCAGCTGGTATAAGAATGCCACATTATCCGGGACCCAGTGTTAATCTCGCCCCCGCCCTCCCCACAGAAGGGATTCTCCTGGGTGCAGGTGTTTTTGGGTGTAGGTGGTTTTGGTTGCAGGTGTTTTTGGGTGTAGGTATTTTTGGGTGCAGGTGTTTTTGGGTGTAGGTGTTTTTGGGTGCAGGTGTTTTTGGGTGTAGGTGTTTTTGGGTGTAGGTGTTTTTTATTGTAGGTGTTTTTGGGTGTAGGTGTTTTTGGTTGCAGGTGTTTTGGTTGTGTTTTTGGGTGTAGGTGTTTTTTATTGTAGGTGTTTTTGGGCGTAGATGTTTTTGGGTGTAGGTGTTTTTGGGTGTAGGTGTTTCTGGGTGCAGGTGTTTTTGGTTGCAGGTGTTTTTGGTTGCAGGTGTTTTTGGTTTGTAGGTGTTTTTGGGTGTAGGTGTTTTTTATTGTAGGTGTTTTTGGGTGTAGGTGTTTTTGGTTGCAGGTGTTTTTGGTTGCACGTGTTTTTGGTTGTTGGTGTTTTTCTCTGCCCCTCGGTATTTCCTTCCGAAATGGGTGAACTCGGGCATGAGTCTCCACTCACCAAAGGATCCTCCCACGTCTGTGTGGCCTGGGCGGTACGTGGGCACCTGTGGGCACCTGGTGAGATGCTAGGTGGTTCTGCCTGGGGAAGTGGTTCCATCCGCCTCCCTGAGCTCAACACAGTTATCTTGCCAGCACACCCAGCGTCACAGCGGCACCCCTTTGGAGGACTCCCGGGAGGGTGGGATGGGATGGCACTCTCTCCTTGAGTGAACAGGAAGTCTCTGTAAACACCAGCAATTATGACTGCGCAGCCTCCGGGCACGCTTGGGCACCATCACCCAGGGACAGGGAGGAGAGGTGCTTCCAGTGGCTCTTGGGTCTGCTGGGGGCTTGTCCTTAGGACCATTTTAACGTCTTCCCAGACAGACAAACTGGGCTCCTTCCTCAAAATAAAAAAGCAAATGAAAGGGTTTTTTTCATCAACTGTTTAGCAACCCAGGCAGGGAAAAAGCAATCAGAGACGTGGAAACAGCCCCGGGGGCCACCGTGCAGGGGCTGTGCTTCCCTGCGGTGAGCCCACAGAGGCCGGGACCACACCGGCAGGAGCTGCACCCGCCTGGGAAAAGGGGAACAGGAAAAGCATGGCCGGTTGAGCAACTCGGAGTCCAGATTGGGGCCGAGGCAACCACAAGCCCATGGACGCCGCAGCGGGAGGCGAAGGGGCAGGAAGCGCCCTCCACGGGGCCTGCTGCAGCTGGGTGGGCGCTGAGGCCCCTCCCTGCCAGGGCCATTTCTCAGGACAGACCTGGCCCATCGCACCCCCAGGAGCCAGCAGCGATTGGCCTAAACAAGCCGTAGCTGCAAAGGATGGACCTCTGAGAGAATAGAATGTGGGCAGGAGTGGGTAGGACCGGGCAGGCTTGAAGGACTGTGGTGGGGTCCCTGGGCAGCAGAGGCCAAGGCTGGTGTCAGAAGGTGGACGGGCTCCTTTGCAGACTGGCTCCCTCCTTCATTCCTATTGCAACCAGCACCATGTCCATTTGGGATGGGAGTCCAGCCTTCAAATCTGAGGGCCAGACAGCTGGTGGCAGAGTCCCCGAGCTCCTTGCTCTGGGCTATGGCTGTCCTGATGGACCCCCAGCCTGCCTCTCCCAGGAAGCTGCTGGGCTCTCTGGAGTGATGTTGCCGTATCCCTGCCCTGGTTACTTCCTGACATCCTCTCTCCTGTTCCTGCCTTGGGTGGACGTAATTTACTTATAAAACTCTACAAGGGGCTGGGCACGGTGGTTCACAACTGTAATCCCAGAAATTTGGGATCGCCTGAGGTCAGGAGTTCAAGACCAACCTGGCCAACATGGTGAAACCCCCATCTTTACTAAAAATACAAAAATTAGCCGGGTGTGGTGGTGCACACCTGTAGTCCCAGCTACTCGGGAGGCTGAGGCGGGAGAATCAGTTGAACCTGGGAGGCAGAGGTTAAAGTGAGCCGAGATCGCACCACTGCCCTCCAGCCTGGGCAACAGAGCCAGGCTTCATCTCAAGAACAACAAACAAACAAACAAATAAACAAACTCTACAAGGAACTCTGTCAGAGAAAGTTCAGAAAAAGAAAAACCATGATCGCTTATCCCGCTCTCTGAACACCGTAGCTATTGTAATTTTGGTATATTTCCTTCCAGACTTTTCCCCCTAATGCCTACTTTTGCATATAATTGAAATCATATCATAGACATAGTTGGGTAGCCAGACTTTTGCCCACACAATCCCATGATCGTTTCACATGCCGTTTCATGCATTTCCTCATCAGCCCTGATGGATTTGGATTGCTGTTTTACTCTGAAGTTTTAAAGGGAGCATTTTCGTATGGAAGATTTCAAACACACACAAAAATGTGGTGGATACTCAAAAGAGCTCCTCATGCTCCCACACCCAGTTTCAACGATGATTGGCATAGCGCTCGCCCACCCTGGTATTTTTAAAATTATTGTGGCAAAATAGACATAGCCTAAATGTTACCATTTCAACCTTCTTTGAGTGCACACTTCAGTGGCATTAAGCACGTTTACGCTGTTGTGGAACTAGCACCACCGTCCATCTCCAGAACTTTTTCATCTTTGAAATGGAAACTTTGTCCCCATTAAATATTCACTAACATTCCCCGTCCCTCAGCCTCTGAACCCTACCTTCTGCTACTAATTGAAACTCTGTCCCCATTAAACATTCACTCCCATTCCCCATCCCCCAGCCTCTGAACACCACCATTTGACTTTCTGCTGCTACGATTTTGACTACTCTAGGAACCTCATATACGTGGAATCATAGTATTGTCCTTTTTGTTTGTCTCGTTTCACTCAGCATAATGTTTTCAAGGTTCATGCAGGTCATAGCATGTATCAGAATTTCCTTTTCAAGGCTGAATAATATTCCACCATCTGAATATCTGACTATATCACCCTTTGTTTATTCATTCATCTGTTGACAGACATTTGTGTGGTTTGATGCTGGTGTTTTTAAACAAGTTGCAGACATTGTCTTGTTTCATCCATGAATGTGTCCAAATAGTCTTAGAGATGAAGGCTTAAAAAAAAAAAAGAAAACTGGCCAGGTACTGTTGCTTGTGCCTATAATCCCAACATTTTGGGAGGCTGCAGTGGGCAGATCACTTGAGCCCAGGAGTTTGAGACCAACCTGGGCAACATGGTGAGACTCTGTCTCAACAAAAAATTAAAAAATTAGCTGGGTGAGGTGGTGTGCACCTGTAGTTCCAGGTACTCAAGAGGCTGAGGTGGGAAGTTTGCTTGAGCCCAGGAGGTCAAGGCTGTAATGAGCTGTGATCCCACCACTAAACTCCAGCCTGGGAGACAGAGTAAGACCTTGTCTCAAAAAACCAAAACAGGCCAGGCACAGCAGCTCACGCCTATAATCCTAGCACTTTTGGAGGCTGAGGCGAGCGGATCACCTGAAGTCAGGAGTTCGAGACCAGCCTGGCCAGCATGGTGAAACCCCATCTCTACTAAAATACCAAAATTAGCTGGGTGTGGTGGTGCGTGTCTGTAATCCCAGCTACTCAGGAGGCTGAGGCAGGATAATTGCTTGAACCCAGGAGGTGAAGTTTGCAGTGATCTGGGATCGTGCCACTGCATTCCAGCCTGGGCAACACAGCAAGACTCCATCTCAAAAACAAAACAAAACAAAACAAAAAACCCCAAAAAACAAAAAACCAAAACAAACAAAAATCAGAAAAAACAACCTTCACAGCAATATCATCATTCCATCTAGACCATTTAACAATAATTCCTTCATATCATGTAATATCCAGGCAACATTCAGGTTTCGCTGATTTTCTCATGAATGTCTTCCTGAAGTTGGTTTGCTGGTTTGCTTGAATTCAGATGCAAAAAGGTCGATTTGTGTCTTAAATCTCCCTCAGTTCTTTCTTTCTAGCCGCCTTTCATTGAGGAAGCTGGGCCGCCATCTGGAGGCGCCTCGCACGCGGGACACGCATGGAGGACCTGCCAGGTGCCTGTTGGTGGCCGCCTGTCCCCAGGGCGTTCTGACTCAGGGACAGCTTTCAGCGACTACACGGCAGAAGTGGTGTCCATCCCCCTCGTCCTGTCAGGAGGCACCGCAGCTCTGTCACTCTCTGTTCCGCCTGTTTTTATTTTTTTCTCCTTCCATTTATTGTGACTGTTTATCTGGAAACCATTTTGAACTTACGGAAAGGTTGTAAGACTATTTCAGAGAACTCCTGTGTTCCCCATCCCCATCCCCAGAGTCCCCACTCAGATTTCTCAATAGACGGGCGCCTGCTGCTGCAGTCCCATCCCCTCTGGGGCACAGGTCCCATAGCCACGCCTCCCTCACCTCCTGTTGTCTGGAACAGTCCTGTCTTTCCTGGTATCTGTGGCCTTGCCCTGTTTGGGTATGACAGGCTCGTGTTGTGTCAAATGCCCCTCAGTTTGGTTTTGTCTGATGTTTCCTCATGATGGGATCCACGTGATGCATTTTGGCTGGAAAAGCACAGAAGGGAGGCTGAGATATTCTCAGCTCACCCTGGGGACACATGGTGGGGTCTGTCCAGCGTGATGGCACCAGCTTTCATTGCCCAGTGCACATGGCGTCTTCTGGGTTTCTCCGTGGTAAACGTGCTTCCTCCCTTTGTTTTAATATGTTTTCGGGGAGAGGTACTTTGGGATGATGCCAGATCCTGTTCCTCATTTCCCTTCGAGTCAGGGGAGATTCTGGCACCGGGGTTTAGTGTGCTGTCCAAGGCCCCAGATGAGATTAGGGGTGGGGGCTGCGTAACACCCGGGCTCCAGACCAGGGCTGAGCTCACCTCCGCCGCTTTCCCCTCACTCCCACTCTTGAAATCAGACGCGTGCAGCTACAGCACAGGTCACAGCACAGGTCTCCTTCACCCCGGTGGTGAGGGAGTCAGTGAGGGAGAGGGCTGTTCTGCCCTCAGCCAGGCCGCAGCGGATGCCAGAGGCGGGGCACCAAGCTCACCAGGTCTGGCCCAGCCGGGGCTTGTGGGAGAGGAATGGGCTGTCCTCCCACCCAGGGTGGGGTCCCTGCTCCTCCGCAGCAGGTGGCTGGCTTGACTGGATGCAGCCCGCCTCTTCTGATGGGAGGCATTCTCCCGCAGAGAAGGTGGTGGGATGGCACCAGTCACTTTGTTCCACTTGGTCTGCTGGGTAGAAGAGATGGAAACAATGCCTGCTGAGTATCAGAATCAGATTTGGCTGTGTCAAAGGAAGGAAGGAGGGAGGGAGGCAGAAAGGGATGGAGGAAGAAAAGGGGAAAAGGAAAGATGAAAGAAGGGAGAGAAGGAGGGAGGGAAGGAGGGAGGGAGGGAGGGAGGGAGGGAAGGAGGGAGGGAAGGAGGGAGGGAGGGAGGGAAGGAAGGAGGGAGGGAGGGAAGGAGGGAGGGAAGGAGGGAGGGAGGGAGGGAGGAGGGAGGGAAGGAGGGAGGGAAGGAGGGAGGGAAGGAGGGAGGGAAGGAGGGAGAGAGGGAAGGAGGGAGGGAAGGAGGGAGGGAAGGAGGGAGGGAAGGAGGGAGGGAGGGAGGGAGGGAGGGAGGGAAGGAGGGAGGGAAGGAAGGAGGGAAGGAGGGAGGGAAGGAGGGAGGGAAGGAAGAATAGGAAAGATAAGAGAGAGAGGAACTGTGTTTTTTCTCTAGACAGGCCATTTCCCCCCATCATATTAAAACAAGAAAACTACACAGGTATCAGCAGCAGCTCAGGGCTGACCATGGCATGGTCCACAGTGCCTGCTCTCTCTTCTCGTGCTCCTCTGCCATTCTAGCACAGCACCTCAGGGTCTAAGACAGCTGCAGAGGCTCCAGCCATCGTGTCTGCCTTCAAACCAGCAAGAGGGGAAGAGGGGGAGACAGAGCCAGCTCTTTCACTTTGATGAGAATGCATGGAAGTGACAGACTGCCCTTCAGCTCACACGTCATTTGGTTCAGTGCTTAATGGTGGGGGCCGCTGGGAATGGGGATGGGGATGGGGATGGGGATGGGGTGGTGCTCTTGATTTCTGCCTAAGGAGAAACTCCCCTGCTTACCAGGAGTTGACCAGCCAGGGTGCAGCTGGAGTCCAGAGACCCAAGCAAGCCAGTGAGGGGTGAGGAGCAGCGAAGGGGGCTTGGTGAGGGCTGCAACCCTGAGCCATGTGAGGGCCGCCATGCAGAGAAGGGAGTAGTAGCCTGAGCGGCTGTGGGCCCAGGGCAGGTGCAGGAGCCAGGTTTCAACATCAGCAGCTTCAAACGGGGTGGTGCAATGGATTTTCTCTGGGTATTTGGGATGGGTTTGGGGGGCAACCGCCTGCAACTCAATGTATCTCCAAGAATTGAGAGCTTAGGAGCTCCTGTCCACTGAGGAGTTCCTGAACCACTCCTCAGGAGTGTGAAAAGGAAAAAGCTTTGCCCTCTGAGCTCAACTCTGATCCCTTTCAGGAACCACCGGTCCTCCTGTTGTACGTCCTTGCCCTGTGCTGGGTGCTGTTCCAGGTGCCTGCCAAGTGTCATCTCACGCAGCCCTCCAGGCCTAGCGGGTGAGCCCAGCACCCTCCCGACCTGAGGCTGAGCACACAGAGGTGGGTGGCAGTGTGTGGTGTGCCCCACGTCCACCAGTGGCAGGAGGCAGAGCCAGGGCTGGAACCTGGGCAGCCTTGACCAGCACTCGAACATGTGTCAGGCGACTGGACCAGTGCAGAGACAAAAGTCAGCAAAAGTTGGAAGTGGCTTCCAGGCACGCATGCTCTGGCAGGACCCCAGAGGACATGGGCATAGCGGAGGCAAGGGCGGCTCCATGCAGGGGGAGGAGCTCAGCTGTCCCACCAGGTCGTGCCTGGGCAGCAGGTGTCGGCACTGCGGCGCGGTGTCCCAGGCCTGCTGGCTGTGAGCGACCGGCCGTCGTAGGAGGGAGGCCCAGGCATCTCAGCAGAGGCTATGGGGTGTCTGCTTCATGCAGCTCCTGCTGTCTAACCCCGAGCTCGCCAAGAAACTGCGTGTTTATGACCTGGCTTCTGCACAGACATTTCAAAGCAAGAGACTGTGCAGGTAACCCTGGCAGGTGTATTCCAGGCTGTGACACGCAGAATGTTCAATGCCGATCACCAAGTCAGCAGGTCCTGGCTCCCTGTGCTTGTCTATTGGGTCAGGATCTCTACTCAGTTCTGCGTCTTTGAGGCTAGCAGATTCTGGAGCAGGACTGGGGACAGGGGACCAAATGTCACCCCACGAGGCCTCCTGGAGAGGACAACCCGGCTTCCAGCCACCCCGGGGACCACATTCCAGATTCTTCTCTGCAGTGGCAGGTGCTGCTTGTCGGGGTACCAGGCTCCCCCTGGCCTTTCTGGAAGAGAGGGTGTCCCTTATAAATCATAAGCAGAAAATAAATACTCAGCCAAGAAAGCACTCGGCAGGTCGAGTCCCGCTTGGCTGGAGAGGGAGGATGAGGGGCTCTGTTTCAGTGAACCTGTCAAACAGCCCCACACAGACACTGAGCAGCCCTGTCCCTGTCGGGGGCTGAGCGTCTTGGAGAAGAGGAAAGGCAGGTCTCGAGGGAAACCCGGGCAGCAAGTCTGGGCTTCTGGGCCCTTCCTCTGAGCCCGTTTCTGCTGTGCAGTAGAGAACGTTGGTTCAGAAACCAGAAGGTGTCTTGGGGATCATGGAACCCCCACTCTGCTGGGACAGGTGAATGCAAAGCAGCCCAGCAGTTGCTCGGGGCTCCTTCCGCTGGTGATGTGCTGGCGACCCTAACAATCAGCTCGCTCGGGGAAAGCTCCGATTGTCCAGGGCTTGCTCATCACATGGTGGCAAACCCTCCACTGTGGCCGATTTCATGTCACTGCCACGGCGTCACTGATGAGGAGCTGGAATGAGGTGCACAGAATGGGCTCTGGTGAGCTGGTGGGAGCTGGGGCCAGCTGCCCTGCCCTCACTGCTCCTGTTGGTCTAGAAATGTAATCGGCTGTGCTGCAAGTCCCTGGCCCTCTGGCTGTGATGCGGTGCACACGTGCACTGGGGCACATGACACCCTACCCAGGGAAACGGGAATCCAAAGGCCCCTTAGGAGAGTTTGAGAGGTGTGTCTGGAAGCCAGCTACAGGTGTGCCACCCCGGAGGACAGGTGGTGGGATACGGCATCCACAGCCAGGTGTGTGAACTTTATGTCACAATTACACAAGAGACCACAGTCGTGGAAGCAAATGGGTCTACCAGAAAGCCACCTGGGAGCGCCAGGACCTGCGGTGATCACGCCAGATCGTTTGTGCCCCCCTCCTCCAAGACCTGCTGGGCTGGTCCAGTGGCCTCGCTGTTCTGAATCTTTCATATTCTCCAGCGAGCTGAGTACAATTTGAATATGGAGAAGTGGGTCAAGAGGAGAGAACCACCACTCTGTGCCTTGAGAAGCTGTTGCAACACGGCACTTTGTTGTTGGAGACCAGATTTTAGAAACAATGTCAGTGGCTGTGGAGCAGGTTAGAGGGGCGAGCAAGGCGTGTGACGCAAGCTCACCTGGAGGGATTGGAAAGCACAGCTTCCTGAAACTGGTCTCAGCCAAGACCCCAGAATCAGCCCTTGCGGGGCATGGCTTATGAGGAGAGTACACGCCAGGCTGAGAGCTGGGAGACACAGTCCACTGGAGGTGGTGGTGTCATGGTCCCGGGACTGTCCCTTAAGCTCCTCAAGGCCAGGTGACTCTCCTGTCGAATGGGCATCATGAGCTCCACCTTGGAATTGGGAGGAGCAGACGCAATCAATGCCCGTGAAACTCTCGACTTCAAAGTTTATTTCAAAGGCCACTATTAAAAGGATTAATGTAAATTAGTTCAGCCATTGCGGAAAGCAGTTTGGAGATTTCTCAAAGAATTAAAAATAGAACTACCATTTAACCCCGCAATCCCACTACTGGGCATATGCCCAAAGGAAAATAGATCATTCTACCAAAAAGACACAGGCACACATGTGTTAATCACAGCGCTATTCACAACAGCAAAGACATGGAATCAACCCAGGTGCCCATCAATTGTAGACTGGATAAAGAAAATGTGGTACTTATACACGATGGAATAGTATGCAGCCATAAAAAAGAATGAGATCCTGTCCTTTGCAGCAACATGGATGCAGCTGGAGGCCATTATCCTAAGCAAATTCATGCAGGAACAGAAAACCAAATACCTCTTGTTCTCACTTAAAGGTGGGAGCTAAACCTTGAACACACATGGATGTAAACATGGGAAGGATAGACACTGAAGACTACTACCAGGGAGAGGGAGGAGGGGGCCGTGGGTTGAAAAACTACCTATTGGGTAGTATGTTCACTACCGGGGTACAATATACCCACGTAACAAACCTGCACATGTACCCCCTGTATCTAAAATTTGAAATAAAAAAACCCCAAACCTATAGGAGGAAGGCAGAAAACCTTATTTTCAAAACAGATTTCTGGCTTTTGAGCTCGTTTGAATTTCTATCCAAGCTCTCAGGATGAAAGAGGGACTAGGACGGGTGCTTATGTATTTGACTTTGGCTTTGGAGTCCAAAGTGTTTCTTGGAAAAAATAGGAGTGAATGCTGTTCTTAGAGTTTATCATGAAGTAAAACCTCAAATAAGGGAATTAGAAAAATTCTATTTTTAGGAGAAAGAGGCAAATTGTAAGAAAGCACATGGACGTCAGGCTTTCGGAAGGACAGAAGGAACCTCCGTTTCCAGGGGATGCCCTGGAGCTCCTGTGGATCCGCCCGTGTCTCCTACGCCTCCTCCGAGAATGGCTTCGACTTCTAGAAGTGGAAGTGCTTGGGGTCCTCAGCAAGTCCCTCTGTTTCGAATGAGGAAATGGCCCCTGGTGGTTATGTAAGTCAGACTCATGAATCTTTGAGCTTGGCAACTTAAGGAGACCTTGAGTTCAATCCTTCCCTGCTCTCGTGAGAAGGCCTTGGCCCTGGCTTACTGTTCGGGCCTCCAATAGCCACAGGGGTGACTCAGGCAGGTGACATGGCTGATAAATCACAGGCTGGACCCAGGGGTTCAGTTTCCAGTGTGGCCTGGGGTCCTTTTCCTGGGGGGTCCGGGGCGCTGGCTTTCTGTCCTTTAATACTCAGAAGCCACTGAACCATGTTCACAGGTGGCTTCCCATGGAGTGGCGGGCACCACCTCTTCCAGGATGGAACTTGGGGTGGATCAGTAGAGAGTAGGGACCAAGATGAGTTAGACCCCATGGCAGGTGGGGAGGGCAGCAGGGTTGGCCAGGCTGTGATGTGCTCCAGCGCTGTTCTGAGAGCTCCGCTCTGGGCCCGGAGCACCAAGCCCACCGTCCTTGGTGGTGAGCAGTGCCGCACCCAGCAGAGCAGGTCCAGAAGCCTGTCCAGAACACTCGAGAGCAGTTGTCACGGTGCCCGGTGTGCCCCTGAGACGAAGCGAAACAGGATTCCTCAGTTATTGAATGCGGGCTGTGCGTTGATGGAGGAGGTCCCAGAAGAGGGGGTGAAATGTGATTGAAGGAACATCTCAGGTGCTGGGGTGCATCTCAGGTGCACGTGTGGGGCAAGGGCAGGTGGGACGGAATTGTGTCTCCTGACTCGTTCTCCCGAGTGCCACTGAGGCCTCTGTGCCCAGCACTCAGCATGCCATGTGAGGCTCAGAGCCAACGGGAGGGAGCATGGGACAGTGCCCCTGGTCCCTGGACCACGTTTTCCAGAGGAGGTCCCAGAGGCCTCGTCTCTTCTTCCCTCAGTCTTCCTCTTAGTGTCCCTGAACCCCAAGTCTGCAGCTGCAGTGAGCTGGTTGACAAGGGCAAGCCCACTGTCTCCCGGTGGCCAGGCTCTGTGGGAAGCTTGGGGACAGACAGGTGGGGAAAGAAGACACGGTCAGGCCTTCGAGGGGCGCGCAGATACCAGGAAAGGCAGGCCTGGAGGAAAGGTCGGTGAGCAAAACGCAAACATGGACGTGGTTTAACCGGGTCCCCAGGCCAAGTCCCCGTGAGCCGGGCTCCCCAACTCCAGCTGGACCGTGCCACTGTTTTTCAGTTCCCCATGGAGCCTCCGTTCTCAGGGTTGCTGCTGGGGGAGCGGGCGGTGGCCCAGCCCAGCTGGAAGGCCCAGCCGCGGGTCTGTGGTCTCCTTGTGGCTGGGGTGGTGTGGGAGTGTGGGTGTGGGGCTCTGCGTGACAGCGCCTGCCCGACCATGCAGGACCACATCCCAGTTGGATGGGGACCTAGGCACGGGGCGGCCTGGTGTGTGTGTTGGGTTTCAGACAGGCTGTGGTGCAGGGCAGGCAGGGCATCCGTGATGCTGCCCGGGCCTGGGCCCCATGCTGTGTGTCGCTGGGCAAGTCTCCAGCTCCTCTGATCCTCCCCTGTAAGGCAGGGCCATACGCTCTCCACTGGAGCGTGGATGGAAGGAGACAATGGGACAAAATGCCTGAATTACTTAGCACGAGCTGGTGCCAGAACATGTCCCTGGCTTCGCTGTCTCTGGCCTCCCCTCTCAGGGCCTTCACTCCCTCCCGGCTTTGCCTCCTTCCTTTCCCATGGAGACACTGCTCTCCCCCAGTCTGGAGGAGCTGGGCCCCCTTCACTCTGGCCTCTTCTCTCTGCACACAGAGCTGGGCCCTGCACCCCAAGGTGTCCTGAGCCATGCTGGGACTGCAGGAAGAGGGGTGCTTCCTAAGGTGCTGAATGAAAGGGTCCTTGTGAGAATCCCTTCTGACTTGGTGACCCCATAAGTCACCCAGGGGTGGAGGGGTGGAGGAAGCATTATTGGGTGAGTCCTCCTGTGCCCTCCGTCCCCTCTGCCAGACCCTACCTGCGCTTCATCCTGCAAGCAGCCGGGCCACGCCACACAGCCTGCTCCCAGAACTCAGGGTGGCTGCAACGGAAGTTCGCACATGTGTGAGCTCAGGGACGTTTCCTTTTATCAACAAGTGCGAAGCAAGGTGGAAATAAGTCCCAGGGAGAAGGCTTACTTACCATTCCCCTCCCCAAGGCATTCTACATCTGAACGCATTTTCAGAACTTCTCAGCCTGGACAGGCACAATCTCTTCTGCTATCTTATCATGGGGACCCCAGAGTCCCCGAGCCCATCCCCACATCTGCAGAGGTGCCCAGAGGTGCCCAGATGACCTCCAGTGTTTCTGTCCAGAGTCCATGAGCCCATCCCCACATGTGTAGAGGTGCCCAGGTGACCTCCAGTGTTCCTGCGTTGAGCAGAGTTTCAAAACGCAGGGGCACAGCCTCCACTCCGTGTCCCTGGCATGCGGGAGACTTGGTGATCTGCAGTGGTTCCCAAAGGCATGCGGAGACGCAGGAGATGGGCCTTGGCCGGGCGAAGCCTAACGCCTGGGAATGAGCCCAGCTAGGCACTGGCCTCTTGGATAACCCAGAGCCACTGGGGAGAACTTACACCTCATGGGAGCCTTCCCATGCAGCACCCAGGTTCCTGACCGTTTCCCATGACAACAGTTGGGGCGAACCCCCTCATCTGAATTGCCATCACAGATGCCTCCAGATCACTGCCCTAGCTTTGCTGCAGCGAGAATCGGAGAAGTTTGGCTCCAGGGCTACCACATCAGCTGCGTTCCTTTTCCCTCTCCTCTTTCCTTCTTCCCACCCAAAGGAAGGCATCCCTTCTACCTGGTCACAGACGCCCCCCTCCGAAGCTCAAGGAAAGCCTTTCTTGAAGGCTCTGCTCACACACGTTCCAGGCTGGATCAAACTCTTTCCCCAGAATGCAGAGAGGCAGGCTGTGTGGGAGAATGTCTGCTGAGCTGGGTTCTTGGCCCAACCCCACCATGTACTGAGACATCGCTCGCCTCTCTGAGCCCTCTTCCCACCTGTCCAATGGGCTGAGCGCAGAAATGCACAAAGCGGCTGGGAAGTGTGGGACGAGGGGAGAAGACAACAAAGTTTATTACAAACATATCGCCAGATAGGAGGGAATACGTTCTCGTGTTCTGTAGCCCAGTAGGGTGACTCTAGTTAACAGTAATTTATTGTGTATTTCAAAATACCTAGAAGAGAAGATTTGGAATGTTTCCAACATAAGAAATGATAAAGGTTCGAGGTGAGGGATATCCCAGTTACCCTGATTTGATCACACACATTGTATATATGCATCCAGCTGTCACATGTACCCCATAAATATGTATACTTATGTATCAGTTAAGAAAAAATGCACAGAGTGCTCTTGTGGGGATCACAGGCCCACTGGGCCATGTTGGGCATGGGCGAGGAAGGGACTGGGAGCCAGGAGCCCAACTCTGCCCCTCCCCTTGTGAAGCCTGGAGAGCATGAGTTCATATACTTGGCTACAAAATTCCTAATCCTCTGAATGGAAGAAGTGGGGACTCTAAGATCCCTTTTGGAAAGGCCCTGAGAGTCTCTAGACATGTTGTTGAAGACCCTTGGCCACAGTCAAGTGTGACTTCTTTGGAGTCTTTTATGGGGTCGTGAATTATCCATCCCCTTGTCCACTTGTCCGTGTCACCAACTTGCTGTAGGCCAAAGAGCCTCTCATGAGTTCTTGGGTGCTTCTGGGCGTGTATGTGAATTAAAAGTCTGCTTTGTGGTATCAGGATTCCAAAGTCTGTCTTCAAAATTTTAAAGCACCCCCAACAAGCTTTGGGGTGTAGACTTTTTTCTTTTGATTCCCATATATAGAATTTAAAAATAGTTTTTTTCCACACATGAACAGCTCCTCTTAAGCTCGCAGCTGTGTGGTTTATCTCCCATCGGCAGGAACCTGGGTGTCTATAGGCTTCCCGTTGCCCCAGTCCTTTGGTGACTGAGAACGAACCCATCTGTCATGTAAGGTGTCCTTTCACCCTGACGGATTTGGCCCTGACTTGGACTGTCAGGCTGGGTGTCAGAGGCTCTGCTTTGCAAGAAGAGAAGTGACTGGTGGATGGAGAGGGGGCTTGCTCGATGATTGACTTTGAAACCCTGGCTAGTACTGCTTGGTTTGCTGAAGCTGATTAACTTCTACATAGAGAGAAGATGGGTCACGTATATCTCCTTGAAATACCCGGAGTGGGGAGAAAGCTTTGAACCTGACATCAGATGATGCACGAGACATTCCACCCACACTACGTCACTCAGTGTAGGTTTCCCGGGGCTGCCGAAACAAAGTACTGCAAACTGCATGCCTTAAAACAATGGGGACTGTACTCGGTTAGAGATCTGGAGGCCAGCAGTCCGCAGCTGAGGTGTGCGCAGGGCCATGCTGTCTTGGAATGCTCCAGGGGAGGCTCTCTCCTTGCCTTTCTCCTTCATTCGTGAGTGGCCAGCAGTCCTTGGCTTGTGCACCCATCACTCCAGTCCCGCCTGTGTCAGCACCGGGCCTTCCTCCCTGTGTCCAGATTCCCCCTCTTCTTATGAGGACAGGAGTCATTGGGTGGGGGCCCAGCCCAATCCAGCATGACCTTATCTGAACTTGACTCCATCGGCAAAGATCCTAAGTCATCTGCAAAGATCCTATAGGAATGTGAACTATCCAAATACGTTCACATTCACAAGTTCTAGGGGTGAACACTTCAATATATCCTTTTGGGAGTCACAGTTCAACCCAAAACAGAGAGGAAAACTGAATCCTGATTTTTGTTGTTGTTGTTCGTGGTAATCAATATAGTTTACACTTAGGATGCATTGATTTTGGAAGTCCCATCAAAAAGCGTGGTGCGGCTTGCTCTACTAACTTACGGGTTTTAGCCATTCTTGTGATAACTCTTGACCCACTTTAGGCACATGGAGCTACTCGTATCAGCTCTGGAAATGGTGGGAACCCGCTCCAGGTCCAAGTTCCTAGGTGCCAGTCAAGGGCCGACCTTGGAGGCCGCCTTCCAGGGGCAGCAGTCTCAGGCTGCTGTGTGAACTCTCCCCACGCGGCAGTGTTGCTGGGTCCCTCTGCCACTCTTTTGGCCTCCACTTTTGGCCTCCTGTGGCTACTCTGGTAGTCTGGAACTCCCCAACCTCCCCTATCCCCAACATCCCAGCGCCCCAGTGCTGGCCTCCCATGCTCTCTGCTTTGGGTTCCTGAAAGTCCTGTCCATGTATTACCATGATGTTACTTATTTTGACTTCCTGATGCTGGCTTTCCTATGCCTCTGTCTTCATTTTGAATTTTTGTTACTGTTTTATTGCATGTGTCCAACATACACTTCCGCATATCCTCACTCAGACCGCCCAGCACAGGGACTAATTCCATCACTGGTGTCAGTGGTTCAACTCTGGCCCTTTTTCAACAGAAATGCCTAATTCCAGATCTTTTATAAATTGATTGATTCCTTCCTTCCTCCCTCTCTTCCTTCCTTCCTCCTTCCTTCCTTTTCCTTCCTTCCTTCTTTTCCTCCCTCCCTCCCTTCCTTCCTTCCTCCGTCTTCCTTCCTTCATCTTCCTTCCGACCTTTCCTTCCTCCCTCCCTTCCTTCCTTCTCCTTCCTCCCTCCCTCCCTCCCTTCCTTCCTCCTTCCTTCCTTCCTTTCCTCCCTCCCTTCTTTCCTTCCTCCTTCTTCCTTCCTTCATCCTCCTTCCTTCCTTCCTTCCCCTTCCTTCCTTCCTACCTCCCTCCCTCCCTTCTTCCCTCCTTCCTTCCTTCTTTTTTTTTTTTAGAGATGGGGTCTCATTTTGTCACCCAGGCTGGAGTGCAGTGGCAGTCACAGCCCACTGCAGCCTCAACCTCCTGGGACTCAAAGGATCATCCCACCTCAGCCTGTTGAGTAGCTAGGACTACAGGTGTGAGCCACCATGCCTAGTCAATTACAGTTTTTTTTTTTTTTTTTGTAGATTTGGGGTCTTGGTATATTTCCCAGGCTGGTCTCGAACTCCTGGCCTCAGGTGATCCACTCGCCTCAGCCTTCCAAAGTGCTGGGATTACACAGGTGAGCCGCCGCTCCCGGCCCAAATCAGTTGATTTCTATGTTGCATTTCACTCTCTTAAGTTTTTAGGTCATGGAAATGTCTGTGTATTACTCTTAGGCTACTGACAATTGTGTAGCAAGACACACCAGCATCTGCTTTGCAAGTGTGTTCCTCGAACACCGTCTCCTCCCGGCCTCTGCTTCTTTGCTCCTGGGTATTATTACTTTGACCCCTTCGTTGCACCCTTTTCCCATGTTTCTGGAGCCAAGAGCATATTTACTCTAATAATATGGCAAAAGGCAGCTGTTGGGAGGAGGCTGCGCTGGCTCTATTTAAACAGTGCAGCTACTTCCCTCTCTGAGGTTCTCAGCCAGCCTCCCTTCAGAGCGGACGTCTCAGGGCTGTGTGTTATCTCACACTGTTTATGCGTCTGTGGGTTTTTGAAGGTCGAATGTAGGTTAACTTTCACGTGGGATGGGAGAGATGGATGGGCGGCTGGAGCTCTGGGTTGTATAGCGAGCGTGTGTCTAGCTACAGACGTTGTCTGACAGGTTTAACATTTGCCGTTTGCTGTGGCTTTTTAAAAGTTCTCACTTTTAAATTTTGGAGTGCTGACAGAGGATTTGGGGGGTGGAGGAGGGCTCATTTCATTGAAACACATTTGCCTTTAAAATAAATCTGGCATTGCCTTCGGTACTTGCAGTTGGTCAAGAAAGGCCCACGGTGCGTGGCTGAGAGCAGCCGAATGGAGGGAGCAGACGCTTGCTGGATGGAGACGCCGCCGCTCGCTGCATTGCTGATGTGTGAGGACGCGTGGATTTCCTTTCCTTGCTTTGCCTGGCGAGGCTGCCCTCGCATCCCGACGTGTTTAACACAGGACACCAGCTTCTCCACCGGGAGGAAGCCTTGCGTTCTGAGCTCAGCGACGCTGAACTTGTTCCTGTAGGCAACTTGTCTGAATCCCAATTTTTGCCCTAGAGCCACAGCGCATTTTTCTTTTTCCTTAAGGCCTTTGCCCTCAGACTTGTTATCAAGGAAAACAAAATGTAGGTCTGGGCTGGGCGCGGTGGCTCACGCCTGTAATCCCAGCACTTTGGGAGGCCGAGGCGGGCGGATCATGAGGTCAGGAGATCGAGACCATCCTGGCTAACATGGTGAAACCCCGTCTCTATTAAAAATACAAAAAAATTAGCCGGGCGTGGTGGCGCGCGCCTGTAGTCCCAGCTACTCGGGAGGCTGAGGCAGGAGAATGGCGTGAACCCGGGAGGCGGAGCTTGCAGTGAGCCGAGATTGCGCCACTGCACTCCAGCCTGGGCGACAGAGCGAGACTCCGTCTCAAAACAAACAAAAAAATGTAGGCCTGGCATGGTGGCTCACATCTGTAATCCCAGCACTTTGGGAGGCCAAGGCAGGAGGATCACTTCAGTCCAAGAGTTCAAGACCAGCCTGGGCAACATTGTGAGGCCCCACCTCTACAAAAAAAAAAAAAAAAAAAATTTGCCAGACATGGTGGTGCAAGCCAGTGGTTTCAGCTACTTGGGAGACTGAGGTGGGAGGGTTGCTTGAGCCTGGGAGGTCAAGGTTGCAGTGAGCCGAGATTGCGCCACTGCACTCCAGCCTGGGTGACAGAGCAAGACCCTGTCTCCAAAAAAAAAAAAAAAAATGTGTATAGTTTTCGTACTCACATATTTACACACTGGCCAGGCAAACAGTGCGCCTGCAGGAGACCCCCTGGGTCTTTCCCTTCCTTTGTACCGCTGTCTCGCTCTCCCTTCCTCACCCTCTTTCTTCTACAAATATTTATCAGAGTCCTTCGGGGGCTAAGGCATGCTGGCCCACACACTGTCAGGATCACAAAAAAGCTAAATATAAATATGCCTCCCAGAGCTTCGGATATCAGAACCCAAGTTAGCTGGGACCCAAAGTCTCTGGAAGGCTAGAAAGTTAATACGGGACGACGTCTCTTGGGACAAGGCAGGTTTTATCTGTTAAAGAAGAAACTTCTGGCTTGTGTGAGTCACTCAGGCTGCCTGGACTCCTGGGTCTCCCCCTGGAGGGTTGCATGGTGGGACTTCATGCATGAAAAACAGATTTCACGATTTCACTAAAATTGGTTCGAGGCATCCTGTGTGTCCGGCCCTGGTCTGGTGATGGTTTCCAGGGCGCAGGAGAAGGTGTGTGGGTCAGCAGGGTTCTCTGGGAAAGAAGACGGGAAGATGGCCTTCAGATTTGGCAGCCATGGGCCACCTGACTCTTCACATTGAGCCTTGGAGCTGGCCAGCTAGAGGGCAGTTGGGGAGAACACTCCAGGTCACAAGAGAAGGCCGAGCTGGGAGGGAGGGTCTCTAAGGTGCGGTTGATCTCAGACACCAAGATTCTACTATAAATGGAAGAGTTGGCCGTCCTACAGCCAGGCAGGGGAACTTGGAAATCTGATGTTCCAGAAGAGTGTCGTGAAGGAGCAAAGAAAACCCACCAGCAGATATTGCTGGGGCCCTGGTTTACAGGCTTAGGGTGGGACAGCGGCCTGACCCCAAGGTCTGGAGGGAAGCGGCAGAAAGATTGTGCATTCACCTCTGAGTGCAGGGAGGAGGCGGAGGAAGAGCACCTATGCTGCAGGGGCGGAACTGGCGGGTTCCTGCTCAAGGGGTGGAAATCGGGCCCTGCAGGGGGCTCTGTGCGCTGCGCGGGGTGCCGGCCTGCTGGGCAGTCCCAACTCACCCGATGGTGGCGGCTTAACTTTAAACTGTGCTCCCTCCCAGCACTTTGGGAGGCTGAGGTGGTCGGATCCCTTGAGCCCGGGAGTTTGAGACTAGCCTGGCCAACGTGGTGAAACTCTGTCTTCATAAAAAATAAAAAAAAAAATTAGCCTGATGTGGTGGTGCACGCCTGTAATCCAAGCTACTGGGGAGGCTGAGGTGGGAGGATCACTTGAGCCCAGTAGGCGGAGGTTCCAGTGAGCTGAGATCCCGCCACTGCACTCCAGCCTTGGCAACAGAGCAAGACCCTGTCCCCAAAACAAAACAAAACAAAAAATAAATTGTGCTCACTTTTCCTCTTAAAGGTGTAGCAGCTGGAACAAGAACGGGCGGAGCAGCTTCGTTCAAGATCAGAGACCGGCCAGGTGCCCACCGACGGGAGAATGGATGAACACGCCGTGGCGTTTTGTGCAGTGGAATGTCACTCTGTAGCAGAAAGGGACAAATGACAGCGTGGGTGAGGCTCAGCAAGGCTGTGCTGAGTGGAAGAAGCCCTGCCCAGACGGGCACCCCCGGTGCAATTCCGTGTCTGTCACGTCCCAGCACCGGCAGATCCACCCAGTGGTGGCAAGAGCCCAGACGAACGGTGGTCGCTGTTGTGCATGGGCAGGACTGAGCAGGAAATGGCAGGAAGCAGGAAGGGCTTCGGGGATGTGGTAACATGTACTTTGATACGGGTTTGGGTTACACAGGTCTATGCGTTTGCCCAAACTCAGCAAATATTTAAGCAACTGTAAACAAATGTTGGCCATGAGCTAGCAATATGCACACTAAGATATTAAATAGAGGACGGTGCTGGAGTCTGCAGTCTGCTCTGTCGTTTGTCCAAAAGCCAAGGTGGATGGATGGTTGGGTGAGGGAGGATTGACGGGCGGCTGCCTGACCAGGCAGGGAGAGCCAGTGTCCATGCGGCCTCCGGGTAGTGAGGACGCGAGCTGCACTGTGAGATCCTCTCTGCCTTGTTGTGTGTTTGAAATGTTCGTGCTGAAGTGTTGGGGGGAAAGTGTCCCAGGTGGGATAATAAATATCCGATCACCCCTACACACAGCCCGCCGTCTGTCTCCCAGCAAGGTCCAGGGCGGGAGAGGGCACCGTGGATTCAGATGGATCAGGAAAGGACGTTCCGGACCTTTCTCTGCAAACCTGCAGCCTGGGGCTGGTGCCAGCCCTTATCCTGCGGTGTCTCAAAGGTTTGGAAACACGGTGTTGTGAGAAAGTAGAATGCTGGCTGCTGGGGGCTGGGGGCCGGGGACAGGACTCAGTGTTTAACCGGGACAGAGTTTCAGCTTTACAAGATGAAAAGAGTCTGGAGATGGATGGTGGCTTTGCTTGCACAGTGTTCTGAATGTATTTGGTACCACTGAACTCTACACGTAAACATCGTTGAGATGATAAATAATATTATAATATTATGTGTGCTTTACCACAACTAAAAAATTCGGGGGAGAAACAAGAAATGTGGCATTGTGGAGAAAGTTCAAGCAGACAGACCTGGCTTCACCATTTCCTAACCTTTTTTTTTTTTTTTTTTTTTCCTGGGCAGGTTATTTAATGTCTCAGTCGTAGTTTTCTTATCTGTAAAACGGGTCAATTATAACCTGCCTCCGAGGTGTTGCCATGAGGAAATAAGGTGTGAAGTACTGGGCAGGATGAAGCTAATAAATGGTAACTTTCAGAAAAAAGTCCACTTTCACCTGCTGGTGCAACCAGAATGCTGGTCACTGTGGCGCAGGAAGCTCCCGATAAACGCCTGAGGCCGAGGGATTGTGGCCTCAGTCTCTACATCCACGACACCTCCCCCACCCTTCTCTGCATCCCAGCTGAGCAGATCCTGGCTGGCTCTGATCCCACTCGGCCTCCAACTGCCTCTGCCCCTCAGCCAGCCCTTACGTTCCAGCATCTTCAATTTCTTCCTTTCCACCAGCTGTTTCTTCCAATGAAGTGGCATAATCTAACGAAAATAGTTCCTGAACTGGAGTGGGAACCTGTACACACTTTAACAACGAAGTATCTGACCTGAAAAGTGCTTGATAAATATAAACCATGATTCGTGCAGGTATTATCTCCTATGGTTTACGGATAGCTGTAATAACACGAATAGCTAAAGCAACTGAGCATGGATCAGGTGACTATGAGCTCGTCAGTGCTATTCCCATCTCGCAGACAAGGACAATAAAGCTCGGAAGTGACAAAGCCAGGCTGAGGGCAAGGTTCTTCTGACTCTCAAGCCTGTGCCCTGCACCTCTTGCCTCTACTGTATCTTGGGAGCTGGGTACCACTTGGGACTGCTGACTCTCCAATTATAAGAGGGAGGAAGGACAGCTAAATGTCTCTCCTTAGCAGCAGGTGACACAATGCATTGTGTCCTCGTCGCTCACACAGGAGTAGGTCTCTTCTGCAAGACCACCTGCTCCATCCTTTGCCTTCACCTTCATTCAGTTGTTGAGTTTGCAGACAGCACCGTCCACGCCTGTTTCTCCCTCTCTTCTCCTCTCATCTGGGGTCCTTTGGCTCCCTCTCTGCTCCTCAGTCCCACAATGTGGGCACATCTCTACAGGAGTGGTTTACTGGAAAGCAAAGTGGGGTTTGTCCATAGGAGATGTGAGTTCAAGTTCTAGTTCCACCCTCCCCTGGTCATGGTCTTGGACAAGTCACTCGACCTCTCTGAGCATCACTGTCCTCATCTGCAGAACAGAGTCGGTAATAGTTCTACCTCGTAGGGTAGTGAGATCAAAGGGAGATGTCAGAAAGTGACCTGGACTTCCTGGGCAATGCACCGTGGCCTGCACTGTAACTAACCTGCCTTCTCGGCCACATCAGAGATGTTCTAGTTGCAAATCCACTGACTTTCCTGGAGCATTTGAGGTTAACCTTAATTTAAGTCAGTCGTTCCCTCTTGGCTCCTAAGACTCGGCATCAGCTTCCTGACACTCCCTCCTCCTCGGTCCTACCCGTCCACCTGAAACTCACCATGTTCCACATTTTTTTCCCCTCCAAAATGTCCTAAAAGAATCCAAAGGCTCACTTTTTTTTTGTCCTATCTGGCTGTCCCAAGGCCCTCATGCCAACAGATACTCTTATCAGGCATGGCCTCCCAAGGGCTTAGCAGTGACCCTCCAGAAGCTGAGGGCAAAGGTCAGGTCTCTCTTTGGTCAAAGATAAATTCTTTACTACACACTGTGACACTTGCTTGACGAAAACAAGTTTGGCAGAGGTGACGCAAGCCGGGGCCATAGTGCGTCTGCATGATCTGGCTTGGTCTCCAGTGCTTCTGGCACCTACCATGAAAACAGCATGCTCCAGGTAGACACCAGAGCCAGGGAAGGCCTGGGGACCAGACCTGGAGCTGCCCTGCAGCCTTACCCAGGATGCCCTTGCCAACCCACAGACCATGAGCTAGGACAACAAACGTCTGTGACTGTAAGCCACTTGTTTGTTATGCAGTGTGATTCAGCAAAACCCATAGTAGGGAAGACTTCCTGATAGGATATATTCCACCAGAAAAGATGGAGCCATTTGACTGAGTTAAAATGAAGAACTTTTGCTCTTCGAAAAGAACCTTGAAGAAAAAGGGAAAAGACAAGTTACTCACTGGGAGAACATAGTCTTCACACACATAAAAGTTTAGTAGCAAGACTATATAAAGAACTCTTGCAAAGTGGTAAGAAAACATAAACAGCCCAATTAAAAAAGGGGGCAAAAGTCAGGAACAGACATCGCACGGAAGACAGTGTGCTTATGCCAATGAGTATAGGGAAGGGTGATCGGAGAGCACAACTCTGGACCCTGATGAGACACCACTTTGCATCCACTGGGCTGGAAGCCTGGGCTGCTCTGTCAGGTGTCTGCTGGGGTACCGAAGGATGTTAGATAGGTCCTCAAAGGGAGGGCTGGGTCCTGCAGATAAGCAGGTCATGGGCTGTCGAGCTGGAAACGTTTTGGTGTAGGTGTCAATACAGTCTCATTGGCACCCATCGAGAGATGAAGCTTGGGGGATTGAGGTTAAACTGGGAATTTTTTAAAATAGTGTTTTCCCCAGCACTGACTCTGGTGCTTTTAGATGCCAGATGCGAATTGACGGATGGGTCAGGTGATGCGTCTCAAATTTCTCTACAGATGAGTAATCGAATAAGAAACTAGTGGCCAGGGGCGTGGCTTCTTCCCCATCTTCCCACTACAACCCTCTCCCGGGCCTTGCACACACCCCATCACCACCATCATCATCTCCATCCCTGCTCTTTGGCCAGGAAACCCTGTTAAGGTGGTGTGGGGAAATGAACATTGACTCAGGGCCAAAAAACCAGTTCTGCTGCAAGCCAGCTGTGCCACTGTGGGTGCGTCGTTTAACCTCATTAAGCCTCTGTTTTCCCATTTGTAAACTACAGACAGACTGGAGACTTGTAAGAGATAAATCTAATTCTTTCATAGACATTAATGATCCTTGAAAAAGGATCATTTGAGGGACATGGAGATTGGTTTCTACTGTTTCTGTTGTTACTAACACTCCTCCTTTCCCAAGGCCTTTAGAAAGGGGTGAGCTCTCCATCACTGAAAGTATTCAGATAGGCTTCCAGGAATTTTTTGGGAAAATGTTCCTGCTTTGAGTAAGACACAGGACTAGATCAGCGTTTGGCAAACTATGGCTCGTGGGCTAAATTCCGCCCCTCTCCTGTGTTTGAAGATAAAGTGGAACACAGCCACGTTTACTCGTTGACAGAGTCTACGGCTGCTTTGGCACACAGACTCGAGGAGTTGTGACAGAGACGGTATGACCTGCAGAGGCTAAAATACTTACTCTCTGATCCTTACAGAAGTAAAGGATTAGATGATTGCTCAAATTTATTCCATCATTTGAATTTCGTCGTTTAATAATTTTCCTCTGCTTTTTCTGTGACATGACTATCTCCATAAACGGAAGGAGATGATTTTCCCTTTAAATTTATAATTATTTTAAAATATTAACCACCATTAAGTTGTTTTATTCACAACAGGAGAATAATGAAAAAGCTTAGCTAAAGCAAGGATTGCATGAATTCTCTTGGTAGACCTTAA
This sequence comes from Homo sapiens, assembly GCF_000001405.40. Taxonomy (NCBI): domain Eukaryota; kingdom Metazoa; phylum Chordata; class Mammalia; order Primates; family Hominidae; genus Homo; species Homo sapiens. The sequence goes on from NC_000016.10 coordinate 85,852,424, forward strand.
TGCAGTAATTGTCTCCAATAATCGTAAGCCAATTGATTACAGACAATATGCTACAGGATTAGATCCTTAATAACTTTACATAATCAGGCAATCTGGTAGATGATAAGTATGTGTAAATGATTAAATACACAAAAGAAACTAAAAATAAAAGAAAATAAACAATTCTCAGAATAAGACAGTAGCTGAATGAAAAACTTGGTGCAAAATATCATTAAAAGGAGTTTACAGAGTCTTGGAGTCCAGCATAGGTTACATCAGAGTTCCGGGAGAGAGAGGACAGTGCTGAGAGAGAACGTCCGCAGAGGTCCAGAAGTGATGAAGAACATGACTCTTCCAACCAGCAAGGACAAAGCAGGACAAATAAAAACAAACCTACAGTAAGATGCATTGCAGCAAAACTGCAGAACATGAAAGACAAAGAAATGTCTGCAAGCAGCCGGAGAGAAAAGCCCTCCCCAGTGGAACACAGATCAGTGTACCATGGATTCTTACCAGCACCTCTAGACACAAAAGACAGTAGAAGAATATCTCCAAACAGAGCCGTGAAAATAACCGTGAAGCTAGAATCTAAACCCAGCTAAGGCCAGGCGCAGTGGCTCACACCTGTAATCCCAGCACTTTGGGAGGCTGAGGCAGGTGGATCACTTGAGGTCAAGAGTTCGAGACCAGCCTGGCCAACGTGGGAAAACTCCGTCTCTACTAAAAATACAAAAATTAGCTGGGCGTGGTGGCGGGCACCTGTAATCCCAGCTACTCAGGAAGCTGAGGCAGGAGAATGGCGTGAACACGGGAGGCGGAGTTTGCAGTGAGCCAAAATGGCACCACTGTACTTCAGCCTGGGCGAAAAGAGCGAAACTCCATCTCAAAAACAAACAAGCAAAATATGAAAAAACAAATAAACCCAGCTAAACTGTCACTCAAGGGAGATAATGAAACAATGACATTTCAGGCAAAAACTAACAGAGGGTTGCCACGAGTGACCTGCACTAAAATACTTTGTAAAGGCTGTATTCGGGAACAAGGTCACTGAATACAAATGGAAGATCTGCCCAAATCTCAGCCTGGCTCAGCAGGGATCCCATTCCACTGCATTTTTTTTTTGAGGTCATGGGAAGTGTTCAAACAGAACTGGCTGGACAGGCCTTGAATGTAGCCAGGGGTGAGAACCTGGGGTTTGGTTTGATGGACTCTGGGCTGGACAGGGGCTTGCAGGCTTAGTCACAGGATTCTTGCTGAAGCGAGGGTTTTCTTAAGCTTCACAAATTTAGGAAACCAAAGGGGAATCTGCCTGTTTGTTTTCTCCCTGAGTGGAAGGGAGAAGCTTTTACAAGAAATAACTTTTTCAGCAAATCCGCCGTATTTTTTTAACCTCTCATGTTTTGCCCCCTGCAATTGTGACACGTCTACATGAAATTGGCCACAGGAAGGAAGCCCTGTTGGAGAAGCTATTTTCTGAACATCCCTTTATACCCTCGATTTCACAACATGCAGACATTTAAGTCGAGAGACTGGGACTTCAGGCCCTAATGGCAGCTATAATTTGGAAGTCAAATGCAGCAGGGAGCTCTTAGAGCTGATGCATGATTCCTGCATACAGGCAGCCAAGGTAAGCATCATGGAAGCCATTAAATATTCACTCTAATGAGAGAGACTTGCAGAACTGCGAGTCTAAATCCTTCTGGAAATGAGCCTGAAATGAGAGTTCAACTCAATGAGATTCTCTAATGGGGAAGTTAAGAGTTTTGAGAAGGGCTAGAAGAAAATAGAATGACCCTACCAATGGGAAGTAGCAGTGACCCAGAACTGCTGCTTTGAAAGTGCCCTTTACTTAAAGTGGGGAGCTCGAGGGTCACTGGCTTATGGCCTTGATGAATGTACCACCAACGCTGGAGTCGTGCATCGTGACTTACTACAATGTTTGTACCAGTCCGTGTAGGTGCGGGGGGTAGGGGTGCCACCCTCTGATAGTCTTGCCTCCATAAGCACGCATAGAGTTTGCATGAAGCCCTCCTGTACTTAACAGTACTAGTCACTGAAGTAGCCGGGATGATAGAAAACACCTTGGCTCCTCATCTGCTTGTCCCATCGCAGTTTTTCCTCCTGCCTGTTGCAGGTGGTCATCTCCAGGCACCTGTGGGTTGAAGCAGGAAGACTGTAGCTGCCACTTTCAACGCTTGCCAGGCACCAGCTACTTCATACATCTCATTTAATCCTTGTAACAGCTCTTTGAGGTGGATACTTCTAACTGCAGCATGCAAAGGAGGTTGCAGGCTCAGGATCAAAGAGACTTTTGGGTCAGGGCACAAGGTTGGCACAGTGGAGGCAAGATATGGGTGCAGGGCTGTAGGACTATGTGGCCAATGTCTGAGATCACTTATCTCTTGCTCCACATCCTATGGGGTGCAATGCTTCCATGTGTGCAGCTGGGGTAAACTTTATGCTCTCCTTGGCAGCATCTATGGAATGGGACCAATTTCAGCCAAGAGGAGACAATGCTTATTCCCAGGCACTGCTCTCTTTGACTTGGCATCTTTTCCATCTTTTTATTTATTGATGTGGCAAACATTTATCTCCTTTCCTCATGACTGAGCTTCAGAGCTTTAGGAACCTAGAGATCATCTAATTCAAACTCATGTTTTAGATGAAGAAACTGAGATGTACAGAAGAGGAATAAACAGACTGGGAAAATGTATCAGTCAGCATTGCTGCATAACAAATGACCCTCAAACTTCATGGCTTAAAACAGCAATGATGAATTATTCTTGAAGATTCTTTGGTTTGACTGAGTGATTCTTCAGCTGATCTTACCTGGGCTCACTTGTGTGGTGGGAGCCACCAAGAAGCTTTCATCGCAGCATCTTCAAATGATGCTAAGAATGTACCAAAGCAGGAGCTCTCCAGCCTTGGAAGTTGCAGGTCATTTCCACTCCATTCTATTGGTCAAAGCATGTCACAGGCTACCCCAGAGGGGCAAGGAGTGGGGGAAATGGGGAAATAGACCTCATATATATATATATATATATATATATATATATATATATATATATATATTTATTTATTTATTTATTTTGAGAAAGTCTTGCTCTGTCGCTTGGGCTGGAGTGCAGCAACGCCATCTCCACTCACAGCAGCCTCCGCCTCCTGGGTTCAAGCTATTCTCCTGCCTCAGTCTATCAAGTAGCTGGGACTATAGGTGCCTGCCATCATGCCCAGCTGATTTCTGTATTTTTTGTAGAGACAGGGTTTTGCCATGTTGGCCAGGCTGGTCTTGAACTCCTGACCTCAGGTGAGCTGCCCACCTTGGCCTCCCAAAGTGCTGGGATTACAGGCATGAGCCACAGCACCTGGCCTGGACTTGACTTTTCTTTTCCTTTCTTTTCTTTTCATCTTTTTTCTTCTCCTCTCCTCTCATCTCCTCCTTCCTCTCTCTCTCTCTCTCTCTCTCTCTCTCTCTCATTCGTTCGTTCTTTCAACAGAGTTTCGCTCTTGTTGCCCAGGCTGGAATGCAATGGCAGGATCTCAGTTCACTACAACCTCCGCCTTCTGGGTTCAAGTGATTCTCCTGCCGCAGCCTCCCGAGTAGCTGGGATTACAGGCATGTACCACCATGCCCAGCTGATTTTTGTATTTTTTGTAGAGACAGGGTTTCTCTATGTTGGCCAGGCTGGTCTTGAACTCCTGACCTCAGGTGAACCACCCACATTGGCCTCCAAAAGTACTGGGATTACAGGCATGAGCTGCCGTGCCTGGCCTAGACCTCATTTATTGATGGGGGGAGCAGGAAAGCCACATGACCAAGGGGCGAGAATACAGGGAAGCATGAATCATGCTGTGGGGAGGGAGTCACTGTTGCAGCAGTCTACCTTGATGACAAGGCCAGTTTCTAGCACAGTCAAGCCTTGACCCCAGGACTCCCGATTTTGCTCCTTCTTGTGACAGCACACCGCTCTAACACTCCATGGGACTTCCTAAAAGCCCCTGGGTTTTCCAGAAGTAAGTATCCCAGCGCCAAGAGACCATGTGTGTCCCCTCTATGCTCGTGACTCTGCCAACCAGTGCTCCTTCCTAGTATCCTGAATTTTAGGAGATGAAGATCTCACACTGAAATGGCCATCTTGTCACCCTGTAGCCACCTATTCCTCCAATGTGTCCCAGGATGGGAGGGTTCCAAATTATCTCACCCTGGGGGGGGGGGGTAGGTGACCCATTAGAGTCAGAGAATAAAATATTTGAACTTCTACTCATATTTCTGCTTGTCTAAGAAGAAAATGAAGTTTGCAGAAGTTTAGAAGTAGGGAGACACCAGCACCCTCGCTTGGTTCTTGCAAGGTTGCCAGATGTCAAGTGTCATGTGCAGGACAAAGAAGACCCTGAGGGTGAAGGGGAAACTCCGCTGTGGTTGCACATCGAGACGTGTGTAGGTTGCACACCGAGACATATGTAGGTTGCAAGTCTGATTTACTGGACTGAGGAATGTATTATCCTAACACAATACTTTCAATAATTTGCAATGAAATAAAACATGACTGTGGAAATAGTTTGCATGGCACAGACATTCACTGGCAGCCTTTCTTAAGGATGAGAGATATTCTTTGTCCTCAAGGCGTAAGTTCCACACTTGCTGAGGGTTTTTTGGCCATGACAAATGGCCTCCTGATGTATGATATAATTTCTCTCCCTAAGGTATATATGTTTTTATCTTATCCCTATATGCTGTACTAAAGTAAGCACACAACCTGTGCCTTTGAGGTAGGAGAAATCCACACTATGGAGAGAGAATTTTGAAAATCGATCGAGTAAGTGTGGGTTATGGGCTAGGTATTGGCTTCCCAAACATCTCATTTAGTCCCCAGGTGAGGTGAGTGCCGATGCTCCGTTTTCCAGATGAGAAAAATGATTCTAACAGGTCCAAAGTAGAGGAGGCAGATCCCCACCAAGCCGGTCCTGACGTCCCCTGAATACCAGGGTTGCTCTCAGCAGGCACACAGACGTAGCCCACGTCTACAGGAGCTGTGACATCATGACAGTCGCCAGGCTCATCCTTCTCTCACACAGGACAGCCATGCCAGGCTTTGCTGTCATCCTGTTGTCAGGAGGAAGAAGCAGGTTTCAGAGACATGACAGGTGCAGCTGGCCTCCACACTGGTGTCGAGTCTCCTTTCTGCCCTTTCGTGTCACCCAAGACCTCACTGCCCTTCTCCTTGTGCAGAAAGGAGGTCCTGGGGTGGCCGGCAGGAGAGGGAACACCTGTCTTAGGTCTCCAGGTTGGAACTGCTCCTGATCACCCCCTCTGTGGGGGGTACTTGAGGGTCTGGAAAGCTCATTCCGAGGGGGAAGAGGGGGGAAATCTGGGGTGCTGAGGAGCCTGTCCCTATTGCCAGGTACGGGTCCACCCGCAGTGGGCTGAATGGTGGCCTCCCACAGAGATGCCCGTTTTCGAACCCCCAGGCCAGAGTGTGATTTGTCTTTGCAGATGTAACTAAGTCAAGCATCTCGAGATGAGATCAGCCTGGATTACCTGGCTGGACCTAAACTAAACAACAGGTGTTTTTTTGTTTTGTTTTTTTGAGATGGAGTCTTGCTATAGTTGCCCAGGCTGGAGTGCAGTGGTGGGATCTTGGCTCACTGCACCCTCCACCTCTCTGGTTCAAGCGATTCTTCTGCCTCAGCCTCCCAAGTAGCTGTAGCTGGGACTACAGGCTTGCACCGCCATACCTCGCTAATTTTTGCATTTTTAGTAGAGATGGGGTTTCACCCTGTTGCCCAAGCTGGTCTCAAACTCCTGACCTCAAGTGATCCAGCCTCCTGGGCCTCCCAAAGTGCTGGGATTATAGGTGTGAGCCACCGCGCCTGGCCAACAGGTGTCTTTATAAAACACCTACGGCCTGGCTCATAAGTCACAGAAACTCAGAATCTGTGGTTAAATTGAAATGTTTCCTAATTGTTTATTGTGTGTAGAACTCCTCCTGGTGGAAAGTCTATCAGGAAATACTCCAACAGCTATGAAGTGTGACTCCTACTAAACCTACAACAATTATCCATGGGCACTGAGCTGTTCCCTAAACTTCATCTTTTCTTGTGAGTCTGTTGGTCATAGCAGACACAAGGTGGTGTATGTGACCAATGGCTCTTGTCTTGGGGGCTGGGAGATCTTCTGTGTTTCTTTTGGTTCCAGATGTTTCTGTCCCAGCAGCCCAAGATGTTTCTTGCTGAACCCCTGTGGGAATGGCAAGACTCGCTAGCTGTCCATGTGCTTCCCACATGTGCATTTCATGTGGCCCCTAGTTAGCAGGTGCTGCCTTGAGATACCACCTGTTTTTCTCTTTTCCCTCTCTCTCTCTCTTTCTTTTTTTTTCCCCAGAGTCTCGCTCTGTCACCCAGGCTGGAGTGCAGTTGCGCAATCTTGGCTCACTGCAACCTCCGCCTCCCAGGTTCAAGTGATTCTCCTACCTCAGCCTCCCGAGTAGCTGGGATTACAGGCGTGTGCCACCATGCGCAGCTAATGTTTTGTATTTTTAGTAGAGATGGGGTTTCACCATGGTGATCAGGCTGGTCTCAAACTCCTGACCTCAGGTGATCCACCCGGCTCAGCCTCCCAAAGTGCTGGGATTACAAGCGTGAGCCACTGTGCCCGGCCCTGCCTCTCTTTTAAGGACCCTGTGGGTACATTGGACTCACCTGGAGATTCCAGGATAACCTCCCCATCTCAGAGTCCTTAACTTTATCCCGTCTCCCTCTCCCTCTCCATCTCTCTTTCCTCTCTTTCCTCTCTCCATCTTCCTCTTTCCCTCCTACACTTTTCCTCTTGTTCCTGCCGTTCATAGAAGGACACGACTTGTCATCCTGCACGTGTGTTTGACGTCTCACTCCCCAGTTGTGTTAGAAACTCCATTTTCTTCCTCATTGCTGTCTTCCTGGGTCCTAGAGAGGAATGTTGGTTGAATTTTCCTCAATGTCTCTCCTTTCATCCTTTCCTTCCACTTCCTGGGCATGCATTTGTCCAATAAGAGAGGAAGAAAGACTGACATCATGCTCTAAACCCAGGGGATTTCCAGCCCGTCTCGGGGTGACACTTATGTGACCATTGAGGTCTCTTTATGTGATGTCTTGCTGTGGGCAGTGCCAGGCCTAGTGGGCTGGCACCAGAGCAGCTTGGGGTTGGGGAAGCAACCTTCCATGAAGACCCTGTTTCCAGGTGGATCCCAGCCCCTTGGCCAAGCCCTGCTCCTCCGCTTGGGTCTCAGGGATGCCATCCACCTTCTCTTTTGCTTCTTCTATTTTCTTGGTGAAATAGCGGCAGGGCCGCGGGGCCGCTGGAGGCTAGGGGAGGGTTGTCTAGGACAGAGGAAGGGCGGGCAGGCTTACTGGGGGCCAAGGTCCCATTGCAGAGGGGGCCCCTCGGTTGTGTTCAGCTGCTGGGCGCCGGGGTGGAGGAGCAGAGTGCTTTTCTTCAGGCCTGGTGTTTGCCAGGCTGGCAAGCCTCTGTGGGAAGAGGTTCCCCTTTGTTTTCTGCAGAGTGCGTGGGAGCTCCCCCTGTGGACTGAGGGTGGCCACATCGGAGGTGGGAGTGAAGGAGCTCAGGGACACACAGGACATCTGGAGTGTTCTCAGTGAACCCAGGTAAATGGCCTCCTGCTTCCTCCACGGCTGTCCTGAGCTGTAATACGATCTCAGGTGGCAATGCCAAGGAGCAGGAGGGGAGGGGGCATGAATGTCCAGGCCCTCAGGCTGTTTGTCCAAGACCCGATCTTCCACTTGGGACCACTGTCTGAACACAGCACTCACTACCCACAACCTCAGGCTGGAGGGCGAGGTGCCATGAGCATCGCAGATGCTCACAGGGCATGTCTGCCATGCACCAGACAGGCAGGGGTTCAGGGGCACATAAGTCAAGAAACCCCAGTCTGCAGCAGGTCCACTGAGGCAGGAGAACAGCAAGGCAGCTCAGAAGTGACTTCCCATTGAGACCTGGGGATTAGGATCCATTCTGGTTTGTCCTTCCCCATGAAAATAGACAATGGGAAAAAACCAGGGACCAAGAGGTTTGCAGGCTGAGTTTCTGTCTGTGCTGTGGGCTGCTCTGACAGGTGTGTCCTCAGAGCCTTTTATGGGCTACGCTTGTGACTCAGGCAGCACAAGGGACTCCCCAGTTCCCTGCATGGGAGGTCCCTCTGACGGGAAGTGGTGCCTGGTATCCAGTTTGCTTTCGTATCAGTTCCTTTTGCATCCAACGACTCCAGTACCTCAAGATGTGGCAGGAAAAGCCCTTCCTAGAAACTTTTGGTGTGTTGGGCCTTTGCTGCTCAGACCTTGTGGAGTGCCTGAGGATCAGTGGGAGAGGGGTGGGTGCCCCTGAGCTGGAAGGCCCCCAGCCAGTGCTGAGGAAATGTGGGTGACACAGAACAGGCAGGTAACAGGCCAGTGCCATTCTCTGCCGGACTTCCACCTCCCCGACGACAGCAGCACTCCGTTGTGTTAGACGCCACCAGGCCTCCTTGGGACCCTGCCTTGGGGTGCTCACGTGGGAGGACTCTTGCCTCTGCTGCTGTCGAGGGGAGCCCTCCCCTCTGGGTCTGTAGGCTGCAGAACACGCCAAGGGGCACTGCAGCATGGAGGCAGGCTGGAAGGTTGGGGAGCAGAGGCTGCAGGGAGTAGAGGGAAAAAGATTTAAAGGAGACTGAAGTAAAAGGAAGAAACCTAATTCAGTAGTTCTCAACAGGGGGTGATAGCACCCCACGGGGGACACTCGCCAATGTCTGGGTGCATTTTTGGTTGTCACAGCTGGTGGTTGCTACAGGCATCTGGTGGGTCGAGGCCAGGATCTTGCTCATCATCTTACAATGCCCAGGGCAGCCCTGCCACAGAGAATGACCCAGCCCCCAATGTCCACAGTGCCCGGGACGAGAGGGACTGATTGGGCTCCAGGGAGTGGCTGAGGCTGGGAGGACACGGGCCTCATTTACCTCCACTTGAGCTCTGCAGGAAAACTCCTCCTTTGACTGGGTATTTCTGCAGTGGAAAAGCCCCATTTTTAATTTTCTTGAGCTGTGACTAGTGGTGCACAATGTGGCCAGTTGGCCTTTGGGTGAGTTTGGAAAATGGAAAGGCTCATATCTGGGCTCTGGGCCCTGACTTTACCTTGTCTATGTGGAGCACTCTCATGCTTGCATTCCCCACCCTCTCAGCTCTCACGGCAGAAGTGGCATCTCGCCGCCTGGGAGCTGTCCCTCAGGGGGTTGGGCCCGCATGGGCTCCTTCCAGCCTTCCATGGGATCTATGGGTGGGCAGAGCACAAAATAGCCAGGTGAGGCTGGGCGCGGTGGCTCATTCCTGTAATCCCAGCACTTTGGGTGGCCGAGGAGGGCGGATCATGAGGTCGGGAGATCGAGACCATCCTGGCTAACACAGTGAAACCCTGTCCCTACTAAAAATACAGAAAATTAGCCGGACGTGGTGGCGGGCACCTGTATTCCTAGCTACTTGGGAGGCTGAGGTAGGAGAATGGCGTGAACGCGGGAGGCGGAGCTTGTAGTGAGCCGAGATCGTGCCACTGCACTCCAGCCTGGGCAACAGAGCAAGACTCTGTCTCAAAAAAAAAAAAAAAAAAAAACCAAAAGAAATTAGCCAGGAGTGGTGGTGGGTGGCTGTAGTCCCAGCTACTAGGGAGGCTGAGGCAAGGGAATCGCTTGAACCCAGGAGGCGGAGGTTGCAGTGATTGGAGATCGCGCCACTGGACTCCAGCCTGAGTGACAGAGCAAGACTCCATCTCAACCCCCTCCCTCAAAACAAAAAAATAAAACAAAAGAAAAGCAAAAAAAAGAGCCAGGTGGGCCTTGCTGTCTTGGCCGACCTCTGCCTTTCCAGGTGAGATTGGGGCCTGCCTGCTGCGGAAGTGAGGAACAGACGTTGGAGCAGGAGAGATGGATGAGGAGAGTCCGGTCTACGTGTTCAAGGAAGCGAAGGGATGAAGACTCACCTGGTGTGGAGAAGAACAAAGAAATCCTGAAAATGTTCATTGGTTTGGCAGTGGAGGGATGGCCACACACGCTCCTGTTAGACTGGGTAATGGGGCAGCTCTTTCTTGGGGGATGAGCAATCGGGGACAGTGGCAGGCCCTGTCTTGGGGTCCACAGTGCTATTTCCAAGGGTAGCAGTAGCTTCCTGGAAGCTGCGGTCTGAGCTGTGCTCCTGGCTGTGATGTTCTCTTCCCACCCATGGGTGCCACTCACGCAGGACCCTGCTCTTGCCATATCTGCCCTGGATGCACGTTTCGGCCACGTGCCGCCTGGAAGCAAAGGATGTAGGTCAGCATTCATGGGAGCAGACAGAGATGGCCCAGGCTACAGGTCCCGGCTGCCCATTGGAGAACGCAGCTTGGAAAGTACACGCTGATGTGGCCGCTGAGAACCAACACCCCTTTGACCATGAGGTCAGACCCCTCTCGGAAGAAGAGAAACTGAGACGCTTGTGATGGGAGAGCTGCCATGAGCTGGCTTGGGGCACGGGGGTGGGGAGGAGACGTCAGGAAAACTCTAAAATTTCTGCAGCATGTTTTGCTTTTGCTCACCTAGATTTAGAGGAATCCTCTGGGAAAATGAAACTGAAATCTTACTTCCCCACTGGCAGCCTCCTGGTGGCCACAGGATATGGACTTGACTTTGGTTATAGGCGTGTCAGTGGTTTCCACTGCATGGTGATTGTTGGGGGTCAGATTTGCCAAGGCATAACTTATGTACAATAAAACCCACCAATTTTATTTATTTATTTATTTATTTATTTATTTATTTATTTATTTATTTATTATTTATTTGAGACGGAGTCTCACTCTGTCACCCAGGCTGCAGTGCAGTGGCTTGATCTCAGCTCACTGCAGCCTCTGCCTCCCGGGTTCCAGTGATTCTTCTGCCTCAGCCTCCTGGGTAGCTGGGATTACAGGCATGCGACACCATGCCTGGCTAATTTTTGTATTTTCGGTAGAGACACGGTTTCACCATGTTGGCCAGGCTGGTCTCAAACTCCTGACTTCAGGTGATCTGCCCTCCTTGGCCTTCCAAAGCGCTAGGATTGTAGGCGTGAGCCACCGCACCCAGCCAGAACCCACTAGTTTTAGGTGTACAATTTGGTAAGTTTCATAACCACCACAATAATGACCTAGAACATTCCCATCATTCCAGAAGGTCCTGTCATTCCCCTTTGTAATGAACCCATGCTCTGTCCCAGTGCCCTGCAAACACAGATCTGCTTTTCATCATTGTTTTGCCCTTTTTAAGAATTGTAGCCAAATGGAATCTTACAGTATTTAGTCTCTTATTCTTTTTTTTTTTACACTTAATATAATGCTTTGAAGAGCCATCTGTATTGTTATATTGATGTTTGTATAAGCAGTCCTTTCCTTTTATTTCTGTGTAGTATTCTAGGGTATGGATATGCCACTGATATGATTTGGCTTTTTGTCCCCACCCAAATCTCACCTTGAATTGTAATCCTCGTAATCCCCACGTATCAAGGGAGAGACCGGGTAGAGGTAACTGAATTATGGGGACGGTTTCCCCCGTGCTGTCTTCATGGTAGTCAGTGAATTCTCATGATATCTCATAGTTTTATAAGGGGCTCTTCCCCCTTCTCTCAGCACTTCTCCTTCCTGCCGTCATGTGCAGAAGGTGCCTTGCCTCCTCTTCACCTTCCACCATGATTGTAAGTTCCGCAAAGCCTCCCCAGCCATGCTGAACTGTGAGTCAATTAAACCTTTTTCCTTTATGAATTATCCAGTCTTGGCAGTTCTTTATAGCAGTATGAAAAGGGACCAATACAGCCACAGTGTGTTTATTCACCTGCCAGGTGATAGCGAGGTCATTTCCCTTGGCCATTATGAACAAAACTTCTATAAACATGCTAACAGGTATTCACTATGGAAAACAGTATGCTGATTCCTTAAAGAACTAAAAGTAGAACTACCATTTGATCCAGCAATCCCACTACTCGGTATCTACCCAGAGGAAAAGAAGTCATTATATGAAAAAGACACTTGCACACGTATGTTTATAGTAGCACAATTTGCAGTGGCAAAAATACAGACCCAACCAAAATGCCCACCAACCAACGAGTGGATAAAGAAAATGTGGTGTATATATACACCATGGAGACACTACTCAGCCATAAAACAGTATGAAATAATGGTTTTTGCAGCAACTTGAATGGAGTTGGAGGCCATTATTCTAAGTGAAGTAACTTAGAAATGGAAAACCGAATATTGTATGTTCTCACTTATAAGTGGGAGCTAAGCCATGAGAATGAAAAAGCATAAGAATGACTTGGTGGGGAAGGGTGGAAGTGGGGTGAGGCATAAAAGACCACACATTGGGTGCAGTATACACTGCTAGGGTGATGAGTGCACCAAAATGTCAGAAATCACCACTGAAGAACTTATCCATGTAACCAAAAGCCACCTGTTCCCCTAAAACTATTTAAAGTAAAATAAAAGAAATACAAAAAGTGAATGACTGACAAAAAACCCAAACAAGCACATGTTAATAGGTATTAATGTGGACATATGTTTTTTCTGTTTTTTTTTTTTTTTTTTTTTTTTTGTGGGAGGTGGGAGTTAATACTTCAAGTGGAATTGCTGGGTCACAGGATAAGTTTATGTTTAACTTTGTAAGGAACTGCCAAACTGTTTTCCAAATTTACTGCACAGTTTTGCATCCTTGCCATCAACATCTGAGAGTTTCAGTTGCTCCACATCCTTGTCAGCACTTGGTATTGTCAGTTTAAAAAATTTTAACCATCCTAGTGACCATATTGGGATATTTATTTATGGTTTTAATTTGTATTTGCCTGAGGACTGATGATGGTTTTAAGTGCTTACTTGCCACCTGTATATTTTCTTCCATGAAGTATCTGTTTAGATCATACGGCCATTACAAAAATTAGGTTATTTGTTTTCTTTATTGAGCAGCAAGAGTTTTTATATGTTCAGGATACACATCTTTGTCAGATATATGTTTTGCAAATATTTTTTGTGGCTTGCCTTTTCATTTTCTTAACAGTGGCATTTGAAGTGCAAAAATTAAAAAAATTTTGAAGTCCAATTTCTTAAATATTATAGTTTGTGCTTTTTGTGTCCTGTTTAAGAAATCTTTAATTAATCCAAGGTCACTTAGATTTTTCTCCTATTTTTTTCTAGGAGTTTTATAATTGTAGCTCTTAAATTTATGTCTTAGACCTATTCTGAGTTAACTTTTGTATACAATAGGAGAGTTGTGGTTTACTTTTTTCCTATAGGGATACTCAATATCACATCTAATTTCATCAGCTGAAAAGAGGATTCTTTCCTCATTGAATTGTTTTGTCATCTTGTCATATTTGCAGAAAATCCACTGGCTATTTATGTGTGGTTCTATTTTTAGTCTATTCTGATTTTACTAGAAAAAGTAAGATATACCTTCTTTTTGGAAAAACGGTAACACCAAATGTAGCTGAAAAAACAATGTAACAATGCCAAAAAAAAAGGCAAAAAGGCACTTATATTCTTATCACCCTAAAACCCGTATATATATGTGTGTGTGTATACATATGTATGTTTATATATGTATGTATATATGTATGTATGTAAGTATGTGTATATATATGTATGTGTATATATATAATATATGTGTGTATATATATGTATATGTATGTGTGTGTATATATATATATTTCAGATGACGTTTCACTCTGTCACCCAAGCTGGATTGCAGTGGTGTGATCTTGGCTCACTGCAACCTCCACCTCCTGGTTTCAAACGATTCTCCTGCCTCAGCCTCCCAAGTAGCTGGGACTCATCTGGCTAATTTTTGTATTTTTAGTACAGATGGGGTTTTACTATGTTGGCCACGCTGGTCTCAAACACTTGACCTCAGGTGACCCGTCCGCCTCGGCCTCCCAAAGTGCTGGGATCACATGCATGAGCCACTGCACCCAGCTTAAAACCCATATTTTATTTTATTTTATTTTTTAAGAGACGGGGTTTTGCCATGTTGCCCAGGCTGGTCTCAAACTCCTGGGCTCAAGTGATCCACCCACCTCGGCCTCCCAAAGTCCTGGGATTACACGTGTGAGCCACTGCACCAGGCCTAAAAACCCATATTTTCATACAGTTGACCCTTGAACAGCATGAGTTTGAACTGCATGTGTCCACTTACATGCACATGTTCTTCCACTTCTGCCACCCTTGAGACAGCAAGAACAACACCCTCCTCTTCCTCCTCCTCCTCAGTCTACTCAACCTGAAGATGACAAGGATGAAGACCTTTATCATGACCCACTTGACAGAGAGTAAATATATACTCTTCTTCTTATGATTTTCTTCATAACCTTTTCTTTTCTCTAGCTTACTTTATTGTAAGAATACAGGATAGACATGTAACATACAAATTATGCGTTAATTGACTGTTTTTGTTATTGGTAAGGCTTCTGGTCAACAGTGGGCTATTAGTGGTTAGATTTCTGGGGAGGCAAAAGTTATATGCAGATTTTTGACTGCATGGGGGAATCAGTGCCCTTAACCCCCATGTTGTTGCAGGGCCAATTGTATCTGCATATTCCCATTCGATCTGTCACATACCTAGAAATACAGGGACGCCCTCATATCATGTTCTGCCTTGGTATGTGATGTATCTATGATGCATCCCCAGGTTTAGTGTGGAGCTGCCAGGGGTTTCCTACTCTTTTGTGTTTCAGAGACTACTAGAAAAAGAGTGCGTGGGGAAGTTGATAGTTAACATTGTAATAGGTTGTTTAAAGAACCAACTACCATATAGTAGCATCATTATTCATAACAGGAAGGCTATTTTAGCTCCAAAAAATAAGGATGTCTCAGACTGAGTTTCTGCCTAAACCGCTATTCTAGAACTGCCACTTCAGACCCATGGACAGGACACAGGCCTGGGGTCAGCTGGCCTCAGGATGCCCCACGGCAGCCTCAGGGTGACTTGTGGTCTCTGTTGCTTTCTTCTGTGACTGATTTGCTCTCTCTGAGGCTCTGGTTCCTCATCTAATGAGTTTGAACAATATCCCTTTTCTAGACTGAAGCTGCTTACAATTTTTAAATGAGGGTTTTCTCAGCTTTGGTCTGTAGGGTTTTTTAGAAATCAGCATCAGTTCAGTCTGATACATATGCACCAGGAAGGAGAGTGAATGCTGTGGATACTTCCCTCTGTGACCTGACCACCCCAACACCCTCTCCTGGAAGTGAAGGTCCCCAGGAGGGGAGTGGGGAGCCTCTCATCCATGAGCTCCCCCACCCTCATGTCCTTCTTTCCACTGTGGAGGATCAGGAGCGTGGGTCTCCCCAGCCTTCCTTCCAAAGGCTTCATTCAGCCTCAGTTGCTTCCATTCTTTTGCAAATTTGGAGTCCTAATTGCGGAAACAGAGTCAGACTGGCAGAACTGAGGAAAAGCAAAAAGAAAAAGCAGGTAAGCCACAAGTCTGCCTTTCTTCATGGTCCAGGATATGCAGCCCTCCTGCACCCAACTTATTGTCAGACACCTGCAAGATAGCGCGCTGCAACCTCGGTGTTGTCAGTACTGCATGTCGCTCTCTCCTGCACGCAGCACGAGCACCATCCTATAAAGTCCTCAGCAAGCCTTTGCCTCCTTGCAGTCAGTTCCTCTCTTGCTGTCCTGCCCATTGCTCCCTTACAACATATTTTCCATACTTTCTCTAATAAATCTGCTTTTCTTTACCAACAACTGTCTTGGTAAATTCTTCCTGCCCTGGTACAACCGGACCCAGATAGTTGCTGCTCACCTGTGACATCAAATGCACACTTTTAAACCCCTCTTGGCCAGGCGCGGTGGCTCATGCCTGTAATCCCAGCAATTTGGGAGTCTGAGGAAGGTGGATCACCTGAGGTCAGGAGTTCGATACCAGCCTGGCCAACATGGTGAAACCCTGTGTCTACTAAAAAAAAAAAAAAAAAAACCCAAACCAAAAAATTAGCCAGGTGTGGTGGTGTGCACCTGTAATCCCAGCTACAAGGGAGGCTGAGGCATAAGACTCGCTTGAACCTGGGAGGTGGAGGTTGCAGTGAGCTGAGATCACACCACTGCACTCCAGCCAGGGTGACAGAGCGAGACTTTATCTGAACTAAACAAAACAAACAACAAAAAACCCCCTCTTTCTTGATTTATTTTAAATCTTGCCCATTTCCCTTGAGAAAAATCAGCCTCTTCCTTTTCATTTCACTGAGAAGCTCTTAGAAGCTGAGCGAGGCAGTGATGACAGCAAGGCCAAAGGAAGCCAGAACACTGAAGCGAGACCGCAGAGATGGGGACTGAGCAGAATACCACCACCGACGTTCCTGCAAGGCTCCAGATGCTCACCTGAACTGTTGACAGGTGTGATCAGAGGAAGACAAACAAGGAATACACTCGCTTGTCTTCTTCTGGTCACGTCTTTTTGTCAAGTATCAACAATTGAAGAAATACTTGTGGTAGGGAAAATAAGCGTCCTGTAAAGATGTCCACCTCTTAATCCCTGGACCTGTGACTATGTACCTGGCAAAGAGGAATTAAAGGTGCAGACAGAATTAAGCGTTCTCATCTGGTGACCTGGAGATGGGAGATGATCCCATATTAACCAGGTGGGCCCAGCATAGCCACAGAGGCTCTTCACTGTGGAGAGGGAAGCAGGAGAGAGACAGGGTGAGATGTGACTATGGGAGCAGGGTCAGGGAGGTAGCACTGCTGGCTTTGAAGACACAGGAAGGGGCCATGAGCCAAGGAACACAGGCAGCCTCTGGAAGCCAGAAGAGACAAGGAAACAGATTCTCCACTGGAGCTTCCAGAAGGAACCAGCACTGCCCACACCTGGATTTTAGCCCAGTGAGCTTCATATTGGAATTCTGACCTCCAGTAAGATAATATATTTGTGTGGTTTAAAGCCACTCAGTTTTTGGTAATTTTTTATAGCAGCAATAGAAAATGAAAATGAAGATAATATTTTCCCTTCCTTAGTCATTTTTTCCTGTTTTGTAATAGAATGGTGACAAAATTGCATTGGAAACTTACTTGTTTTCTTTTGGACTACCTTGAAGTTTATTCACTATTTTAAAGGTTGTTTTTTAAATTTAAAACAATCTGCAATAGATTTTTTTTGGATATAACCTGTAGTTATGAGCCTCCCACTTATGAATAGAATTTTTATACATTTTTCTCTACGTAAATCCATATGACAATATGCCATATGACAATATGCCATATGTTAAAGGAATTCTTTATAAATGTCAATGAATTCACCAAATATCAAAAAAAGAGAAAAAGATAGCTCTGTGCTAGAATGAGGAGCTGTACTCTGTCTCATTACAGATGATAGCCCTACTTCAAGTTTTGAATTGGAACCCATTTTATTTCAATTTAAGAGAGAGTTTGCTAAATGTTAAACTGTCGAAAACAAACTGCTTTGTGAGATAGCACTTCTATTATTACTGGAACAATTCAAAGATGCTGTTAAGAGGGGATTCCTGCAACAATTGGGAAGTTATGTTAGGTCATTCCTATGGTCATTCCCAGCACAAAGATGGTGCAATTTCATGATTTTGAATAATCTGGAATTGCTTCTCAGTTTTCTTGCTCTGACGGCCCAACCCCCATCCCAGTTGCCCTGTTTTTCCCAAGAAATAGATATGTGCAATTAGCACTGAAGCCTCTTCAGCGTTCAACCTGCGCTTTCTGCTAAGGGGAGTTGATCAAGGTCTGGCAGCTGGTGGATGACAGGAAGAACCTGGAGCCGTTCTCCTGGATCACCCGCCCGGACTGGCCATGTTGCAGGTTCCGGGGCTGTGTTTGTTCTTCTTTTCTTTGCTAGCCTTGTCGTCTTTGGGGAGTGTGAGGGAATTCAGGGCCAGCTGGCACGCCCAGTCCCTTTCCTTCCTCTCATCTTGGTCGCTCTTTAGTGGAGCTCATAACTTAGATTCTTTCCTGTTATCAACTCTCCTAACCCCCTATCTGATGGCAAGGCAGGAATGTGCCCAGGTGGCTGCCTCGGTCCCAGAGTTTGTATGTAAAATCCAGGGGGTGCCTTCAGCCTTTGAACAGACATTTCCTATGCTGTGATCACAACCTGAGGAAATGCTATGCAAGATGAGCTCAGACAGGGAGCAGCGGAGGGCACAGACCATTAATTTGTTCGAGTTGTAGGATTTGGGAATGATTTGCTTTTTTTTTCTTTTATATTTTCAATCCTGATGAACCACTAATTTTTAATCAATAAAAAACTGTTGTGAGAAACAAGAGACATAACTGTATACAGGGTTCACTATCTTTTAGGTCAGAGAAAATGATGATTGAGGACAAAAAGCTGAACAGCTGTTTTATCTCCTATATGTGGGTGAAACTTAGAAAATAAAAGTGAGATTACTTGCCATTGTTTTCAAAGTGTTAGTCATCGTCATTAGAAAGGAGAAGTTGACATATAAACAGTGGAAAAAGACAGTTGCTATTTGTGGATGATGTCAGCCTATGTAACATCATATTAATTAATAACTGATATTAATTACAACAAGGGAGGCCAATGAGGCAGCCAGTTACAGAATAGGAACTCAGAAATCTGTACTTACTAGTAATAAGAATTCAAAAATTGTAATAGAAAAAAGAGTTCATTCACAATGGCAACAAAAACAACTAGGGAAAATTTCATGAAAAGTATGTGCTGGACCCAAAGTGAAAAAAATTGAAGACACTCCATTGGGGAGCACAAAAGATGTTGTTCTTGGGAAGAAAGAGTCACATTGAAAAGATGTCAATTCCCCATAAATTATCTATCAATGTAATGCCGTTTTCAGTACATTACCGGTGAACTAACTTACTTTATTTTTCTTCTCTTTCTTTCTTTCTTTCTTTCTTTCTTTCTTTCTTTCTTTTTCTTTCTTTCTTTCTTTCTTTCTCTTTCTTTCTTTCTTTCTTTCTTTCTTTCTTTCTTTCTTTCTTTCTTTCTTTCTTTCTCTTTCTTTTTCTTTCCCTCCCTCCCTCCTTCCTTCCTTCTTTCTTTCTTTCTTCTTTTTCTTTCTTTTCTTCTCTCTTTCTCTTTCACCCTCTCCCTCTGCCTGTCCTCTCCTCTCCTATCCCTTCCCCTCCCCTCCCCTCCTCTTTCCTCCCCTCCTCTTTCCTCCCCTCCTCTCCCCTCCCTTCCTCTCCCCTCCCCTCCTCTCCTCTCCTTTCTCTTTCTTCCTTTCTTTCTCTGTTTCTCTTTCTTTCTTCCTCTCTTTCCCTCTCTGTCTCTTTTTTATTTCTCTTTCTTTCTTCCTAACACATTATTCTCAAGTTTATCTGTAAGACTACACATAGGAGGATGGCCAGGAAATGTTTGCGTGTGTTTTGCTAGCTTTTATAAAATTTATCCAAAACTTACAAGTAGTAAAATTCACTTGTGTTTTGGTGTTCAGTTCTTTAAGTTTTGACACATTCACAGGGCTGCGTGCCTTAGTGGAGATGCATCAGGATACAGAAAAGTTCCACCTCCCAAGCTCCTGGGGCGGCTCCTCTGCAGTCAGGCCTCCCTCCACGCCTACTGCCTGGCAGCCTGGGGCTGATCTCTCTCCCTGTAGTTTTGCCATTTCAAGAACGTCATAGACATGGAATCGTACATTATGTAATCTTTTGTGTCTGACTTCTTTCATTTGGCTTAAGGTATTTCAGATTCATCCATACTGTTGCCCGTGTCAATAGTTTGTTCTGTTTGCTGGTGGTATTCCATTTGATGGATGTCCCACAGTTTGTTTATCTATTCCTATTAAAGGGCATTTGAGTTGTTTTTGATTTTTAGTGATTATGAATAAAGTTGCTGTAAGTTTTATGTACAGGGTTTTGGGTAGGCATAAGTTTTTACTTCTCTAGTGTGAGGGCGTACATCTCTCCGCCTTATTCTCGGACTTCAGGGAAAGCATTCCCTTTTTCAACATTTAGTATAAGTTTAGTTGTAGGCTTTTTGTAGGTGTCCTTTATTGGATTAGAGAAGTTTCTTTATATTCCTAGTTTGCTGAAAGTTTTTTTTTTTTTTAATCATGAATGAATGTTGGATTTAGGCAAGCACATTTTCTACATTGATTGAGACAATAATGTGGTTTTTATTCTTTAGTCTGTTAGTATAGTGGATTACACTGATGGACTTTTTTAGTGTTGATTCAAATTTGAAGTCCAGGAAAAAATGCTATTTGGTGATGGTGTACTAGCCTTACTGTACTGGCTTTGAGTTGCTCATATTTTGATGAGGACTTTTGTGTTTATGTTTACAGGGATATTGGTTCAACTCCAATGTAAGAAAAATTATAACCTGCTTGTCGAGAACTTTGGAACTTGCATGAAACATGTTATTCCCATCCCATAGTCACCCTTGTTTGGTCGCGTGACCCAGAGGAAGCACATTCTCCTGGGTCGGTCACGCTCAGCCTAGCCTGGAATTTGCAGGAAGGAGCCTAGTTCCCTGCTGGGGCCACTGTCCATGCCAGCAAGGTCAGCATCTTTGGAGCAAAACTTTTTGAGAAGTAACAAAGGGTGTCACATGTTATTACCAAAGCAAATACAGAATGCATTTCAAAACATGGCCCTGGAGATCTCCCCACCAATCCTACTCAACCTCCCCTGACCTCTACCCCTAAGAACCATCCCAGGATGTCTTCTGGGAGGTGGTGTGCTCGGCAGATCTTTACATACCGGATGGTTGGCATGGCAGTTATAACAGCTTTTCTAAGGGAGGAATGTAGAACCCAGCACGCTGGACAAAATAAACACTGAATTATAAACGGATTAAAATTGTTCTAAGAAGGAGTGCAACTTAAACAGAAACAGAAATGGGTTGCTAAGAGTGTAAAATGTGATGGAGTGTCTCTGGACTGGTGAACTGTTAGTGATTACGAGGGACTGAGCCACACCCTTAAATTGCCACTTCCTGAATAGTTGAGAATACTCCTTAACACCTCCTGCTGTTGAGGACTACCCAGGCCTCCAAGTCCTTCAGGACAGGTGGAGCAACTGCTGCCTGTTTTGTTTGTTTGTTTTGAGTCAAGGTCCCACTCTGCCGCCCAGGCTGGGTGCGATGGTACAATCCCGGCTCACTTGCAGCCTCGACCTCCTGTACTCAAGGGATCCTCCCGCCTCAGTCTCCCGAGTAGCTGGGACCACAGGTGCGTTCAACCACGTCCAGATAATTTTTTGTAGAGACGGGGTCTCACTTTTTTGCCTAGGCTGGTCTTGAACTCCTGGGCTCAAGTGACCCTCCTGCCTTGGCCTCCTGAGCTGCTGGGATTACAGGTGTGAACCACCATGCCCACCTCTCCTGCTGTTTTTCTGTACCTTGACAGGGGGACAGCATTTGCTTTCTGTTCCTAGATTGCATTCCTAGTGGAATAAAGGCACGATCTGTGCCCTGGAAGGGCAAGCGTCACTGAGATTTTATTTTGGGCATATGGGAGGATTTTGGGTGAAACTTAGACAAAAGTAACCAGCATATTTTACTTCCTTAGTAGTAATTTAAATGCTTAGGGCTTAAACAAAGGCATTTGCAAAAATGGATCAGGTTTTGTGGATCATAACTTTTATTTTCTTATAACATTCCCTTAGATATCATGGGAGAGCCTCTTATTATCTCAAGAAGAAGATGAAGAATTCCACAATTTTCCTATTTAATGACTGCCTTATCACTCATTGAAAAGGTCTAGTTTCCTAATTATCAGAGCGAGTACCTAGAGTAGAATTTGCAGAGAACGAACAGTGTCTACTATGCCAAAATACTTCCTCCCATAGATTGGCGTTGTGGTCTAACCCTCTCTGTAGCCATTGTAGCCATGTGTTTGGTTTAACACAGTAGAGGCCTCTGTTGAAAGCACGCACTTTCACATCCCTTGTAAGTTGGATTCCTAGGTATTTTATTCTCTTTGAAGCAACTGTGAATGGGAGTTCACTTATGATTTGGCTCTCTGTTTGTCTGTTATTGGTGTATAAGAATGCTTGTGATTTTTGCACATCGATTTTGTATCCTGAGACTTTGCTGAAGTTGCTTATCAGCTTAAGGAGATTTTGGGCTGAGACGATGGGGTTTTCTAAATATACAATCATGTCATCTGCAAACAGGGAGAATTTGACTTCCTCTTTTCCTAATTGAATACCCTTTATTTCTTTCTCCTGCCTGATTGCCCTGGTCAGATCTTCCAACACTATGTTGAATAGGAGTGGAGAGAGAGGGCATCCCTGTCTTGTGCCAGTTTTCAAAGGGAATGCTTCCAGTTTGCCCATTCAGTATGACATTGGCTGTGGGTTTGTCATAAATAGCTCTTATTATTTTGAGATATGTCCTATCAAAACCTAATTTATTGAGAGTTTTTAGCATGAAGAGCTGTTGAATTTTGTCAAAGGCCTTTTCTGCATCTATTGAGATAATCATGTGGTTTTTGTCTTTGGTTCTGTTTACATGCTGGATTACGCTTATTGATTTGCATATGTTGAACCAGCCTTGCATCCCAGGGATGAAGCCCACTTGATCATGGTGGATAAGCTTTTTGATGTGCTGCTGGGTTCGGTTTTGCCAGTATTTTATTGAGGATTTTTGAATCAATGTTCGTCAGGGATATTGGTCTAAAATTCTCTTTTTTTTGTTGTGTCTCTGCCCGGCTTTGGTATCAGGATGATGCTGGCCTCATAAAATGAGTTAGGGAGGATTCCCTCTTTTTCTATTGATTGGAATAGTTTCAGAAGGAATGGTACCAGCTCCTCCTTGTACCTCTGGTAGAATTCGGCTGTGAATCCGTCTGGTCCTGGACTTTTTTTGGTTGGTAGGCTATTAATTATTGCCTCAATTTCAGAGCCTGTTGTTGGTCTATTCAGGGATTCAACTTCTTCCTAGTTTAGTCTTGGGAGGGTGTATGTTTCCAGGGATTTATCCATTTCTTCTAGATTTTCTAGTTTATTTGCGTAGAGGTGTTTATAGTATTCTCTGACAGTAGTTTGTATTTCTGTGGGATTGGTGGTGATATCCCCTTTATCATTTTTTATTGCATCTGTTTGATTCTTCTCTCTTTTCTTCTTTATTAGTCTTGCTAGCGGTCTATCAATTTTGTTGATCTTTTCAAAAAACCAGTTCCTGGATTCATTGACTTTTTTGAAGGATTTTTTGTGTCTCTATCTCCTTCAGTTCTGCTCTGATCTTAGTTATTTCCTGCCTTCTGCTAGCTTTTGAATGTGTTTGCTCTTGCTTCTCTAGTTCTTTTAATTGTGATGTTAGGGTGTCAATTTTACATCTTTCCTGCTTTCTCTTGTGGACATTTAGTGCTATAAATTTCCCTCTATGCACGCTTTAACTGTGTCCCAGAGGTTCTGGTATGTTGTGTCTTTGTTCTCATTGGTTTCAAAGAACATCTTTATTTCTGCCTTCATTTCGTTATGTACCCAGTAGTCATTCAGGAGCAGGTTGTTCAGTTTCCCTGTAGTTGAGCGGTTTTAGTGAGTTTCTGAATCATGAGTTCTAGTTTGATTGCACTGTGGTCTGAGAGACAGTTTGTTATAATTTCTGTTCTTTTACATTTGCTGAAGAGTGCTTTACTTCCAACTATGTGGTCAATTTTGGAATAAGTGAGATGTGGTGCTGAGAAGAATGTATATTCTGTTGATTTGGGGTGGAGAGTTCTGTAGATGTCTATTAGGTCTGCTTGGCGCTGAGCTGAGTTCAACTCCTGGATATCCTTTTTAACTTTCTGTCTCGTTGATCTGTCTAATGTTGACAGTGGGATGTTAAAGTCTCCCATTATTATTGTGTGGGAGTCTAAGTCTCTTTGTAAGTCTCTAAGGACTTGCTTTATGAATCTGGGTGCTCCTGTATTGGGTGCATATATATTTAGGATAGTTAGCTCTTCTTGCTGAATTGATCCCTTTACCATTATGTAATGGCCTTGTCTCCTTTGATCTTTGTTGGTTTAAACTCTGTTTTATCAGAGACTAGGATTGCAAACCCTGCCTTTTTTTTTGTTTTCCATTTGCTTGGTAGATCTTCCTCCATAGCTTTATTTTGAGCCTATGTGTGTCTCTGCTTCAAGGAGAACTACAAACCAGTGCTCAACAAAATAAATGAGGACACAAACAAATGGAAGAACATTCCACGCTCATGGATAGGAAGAATCAATATCATGAAAATGGCCATACTGCCCAAGGTAATTTATAGATTCAATGCCATCCCCAGCAAGCTACGAATGACTTTCTTCACAGAATTGGATAAAACTACTTTATAGTTCATATGGAACCAAAAAAGAGCCTGCATTGCTAAGACAATCCTAAGCCAAAAGAACAAAGCTGGAGGCATCACGCTACCCGACTTCAAACTATACTACACAGCTACAGTAACCAAAACAGCATGGTACTTGTATCAAAACAGAGATATAGACCAATGGAACAGAACAGAGCCCTCAGAAATAATACCACACATCTACAACCATCTGATCTTTGACAAACCTGACAAAAACAAGAAATGGGGAAAGGATTCCCTATTTAATAAATGGTGCTGGGAAAACTGGCTAGCCATATGTAGAAAGATGAAACTGGATCCCTTCCTTACACCTTATAGAAAAATTAATTCAAGATGGATTAAAGACTTAAATGTTAGACCTAAAACCACAAAAACCCTAGGAGAAAACCTAGGCAATACCATTCAGGACTTAGGCATGGGCAAGGACTTCATTTCTAAAACACCAAAAGCAATGGCAACAAACGCCAAAATTGACAAATGGGATCTAATGAAACTAAAGAGCTTCTGCACAGCAAAGGAAACTACCATCAGAGTGAACAGGCAACCTACAGAATGGGAGAAAATTTTTGCAATGTACTCATCTGACAAAGGGCTAATATCCAGAATCTACAAAGAACTCAAACAAATTTACAAGGAAAAAAAAACAACCCCATCAAAAAGTGGGCAAAGGGTATGAACAGACACTTCTCACAAGAAGACATTTATGCAGCCAAAAGACACATGAAAAAATGCTCATCCTCACTGGCCATCAGAGAAATGCAAATCAAAACCACAATGAGATACCATCTCACAGCAGTTAGAATGGCGATCATTAAAAAGTCAGGAAACAACAGGTGCTGGAGAGGATGTGGAGAAAGAGGAACACTTTTACACTGTTGGTGGGACTGTAAACTAGTTCAACCATTGTGGAAGACAGTGTGGCGATTCCTCAAGGATCTAGAACTAGAAATACCATTTGACCCAGCCATCCCATTACTGGGTATATACCCAAAGGATTATAAATCATGCTGCTATAAAGACACATGCACACGTATGTTTATTGTGGCACTATTCACAATAGAAAGACTTGGAACCAACCCAAATGTCCATCAGTGATAGACTGGATTAAGACAGTGTGGCACATATACACCATGGAATACTATGCAGCCATAAAAAAGGATGAGTTCATGTCCTTTGTAGGGACACGGATGAAGCTGGAAACCATCATTCTCAGCAAACTATCACAAGGACATCAAACACTGCATGTACTCACTCATAGGTAGGAATTGAAAAATGAGAACACTTGGACAAAGGATGGGGAACATCACACACCGGGGCCTGTCGTGGGGTGGGGGGAGGGGGGAGGGATAGCATTAGGAGATATACCTAATGTTAAATGAAGAGTTAATGGGTGCAGCACACCAACATGACACATGTATACATATGTAACAAACCTGCACTTTGTGCACATGTACCCTAGAACTTAAAGAATAAAAAAAAAAAAAAAAAGAAAGCACACACTTTCAGCTGGGGGTAGTGTCTCATGCCTGTAATCCCAGCATTTTGGGAGGCCAAGGCCACAGGATAGCTTGAGGCCAGGAGTTAGAGACTAGTCTGGGCAACATAGCAAGACCCCATATCTAAAAAAAAAAAAAGTTAGCAAGGCATGGTGGCTTGCACCTGTAGTCCCAGCTAGGCTGAGGCAAGAGGATTACTTGAGCCTAGGAGTTTGAGGCTGCAGTGAGCTATGATGGCGTCACTGTACTCCAGCCTGGAAGACAGAGTGAGACTCTGTCTCTGAAAAAACAAACAAAAAAGACAACACAAACTTTCACTGTTGTTGCTTGGTAGGGTGACCCATTAAGCTTTAAGAGAATGAGTGTTGATCTCTATGACCCGGCTTCTGACCCTGCTCTGCCACTCACTCCGGATGATGTCGAATCATCGATTTCACCTGGCAAAGTCTCAGTTTTCTTATCTGAAACACAGGGTAGCACCTACCCACTGGGGTTGCTGTGAGTGTTTGTGAGGCAATACACAGATCAGCACTATCCAGTTAAACACAATGGGAGCCATATGCATAAGTTTAAATTTTCATTAATTTAATTTCATTTAACTCAATAGATCCATAATATCATCAAGTCAACATAATCAATACAAAAGTAACTGAGGTATTTTGCGTTCTTTTTTCTTGTACCAAACCTCTAAAATCTGGTGTATTTTGAACTTACAGCACATCTCAACTAATGACAGCCATGTCCCTGACTCTCCCCGGACACATATGACCAGTGGTTGCCATGCCAGGTGGACAGGAGGAGGCAGTGCCTGCCTGAAGGAAGAACTCAGTAACTGGTGCTGCAGGAGCGTTTTGCTTCCTCTCTGTTGTGAATGCCTCGGCTCCAGCTGGCCAAGCAGCCAGCTCACCCCTGATGGAATGTCACTCACATGTTTCCCATTGTTGTATAACAAGTTACCACGAACATAGTGGCATGGAACAACAACCACTCGTCATCTCACAGTTCTGCAGGTCAGAAGCCCATGCAGACTCCACTGGGTTCTCTGCCAAGGGCCTCACAAGGCCAACATCAAGGCACTGGGTGGGTTGACTCCCATCTGGAGGCTGTGGGGAAGAATCTGCTTCCAGGCACACCCAGGTTGATGGCAGAGTTCAGTTCCTTGTGGGTATCAGACTGAGGGTTCCTGTTTCCCTGCTGGATATGTCATCCAGGGGACAGTCTTTGCTCCTAGAGGCCATGCACCTTCCTTTTCATGCTCCCCATGTGACACCCTCACACTTTGACTCTCTGACTCCCTTCTCTGACAGCAGCCAGAGAAAACCTTATATATTAGTCCATTCTCACACTGCTATAAAGAAATGCCCACGACTGGGTAATTTATAAAGGAAAGAGGTTTAATTGATTCACTGTTCCACATGGCTGGGGAGGCCTCAGGAAACTTACAATCACGGCAGAAGGTGAAGGGGAAGCAAGCACGTCTTACATGGCAGCAGGTGATGAAGACTGTGTGAAGGAGGAACTGTCGAAGACTCATAAAACCATCAGATTTCATGATAACTCACTCACTGTCATGAGAACAGCATGGGGGAAAACTGCTCCTATGATCCAATCACCTCCCACCAGCTCCCTTTCTTGACATACGGGGATTATGGGGAATACAATTTGGGTGGGGACACAGAGACAAACAATACCGCCTTCTGCTTTTAATGGCTTATGCAGTTAGATTAGACTCACCTTGATAATCTGCCTTTGGATTCACTCAAAGTCAACTGATTAGTAACCCTAATTCCATGTGCAAAATCCCTTTTGCCATGTAACTTATCATCATCATGGACGTGGTATCACAATACCTTTTTGGTCCTGGGATTGAGGTGGGAAATCCTGGGGCCATTTTAAGGTTCCTTTTACCTTGTTACTACACTCAGGGGTGATAGAAGCCCACAGTTCAGTCAATATCAGATTCTCCTGCCACTCACTCTGGATGCCACAGTGAGGTTCATGGGGTAGTTGGAGGCCATGGCTCTGTGGAGGTGGGGGAAGGGAAAGTGCTGAAGTCTGGGGAGGCATCTATAGACAGATCCCCCAACTCAGTGGGATCTAGTGCAGATTCTGGTGACTACACTTGGGAGTAGTTCCTTTTTCTCTTCTGAGGGTTTGACCAAGGCCAGCTGGTAATCTGTTCACTCACTAAGTATGTAGATCAGAGAAAGTGATGAGTCAATGCTAACACCTCTGGTTCTTTTTGAGTTTCTGAGGTTGAATGCAGTGACAATTTTGTGGCAAGATGATCTTAAATGTTTTGGAAGCAAAAGCATTTTTTGTTGAAAGAAGGCTGGTTGTCACTATGTATATATATTTGGTGATGAGGATGGGACCCCGTAGGGGTAGGAGAGCACCAACCTGGAGCAGGTGGTGCAGGCCCCCTCCAGGCCCATCTGGAATTTGAGCAGATCCTGTGTTAAAGGACCACCTAGGCCCCTTGAGGAGTCTGGCACCATTGTGCCCATCCCCTGAAATGAGCATGGTGTGGTGTTGTTACTCCTTTTACAGAAACTTAAGTAGAAGACGCTTAAGAGCCAAGTTTTGTATTCCTTCCTATTAAAAATCATTGGTTGAGGCTTATGTTTCACATTAATTGAAACCCTGTTATTCACATGGCACTGAAGCTGGGAATTGTGTTCTAGTTTGAACTTTCTAGAAAGAAACCTTAGGACACTGCTGTCTCTGGAGCAGATGCACAAATGACTGAGTGACAGATGGCCACTCCTCAGCCAGTGGCTGTTTGTAAGGAATTCTAGTGCATGGAAAGTGCTAAATTAGCAGCGCTCTTGGGGGTATCCCCTGTTACCAAACAGAGAAAAACTCCAAGAGAATCTCCACTAAGAGTCACAGAAGTTCCTCCTAGTTCTTCACTGGGGGCCTAAGGGCTCCACTGAGAAGTGTATTTCAACACGATTTGAGGCAGGTGAATCCAGGAGTTCGAGACCAGCCTGGGCACCATGGTGAAAACCCCATCCCTACAAAAAAGTACCAAAATTAGCCCAGCATGGTGGCACATGCCTGTAATCCCAGCTACTCCAGAGGCTGAGGTGGGAGGATCAGTTGAGCCCAGGAGGTGAGGTCTGCAGTGAGCCGAGATCACGACATTGCACTCCAGCCTGGGTAACAAAGAGTGACACCCCGTCTCAAAAAAAAAAACCAAAAAACAAAAAACCAACCATAAAAGAACCCCCTTCCCCACCCAAATTCCCATTATCCTTGACAAGGGTCCATCAGGCCTCAGCAGTTTGCCAAAGGAGTCTGTATTAGTTGCCTTGTCTGCTGTAAAAATGACCATAAACTGAGAGGTGAGGGGTTGGGGTGGGGTTTTAAGCAACAGACATTCTTTCTCTCCCAGTTCTAGAGGTCAGAATGCTCGAACCAAGCATCTGCAGGGCTGAGTCCTCCTGCATGCCCTGAAGGAGAATCCATTCCCTGTCTGTCTCCCAGCTTCTGGAA
The DNA here is from genome assembly GCF_000001405.40 of Homo sapiens. Taxonomy (NCBI): domain Eukaryota; kingdom Metazoa; phylum Chordata; class Mammalia; order Primates; family Hominidae; genus Homo; species Homo sapiens. Next base: position 85,881,682 of record NC_000016.10, read on the forward strand.
GGTGCTGGTAACCCTAGCTGTTCCTTGGCTCAGGGTGGCATCACTCCAGTCTTTGCCTCTGTCTTTGTACGGTGTCCTCTGTGTGTCCATGTCTTCTCCTCTCAGAAGGACGCCAGTCATTATTAGATTTAGGGCCCACCCTAAATTCAGGATGATCTTATCTCAAGATTCTTAACTTAATTACATCTGCCAAGACTCTTTTCCAAATAAGGTCTCATTCACAGGTTCTGGAATTTAGGATGTGGACATAACTTTTGGTTGGAGGCAGGGGCGGGGGGTCACCATTCAACCCACTACAGAGTCCATGACACAAAAAAGGTTCTGAAGCTCCATGATCTTGCCAGGGCCTTCCTGATCTTTCCTATCAAACTCCACATTTTCAAGAATTTTGCTCCTGTAACTTGCTTCTATTTCTGACTCCATAACCAGGTGAAGTGTGTGCCTTGTAAATGGAAAATTATGATGCATTTTTTTCTGTTTAAACAGCTTCTAAACAGGATTCAACTGTGGTGAAGGCTGACAAGTGCATCTTTCAGTCTCAAAAATGGTCTGATCAGGAACCCACGGAATGGGGGATGATTGACAATCTCTCTCATGGACCTTCTGCAGCCTGACACTTACATAATGCTTTCCTGGCAGGTGGAAAATCCCACAGTGCTTAGGCTAATGCTTCTCAGCTTTGGGCTCTATTTTCTGTAGGTCAGTCTCAAGGCTGACACCCACTCCCCCACCCCCGGCCCCTGCCACTTCTCCAGAAACATTTGAAGCCATTGGGGGGTCAGGGCTGACTGAGAGCTCTGCTGTGTAGAAACCACTTTCACCCACATGACTTAATGTGGCCAGGAGGCTTGTTTCTCCCCGGCTTACAGCCAATTTCTCTGGCTCTTCAAGTCTCAACTTAAATGTCACCTCCAAGCCGCCTGACCACCCTGTCTGCCCTGAGGTCCTTGCATTTTCTCTTCTCTTTCCTTCTTTGTCTCTTTTTGATGTCTGCATAGTGAGGGAACATCAATCTCTTTGATGACATAATTTTTAAATTTCCTCAAGTCAAAACCAGAATAGAGAAGTGGGAGACCTTGGGAGATAACCATGTTTCAATAGCTTAGGAAACATGTAGAGCAAAATCTTGGTGATTTTAGTTTTAATGTTCAATTACAATTTCTCTGAAATAGCACAATGGCCAAAAATAGACCATTATGCTGCGTTTAAACAGCTTTTGTTCCTCAACCTGTTGATAACATCTGATGCTTGTTTGTCGTCATTTCTTATGATGGAGGTAGAATTCACACCCTCTAAAATCGCCCAATTTAAGGGGTAAAATTCAGGGGACGTTGGCATATCTACAAGGTTGACCCAAGTCATATTTGGAAGGCTTGGCAACTGCCAAGGCACAGATTTACTTTTTTCCTTACTTGGAGTATGTGTAGTGTTTACTATAGTAAACAGTGTTGAAATCATATTTGAAAAATAGAGAATGTAAAACACGAATGCTTTCTGCACAGAGTTCCGTGCAGTGCAGAGACACATGGAGGGGTGAGAAGCTGGATGGGTGTCTGCCAAGCTGGAGAGAGGAGCAGCTAGGAAGAGGGCTGCCCTGTGGAAACCCCCAGGTTAGTGGCGAAAATGAGACACAGCCACGGAAAACTTTCCTGAATTCCACGGAGAGCCGGGGAGGAAGACACCGAAAGAAGTTCCCTGGTCCATGATGCTGCTGAGGGACGCGTCCCCCATGTCCTCTCCTTATTCTCCTGAGGGAGCCTCTGTGTCCCCTCCTTTTTCTCCTGAGAGACGCCTCCCCTGTGTCCTCTCCTTATTCTCCTGAGGGAGCCTCTGTGTCCTCTCCTTATTCTCCTGAGGGAGCCTCTGTGTCCCCTCCTTATTCTCCTGAAAGACGCCTCTCCTGTGTCCTCTCCTTATTCTCCTGAGGAAGCCTCCCCTGTGTCCTCTCCTTATTCTCCTGAGGGAGCCTCTGTGTCCTCTCCTTATTCTCCTGAGGGAGCCTCTGTGTCCTCTCCTTATTCTCCTGAAAGACGCCTCTCCTGTGTCCTCTCCTTATTCTCCTGAGGAAGCCTCCCTGTGTCCTCCTTATTCTCCTGAAAGACACCTCCCCTCAAGTCCTCATTATTCTCCTGAGGGACGCCTCCTCTGTGTCCTCCCAGATGCCCCTGAGGGACGCTTCTTGGTGTTTCTCAGTGCTCAGCAGCCAGCGGTGCCTGGCCTGTCCCACTCACGGTCCCTGTTCTAGCACAGAGTCCTTCTGGGCTGGGCTCCCAGTACCCTGTGTGCTCCTTCCTCCTCTAATGATGGCTGCGGCGGGCTGTGCCTCCCGCTGTCCCCTGGGTATGCTCGTGGTCCAGGATCACACCGCTCCTTGTGTGCACTGCAGAGTCCAAGAACACACGCGGAGACCACTGCTCCTCTGGCGTTCCTGGCACTATGTTTTTTCCTGCTTGGGTCCGTTCCTCCACACCTGTGGAAAACCTGTTGTACCTGCTGCTTCCCCCACAAAGCCGTTTCTGGTTGTTCCTGTGTAGGGTGAATTGGATGTGGTGGGATAAGCCCCACTCACTTCACACCAGCACTCTGGGTTTTCGCCTGCTCCTCCTCTCAGTCCTGGGGCGACTGTTTTCACCTCTCTGCATCCCAGTTGCTGCACATCTGCATCCCCAGGCTGAGGCTAGCCTGCTGCCCACGAGGCTGTGGAGAAGCCCCAGCAAACAGCCCAGGGGAAAGAGCCTCGTGGATTTTATTTGATTTATCTTTCCCTGTGAATTCCCACAGTGCCTGCCCGGTTTGGATCCTCTCAACCACATGGATTGTTTGCTTTGAATTGTAGTGATTTGTGCACCTGTCAAAACTTCCCCACCAGGGAGGCCACTGGCTTCTTCATAGCTCCTGAGCACCTAGCACACCCTGTGCACGTTCGTTTTCTTTTTTCTTTCTGAAATGGAGTCTTGCTCTGTTGCCCAGGCTGGAGTGCGGTGTTGAGATCTTGGCTCACTGCAACCTCTGCCTCCCAGGTTCAAGTGATTGTCCTGTCTCAGCCTCCCCACTAGCTGGGATTACAGGTCTCAGCCTCCCCAGTAGCTGGGATTACAGGTGCACTTTGCCATGCCCGGGTAATTTTTATATTTTTGATAGAGATAGGGTTTCACTATGTCGGCCAGGCTGGTCTTGAGCTCACGACCTCAGGTGATCCACCCGCCTGGGCCTCCCAAAATGCTGGGATTACAGGCGTGAGCCACCTTGCCCGGCCATTTTCTGAACAGCCATGTCAACAGGTTAGTCCTGCTTCAAGGACCAAGTAGAACTTCTTCCATGTCCTGGATTTGCCCCTTGGCAGTGTCTCGTCCTTGTGTCCCAATGTGAGTGCTACGTAAATGGCTTCTTCTCACTGTGTGCATTGACTCTTGCCTGGGACTCTCCTTTCCTACCCACCCCCCATCTCTGGATTCAGCCTTCAGCTGACTTTCTGCTATTAGTTTACCCTGTTCTGGTTTCTGGCTCTCACCTCCAGACATGCTTCCTCTTGCAAGTTCATCATGGGTTTCCTCCGCTAAGGTGCCCTGGCTCTGGGCTTCTGCATTCCCCAGGTCTGAATTTGGAATTCCTGGCTTCCACCTTGCAGCAGCCTCCCCCTACCCCATCCATTCTTGGCCCTGGGCCTGTACAGCCAGGCTCTGGCTGGGTGATCTTTCCGGATACCGCTTTGAAGAGTTTACCTGCCGATCTCCAAGTTTATCACGAGTGTATTCCCATGAACATTTCGAGGTAGCACTAGGTATCAATGCTTTTTGTCAAAAGTCATTAGATTTTGAAGCATACAGAAGAGAATAATACAGTGAATGTTCCCCTCCAGTTTTGTCAGTCTTTACATTATGTGATATTCACTTCATATTGCTTTTGTTATATACAATAAAGCAGACACGGCTGGGACTCTGTTGGCCACGTCTCATGGGGATGTCATTTACTTCCTCCTCCTCAGAGGTAACAACTACCTTGAAATTAGTCTCTATCATCCTCATACACATTTTTATTTTATGTCTACTGACGTCATTTCATAAACACATTACTCTGTGGTGTGTGTTTCTGGCTTCATATAAACGCCATGATATTGCATGCAGTTATTCTGTAACTTGTGTTTTTTTTTGTTCAAAATTGTATTTTCTAGGTTTATCATTTGAACTATGATGTTGTATCTATTGTATTCAAATGCCACAGGTTATCCACGACCTCTTGATGTGCGTCTATGTTGCTTCCAAATTTTGTGCCATAACAGATGGTGCCCACGTACATATTTTTTTCTGTGTCTTATTGATCACAGGTATGATCGAGGGTCTTTGCCTCAAATTGGAATTCTTGACGCATAGAGCATGACATCTTTTTTTTTTTTTTTAGACAGTTTTGCTCTGTCGCCCAGGCTGGAGTGCAGTGGCGCAATCTTGGCTCACTGCAGCCTCTGCCTCCAGGGTTCAAGCAATTCTCCTGTCTCAGCCTCCCAAGTAGCTGGGATTATAGGTGTGCGCCGCCATACTCGGCTAATTTTTGTATTTTTTAGTAGAGATAGGGTTTCGCTATGTTGGTCAGGCTGGCCTTGAACTCCTGACCTCAAGTGATCCACCTGCCTTGGCCTCCCAAAGTGCTGGGATTATAAGTGTGAGCCACTACGCCCTGCCAAGCATGACATCTTTACCGTTGGAGACAATGCCAGAATTTTCCACGTGGTTCTGTCAGCTTCACCCACTGATATGTGCCAGAGTGAATACGATGCTCCCAATTTCTCTACTTTCTCAGCCTTGCTAGGTGTTGGTAGACTTTGAGAGTCTTGCTGATATAAGGAGTATGAGAGTCTAGGTCATTGTTTGAGTTGCATTTTCCTTACCGCTATCATAGTTGAGCATCTTTCTGTGTGCTAATTGGCTTTTTGGATTTTTTTTAATTTTCTATGAATTATCCAGTTAGATAAAATATTTAAAAACAGCTTTATTGAGAGATAATTCACATACCACACAATTCATCCATTTTAAGTGTCCAACTCCATAGCTTTTAGTACACTCACAAAACTGTGTAACCATCACCACCATCGAGCTTAGAACATCTTCTCACCCCAAAAACAAGCCCCATATGCATTTGCAGTCACTCCTCATTTTCTTTCAAACTCCCTAGCCCTAGCTAATCACTGATGTACTTTCCGTCTATTGTATGAGGGGAAATAGGTATTGGGGAATTGGGTGATTGTTGAGGCGTGTTTTGCCCAATAGTCAGCCTCCCAGTAACCTGAAAGAAAGCTCCTCCACCTCTCTGCGTGTCTCTTTCCAATGTAGCAACCTTGGGCACCGGGCAAAGCCTTGTCCTAAACCTCGGCCCCTCCCACCAAACCATGACCAACTTGTGGTCTCTGGGGACGCTGGACAATGGACTGCCCCCTACGGGGACACCTCCCCCGTTCAGGTGCAGCTCATAATGAAGCCCCCTAACTAAGACAGGAGGAAATTTCTTCACTGCTGGCGCTGATCAAGGAAGACTGAGGGTGCCCGGGATTCTTTGCCCCACATCTAGTGAGTCCACTGAACCCAGGGTAATTGGGACAGCATCCGGTAAAATTTTTTTCTTTCTTTTGAATAATGGGGCATGCCTATCGGTATTAACTGAATATAAAGGCCCATTAGAATGATTATCGGTTTCTGTTGTTGGCATGAAGGGCATACAAGAAACCCCATACAAAACACCACCTGTATACTGCTCATTTCAGGGAGTTACCCACACTCACTCTTTCTTGGTCATTCCTCACTGTCCCACTCCTTTATTAGGAAGGGACATTCTACACAAACTAGGAGGAATCATTCATTTATCAGCCCTACATCAAAGCATCCCTTACTTATTGTTATGTCAAGAACAAAACCCTTCCTCAGACACTCAACATCAAACAGACTTAAATCCCAAATTCCTCAGCCAAGTAAACCCCATAATATAAAGCACTGACTTCCCCGTAATAGCTATCTACCATTCTCCAATACAAATTTCACTGAAGGGATCCTAAGCACTATATAGTGGTCCTAAAATGTCCCCTCAATCCTCATGGATTATGGGGACTCAAGCCCATCATCTCCTGACTTTTGGCTGCCAATATTTTAATCCCCTCCCACTCTCCCCACAATACTCCTATTCTCCCAATCAAAAAACCTGGTGGCTCCTACGGAGCAGTTCAGGATTTGTGACAAATCAACTCCACTCTTGTTACTGTTTGTCCCCTTGTCCCAAACCCCTACACCCTCTTATCGAGAATTCCTCCCAACACCAGCCATTTCTCTGTGTTAGACCATGCATTCTTCTTTATGTAATACAGATTCAAGACACTTGAAGATAAATTTACTTTCACGCCACTGCAGGAAAAGAGAGAAGGGTCTTGTCATGGATAAGTACTCAGTGATAAATTGACATATCATGTCAGTCATTTGAGGAAATTTATGTGTCAAAACAGTAAATAACCCAATCCAAGCAACAAATAAGGAAATAAAAGCATGAGAATAATTTTTAGGGAAAAGAAATCTGACATTCATAGTTCAGAAAGATAACCATGCCTAGTCCAGTCAATGTGGGGGAGTTTCAGCAGTGATATCTGGCACTCACTGTCTCTCCAGAACAACTACATACTGGGATGAAACAAACAGGCTTCCATCACCACTGTGTAACCATTTACTTAAATCTAAAAAGGAGTCCCTGGAAATTATTCCATAAAGGGATAGTTCCAAACTCCTTGAGGTTCCAAGAGGAACCCAAGAAATGGAGCCAAGTGACAAAACAGATTTGTTTTTTTTTTTGGAAACAGGGTCTTGCTTTGTCACCCAGGCTAGAGTGCAGTGATTGTGGTCACAGCTCACTGCAGTTTGAACTCCTGGGCTCAAGACATCCTCTTGTCTCAGCCTCCTGAGTAGCTGGGACTATAGGCATGCACTACAATACCCAGCTAATTTTTAAATTTTTAGCAGAGATGAGGTCTTGCTATGTTGCCCAGGCTGGTCTTTATCTCCTGGGTTCAGGGGATCCTCTCACCTCAACCTCCCAAAGTATTGGGATTATAGGCATGGGCCACCATACCCAGCCAGGAAAGAGAATTAATGCACCTCCTGAGGCTTCACGTGGACCTACCTGAACCTAATTTTTATACACGTTCCATGAGCAGCCCATGAGGCAGATGTTGTTTGCACTTTCATCTGGCTTGGCTTGAAAGTGATGATGCATTTATTTGCATGAGTGGGTGACAGGGGCTAAAAAATGAGATCAGAACCAGAAGAAGGCTGTCAGGAAGGAAATGACTAACTCGACAAGAAATTTCAGCCATTTGTGTCCTGTCCCCAGCAACTCCCCCACTAAGTTCCCAGTAGGTTCATTTTCAGTTTGTAGAACAACTCTGCCTGGAAGATTATGTACAATCATAGGCTTTTAGGTCTGGATGAAACCTGAGTGCCTCACTTGTGCAACCATTTCATTTCATAGAAAAGGAAACAGAGGTGTGAATTAGACACCCCTGCTCTGGACTGCGCCTCCACTCCCTGAGCAAAGCAATGCAGAGCAGTGGAAAGAGTCTTGGGTTTGAAGGCAAGAGGCTCCAGCCCCCCGAGCCTCAGTTTCCCCATCTGTCAAGTGAGGATAACCACGCCTGCCCTGCTCTACTGGGCAGGGCAAAGGAGATGATTTAAGAGCAAGTATTTTGTAAAAGAGAAAGCAAGCTGCAACTTTAAGTTGCTACTCCTAGTGCCCCTCAAAGCTGCCTAGCAAATTGATTCTTCTCCGTAGTTTCCTGCATTGAGTTCTAGAACTCAGTGCTGGGAGTCAAAGGGTCCCTGTTGACTCCTGGGCCTGGGGAACCCACTCTGCCTCGGAACCCTTCCTTGCATCCTTCCTTTGTAGGCAATCATTTGGTGCATCCCAGCCAACCATGCACTTACAGAGAAAGAAACAGCCAAAAGAAATAGAGAGAAGGGAATTACGACCTGGGGTGCATTTGACTGCTTCAGTTCCGAAAATACTTACTAAAGACCTATTAGGTGGCAATGAAGTTGACCTCAAATCACAGAACCTTAAAATTGGAAGGGACTTGGAGATTATGGATTAAGTAGTACACGCTCCTGAAATCACACAGCAACACTGCAATCACCTCTAACAGGCGGTCTAGCATGTGTTCCCTTCATGCTTCCAGGGACAGGTGGCTCCCACGTCACCAGGGACCTCATTCCACTTGTAGAAAGATTGTTAAAGCACAGCCCATTATTAAGTGGACTGAGGTAAGCATGGGGGCAAATTCTGCCCACTGACACACAACTACCATATGCCACCAAAGTCCGAAATGAAGCCTGCTTACAAATGAAGACAATTACAAAATCATCCGTCTTGTCTCTAAGTGCCAGGGTAAAAATGGACTTCTAGGATTGCATTTAAAAATATCTCTAACCACGCTCAAAGTTTGTGATTCTCCTTAGAGGTAAATTATTGTTGTTGTATTGATATTTTATTGTGCTTCTGCCATTTGTTTCTCACAGATGCACCTGCTGCACATCTGCAAAGGTAAGCTGGAGATGAACATGGGTGAGCGTTCTGGATTATTTGGCACTGCTTGCTAAGCACATAGATTCATGATGCACTGAGTCAGAATCCCTGGAGGCTCCTCCTGGGAACCTACATCTTGATAAGTGTCCCACTGTTGCTTATTTATGCTAAAATTTAAAAACACTCATCTATATAATATACAATAATATATATTTTGTAATTGTTGACTTTGTAATTGTCTTCATTTGTAAGCAGGCTTGGAGTCCCATAGGTGAACCCACCTCCCAGGTTTCAGCAATTCTCATGCCTCAACCTCCTGAGCAGCTGGGATTACAGGTGCCTACCACCAAGCCCAGCTAATTTTTGTATTTTTAGTAGAGACAGGGTTTCACCATGTTGGCCAGGCTGGTCTCGAACTCCTGACCTCAAGTGATCCACTGCCTCAGCCTCCCAAAGTGCTGGGATTACAGGCGTGAGTCACCATGCCTGGCCCAGAATTTATATTTTTCACAAACCAGTATTTCCTGGCAATAGCCCTAAATGTTCAGGATATTTTTGATCTATGCTTAAGAAACCTTTTACTCTTAAGTTTTTTTTTCCTCCCCTGGGACTGTTTCAAGTTCTTCCGTTAGTAATAAATGTGAATAAAAATTTATACCTGAAAGGCAAAACGTTATTGAATGCTTAATGAAATTTTTTCCTTTACATTAAATGTTTACATACTTTGCCACTCCTCGAAGGAGGGTTATGAATTAAATACCTAATACATTACAGCTGCTTAATAAACAGCCAATAAATGAACGCCAATGCATTTAAAAGTAATGAGTTTTAGGATATAAAAAATAGAAATCTCAGGTTTTTATTTGTAATCCTTCTAGAGTAAAGAAACAGATTGCGGCAATATTAGCAATTCGTAAATCACCATCCAAACCCACCATGAACAGATAGAGCAAACTGACTCAGTGAAAGAGAAATGACTGGAAGCAAAATGGGGTCAAAGTTCATGTCTTTAGGGCAGATACATTTTACCCAGTAATATTTCTCTTCCCAAGTCCCCTGAGTCGGTCCCAACTTACTGCCTTTTAGAGATCTCACTTTTATTGTAAGATAGCTTCTTACACGAAAACATTTACCACTTGTGCACGTATATATATATATATCTATACATATGCACACACATCCTTTGTATTCAACTGCCTGATAAACTGTAGTCATTTGTTCTGTGTTGTGGAGACTGATAAGTGAATCTTTTCCTTATCTGCCAGGGTAAACTGCCAACTTTCAAATACTCTTTGGTTTTCCCAGGTGAGTCATGCACCTTCCAGTGTCTGTAGCCCCAGGGCTGCTCATGCATGTGACTGGGTCTTAGTTTTTTGACCTAGAGAAGGCATACCAAAGTCTGCTTGAGCCAACATCTTTGCCAGGTGCCCTCATTGTGTTTATTTTTGTCATATAAACCTTAAGTGGATGGCAGGATTATGTTTCCACATGTGCACACCTGTTTACAGACCACCCACATCAGGTAGGGCAATCCCTCTGAGGGGCCGCAGCAGATTGTGAGGGGCTTCCTGTTTTCATTCCAACCTTCCTCTGAAACACTGGTGTGTAGTGGCAACGTTGTTCTTAAGCTTGAGCCCCCCGACCAAGTGAAGCATGAGAAAATGCAGCTTACCTTAGTCACAGGCAGCTAAGCACAGGTAGTTAATGGCAGGTAAATTAGCCACAGGCACCTTTGGAACCAGCAGCAGGTGCGGCAGACCGGACCCTCCTCGGAACGAGGAGCATGTGCAGAAGAGTTCGCACGGCAGGCTGGGAGTGCTGCCTCCAGGAAGGCCTGTTCTGGGGTTGAACCTTAGCTGTTGTCCGGGAACTTGGATTTCAGGGGGGTTCCTGCCACCCTAACGGATAAAAGTGCCTCACTGTGTCCAAACTATTTGTGCAAACAGTGTGGTTTATGCTGAACACCTGCTTTCCTTCTGGGATCTGGAGTTTTTTGGAACACGCCAGGCAGAAGGTGCCTATGTGGCCAGCACCCCCCATAAAAACCCAGGGCTCTGAGTCTCTAGTGAGCTTCTCTGGTTGACAGCATCTCAAATGTATTGTCGCAACTTGTTGATGGAGGAATTACGTGCGTTGTCTGGGATTCCACTGGAGAGGACTCTGGAAGCTTGGGCCTGGTTTCCTCCAGACCTCACCCCGTGTATCTTTTCCTTGTGCTGATTTCGCTCTGCATCTTTTTGCTGCAATCAACGGTAGCTGTGAGCGCAACTATATGGCAAGTCCTGCGGGCCCTCCTCCCGCGGAATCACTGAGCCTGGGGAGTTATTGGGGCCTCAACTCAGACAGGTATAAAAATTAATACACCTCCTAGAGCACAGAGATGAGCAATGTTCTTCCAGCTTTCTTTCCTTTTGCCCTCCCTGAGATTTTTTTTTTTTTTGCAATGAGCTTATACCTTGTCTATTTAAGGCATTTTTAATTTAGTGTTGGGATAAGTAGGGGCACTGAAATAGCATAAGATTTTCCCCCTTACCTCAAGAATAATTCAGCAAAATAATTCATAATATAGAGCAGGTACCAAATTATGTTATAAAGATTTCAGTATAGCTGGAGTCCAGTGTTTTTAAAATGTGGGTCAGTGAAGGCTGGAGTAGGAAGGAGGACAAGATTTAAGGTGGATCTTAAGGATGATGCGGTAGGCAGATTAATGGCCCGCAGAGAGGTCCAAGTCACAGCCCATGAAACCTGGGATTGTGTTAGGCTACATGGCAAAGGGAAATTCATGTTGTAGATGGAATGAAGGTTGCTAATCAGCTGACCTTACAATAGGGAGATGATCCAGGTGGACTCAATATAATTACACGGTCCTTAAACGTGGAAAAGGGTAGTGCACCTGCAGTCCCAGCTACTCAGGAGGCTGTGGTGGGATGATTGTTTGAGACAGGAGTTCGAGGCTGCAGTCAGGCATGATTGCAGCACTGCACTCCAGCCTGGGAGACAGAGCAAGCCCTTGTCTCTTAAAAAAAAGAGGGGGCAGGAGAGAAGGGCAGAGTGATGTGATGTGAGAAAGACTCACTCGCCATTCACAAAGCCATTGTGGGCTTTGAAGATGGAAGAAAAGGCCGTGAGCCAAGGCAGGCAGCTGGAGAGAAGCTGGAAAGACAAGGAGTGGATTCTCTGCTGCAGCCTCCAGGAGGAGCCGGCTCTGACGACACCTTCATTTTAGCCCAGTGACACCGTGTTGCACTTCTGACCCGAAGAACTATAAGATTATAAACTTGCGGCCGGGCACGGTGGCTCTTGCCTGTAATCCCAGCACTTTGGGAGGCCGAGGCGGGTGGTTCATGAGGTCAGGAGATCGAGACCATCCTGGCTAAAACGGTGAAACCCCGTCTCTACTAAAAAAATACAAAAAATTAGCCGGGCGTGGTGGCGGGCGCCTCTAGTCCCAGCTACTCAGGAGGCTGAGGCAGAAGAATGGCGTGAACCCGGGAGGTGGAGCTTGCAGTGAGCCGAGATTGGGCCACTGCACTTCAGCCTGGGCAACAGAGCGAGACTCTGTCTCAAAAAGAAAAAAGAAAAAAGAAAAAAAAAGATTGTAAACTTGTGCTGTTTTAAGCCATTAAGTTTGTGATAATTTGTGACAGCCACCATAGGAAATGCATTGAGATTTGTAGTATTTTGCGGGGTGAAGAGGAGGGTGAAAAGGAATGGACAAGCCTGTCAGGTCCCTGGATGGAGATTTAATGACGATGCCAAGACTATGGATCCTAGTGAGAATCCTGCATCCCCCGTGCCCTACAGCTACCAGGGAGATGAGGCACTGGGAGAGTTAGTACTCGGCTGGTGGTTTTGTGCCCTCTGGGCCTAGAAAGTATGTAATGCTGCCATCCCTGTATGCGCAGAAAGATGGTTAATGCAGCCCCACTCAGGGCAGTTTGGGGGCTTACCTGAATTTCCCCACTGGGAGCCTCTCTCCCGACTTAACCTCAACAGAGGCATCTTCTTCCAAGTGCTGCTTGTAACTCAGCCCCCAGTGCCTGAAGACACACCTTCAGCCTCTCTCCTGACGTTCCCCTGCCTTTCCAGGAGGCCCTGGAGGGAAGGACCCCACACTGGCTCTCTGCTGAGTGGCCCAGCTCTGGCCTATGGGACACGTGTGCGTTTGCCTTGCCCAGCACACGTTGGGGCTGCCACCATTCCCAGAGCAGTGCAGGCTCTTGGCGCCACCACCCAAGTGCCCTGTCAATTTCCAGGGCAGGAGTCAGAGCCCCATCTGCAGGTGACTCTGGCTTTCTCAAGACTGAGTTGACACCTGTGCTCTCAGCAAACATGTTTCTGAGCACTCTTGAACTCACTTGCTAAGCTTGGCTTGGAAAGTGTGAAGGGAGAGCTGGGGTCCGCAGCTGGAAAGACTCTCACCTCCTGCCTCTCTCCTGAACCCATTTGATGTCTCTCCTCTGGCCAAGGGGTAAATCTGCACATGTAAGTCTCATACACTTTGGCTCTTCATGGAATTGGTCCCTGTAGAAGCCGGGCCAGAAAGAATCTAGCACCCTCTTGCACTACAATTTATTGAGCCTTTACTTTGTGTCAGGCACCGTTCTAAGCAGTTTATATCTAAGATTGGATGGATTTCCACCACTCCTATTCCCATTTCGAGAAAGAGTACCCTTTCCCAAGACAGGAAAAACAGCCAGGGCCATAAAGGAGGGCCTTTTGTGACATCATCAGAAGTGGAGAAGAGGTACCCAGATCCCATTAGCAAAGTGCAGCCGAAGAGTCAAGCTAAGTTCACTGTGTCCCTTGCGGCATTGCCTTCCTCAGTGCTGGCTGCCATCATACAACCCCATAGCTTGTGTGGCTTAAACAGCAGACATTTATTTTCTCAGTGTTCTGGAGGCTGGAAGTCTGAGATCAGGATGCCAACATGGTCAGGTTTAGGGAGGGCTCCCTTCCTGGCTTGCAGACAGCTGCTTTCTCACTGTGTCCTCACATGGGCAGAGAGTGAGTGAGAGCAAGCTCTCTGGTGTCCCTAGTCCCTCATCGAAACTTCATTACCCCACGAAGGTCCCATCTCCAAATACCATCACGTTGGGGGTTAGGGCTCAACATATGTATTTGGGGGGACATCATCTGGTCCATAGCAGGCACTGTCCGGGTCAGAAGGCCTCCCAGGGATTTGGTCCTGAGGCTGGCTGTGGAAGGTGCCCTTGCTTCATCACCTCTGCACCTGCTCCACTGTAAGAACTGGGCAGACAGATTGGCAGCTTAGGCCAAGCAAGATAGATGGTACGGAGGCTCGACAGGAAGGTTTCTGGAGATCAGGAAGATAGGAATTAAGGAAGGTGAAGAGGAAGAAAAAGGGACTCCATGAAGAGGAGAGGGTCTCTAAAAGCTGGAAACATAAGTGAGGAGGTGAGAACCAGTCTGAAGCACCCACCTGTTAACTGGTGGGGGCAGGAAGGTGTTAGAGGAGCTAGGGAGCTGACCAGACGGGAGGAACCCTTCCCATTCTTCATGGAGGCAGATTATCGCTGGTCTGCAACTGGCATTCTTAGAGTTAGGAATCACTGTGTCCATTTTTCTAGACTTCTCTTATTGGTGATGATTTGACCTTTTCCTCTTGCACTAATGAGCAAGGTGGAGGAAAGAGATCTCTCTCTCTCACACATATACTATCTCACTCAATGCCCACCAATCCTAAGAGGCAGGAACAATTGGGTTACGCCATAGTGAACTGCCCTTCTGTAGGTCAAAATTTAAATGTAGGTGATGTCACAGAGTTTAACCTAGTATTACCATCAATGCCATTATACAGATTAGGAGACTGAGGCTTCGGAAGGTTAAGTCATTTGCTCAAGCTCACACATTTGGTGAGTCAGGGAGCTTGGATGTGAACTGGGGCCTAACTCCCAAACCTGCTGTGGTAGGCTGCCATCCATGGAAACAGGGGTTCCTGCGGGAATGTGTAAGAGATGAGGTTGGTAAGTATGACTTTTAGATGCCAGGAGTTGACCTGTGTGGCTACCAATGGGAAGCCCCTGAAGACAGAAAGGTAGGGTAGCAAAGTAGAATCAACAGGGAAGGGATGAGGAGGCCGGAGGGTAAGTAGGCCACTGCGAGATCAGGACGAAATTTACTGGGATCGTGAGATGCTGGAAGGAAGGATCAGAGAATCTGGGACCATGCTCTGCATCTTTTTGCTGCAATAAATGGTATTGCATGAGATACCATTTATTGCCATGTGTCCTCATTGTAGTCATTTTTGTAATTTATATGACAAGAAAAAATGACAGGGTGATTTTTACATATGTGCATACCTATTTACACACCTTCCAGATCAGGAGTGGTGATCTGAGCTCACTAGATATGCTCAATTAGGTAATAATCAATTCAGGTCATCAAATTGATCACCCAAATCAATTTAGGAAATTGATGACCTCAATTAAGGCAAATATATACAATGAAATATATGCAGCTGTTAGAAAGGGCTAGATCCCATATACTAAAATGGAAAGAAAGCCCTTTGAAACCTAAGAAAACTGTGTTTCCATTATGTGAGTAGAAATCTTGTGTACACAGAAAAATGGTCTTTCTTCTTCCCCTCCCCTCCCCTCCCGTCCTCTGAGACGGAGTCTTGCTCTGTTGCCCAGGCTGGAGTGCGGTGGCGTGATCTCGGCTCACTGCAACTTCCGCCTCCTGGGTTCAAACTATTTTCCTGCCTCCTGAGTAGGTGGGACTACAGGCGTGCGCCACCATGCCCAGCTAAGTTCTTTGTATTTTTAGTAGAGACAGGGGTTTCACCATGTTGGCCAGGCTGGTCTTGGACTCCTGACGTCAGGTGATCTGCCCGCCTCGGCCTCCCAAAATGCTGGGATTACAGGCATGAGCCACCGTGCCCAGCCAGAAAAATGGTCTTTCAATTGGAAATGTAATTCCAGAGAATAAAGAATAGAACCACACTGTAATATGACAAGTAATAACACACACAAGCGCTAAAGGATTTTTTTTTTTTTTTTTTTTTTGCCTCCCGATATCTGAGGGGCAGGCTCCGTGGAGCCTCCAGGCTGAGAGGCTGAGACTGGCAGAGCAGGCTGGGTTCTGGATTCTGATACTCCTGGGCAGGAGTGTCTCAAAGATTGAGACATTATGTTCATTCTTTGGGGCTCCTGTTCTTGGCACTATATCTAGCACATAGTAGTTGCCTCATAAATACCCATTAAATAAGAGCAGAACTAAACACATCTGGTTAGAAATTGTTCCTAGGCAGCAAGGAACCAACACGTGGAAAATATGGGGTTTCTGGAGCAGTGTTAATGCAAGCCAGTTCCTGTAATGTACATAGTGACACCTACTGCCAATGACACGTGCTGGAGCCCTTCCACTGTTGATTTCCTATATTCACTTACCCTTGTCTTTAAGTGGATGTTGGTGGAAACTTGAGGATACATCTTTGTGCAGCAGACAGCATTTGTAAGTAAATCTGTGTAGGCTTAGGGCCACATTGATAAAAATATATGAGAGTAAACATATACAGAAGCTGTTTTAAGAACTTCTGATGTCCTAGATGCTCTGATTTCTGGAAGCTCCATCCCACATCGTAGCAAATATATTAAAACACTCTCATATTCTCTAAATACTCTTAAATAATGTGAGTGTTAAAACAGTAGTTTCATTTGAAATTATTTGATGTTGCGGAACTCACTTTCTAATGACTATGACTTCCCGGCAATCACGGCATTAGGGAATTCATACCAAGTGATGTCTAAGTTATAGTTTCAAAATATAATGAAACATTTATCCATCAATACATTACAATTATGAAATTAACATGTTTTGGGGACCTTCATTTAAACATTTATTAATCTCAGATTTGCAGTATACTTTTTGTATTGTGCAGTCAATAAAATTTTCAGTCTCAAACATTTTCATAGGTCCCTGAAAAGCTCAACGCAAAAAACAGCCCCCATGTGTGATTCTCTACTGGGCAATAAAAGCCAATCGCGACCCTCATTTTCCCCCCATTCCAGGGCTTCCCCAGGATAGAACGCGGAAACGCTTCTTTTTCCGTTTCCAGGGATTTCTTTCTTTTTCCAGTGTCGTTCTCCCTCTCCCCCACTTCATTTTTACAATAAATGTCAGTGCACACCCAGGAGCGGGTGGTCCCACAGGGGACATCTTAACGCCCACCCAGGAGCGGCTGGTCCCACAGAGGACCTCTTAACGCTGACGCTTTCTGGAGAAAAGGATTTGTGATGAAAATTTCCCCAAGGGGACCTTCTAGCGCCTAGCACCTTCGATGCTCCTGTTTCAGTCGCGGTCTCAGCGGGCAGTGGCCTCCTTTGAAGCTGGGATTCTCCTGCCCCTCCCGGGCAGCGCAGGCCACCGGTGACCCGGGACGGTCTGTAAACGACCTTCGCGTCCCCGTCCCCGTGGAATAACGCGCGGCGGGCATCACTGCCCAATATCCAGCGCTCGTGAAGGCGGAGACCGGCGGGGCAGCTAGTTTCTGGCTGTGGATTCTGATTAATGGGCCGCAGGCGCACGGTCTGCACCGTCCGGCTCGTTGCTAGTGGCTCGCTCGGGAGCCGCCGCACTCCCGGGGCTGTCCGCCCGAGCCGGCCTGGAAGGCGGAGGACGCCTCCAGGTCGCTCCGCGGGGCCTCCGGAATTCCTGGGAAAGCCCCCCTGCAGCGCCGCCCCTGGACCCCAGGTGTGAGGAGCGGGGCTCGGCCAGCGGCTCCAGAAGAGGCCCGGACCCCACTGCCGTGGCTGCCGGGGGCGGGAAAGTGATTTCTCGGAAAGCAGAGCACTTCGAAGAAGGCGGGCCGCGCGAGCCAAGCTGACGCTATTGGTCGGTGTGGCCGTCGCTCTGCGCACCGCCCGTCCCCCCCACGACCCTTTTTAAGGCCGCGCGACCGCTGGCGCATCGCCTGGAGCGCGGCAGCAAGCGTGGGAACGCGGGCGGCGAGACGGCGGCAGGACGGCGGCAGGTAGGCACAGTGGGCGGGTAGGGCGCCCGTGTCCCGCGCGGTCCGGTCCCGCGGGGTCCCCGACGCCAGGCGGGGCGTGGGGGTGGAACTACCTACCGTAATGTCCCCGGGCGCAGCTCAGTGGCCACCCGTGTCCCTCTCTGCTTTTTGCCTATTTTCCAGCCACCTAAGTCCAATCTGAATGCCCAAGTCGTTGATTGTCGTTTGCCTGTTTCCAAAGATTGGTAGATAGATGCCTTTTTAAAAATCTCATTTTTCTTTAAATCTGGTTTACATGGAAAACGTTAGGAGAGCTCATATAATGAACGGCAATAGCAACCCCCTATCTTGAAACGCGCTCTATCATCCCACTGAAATTCTACCACGTGGAATAATGCTTGGAGGGTCAGAGTTGTGGAACTGCCCAATAACCAGTCGTTACTGAGGGTTAGTTTGTGAAGGAGGGGACAGACTGCTTCTAAAATTCTGTTTAATGACAGTCAATTAAGATTTCTGAGTCTGGCTTGAGGGCCTTTGCTTCCATCACAGCCCAGTCGTCCTTGGCAAGAGAGTCTGTATATGGGCCACAGCTCACAAAAGCATTGTTTGAAAAAATTTATTGAAAGAACATTGTTTGTAAAATGAGTCCCAATACATAGGACAGACTTTCCTAAGGTGAGATGTGTTACTTACCCAGAGCTGTGAAAGGCTTTACGGATGGAAACTAGAGACTGAATTTTCCAGAATTTTAAGAAGTCTCCCCAACCAATGGCCCCCCACTTTCTTTTTTTAAACCAAAGGTAAGAACTGGTAGTTAAAATGACAGTTCAAAGCTTGTCCTTTTGGGTTACGGCAGCTTCCTCTATGAAAAGATTTGGGAGTGATTCAGTCACTTGAGGAAGGTTGGTGCCAGAGAGAGAAATGGCTTTGGTGCTTTCTGGTCTAGTGATGCGGGTATGCTAGGCCAGAGCGAGTGCCCTGGGCCCTCCGAGGCGGGGGAGAGGGTGGGGTCTGCTGCTGCCAGCTCAGGTGTGACCTGTAATCTGGATTAGGTGGGCCCAGGGCAACCTCTTATCACGTCCCTCCTGGAAAGCCTGACTGCTGTATACATTTCTAGGGCTGCAGATAGGGCTTGGCCAATAGATTACCTCAAAATCAAGAAGAGGAAGTTATAAACATGTGATTAGACTTATTAATTTTTCCTGGCTGGGCATTTGGTGGAATTCGTTTGTTAATGTTTAATAAATCATTATGGATCATAACTGTAGTAGAATCTCAGGCTTTTGATGTTACTTAGAATCTTGGAGGAGACCACGAAGGACACACAGACGTGGCTGCACATGTGCAGAGATCTTGTAACGTAACTATGGCTTTTCTCTGCACCATGTGTGAAATAAGCTGCCGCTGGCGTTGGGGCGCCGGCCTGGGTTCCAACACAGTCCGCTGGCTGCCTCGGTATTTGCCGTGCCTCTCTGGGCCTCAGTTTTTCCTCTCTTAAATAAAGAGGGGACTGGATTAGATGATTTCTAAAGTATTTTCCAGCTTTCAGATGCTATGACTTACTCTTCTCTTTTTCCTTTTAAAATTTCTTTTTCCTGTAAATCACCAAGATAGTTGTCCTGAACAGTTTAGA
Source organism: Homo sapiens (assembly GCF_000001405.40). NCBI lineage: Eukaryota > Metazoa > Chordata > Mammalia > Primates > Hominidae > Homo > Homo sapiens. The sequence goes on from NC_000016.10 coordinate 85,900,836, forward strand.
TGTTATGAATCCATTAGGAATCCTGATAAGAAAGTGTTGACCCTCTTTCTAGAAAAATGCGTGTACTAACAAAATTTTGCTTTTGGTTGCAGGAGGCTCAGGAACTGTGGATTCTAGTTTAAGAAACTTGTAGCAAGGAAATCAGGGGAGTTGAAAGTCTCAGAAGCCAACCCCTATGTTGTGTTCTGGCCACCTCTGTGCAGCTCATTCCTCAATCTAGGAGAAATTTTTCTACCTTGCCCCAGGAAAGAGCTGCTAACTTGTTTTCGGGGAGTGTGGGGGGGTCTTTGGTATTGGTGTTCCATTTCTCTTCTCAGGTACCCTCTCCCAAGTCTGTCCCTTCTTTATGATAAACACAGTGGCCTGCTTTAGAATTCTGGGTCTCTTGAGATACAGCCTCTCAACTTACAGGTGAGGAAGCCTCAGGGAGAGGTTCAAGTGACGTCACAAGGTCTGGTTAGAGAAAAGCCTTTGCCAGAGTTCAGAGTTTTCAAACCAAGGTCTAATTTGGGTGGGCGCAGTGGCTCACACCTGTAATCACAGCACTTTAGGAGGCTGATGTGGGAGGATCACTTGAGGCCGAGAGTTCAAGACCAGACTGGGCAACATAGCGAGATCCTGTCTCTAAAATGTATATCTGGGTGTGGTGGCATATGTCTGTAGTTCCAGGTACTCAAGGGGCTGAGGCAGGAAGATCGCTTAAGCCCAGGAGTTCCAGGCTGCCGCGAGCTATGATGGCACCACTGCACTCCTGCCTGGGTGACAGAGCAAGACCCTGTCTCTAAAGAAAAAAAAATTGAACTCATCCCCTTTTAAATCCATAAACGCACAACTGAGGTTGTTGGATGGGGAATTTAAGAAATCCCACCTCCTCCTCCCTGGGACCTGGCCCTGTTTCCCGTCTCATGGCCACCTGCAGGGTGGCTGAAGTTTCCAGAATGCGTACTTCTTGTGAAGGTTCTGATTGATATTTTGCTTTCTGGACCAGTGTGGCTCTACCATATTTTGGGATGTTATGTCTTGTTACTGCTGATTGTTTCAAACTCGTTTGCCCAAAGAGGTCACATTTTAATCAGAAGAACAAAAATGCTATTTTTTTTTTTTTTTGGGTGGGCGTCTATCCAGCTGTCTTGGGGATTTCCAGCACTGTTCTTGGAAATGTTGGCTCTAAGTCGATAGGTCATGCTAGTTCTCTCTCTCTTTCTCTGTGCTGTTGGGGAAGCTGTCTGCTTGGGTGAGAGTGTTCTTCCAAAGGATGTCTTTGGGTGCCCTGGGATGGTTAGGTCCCTAGAGTGGGACATGTTCTGGAAGAGGAGCCCAGTGAACTTTGCCCTGTTCGGTAGCTGCAGTTTATTTCCTCACTCTTGTCCCTATCTTTCAGTTGGTCGTAGGAGTTGCCCAGGAAGGAAGTTTGGATAATAATAATGACATCTGGCATGTAAGGTCCAGGCCCTGTCTCAGTTGCTTTCCGTGTAGCATCTGAATTCTCTTACAACCAGTACAGGTAGTGTTTTGTTAGCTGCATCTGGGACTGGGTAGCTGATGCCCTGAGTTTAAATGCTGATCCAGCGTCTCCCAGCTGAGCGGTGGCGGGACTTGAATGAGATCGCGGTTCTGTCTCATTCTCAAACTGCTGCTCTTATCACTGTGAAGGAACAGCTATTTAGATGGGCTGGCCTGAGGGCCTCCTCTTTCCCAGACGGCACGGACGCAGTATTCTATCAGGGAATGTGGGGCCAGCTGGGCATCTGGTAGCCCAGTTGGTTCTTCGGATAATGGGCTGCTCAGTGAAGGAACCTGGTGCTGTAAAAGTGATTCCCCCTCTCCTTCCAGTCTTGGGCTAAAACTGGAGCTGTTCACTGTGGTTGTATCTGCCTGAAAGGAAAGGGCAGATGAAAGCTGGAAGGAGCACAGCCAGCACAGTGGGAGGGGCCTGCAGGGGGCTGCTGGTGGCTGCAGGTTTCCCACGGAGCTTTCAGTTTGCACTCAGGGCTGTGAGGTCATGGAGGCCAGCATTGCCTTCTCATGGCAGGTGTCCCGGAGTCCCTGAATCTGTGGGTTTCCCCCAAGCCAGCACCTTTGCTGCAAACCTCTGAGTTTCCTGTTAGCAGTTTTTGGGTTGCTGTGATGAATGAGACAATATCCGTAATATCACAGCGTGTATTTCTGTCTTTCCAAGGATGTGTGACCGGAATGGTGGTCGGCGGCTTCGACAGTGGCTGATCGAGCAGATTGACAGTAGCATGTATCCAGGACTGATTTGGGAGAATGAGGAGAAGAGCATGTTCCGGATCCCTTGGAAACACGCTGGCAAGCAAGATTATAATCAGGAAGTGGATGCCTCCATTTTTAAGGTAAAGAGCCCAGCTCCCTTCCCCACTGTGGGCACAGTGTCTCCTTTCCCTCATGGACTAGTGGAGATGTTGAGTGACATCTTTCTCATTTACTTAAAAATTAATCCAGTTTTTTAAAAGCAAACATTGGTTCAGGAGTGCTGAATGTGTCTCAGACATGTACATGAGCTGATTTCACATCTTTTGAATTACGGAGTCACTTTTGTGGTCGCTTGTATTCTGATGAGGAGATCGAAGGCTCTTTTCTTCTCTTTTCTGCTGCTTCCTTTTCCTGATGAGCCAAGTGGGAGAAAATACTTCGAGACCTTCACGCTAAGACCTTTCCCCACGGGCTTCCATTAGAGGCGATGCATATACCAGGGAAGGTTTCAGTCCTTGTTCTTTCAAAGCTGATACTTCTGCCTGGCATTGTAGGGCCAGCTCAGGAGGGTGAGATGCCATCTGTCATTCCTTTGGGGGCTGGGCCGTGTGGGGGGTTGTGAACCTGCAGCAGATGTCTAAAAATAGTCTCACCTCCCTTGAGAGTAATCGGTTCCCCATGCGTGGAGAGACGTGATGGAGGGTTTGTTCTGTGCCAGGCCTGGCCCACGGCTTGTTTTCTGCTCACATGATCCTGTGTGGTAGATGCTGTTCCCACCCTCATTCTATAGAGGCACTGAGAGGAGAAGTGACTTGTTGAGGTCTCACAGCTCTTGTATGACGGAGCCAGCATTCAGATGCAAGATGGCCCAACTGTGAACCCTTGGTCCTAACTCCAGAATAGCTGATCAACAGAGATTTCTTGCCATTACACCTAGATTCAGACAGAGGAACCAGGAATTAGGGCAGCCCAGCTCTGCAGACCAGCTGGGCTATCGAATCCCTTGTGGGTCATCAGAGTCCTGTGTGGGCATCTCTAAGGCTCCAGATGTCCAGGTTTCACCTCTGGGAGATTCGGAGCCCAAGGTCAAGGTCAAGCTAGACTTCCACGTTTGCCAGTGTGGACACTACACGTAGTCTGAGTCCTAGCCCAGGTTATAAGCCATTGCCATGTGTGCTTATTCTCTTGCATTTGGGGGCCAGAGATGGGGAGGGGAGAGTGAGTGTGGGAGAGGGGTGAAAGGGGCTGAGTTGTTGGGGGCCAGAATCAGACCTGAGACCACAAACAAGGTGTGGAGGGGGTCAAGGCTGTAGGAGCCCATGACAGTGCTGGACTCCCAGCCACAGATGACTGTCCCCTGACACCAGAGAACAAAAATGACAAAAGATCACACCTTAACCCCAGAGTGGACCATAAATAGGTCAAAGGTAGCTTAAGATGCATTTTGGTCCTGCACGTCTCTGCCTGACCGATGTTTGCAGTGGGGCTGTGCGTTTCAGTAATTCTGTTAAATCTGCAATTTGAGGTTGCTGATCTTCTTGAGAATCTGATGCCCATTACTGACCACGCCAAGGAATATGGGGACAAGGGAACGCTTTGCACTCACTTTCGAGGGGTCCCTTGGTGCCCCCACACGTTCCAGATTCTTTCTGATCAAGGACCCCAGGTCAGGGAGCCTCAGCACCAAGAAGTTTTGTGATGCCACTGCCTGCCTCCTCACCCTTAGTGCCATTGTGGATTTCTCTCTTGTTTGATTGCAGATCTTTTTTTTTTTTTTTTTTTTGCCTTTGGCATCATGGTGAACTTCTCTTGGGAAGGACTGCAAATGTAAACAGTGCCAGAGTCCCATTCAGTCGGTTGGGAACTCTGCATTATAGATAACCCCAAAAGCCGGAATTTCTCTGCCTCGCCACTGTTGATGTCTGGGTCTGGGCAATTCTTTGTTGTAAGGGTTCCCTATGCCTTGTGGGATGTTTAGTGGCATCTCTGACCTCTACCCACCAGATGCCAGTAGCATCCCCTCCCCTACTGTCACAATCAAAAATGTCTTGGACATTGCCAAATATCTCCTGGTGGGGCAGAGTCTTCCCCTCCCCATTAAGAACCCTGATAAGAGCTGGCCACTGCCAGGATCAACAGACTTAACCAGAGGTGTTGGGTGCTGAAGGCACAGTTGCAGGTTGGACATCAGTAAAACATCTTTAAGACATGGCAGAGGGTGCTGGACTAGGCTGTGTAGCCCTGACATGTGGCATGCTGACGGAGACGAAGCTTCTCCCTTCACCCCATTCCCTACTTCAACTTGTGCTCGGGGGGTAATGAAATAAAGCCCCAGATTTATACATCTTATGCAATGTTCTTCATGGCCGTTTCAACAGTGTTGAGAAAAATGTGCAAGATTCCCAATGTTTCCGTTGGTTACGCAGTCGCCTGATGTGGCAATCTGAAATGAGTCTACCATCTCAGCAGGAATGGGGCCAGGAGGGAGACGCGGGTGCCCACTGGAGCAGGGAGGCCATCGGGAGGGCCACCAGTGCCGGTGGAGACATGGCGCCAGCAAGAGCCCATCATGTGCTTCCCTGAGCTATGCTTCTTCCCATCCATCCTCTGAGAGGCCTGTCTCTGTGACGTTGGCCGGATAGATCTTTGGCTGTTGGATGAAGTCAACCTCGGTCAGGTAGAGCCATCTTAGGGATTTTCCGGTTATGTAGACACTTGTTTCTTTCAACTGTTCAAAGAAAACCTTTCAACAATTTAGGAGTTAAGAAAGAAATTTATGAGTTTGGTTTCTTCCGTAATAAGTGGATGGTAAAAGGGGCCACTTATACCAGAAAATCCCTCATTGTCTGCAGGCATCATCCTGAGGCCGGCCTCATGGTATAGATCACAGAAGAGAAATTGAAAAAACATTGAGCTCATTTTGTACCGACCCTGAGTACACTGATGAGGCCCTGATAGCAACTCATTTAATTTTTAAAAAGTACTTTACCTTCTTGACATGACGACAAGGGGGGAAAATCTAGTTAAGTGAGGATTATGATTCATGGTTATTCCAGGCATCGTAACAGTCCTGAATGAGTTAAAGCTCACTTAGTAGCACAGATATTTCTCATTCAGCAGGCCTTGAAGGGAAAAATAGCATTTAATTAAAAAAATGCAACATGAAACAATCATATTAAATTAGGAAGACCTCCTGGTCTTAGTTCAGTGCTGTCAGCCTGAGTTGTGCGTCAACAGGAGAAATAAGTTATGGTGGAGGCTGAATGAGCCATAGTGACTGTTGCTGGCGGCAGGGGTGGGGGGGCCCTGAAATCACTCTCATGTCTAGTTTTTGCTCTAGCTCAAGAAGGATCTCGAGAGATCATCAAGCTAAGTTGACCTTTTAATGCTGGCCAGAGAGGCTGGGAGAGGGCCAGGTGCCTGCTGTGTCACAGAGTTCAGGGCAGGCGGCAAGCCAGGTACCCGATGGTGGCCCTGGATGCTTCCTGGCCGTGGGCCCTGCTGTGATGGATGATGTGGCCTGGACTTGCTCGTGGGGTGAGTGTGAGCTTGGCGTGAACGAGTGAGTATGGCAGTGCCTTGCAGGCACCGCGGTTGCGTATGTGTACCAGCGGATCACAACGTTGCCATGAAATCTGTGCATTTCAAGGCCCGTTTGGGATGTGGGTTAACTCAGTGGTTCTCAGGTGGGGGAGGTATCATGATTTACCCTCCAGGGAATACTTGGCCATGTTTGGAGACCTTTTTTGGTTGTCACAGCTAGGGGAGGGGTGCTATTGGCATCTGGTGGGTCAAGGCTAGGGATGCCGCTGAATATTCTACAATCCACAGGACCACCCCGCCACAAAGAAGGGTCCCAGCTGATATGTCAGGCTTGCCACGGTGGGGAAACCCTGATTTAAAGTAATAAAAATTTGAAACTACAGTTGATTTAGTACATGGTTTGCTGGTTTATTTCTTTAAAAATAAACAACAGCAACAAAACCCAAATTAATGCCCGGTCAGTGATGCAGTCAATGAAGAGAGCATTAAAGACCGTGTGCTTTAAGAAATAGTTTTAGAGGGGAGTTTTACATCAATGTCACATGAGGAAACTACCACTTATGCTCACTAATGGGAATGTTCTTCCAGTCTCTTTACCCCAGGTAGAGGTGCAACATTTTGCATCAACAAAGTAGGCAGCATTGGCCTTGAACAGTAAGCATTCTTGTCTTTTTTGAGAGGAAAAACAGTCTGGGCTATTTTAAAGGAGCTGTGACTCATGGGGGCATGATGGAGTTTCTGGAAGTGTGGTCTCCTGGGTAGCTAAATCCAAATCCCTGGAATACTGGCTAAAGACAGCTACCTGGGCCGGGCGCGGTGGCTCACGCCTGTAAGCCCAGCACTTTGGGAGGCCGAGGCAGGCGGATCACGAGGTCAAGAGATCAAGACCATCCTGGCCAACATGGTGAAACCTCGTCTGTACTAAAAATACAAAAATTAGCTGGGTATGGTGGTGCACACCTGTAGTCCCAGCTACTTGGGAGGCTGAGGTAGGAGGATTCGCTTGAACCTGGTAGGTGGAGGTTGCAGTGAGCCAGATTGCGCCACTGCATTCCAGACTGGTGACAGAGTGAGACTCCGTCTCAAAAAAATAAAAAAACTAAAATAAATAAAAATAAAAAATAAAAAAAGACAGCTACCGAGACCCAACCTCCCTTCCCCAGTGAGAATCTTGAGGGGCAAGGCCCAGGAATCTGCATTTTCACAAGCTTCCCAGGGGCAGGGGGTTGGTATATGCATTAAGCCTGAGAACACTTGCTGTGGTGGGGAAACTGTTGGGTTGGAAGTGGGTACAGCTGGCATTTAATCCCAGACTGGGTGGCCTTGGGAAAGTTACTTACCTCTTGGAATTGCATTTTCCTGAAGTGGGTACAGCTGGCATTTAATCCCAGACTGGGTGGCCTTGGGAAAGTTACTTACCTCTTGGAATTGCATTTTCCTGAAGTGGGTACAGCTGGCATTTAATCCCAGACTGGGTGACCTTGCGAAAGTTACTTACCTCTTGGAATTGCATTTTCCTGAATGGGATCGGGATGTCCCTACAGATCTCCTATCATTTTAGGCTGGAGGACACTGCCTGATTTTTCCTGAAACCGAAGATAATTCTCATCTGACTGTGGTTACCTCCTAGTTGGTGTGTCTGTATTCCAATTTTGCAAGCTTAAAATCTGTCCATTCACCTGTCTTATTTTTTTAAAATCTGTACTGCCCCATTCTACATTATGACTTTAAGATTTCAGCTTTGAATTTCTGGTCCTAGTTCAGATCCTAAGGTTTGGAAAAGTCAGAAAACAGATCTATTAAAAAAAACACACACACATTAAAGGGAAAGTACTTCATTACATTTTAAACAGCACCTGGGGGGAAAAGTCTAGAATAAATGCAAAAATGCAAAACAAAATTTCTATTAAAAGTAACAGGGCGATGGATGACCATTTTGACTTTTTGCAAATGTTCCCTTTTCATGCTAAATTTTAGGGGTTGATCTGAAAAAGCAACAACTTGTTCTTTGTTTTGAACGCTCTGGTGAAACCATATGCAACTTCCTCTTTGTGCTGTGTAAACCTCAGGTGTCTCCAGCTCTTCAGCCAGGCAAGGGCTTGGCTAAAAGGTGCACTCCAGGGTTGGAGGAGCCTTCAGCCTGGGTTCGACTTCTGACTCAGCTGTATGAACCTGGGGGACCCCCTCCCTGGCTTGGGTCTTTCCACATCTGGTCCCCAGATGTGAAAAGACTCAAGACATCTGATTGGAGTCTCTTTGGGTCCTGAAATTGAATGAGAGTTGATGGCCAACAAAGATTCATGGGAAGGGAAGGATGTGTGGGGTCCTGGTCATGGTGACGGATATTTGTGATTGGAGTCGGCCATGAATTTAATGTGCTTCTGTTTCTTTCTTCAGGCCTGGGCAGTTTTTAAAGGGAAGTTTAAAGAAGGGGACAAAGCTGAACCAGCCACTTGGAAGACGAGGTTACGCTGTGCTTTGAATAAGAGCCCAGATTTTGAGGAAGTGACGGACCGGTCCCAACTGGACATTTCCGAGCCATACAAAGTTTACCGAATTGTTCCTGAGGAAGAGCAAAAATGTAACTATCCTTTATGGGCATGAAACCTTCCAGAAGCTGCCCTGGCCTGTAGCCTTCACCACAGAACTTGGGTCTGGGGTAGACACAGGGTCTGGGGCACATAGTTTCAGTTAAACAAAGCAGTTCTCTCCTTCGTGTAAGCAGAAATTGAGATCTCTTTCCAGTGACCTCAGAGGGAAGGGCGGAGGAGATTGGGTGCTGCCCAACCTGTGCCCCACTTGCTGCCTGACCACAGACATTTGTAGGGCCTCCCTGGACAGGAACAAGCATCCTCCAGCAGTTTCTGATGAGGAATCCTTTCATTTTCCAGCAGCTTGCAGAGGAGGCCAGGGGAAAATATGGTGACCACAGAAGGCCTGGATCATGAGGGTTGGGAGTAAAGCTCTCAGATGAAGTTGTCAAAGATGGCACCATGGCCTTCGTTGTTGGAGATGGGATATGCCTCAGTGTGTTACTAGATCCTGATTGTTATTTGGGAACTCCGGGATGTGATCATTCCTGAGGTTTCTTCCAGCTCTCAAATCCCAAGAAAGCATTTGTGACAGATTAAAGCAGGACAGCAAAAACATGCCGCACCCTGGTCCTACATCACTAAAATAAATCCCAAAGTACTGAGCTGGGATCTGGCCTCAGAAGGCTTCTCAAAGCCCTGTGCTGTGCCGCTGCCATGAATTGTAGCTGATTTATGAGATAAAACCTAATTACCAGCGCTGGTTTAGAACATGCTTTTAACACATTGATTTTCTTAGCCACTTGATGAGGCTTTTAGAATAACCCACTCTGGCTTTCTCCTTCTAAGCTTCTGAGTAGTCCACGAATGCCTGTAAGAAACAGAAACCCCCAAAACTTCTTGGGGCTGTGCAGAAGTTTGAAGTTTGCACTCTTCCCGCTGTGGGGGTGTTGACTTAGAATTTTTTAAGAAGTTAAAATGGTGATTCAAACAAATCTATAGTGAATCTGTGTCAGAGAGTTGTGTAATCGTCATGAAGGAGGCAGCATGATGGTAAAGATGGTGGACAGAGAATCCGAGGTGCTGGTGAATGTGGCCCATGAACGAGAAAGCTGAGCCAAAGCCGATGCCCGACCCGGACAGTACAATTGCGGTTTGGGGCGTTTGTAGCCTAATCGTCTGCAATTAGCACCTAACTCTACTGAGCGTGAACCCTAGTCAATACTAAATAGTAAGGCCAACAAACTGACCTTCCCTTGGAGAATCGGGTGCCCTTTAGGAGGAAACCTCTATATAATAGTCTGGGGTGACCCTGAAAGGCTAAGCAGTCATCTTTTTGCCTCATTTCCCAGTTTTGGACAATTTTTTTTATCACCAAAAAGTAAAGTGTGATTTGAAGGAATAGAGAAGTTTCTTTTGGCCCCTACTGCCACCCCCAAGATCAGTCAGGCTTGAACCGGCAGGTGACCCCAACTTGTTTATAGCATGGGGTGCAGCCAGCATCACCTGCTAGTGATGTTAAAGAAGCAGCAGGAGGTTCTCAGGGGTGAAGCAATGTAGCATTTGCATAATTGCCTACAGGGGCCCACTCGCCTCTAACCTCAGTGGTTTGCAGGCTCCATGGTGGGCGCCCCACCTGCTCCCTACTTCCCCATCAGTAGCTTCTCAGTGAATTCTTTAATCTATCGAAATGGAATCAAAATTCAGCCAGGAGGAAACAGTGGGTAAATTCTGTAGGTCACTGGGAATAATGAATTTTTGTAAGTGTTGGTTGTGATACGTCTCACACTGATAAACTTCATAAGGTAAGTTGTCGACTGAGGAAGCGGCATGAGAAGGGAAAGAGCAGAGGCTGGCCCAGCGTGCCCCTGTGGACACTGTGCACCTTTAGGCGGTTTGTGATTACGGCTGGTGCCCACTGGGCATCAGTGAGGGTGCTGCGGTGTGTGTGTGTGCATGGCTGTGTGCACTGATGCACATGTGTATATTTGGAAAGGCCAAAAAGAGATTTCCTGCCAACTGGCAATACAAAAAAGACCCCAACCTGCCAACACGTTTTGCCAGGAAATCGGTGAGTGTTTTCAAATGCCCTGTCTTATAAATGTAACCTTCTTAAGTTAGCAAATGCTTGCTGTAAAGTATATCTGATACAGACTCATTTTGGATCTCAGAAAATAGAAGAAAGAGACCAAAGTGCTGTCTTTATCCTTTAAAAGTGTTAGCAGAAACAACCACCACCACCACCACCACCAACTTCTCTCTTTTGACTTTGCTGATCAGATGACTGAAGCATGGGAAAAAAATTCTGTGCCTTTCCCAAACCAATGAAGACACTCACTAACTTAATGTTTCCTTAAACTCAGCATTTACAGAGTAGATTATGGCTTCAGCAAAGGCTGTGATGCCTCCGTGCCATGTGTCATGGTGTTTGTCTGGTTTTCTGTAGGCAAACTAGGCGTGGCAACTGCTGGCTGCGTGAATGAAGTTACAGAGATGGAGTGCGGTCGCTCTGAAATCGACGAGCTGATCAAGGAGGTAAGCAGAGGCAGCATTTCAGGGGTCTGGCCCTGCCAGGAGGAGTCTCATGTCTTCTGGCAGGGAGGGGCACCGTTCTTGCTGTATGAAGGCAGCCAGACCCTCGGGCTCGCTGAGGAAGTGGCATCTCCACCTGTACAGATCTGGAACGGAAGGACTGGCTGGGCGCCCCCTCCCCAGGCCAGCTTCTGCCGACAGGTCAACCCCTCACGCCAGATCCCTCCTTCATCCCTAGGGCTGGGCCTGAGCTGCCGGTTATGTGTCAGTGAAGTTCCTTCCAGCTCCAAACTGTTCGAACACTTTGGACAGCAGTCTTTTAAATGGCATCGTGAATTCCCTTGCCTTCCTAGCAGGCTACAGAGAACAAAATGTAAACTTTCCTTGCTGCCTGCGCTTGTCATGATGGCGGGTGTTGTTGTACCAGCTCTCATGGCTATTTGATTGCTTCCTTTTTAATGTGCAGTTTTTATTCCTTAACGGATTGGAAAGCTGGATAACCAAGCATGTTCACATTGCACATAAATTCCTAACAGGCTACAAGGGAGAGCATAATCGGGGCCTCCTTAGGCAAGAATACATGGCTTTTGTATACCCATTTCAGCTATTGGGATGCCCTTTTCTTCTGTCTTTGGCCTCTTAACTATGCTTTTCATGGGTATTACAAGGTGGACATTTGCATGACTAAACCTCGTGCAGCCTTTGCAAAAGGTTGTGTGTGAGTACTGCATAAATTCTTCTTCTTAATAACATAGCAATAATGGAATCCTTAAGAGTAGCTTGGCTGTCAGAGAATGAAGATAACAGAATGTAACCTACCCGAACGGCCTTGCTCTTCTGCACAGGCAGCTGCCAAGTGTCTGGGTGGTCTTTGGCAGCCGACTGAGTGAATTCTTGGCTTCGTGGCCCTCCACCAATGTCCTGTTTTCTGTAGAAGGCTTTTCTGCTGACTCAGCTGAGAGAGTGAGATAATCGGATTGCCACACCGGGGTCACAAGAAAAGCAATTTCAAAACATTTCATAATTGGATTTATCAGCCTCCTTTAAGGAATGGGCCAGAGATTGAACATCTGCATGTGGCTCGTTGAGCGAGATTCTTGAAAGCATGGCAGCCTTTGGCCAGCATCACTGTTCACTGGTGTCTCAGAGCTTGTCTGCGTGTCCAGGGCGTTGAGGGCAATTGGATAATCTGGAACACTGGGTCTGCAACAGGCAGGTCGTGGAAAGGGCCAAGAAACTTATTAGTGGCCCCCAAAGAGCCTAGTAATTTGGCCACATGGTTTGAATGCTAAGCCTGGTAGATTTAAGGCCTAGGGCCTTTCAGGTTGCAAAGTGAAACTTGACTTTTGTCTCCTGAGATAAAGGTGACAATATGGTTTTACTTACACATGAACTGTTCATTTTTACAAACACTGGAGCCCCAGGTGGGAGATCAGTGACTGAGCTGCCCTCCTCTCCCTCCCCTGACTGTGCAGCCTTCTGTGGACGATTACATGGGGATGATCAAAAGGAGCCCTTCCCCGCCGGAGGCCTGTCGGAGTCAGCTCCTTCCAGACTGGTGGGCGCAGCAGCCCAGCACAGGTGAGGGTGGGTGGCCTAGAATTGTCACCAGGCATGGCCTGAAGGGTTTACGGCATTCCACCAGCCAGGGACGGAGTGGGGGTGGTTGTTGCTATCATGATCCATGTCTCATTAAAGGTAGCTCAGCCCTGAGAGGTGAAGAACGATGGCCCTGGTTTCCCAACATGAGGGCAGAGCCCAGCTGTGCCTTTGGCCCTGCTCTCCGCTGCTTCTCAGGAGGGCACAAGCTGCTTGTTCCCTAGGTGATGTCCATGCCAGCTCTCCCCACGCTCCTGGGAAAGTCCAGGGAAGAGGGTCTAGTGAACTTGTGTAAGGCCAGAGGGAAGATGCAGCTCTTGGCCACGCTGGCGCCCCCTCCCTGGGTACTCCCTTAGGTCGGCCAGTCTGTTACGACATTAAGGACCCCCTCAGAACCAAAGAGAGCCCAGGGCATTTGGAGGAGAGGAGAACTCAGACCAGGAACAGGAAGTTTGTTCAGAGCCCTAGATTTGAATCCCACGCTGGGAAGTTACAGATCTTGAGCCTCAGTTTATTCATCCGTAAAACAGAGAAACCAGGACTTGCGCCATGGGGTCACGAGGGTTAAGTGAGGCATTCATCCTTTGATTCTCTTTTGATGAGCCACTCAGAACCCCCAGCTGCTTGAAATGCCCCCGCCCCCGCCAGGCCCAGGCTTCTGCAGCCGGTGAATGTGTTTGCTTCCTCCCTCGGCGTCTTCCCCCTAGCCCTACATCCCCTGTGGGAGTCTGGGAGGTGGCAGCTGGCCCCGGAGGCCTTGAAGGTTGCCAGGCCTTGGGTGTCGAGTAAGAGGTCCCTGGAAAGGCACCTCTGTCTGTGCTGCAGGAACACCATCCGGAAAGCTAGCTTGCACCCCCAGGCTCTCCCCCAGAGATAAGCCCTGGGTGGTGGGTATGCAGTCCAGTGGTATTCTGGGGGTAAGTGCTTGAGGTGGGAAGGAAATGTGGCCCCACAGTGTCACATTGACACATGGTCAGAAATCCCACAGCATAGAGGAAGTCCCCCCGACTTGCCACTCTGGTTTTCTGCATTTGTGAAACAATGGCTCTCTGCTCTGGTGGGGAAAAGCACTGAATTCAGCGGAAGCCTGTGCTCCCTGGAGCCTCTGGCACGCCATGTGCAGCCTTTTAAGGGACTTTTGGAGAAGGAGCGATTGGGGTTACTCCCTGTACACCACACCTGGGTGGCTCTGAGCTTGCTTTTCTGTTTCTCCTGCAGGCGTGCCGCTGGTGACGGGGTACACCACCTACGACGCGCACCATTCAGGTACGGGGTGGTCCGGGCTGAGAGGGGCGTGGGCACTGTTTGAAGACAAAGCCCAGATAACCCAAGCAGGGTTGCGGGGTTTCGAGGATGAGCAGGACCTGGTGTGGAAGTCTAGGCCTGGTTCCAAGGATGAGCAGGACCTGGTGTGGAAGTCTAGGCTCCGTTCCGAGGATGAGCAGGACCTGGTGTGGAAGTCTAGGCCTGGTTCTGAGGATGAGCAGGACCTGGTGTGGAAGTCGAGGCTCCGTTCCGAGGATGAGCAGGACCTCGTGTGGAAGTCTAGGCCCGGTTCTGAGGATGAGCAGGACCTGGTGTGGAAGTCGAGGCCCCAATTTCTCCTCCTCACCATTTGGTCAGGAGCTGGCGAGTGGCCTCTTTTGAGGCCACTTTTCTTGGACTGGACCAGCAAGTAGACAGAGTACTCTTTGAGGCTGTAACTGTGCAGGAGAGACAGTGAGGGACAGGCCAGCGTCTGTCCCAGCGCTGCCTCTCTTTTGGGGCTGCAGGTGGAGTGGTGGAGCCTCTCAGAGCCTCATCTCAGGCTCCCCTGCCCACCACCTCTAGGTGGATGCAGCTGTTCCCATTTCGCGGGCTCAGGTAGCTTGTGTGCTCCAGACTGGGGGCCTCCCCGCGGTGGGCAGAGGTGGCCTTTGTGTGTAGTCTCAGCGGCTAAGGACCCTGGCTGCACTTCTGCCAGCTGCCCCTGGAAGTGACGCTCAGGCGTGGTGACGGCATCTTCTGAACAAGGAAGCTGGGGCATCTTCCAGCATTGGCTGGTTCTGTGGGAGGCGAGCAGCTGGTCTCATCAGATGGGCCACAGAACGTTAGGGCTGGGCCTCTGGGCAGGGGAGGAAATGGGGCAGGGATAGAAGCGTGCTGGCTGAGGACTGCATGGGACAGTTTTGTGGGTAGCAGAGGTCGGTGCTCACCCAGGCAGGAAAACTGTCGAGATGGCAATGCCCTGTCCATGAAGCTCTTGTCTATTTCCTGGCAGCCCTTTGAGCTGGGGGGTTGTTTTCACTCCGGCTTCACAGATGAGGAGACTGAGGCTGGGAGGTTCAGGATCTCATCCAGGTCGCGCAGGCCTCTGGCTGGAGCCTGTTCTTGAGGCCTCCTTGTGCCCGGCAGCCGCCATGCTCACAGGGTCTCAGTTCTGGGAGGCCTGGGTCATGAGGCTAAGCCTCCGGGCTCGCCAGCCACTGGGCTATGGCCTGGGAGTCTGCTGACCAGTGCTTTCCGGGGGCTGTGGAGTAGCCAGGCACAGAACTGAGCCATCTCGGTGAGATGCAGAGGCACAATTTGGGGAGAGCATGTCCTTGAATTAGTCCAGCAGGGTCATAGCCACTGCCTCATGCACAGAACATCCTTCTAGAAGCTGTGAGCTTTGGTACCTCTGTCCAGCCCCGCCCCCACCTCTATGTAAATCCATGCTTCAGTTTCCTTACCTGGAAAATGGGTATAATAATAATCTACCTTACAGGGTTAAATGTGCTGGTAGGTCCCAAGCCCTGGGCACAGCACCTGATATGAGCTGTGTAGACCATAGTCTGTGGTTTATAACTTCAGGAGTCTTGTCTGTGTAGATAAGCATTTGTCCTGTTACCCAGTTTCTTTAACTGGTGCTTACCTGTGCCGAGCACAAATACAAGCTCCGATAATCCTCACAGCAGCCCAGTGAGGTGGATGCTGTTTTTATCTCTACTTTGCTGATGAAAAGCTGAGGCACAGAGTGGGGAAGCGGCTTGCCCCAGGTCATCCAGCTGGGCAGCAGCTGGGCTGGGACCGCACGTCAGGCAGGTGGGCTGCAGGGTCTGTGCTGCGGGTGTCTTTGTTGCTGCCTCTGTGGTCAGGCCGTTCCCCAGCAAGGCTGTTCTTGTGGGTGAGTGGCTCTATAAGGGCAGGGCTGGGTCGCAGCAGGCCCTTACTGTTGCAGAAGGCTCACCTGCCTCACCTTGGCAGCCCTTGGTGAGCTGCTTCTCACCTGTCAGGTACAAGCCTGACAGCTGGAACCTTCTCTTAGCATAAGACGTTCTGGGGTGTGTGGTCACTAAGACACTCCTGCTTAGGCGTCTCTGAAGCACTTAGCTGTTCCGGGTGAAGCTGCCAGTTCACATGACTGAGAGGTGCTGGTACCAAGATAAGGCCCCGGAAATGACAGGGCAAAGGGCCAAAGGGGTGACGGAGTTGCCTGAAGCGTTTCATTCATTTGGAACAAAGTTCGAAAGTTGCTTCAGGGTAAAGGGAGGGGAGTGTGTGGAGTCCGCAGGCAGTGCAGAAGTTGCAGACTTGGCGTGGGGGGAAGATGATGAGTGAGGAAGAGCGAGACCAGCGGGGAAGATGGTGAGCAGGGAAGAGCGAGACCAGTGCTGCCATTTCCTTCTGGGTGACCCTATCTAGGATTCAGTTTCCTGAAGTGTCAAATCAATGAGGTGGACCAGAGCTTCTGCAGCTCTAGCTTCCTACCCTGCATGATTCTAGAACCTGCGTAACTCCAGCATGGCTGGAAATGGAGCCCGTGAATGGTGGGTTGTCAAATAATAAGGCAGGGAGCAGAGCCCAATGGGAGGGTCCAAGGAGTTCTGAGTGCCCAGCAGTGTCAGCAGGGAATGCAGATGGACTCAGGGCCTCCCCAGATGTGGTCAGCCTTGCACAACTCTAGGGGGCGCCGTGGAGTTAGGCACCTCACAACTTGTGTGGCTCCACAAGGCAGCCTCGAACCGGTCTGGGGTACTTAGAAGGAGCTGCAAACTCACTAAGCTCATTGCTAGCGTATGTAATTCTTTTGGTTTAAGGCAATTAAAATGCAGATACCTCCCTGCATTTACATGTTATCTGCATTCCTACCTTAGATTAGTGTTTTCCAAACTTTGGTCACTTGAGGTCCAGTGTCACAATTGGTTTTCACAGCCTGGACTGTTACTAACATCATGTTTTTCCTCAAATCTTAATCTTAAAATAAAACTTAAGTTTATTTTAAATGAGAACCCACTATCATTGGCTGTAAAGGAAGACCTGTGGCACCTGGTATAAGTAGGTAATACTGTCTGGCTAGAATTGATTAAGATTGTATTTGTCTTTCATTGAATTTGTCTTGACCTCTGACAATGCCCTGAATTTGGAGCCCTAAGTTCAGTGCCATTATTCAAAAGGGAGGTTGACAGGTGTTAGGTGTTAGAGAGCTATCAGCACCAAACTGAGGCTTGCTTTTTGAGGTAATCAGAGGTTGGAAGAATATTGAAGATGGAATAATCTTGTGATTACATGTATCACCCCTCCCCCATTATTCTGTGTGTGCCACTTTTGGGGAACCCCTGCTTTAGTTTGAGTGTTTTTCAGACTCTTTCCTGAGAACAGATTTGGATGAAGGGTTTTGCAGAGATTCTTAATCTGAAATCCAGGAAATACCAAGGGCGCTGTGAATTTGTTGAGAAAAAGATTATGTCTTTATTTTCTTTAACTTCAGGTTTAAATTGAGCATTTCCTTTTGTTATGAATGTAGGCAGCAGACCGCAGTGCCCTTGGCAGTGCCTATGAGACGGAGTATTGTCATAAGAAATGAGTTGTCGAAACATCGTTTGCCCTCAGCTTGACGTGTAAATTACAACAGTTACCAGACCTTCTCTAGACCTTGTATTTAAAGAGTCAGTGAAGAAGTACAGAGAACACTGTTGTAGTTAATATGTTCAGTCATTGGTTTCCTTAGTCATTCTGTGTATTTATTCATGCATATAAAAACATTACTTCTACAAGCAGTACATGGATTTCCCCAGAATATCAAAGTGGTTCAAGACACACAAAGAGTTACCCGTGTAGGTGTGAGACAGACTGTGCACTTGGGCAGGAGGGACCCTGTATGTCTCCCCGCAGCACCGTCATCGTGTCCCTCTTGTCCACAGCATTCTCCCAGATGGTGATCAGCTTCTACTATGGGGGCAAGCTGGTGGGCCAGGCCACCACCACCTGCCCCGAGGGCTGCCGCCTGTCCCTGAGCCAGCCTGGGCTGCCCGGCACCAAGCTGTATGGGCCCGAGGGCCTGGAGCTGGTGCGCTTCCCGCCGGCCGACGCCATCCCCAGCGAGCGACAGAGGCAGGTGACGCGGAAGCTGTTCGGGCACCTGGAGCGCGGGGTGCTGCTGCACAGCAGCCGGCAGGGCGTGTTCGTCAAGCGGCTGTGCCAGGGCCGCGTGTTCTGCAGCGGCAACGCCGTGGTGTGCAAAGGCAGGCCCAACAAGCTGGAGCGTGATGAGGTGGTCCAGGTCTTCGACACCAGCCAGTTCTTCCGAGGTCTGTACCGTCGTCACCTTGCTGCCCCCACATCTTAGAGATCACGCCTCCTATCTGTGTGCCATTTGCAGCTCAGGGTGGCCCTGTGGTCTCATGGAGGGATGTGGAGGAGGAGTGAGGGGCATGGTGTGGCAAGGAGGTGCTCCTTTGAATGGCACTCTGCCCTCTCCACTGAGCGATCCTGGGGTGCTTCTCTGTGCCTCAACTTCCCCATGTGTACAGTGGGGGTGCAGAATCAGTACCCTCATCAGGTGATTGTCGGGAGGGTAAAGGAACTTAACCTCATGTACCTTGGAGTATGTTCCAAGGATGGTCCCTGAGCGCTGGCTAGAGACACAGAGTCTGAGGCCCTGCTCCAGCCACAAGATCCGAACCTGCATCTTAGCAAGGTCCCTGGGGATCTGTGTACAGGTTTTGAGACACGCTGACTTTCCGCACACTAAGTGCTCAGGATGGCAGCTGCACACACTAAGTGCTGCCTGTTAGCTTTCGTTACGCTGTAGGGAGGATGTGTAGGATACCAGCCTGGGTGTCTCCTGGAGGGTTAGGATGGCGTCTCCCTTCTCCACGTCCCCATGCTCTCTGCTCCTCTCCCTGTAGCAGCACAGCCCGAGATAGTGTCAGGTCTCAGCTGCCACTGGCCTGAGAACTGCCAGAGGAGGGGCCTGGAAGGGCGGGTGCAGGGGTATGTGTGAGCTCAGGGGCATAAGCCCTGAGGAATCCCCCTAGTGAGGAGGTGTGAGGCCGCGGTTATCACCCCTGAGCAGGCAGAGCGGCACAGAAGTGCGTCCTGCAATGTACATTCCCGGGCCTACCTCACATCCTCTGATTCCATGGGTCTGAGGCGGGGCCCAAGATTCTACATTTCTAATGAGCTCCCAGGGAAGGCGACTGCTGCCGGTCCACCGGCCCACTTTGAGACCCTTTCAGTTGGCTGTCAGAGATTCGGGTGAGGGCTGCAGCCCTCCCTGGGTGTCCTCAGGTCGGGGTTGCCAACTCAGTTGCCTCCAAGGGCCAGGCAGGTAAGAGCAATGCACGAATTGAGAGATAAGAGAGAGCACTGGGCAGCTGTGCCCATGGAGAGGCGTTCAAACGAGGCATTAAAATCCCGGCAACAACCTGGAATGGCCAAACGAACAGCTCCTTGCTTGGAATTTGGCCCAAGGGCCACCAGTTTGAGATCCCATGGTGCCCTGGCCTAAATGCTACAAGCCCTGGGCCTCCTGATCCCCCAGCCCTGCTGCTGCGGGAGTTGGAGGTCATCTCGGCCTTGCTTGCAAACACCCTCTGCCTGTGTCATTCCAGAGCTGCAGCAGTTCTATAACAGCCAGGGCCGGCTTCCTGACGGCAGGGTGGTGCTGTGCTTTGGGGAAGAGTTTCCGGATATGGCCCCCTTGCGCTCCAAACTCATTCTCGTGCAGGTAAGTATGGGCAGCTTTTTTTTTTTTTTTTTTTTTTTTTGAGATGGAGTCTTGCTCTGTTGCCCAGGCTGGTGTGCAATGGCGTGACCTTGGCTCACTGCAACCTCCGCCTCCCGGGTTCAAGTGATTCTCCTGCCTCAGCCTCCCGAGTTGCTGGGACTACAGGCCCGTGCCACCACGCTCAGCTAATTTTTTGTATTTTTAGTAGAGATGGGGTTTCACCATGTTGGCCAGGATGGTCTTGATCTTGTGATCCTCCCAGCTTGGCCTCCCAAAGTACTGGGATTACAGGCGTGAGCCACCTCGCCCGGCAGTCTGGGCAGCTTTGAGCCCTGCATCCAGGTCTCCTGGCCCTGTCATGTAAGGATCAAGTTTTGGGCTGGAGAAGAGGACACAAGGACAAGTTTCCACCTGTGTAGGAGGCAGGCCTGGGCAAGACCTTCAATATGCGGGAAGCGGATTCTTGCCATCTCCGAGCCATCTTCTGGTGTCTGGGACGCGCACAGTCTGTGTGTGTGTGTTTTCTTTTTTCTTTTTTGGTTTTTAAATCTAAGCCTCTTCTCCAGAAAGATTCTACCTGTTCAGTTGCCCGAAGGTCTAAGTGACAGATTAGGGCATTGCCAGCCCTTATTTCATGTAGTCAAGGGAATGAATCTCTAATGGTGGGATCCTGGGTGCTGGCTGTCCCAGCTGGGACAGTACTGGGGAGTATGGAACAGTTTTGGCAGGAGTACTGCTTGCCCTTCCTTGGCATTCTGGCTCATTCACTTGGGACTCACGTGGCACTGGGGTCATCAGAGGACCTGGCTAGGGTCAAAGACAGTGCCCACCCCCTTTGGAGCCTCCGCCTCTGCCTCTGACTTTCTGCACCTCCCATCTAGATTGAGCAGCTGTATGTCCGGCAACTGGCAGAAGAGGCTGGGAAGAGCTGTGGAGCCGGCTCTGTGATGCAGGCCCCCGAGGAGCCGCCGCCAGACCAGGTCTTCCGGATGTTTCCAGATATTTGTGCCTCACACCAGAGATCATTTTTCAGAGAAAACCAACAGATCACCGTCTAAGTGCGTCGCTTGGGCGCCCCACCCCGTCTGCGTCCTGCATCCATCTCCCTGTTACAGTGGCCCGCATCATGATTAAAGAATGTGGATCCCTCTGTCTGGGGTGGGATGCCTTACTTTGCACTTAATTTAATAAGGGCATTCTCGGAGGAGTAGACGTTTAATACGAAGTGGCGGCATAGCCCTGCCGAGATGTCGGTGATGGCCTGGATGCTGTAACCACAACCTGTGGCTAAAAATTTTATTTTCTATCCTTTACCCGTCATTATCATTAGTTGCTATGATTCTTTCTGCATTTTCGGTTAACTATCATTTCCAAAGACTTGTCATTCAGTAATATTAGCAGATAGCTGCTTCGATAAAGGAATTTGGAGTTTAAAAATCAACTTGTGAAAACAAGGTTGTTTTTGTCTTTATCGTTTGTTAGAGTTATAGATTTATGATTTCATAGGCTTGATTCTATGTGAAATATCTTTTTACTTTTATGCATTTTAATAAGATTTAAAAATATTTAGATTAAAGCCCCCTTTAATGAGTACAAGAAAAACTCTTGGCTTGTTAGAAGAAAGTATATTCTTTCTAGAATTTGGTGCAGGAATATGTGTTCATATCCAGGCAAACGGGTGTGTTTTTATCTTCAGACAATGAAACCTTCTCCTCTGGGGCTTTGTTGCCAGGAAGATTAGAACTAAATTTATTTTTTTCATTTCTGTCATGAAATCATTCCAGATACCTCTTTTCTTCTTTCCAAATGGTTTTCACATGTGTTTGAAATATTTGTACTTCGAATTGTCGGATTTTCCATGTCCTCCTTTCTCCTTTGTGCCCAGCCTGAGTCAGCACCAATCCCGCATTCAGAACCTCCCAGTGAAAGGGCAGCCTTCATTTTGAGAAGGTGGAAGGTGTTAGGGTTTGGGAGACAGCTCATCCAATCTCCCAAGTCTCATGGTGGATTTGTGACTGTGAGAGTTTCCGGTTTAAAATCTGAAAAGCCAGATATGCCTGTTTCCTTTTCCCAGCACCATGCCTGTGGAGGGGACAGTCAGACCCAGAGGTCCTTTACGTGTGGATGGAGTTCACAGGCGAATAGAGGAGAGGACCAGGGGACGTGGCTTGTCCCTTTTGTCCAACAAAGCATTATATTTTTAAGAATGGCAGACCTGTTTGCTGAAGTGTTCATAAGATAACAATAGGCTTGAATCTCCAATTCAAATGAATGTCAAAGCACATATCTTTAATATGCTGAATGAATATTTATTTTTGTATCCATTAAAACAGTATATTGATCTCTTTTATTCTTTATTAAAATAAAATGCTCTTTTTTAAAGCTGCTGTGTACTGTATTTTTTTAGTCACTGTCAAATATGATGTAATTCTCACCAGATTCTAGGTTCTGTAAAGGGGGAGTTACTGCTGCAATGTGCAGTGTTAATTCAGTGCACTGGACTGAAACAATATCGCACTGGGATTTTAAGGATTTTTTTTTTTTTTTGAGACAAAGTCTTGCTCTGTCACCCAGGCTGAAGGGCAGTAGTACGATCTCGGCTCCCTGCAACTTCCACCTCCCAGGTTCAAGCGATTCTCGTGCTTCAGCCTCCCAAGTAGCTGGGATTACAGGCATACGCTACCACATCTGCCTAATTTTTTTTTTAAAATTAGAGTTGTGATTTCACCATGTTGCCCAGGCTGGTATCGAACTTTTGGCCTCATGTGCTCTGCCCCAACCTCTCCCCCAGCCTCCCAAAGTGCTGGGTTTACAGGTGTGAGCCACCTCACCCAACTCCTGTTTTAAGGATTTTTCTTTTTCAACCTATCCCTTAAACAACAGCAAAAAGATACGGAGACTTAGACTGATCCTATGGAATGAAAACATTGGAGAATGTTTTTATTCCGAATGGGGGGCTGTTTGGGTTTCTGTGAGCTGACAGATGAGTGTGCGGAAGGGTGTGGAGGAAGTGGGGTCTTGTGCTGATTTCATCCTCCTGGATGCAGCTGGGGTGATTTGTACGAGGCGTCCCTGGTTGGGTCAGCCACACGTGGCTGGAGTGTGTGTCCTATTTACGCACATCTCGCTGTGCTAGGCCCTCAGGATACAGCAAGGACATGAGGGACCCAGGTTGGCAGTCACAGAGATGACTTCCAGCCTAGTAGGACATTCCCATCCATCAACACAACAAAACCCATCAATTCTGGGAGGTGCAGGGCTGGCCAACCCAGGTGGAGAGAAGTTCCCCAGCAAGCTTCATCCGCAAGGCCATGTCTGTTCTCTCCTCTGCCCTCATACGAGCCCAGTGAGACTGGGCCTGTTCTTCATTTCTAGCTTACAGATGAGGAAACTGAGGCACAGGCTCATGCGTGGCTGACTGAGAGCCATCTATGTCCCAGGAGGACAGCTTCGCCTGAGAGGCTTCATGAGCAGATCTCGCTGCCATCCTTGAGCTGGTGGGCTTCCTAACACCCCACGCAAGAGGTCAGCAGCTGGGTGCGTCGCTCACTGTCTTAGGCATCTTTGCCATGAGTCACACTAATGTCCGCACGCTGCAAGTAGGAATTTTGTTTACAAGCAAGCTCTTCTCCATCCTGTGGATTCAAGGCCAAATGTGGAAAGTTGATATCGTCTGTTGTCTCCCCAGAGTTCAACGCTCTCGTGCAGACGGTCGACAAATCCTTCCTACTCAACTTCTTGCAGCAAGCTCGGGGAGAGGCGGGAGAGGGGAGTGTTTTCATTTGCAGAGGAGGAAATTTGGGAACAGGATGCTTCTTTAAGAAGTCGGGTTTCTAGAGAATGCTGTGAGGGCCCTGGATGTGAACTGACTTTTGAGATGCTGACCCCACACTGGCCAGTTAGCTCTGGGCCCTGGAGGGAAGCTGGTGGGGATGGGCTGACGGGACATCCTGAAAAACAAGCCATCTCCACTCTTGGTAGTTTAAAAATGTTTTAAGAAGTTAAGGTATTTCAACAATTCCTTTCTGAGTGATTGCCACTTAGTTCATTAACTTTTGCAAAATCCCACTTTGGGAGGCCAAGACAGGTGGGTCACTTGAGGTCTGGAGTTCGAAACCAGCCTGGCCAACATGATGAAGCTCTGTCTCTACTAAAAACAAAAACAAAAACAAAACACAAAAATTAGCCAGGTGTGGTGGCAGGCACCTGTAATCCCAGCTACTTGGGAGGTTGAGACAAGAATCACTTGAACCCAGTGGGGTGGAGGTTGCAGTGAGCCGAGATCACACCACTGCACTCCAGCCTGGGTGACAGAGTGAGACTCTGTCTCAGAAAAAATGTGCAAAATCCATCTGGGACACAACATTTTTGCTTGCCCTCGTAATGTCCAGAAGGCTGGAGATGATGACCCCTGGGTCCAAGCATCCTCAGGATCCGGTGGGTCCTAGAAATCCTGGGAAAATCTTCCTGAAAGGGCTTCACCGGGCAGCCACCCATGCCTGCCACAGGGACACTTTCTCTCCATAAAGAAGCAGCTGTGGGAATCAGGAAGAAATGACTCCTGTGCATGATTCAGACTCTCCATAATAGAAAGTTTTGCAACCCAATGACTCGGAAATGTTTAGAAATTCTAAAGAATAATCTATAATTAATGACTGTAATTTTAACAACCCAGTGGGCTGAGAGTGGGGTGTGGCAGTTTCTCAGTGGAAAATCTGGCTGCTTTTACTACAAGTAGGAGGAGAATGACAAATATCCTGGCCCCAGGGCACACCTGATCTCAGGCTTTCTCTTCAAGCACACCGTTCATTAATCTGTTAAAAGGCCTAGCTCATGGTAAGAAGCCCATTTAAACCAGCATTTCCCAAACTTATTTGACTTGACGTTTTGCCTTGCAGCGTGTCTGTGGATGAGAGGTGCCCACAAGCGTTCAGTCTTTTATCACAATCCGACTGGAACATCTTAGGAGTTGAGAAGAGTGTGTACATTATTTCTTTCCTATTTTCTTTGGGCTACCTTTCAGTCTGGATGGAGTCTGCCAGGGATGGGGATGGCTTCAGTCTCCTCTTTATATGTAACTAACTATTCCTAAACTTAGTGGTATAAAAAACGCTTTATTTTGTGGGTCAAAATTTAGACAGGGTACAGTGGTGTTGGCTTTTCTCTGCTCTGCAATGTCTGGAATGTTAGCTGGGAACAGCTGAGAGTGACTTGAAGTCCTGCAGATAGAACCACCTGGAAGCTTTTTCATTCACATGTCTGGTGCTTGGGCTGGAAGGAGGTGAGGCTGGGCACAGTTGGGATACCGATGAGAATATTGACTTTGGCCTCTCTATGGAGTTTGGGCTTCCTCACAATATGGCAGCGTCAGGGCAGTCCCGTGGACACAGGGGAAGCTGAATGGCTGTTTGTGACCCAGCCATCACTCAACTGGACAAACAAGCCCTCCTAGGTTCAAGAGGAATGGACAGAAACACCACCTCTTGAGGAAGAAGTGTCCAGGAATTTGCAGCCATGCTTTCAACCTGCCACGGGAGCCCCGAAGCCTCTCCTTTGCTGCAATCCCACCTGCCTTTTATCCCCCTGACCTCTCCTTGGGCATCCTGATTCCTTTCTGACCCTATTCCTTGAGTCCCAGGCAGATGGGCCTTTTCCTCACTTTGTCTTGGGAGTATGGCAGTGGACTCTGCCTACTTCATAATGGAGCCTTTTTCTTGTCCATTTTGATGACCTCTCAGAGCAGGGCTCTGACACGTTACTGGGTTACAAAGACCCCTCCCTGCCAGGGCCAGCGTGCAGCACAGTGTGCTTTTGAGTTCCGGTGAACGGGGTGCTCTGGCTGGAGCCTAGTGCGAAGTTTCCCCTTCTCCGCCCATTCCTCATCCCTCAGGGCACACAGGTCACCTTTCCTCGCCTTCTCGTCCCCACCTCTAAGGCTTGGCCAAAGTTTCTTCATAAAAGCAAGAAAGATAACGAAAGAGCCCCCCATGGGTTATGGTTTTTGTGGGGCCAGGAATGCCCAGTTTGAACCTCCAGTTCCGCCACCTGTAGCCGAGTGAAAGAGGCTGGGTTATTCAGACACCCCAAGCCTCAGTTTCCCCACTTGTTGTGAGGCTTGAGTGTGCTAACACATCAAGGCAACCCAGAACAGCGCTTGGCAGAGACTCGCAGTTTATCACTGTGAACTGTCGTTATTGGAAAGTGGGTGGAGTCGGGTTTGGATTCCCCCAGGAGCAGAGACAGAAACAAAAGGATTCAAGGTAAGCGGCCTGTATGGGAGGTGATCTCAGAAGTGCTGGGAGGGGAAGGGGACCTGTGGCTTTAATGGTGACCCTGTGCTACTGGAGGCCTGGGATCTCTGAGGAATGCTGAGGCCCAAGCCCTGCAGAGCCAGCCCCGGGTTGTTAATTACTTGGCACTTTCCTCTTGCCTTATGTGCAGGGGTGGGCTCAGGCGACTGAAGTCTCAGACACTGCTGCAGGTGCTGGCAGGGGGAGTCACAGCTGCATAAACTGGAATGGGGCAGGTGGGGTGGGGCGGGTAAGGGGTTGTGTTTGCTTCGGAGAGGGTTTGTCAGCACTTTGAAGGAAAATTTGTGTAGTGGCCGGAACCACAGATGACCCAGGGTTTGTGTTCCAGCCCAGGGATCATTAGCTGTGTGCGTCACTTAAACTTTCTGTTCCTCAGTTTCTTCATCTGTAAAAAAGGGGCAATAATGTTACCTATTGGGAGGATTAAATGACTTAATAAGTATGAGGGGCTTAGAACAGTGCCTGGCACGCAGTACATACTAAGAAAGTGGATTTGCACATATCATTAATGCCTCCCTCCCTTTCTTTCTTTCTTGTTTATTTATTATTAAATAGTTATAAGTATAAATAATTACAATAATTTATGTCAACGAACTATAGTGTCAA
Organism: Homo sapiens; assembly: GCF_000001405.40. Lineage (NCBI taxonomy): Eukaryota > Metazoa > Chordata > Mammalia > Primates > Hominidae > Homo > Homo sapiens. The sequence continues at coordinate 85,927,142 of NC_000016.10, forward strand.
CAATAACTATAGGTAATTATTTAATAATTAGTAATTATAAAATAATTGATACTAAATTAACTATAGAATTATATAGTGCCAGAGTTGTTTGGCTATCTTTAATTATACATGTAGTTATTTAATTTCACAAATAGTTATATGAATTATGGAAGTGAAGGTACGATGGTATAACTATACAATTATTAGATAACTTATCATAGTGGTATACATATTTATCATGCAGTTATTAAATAATTACAATGGAATGACTTATTCGCTCTCTGCGTTTGTGCAAGGGCAAGGATGGCCACGTCCCAGCTCTATCCAGCCCCTGGCCCAGTGCCTGGGGTTCGGTGGCGCTCAGTTCACGCTTGCAGAGCGAGCGGCGGTGAGTGGATGCGGTGGGGTCGGGCTGTGGTGGTAAAGGTGGCCGTGAACAGGAGGGGCCACTAGAGCACACAGACGTGAATGACATGGGGCTCCAGGAGGGGCAGGAAGAGCTACAGAAACAGCATCCCCAAAGCTGCCTGGCACGGAAGAGGTGCTGCAGAAATGGGACTTCCCTTCCCATCCTCTTCTCCTGATAAACAACTGAAAACATAAGAGCGAGATCTTGGGGCTTCTGTGAGGTTAAATGAACGAACAAAAGTCTTACAGCGGAAATCACTGAGAATCTCCCCTCCCCTGTCTTCCAAGGAGAACATGATTGTGAGCCTGCTCCTCCCTTCCTGGGGGGGTTGCTTCCTGCTGGGGAGAGGCTAAGTTGAACTCTAGGATCAAGAAAGGGAAGGAGGCAGAGAAAGGTGAGAAAGGTGAGAAAGATGAGAAGGTGCTCGCATGGAGCGTCCGGGCAGTACCAGGCTGGCCCGAAGGAGGTGCGGATGAGGGGGAAAGGCTGTTTACAGATGTGGTGGCTTCTCCGTGTGCATTCACCTCCTGGGTCTCAACTCGTGCAGATGGAGGGTCTGAGTTAATCTGAGGTTACATTTGTTTGCTCAGCTATGCTTTTTCAAGAGGCCATTCCTCTGAGACTGAGCCCCATGGCTCCTGGCTTTACATGAGTTACACGCATCTTCTTCTCCTTTTTTCTAAATAGTAAGGGGCAGAGAGAGTTAGAAATAAAAAGGAAAGCTGAAAACAAAAACCTCTCAGAAGAGACTCTGGCTGTTTTTTGTTTTTTTTTAATTTTTAAGTTTTTATTAATGCTCATCTTCCCTGAAGAGCCCTGGCTGTTTTCTTGACCAGCTTCTGGAGAGAAAAATCACAGTGCATTTGAGTAGCTCCAGATGTGATCTCCCCATTCAGCATTTCCCTTCCTGTAGCATCTGCCGAGCCTTCCTTCTGGCTTCTCTGCTCTCCGTGCCTGAAAGGAGACATTGAGCAATCCAGGCCAGTTCGAAATCCTGAGCCCAGAAATAAAGTGACTGTTGCTTTTGCGTCCTTGCACGTTTGCCCCGGCTCTCAGCAGAGGCAGAAGGTGATGTTTGGAGGAAGCAGATGGCCCGGTCTACTGTACATTTCAGAACATTTCAACTGCAAGGCTGGCTGGGGCTATTGCATCACTGAGCCCGATAGGGCTGCAGGGCAGAGGCAGGGATCCCTGTGGGTGGAACTGCTGGGTGGCAGGACGGGGTGGGGGAGCTGAGGGTGGTGTTTGGAGAGGAGGGGGAGAAGGGGGAGACAGTTTGGGGAACGTGCCTGAATTCCTACCCAGGTCCAGTGTGGGTTGATGCAAATGGTGCACACGGGCTGAGAGGTCAGCTAGATCTGGGTTCCGATCCCGACTCCTTACTGATGAGTTGTGTCCTTGGAAAATGACTTCTTCTCTTTGAATTTCAGTGTCCTTGACTATATACATGATGGATTCTTCCCACATCGCATGGATGTTGTGGGGATTCATTGTCCTGACCTCCTGGGGTGTTGGTGAGGATTAAATGAAATCATGATTTCGTTTGACATGCTTGGACAAGAGCCCCACACACTAGAAACCCTGGGTGTGTGTTAGCTGTTGGGAAGATTCTCCTGACCGTGATGATGGGAGAACTCGGCATAGCCCTGCGGGAGGAGTGTTGGTTCTCAACAACTGCGGCTGTTTGGGGGTTGTTGGCTTGTACTCCCTCTTTGTAGAGGCTCCTCGCTCCTGGCTCAGGGCTGCTCCCAGGTGCACTTTCGGTGGCAAGGCATTCAATTGTACACGCTGACTCAGGCGTGGTGAAAGCCAGCTGGCCCTCTGGACCCTGGCCTTGGTCCTCAGCCCTATTGGTTGTCCCCGCTGCCCGGGATTGGTTGGCCCACGGGGAGGGGCTCTCTGCCTAAGGATGGTCTCCCCAGCTCAGTGACAGAGGGATGCTTAAGCCACGCCACCACCTTCGTTCAACTGCCAGCATACCTGAGTGTTTGAGTCAGCCTCTCTCCCTGTGGCCCAGTGACATGGGCAGCAATGTGGGAGGCTGCCCAGTGGGTGGGGAGTCGATCAGACGGAGCGAAGAGATTTCTCGAAGGCCCTCTTCACCAGCGTAGCTTACGACAGTGCTGGAGCGCCTACCTGAGCAGACCACGCTCTAAGCTTGTTTTGCTGAACACCTTCCTATTGTCCCAGAATCCACCTGCTCTCCCAGGAAGACTGATCTCTTCCAGGGACCATAAGCAGCTTCCCCAACAGGTGCCCCAGCGGGAGACCAGAGGGAGGGAGGAGACAGGTCAGAGTGCCTACTCCCGTTTTCTCCCTGAGTCAACGTTGTTCCTCCTGAGGCACCGGCCCCCATACCGCCCTCCTCCTGGGCTCCAGCAGCCATGCTCTCTCCTGGCCCCCCTGGTCCCCTGCCTTTAGTGACAGCTTATCCTCGTTCCTGCTCTGTCTCCTTTGGTTCCCTTAGACCAGGTGTCAGCAAATCTGGCTTGCAGACCGAATCTGGCCACAGAGCTGCAACGACAGAATTCAGCGACTGCAGCAGAGGCCGTGCGGCCCCCCAGGCCGAAAATATTCACTATCTGCCTCTTTCCAGCTTTCCAGAGAAAGTCTGTGACCTCTGTGTGAGACCCACCCACACCCATGAGATTAGTCCCTTTGCAAATCCCTTCCTTGAATTAACCTGTGTTGAGTGTGCCAATGGCTGTCTGGGACCTACCCGGCACGCATTCTATTATCCTGACGTCCTCTTAGCCTGGCAACATTCTCGTTCTCTCCATTTTGCAGATGGGAAAGCGGAGGCACAGGGAGGCTAAATAACTTTGATGAGATTAGGCACACAATCAGTAGGGGGAGGTCAGTTCCAGAGTCAAAGGCAGGTGCCACCAGCACCCCATGGCACTTCCTGTCCTGAGCTGCTCTTACTCGCTCTCGGGACGGTCATGCCAAGGAAGTCCCCTGTCCACAGCCGGGACGCCCTGGGTGGTGCTCGTGGCGGCAGGGCCAGTACTCGAATCAGTGTCCCTACTTTGCTTCTGTGCCCGGGTCCCCCTTGATTGACACACGACCTGTCATCTATTCTGGTCTCTGAAGGGCCTTTGTGCGCCTCTTCTGTGCTGCACGAGGCGCTGATTTTTACGGCCTGTCCTTTGCAGAGGAAGCTTCTCTCATGAATTTCTCAATTTTTGTGGCAAGGAGGGTCCCCAAAGCCTGGACATGTCAGCAACACTCCTGTCTTTTCCAAACCTCTCCACGCATCGCCACCAGGAAGCGGGGCAGCAGGCTGAAGCTGGGACCCTCACTCTGCCCCTTAGAATGTGAGCAAGGGAAAGTCCCAGAGCAGATCCCAGGGCACTACCGGGCCCTTCCCTCATCTGTAAAGGAGCTCCTTCCTCCCAGGGCCAGAGGAGGCAGCGTGTGGTAAGTGTTGAGCAGGTGTAATTATACATTTAATTACTGCCCTCACTAAGGAAAGTGTGCAGCTGTGTCCACCGGTGGGTGGTTCTCAACCAGGGGTGGTTTGGCCTTTGGGACATCTGGCCATGTCTGGAGACATTTTTGGTTGCCATGATGGAAAGCAGGTGCTACTGGCATCTAGCGGGTCAAGGCCAGGGACGCCGCTCGACACCCCATAGTGTAAAGGTTGGCCTTCACCTGCCCAGCTAGAAGGATCCAACCCCGAATGTCAGAGGCGCTGGGTTAGAGGAAGGCCGGAGTGGCCGTCTGTCTTTGTGGAGGGAGGGCCTGTGTCTGTCTCGCTCACTGTCACATCTCCAACACGTAGTGCGGGTTTCACAAATGGTTCTTGACACATGGGCGTGTGCTGGCTGCCCACCGGAGCTGGTCAACACGGTTCCCACTTCTAAGGCAGGCAGTGACCTGTGCTGGACCTGACACGGGCTTTAGGGGCTCAGAGGATGGGGACGAGGGCTCCATAGAGTGGGGGGGGTCAGCTCGTCCCTGATGGATAAGGAGGATGCTGGTGACCACCTCGGGCTGGGGCTTGGAGACTGGTTTGGGGTAGGTGGGAGATGGGGGTGTTCAGTGCCCCCAGGGTGGCAGATGGGGCTACGCTGAAGGTCTCCAGATGCTAATGGGGGCTTTTGTGCAGCCACTAGGAAAACAGTGATTCCAGACAGCTGTGCCTGCTCAGCCCGGGCAAGGCCACGAGACTCAGCCAAGGAGCAGCTTCGCTCAGGGCGAGCCTGCTCTTCCGAAGGCCCGGGTGAAGGTGGGGACTTGGGCCTTTCTGAAACCTAAGGTCGTTCCTTCAAGGGTTCCTTTCATTTCCTGATTCTGATGTCAGCTGAGATCCTTTCTCTTCCTCTAAGGCAGGAAAACCTGTAGGGCCTAGAGGTCAACAGCAACTGCCCTCTGGGATGGCTGCCCCCTGCCCCAGCCGGGAGCGGGAAGGGCAACAGCACCGGAAGGCGGGAGGCAGGCAGTGGGTATGTGTGTGGGGGGGCTCTGCCCGCCTTTGCTGTGTCTGTGCCGTTTCAGGCAAGTCCCTTCAGCTCCTTGAGCCTCAGTTTCCTCACCTGGCAAATGGGGTGGGAAGACGCAATGTGATGTTTTCTTGCTAAAGAGCCTCAGCTGCTGCAGAATGGGCCTGGGGGAATCACCTCCTCCCCACCTTCCGCTTGGCCGGGCTGGCGCCTAACACGCGTAACTTCTCCCCTGCCAAGAGGAGACGCTGGTGGGAAGGCAGCCTGACTGCTGACATCAGCCCAATCTTGACTTCTAGGGTAAGCACCCTGCTTTTCTCTACACTTTTACTGCCAACTAGTCCCTAAACACTTATCTTGAGTGTTATATCAACAGGCGTAGAGAGTACACGCTCCTATGTGTCTGATTTCTTTTGCTCAGCCCTAGGCGGGGTGAGCCCCCAACTGCTGCGTGTAGCTGGAGTCGCTCCTTCACTGTCCCCGCTGCATTCTATGGTATGACTGTGCTATCACTGACCCACTCTCCCATGGAGGGGCACCTGCTTGGTTTCCAGATTTTGGCTGTCACTGTGGGACCTGCAGTGAGTGGTCGTGCACAGGTGTACCTCTTTCAGAGCGGGCTTTCTGAGTCACAGGTGCATGCACATTCAGCGTGACGACCTGCTGACCTGCTGACAACCTGGGTTTCGTAGAAAGGTCATCCTCTTCCAGATACTCTTAGAGAGTTTAAGGAAACAACCTGTGACTAAGTGACCTTTCATGGCACGAAGGACATTACAGATGTGATCCTGAGTTGGGGAGAGCAGCCTGGATTATCCGGGTTGGCCCTGTCAATCGAGAGGGCCGGTCTCCCACGGGTCGCCCTAGTGCACACGGTAATGGGCAGCACGAGGGTTTCCGTGGCTCCGTATCCTCACTAACACTCAGTACTTTCAGTCGTTTATGTTTTAGCCATCCTGGTGGGCGGAGCGGTGCTCATTTTGGTTTAAATTTGCACTTTTCCGATGACCGGTGGGGTTGGGCTCCTTGCCTGTTTCTTGGTGAAGTGCCGCTTTAGGCTGTCCAGCTTCTCCACTGCATTTCATCCTTCCCTGGTGGACACATGGGTGTTCCCGGGGATCAGAAAGGGGGCCCACACCGTGCTGCAGAGCTGGCATCTGCTCGAGTGGCTGCTGCCTGCAGCTAAGTATTTTGAATATCCGCCTGCCTACTCTGTGTGCGTCCTCTTGGTAAATAGAAGCTATGGTGGAAACCAGGAGAAGGTCTAAGTCTCAGACATGACAGCGGGTCCCACATGGGACTCCAAGGGATTCCATGAGGGAGTCCGGCCATCACTCAGCCTGGTGCTGATTCCTGCTGCTCGCCCGGGTCTTCCTGGCGGTTTCTAACACCAGCCCCAGGCTCCTCACCACATAGGCCCATCCCTGCCCAGCCTGGACCGAGGTTCCTGCCATCCCCTCCTAATCCAGCTGCAGTCACAGTTAGCTGCATCTGTGCTCCCTACATGAGGGAGCCTTGTTTAGGGGGCTGGGCAGTGCTGATCCCAGAGCCGTACTCTTCCCAGAGGGAATGCATCACAGAAACATGTTTAAACTTGGCCTTGAGGTAAAAAAAAAAAAAAAAAAAAAGAGTGTCAGATGGGAAGGCAAGCATGACCTCCGAGGCCCACGGGGCATGCTGTGTCTGGGAGGTGGCTGTGCTGTGCAGGCACGGTGAGGGGTGTGATGGTGAGGTTGGGTAAGAGCCACAGTGGGGAATGGCCTTGAATGCCGGATTGTGTGTTAGGTTTATTCTTCGGCAATGGGACGCCATCAGAGATGTAAGACATGAGAGGGCACCAGGCTGACGTGGGTGACCTTAGGCTCTGACACTTTCTAGTGAGCTGAGCATGTATGGGTCACCTGGCTTTCCGGAGCCTCAGTTTCCTTATTTGCAAAACAGGGATGATGTTGGTAGTTTCTGTGGCTCCACGTGCTTGTGTGGGGCTCTTGGGTGAGTGCCTGCACCTGACTCGCACGTGGCTCTCAATGAATTCTCAATAAATCCTATGACTACATCAAGGCAGGGGCTAGAGGGTCAGGGGTGTGTTCTGGAGATGTCCGGGCGGTGTGTGGCTGAAGGGCAAGAGAAAGGAGAGACTGCGGCTGGGAACCCATATGGGAATGCTGAGTGTCCAGGCCACCCAGTAAAGGGTCAGGGAACCCAGGTTCAGAGCTGGGACGTGGGGCCCACAGCGGGTGCTCCTGCATTTGCCCTCCCCAGCTCATGGTCTAGGAAAAGGAAACAGGGGAGGGCTCCTTATCCAGTCTCGGGGCCACAGAGGGATTTGGATGGAGGGCAGGTAGGGTTTGATCCAGGACTCAAAGAACTGAGAGGAGCTAAGATGACAGGGAGGGAGTGGGCATGACAGAGTGAGAAGGACCAAGGTCAGAGAGCACATGGTGTGAGGGGAATGGTGAGGGGTGGAGGACGCCGTGCCACGAGGGCAGTGAGAAACAGGCCGGGCCACTACGGTGACGAGCTTGGTCTTTCCTTCCTGGACTTTGTCTTAATTCAGCAGCTCACATGGCATCGCAAAGCTCACTGGTGGCACCTCAGGAAGCTCTGCGCCACTTGGCAATCATGAATAAAGCTGCCGTAAACATCTGTGTGCAGGTTTTAGTGTGGACATACGCTTTCAACTCATTCGGGTAAACACTTGAGAGCACGGTTGCTGGATCGAATGGGAAGAGTGTGTTTAGTTTTGCAAGAAACTGACGGGCTGTCTTTTAAAGTGGGGGTGCCAGCTTGCATCCTCATCCAGGAGCAATGGATGACAGCTCCTGTTGCTAAGAAGCTTTACGTTCAACCCTTGGATCTGTTTTGATTCAGCCAGGTGAGGCCATTCTTGCCTCTGACACCAGGGTGGCAGGATATTGATGTGGCCGAGAGCTTGCGCTTTGCTGCCATGTGAACGTGAACTAGTCATTCGGCGTGTCCACCCCAGGCCTCGTTTTCCCGTCTGTGGACAGAACATGAGGATAGGATTTAACTTGTGGGGATGCTGGTAGAACACATGGGTCATGGAGCGGCAGCTGGGGGAGAGGAAGCCCTGGATAAACATTAGCCACCACTGTAACTGATAGTGGGTTTTGTAGAAGGGTCATCCTATTACAGAGACTCTTAGAGAGTTCAAGGAAACAACCTGTGACTATGTGACCTTTCATGGCACGAAGGACATTACAGATGTGACTTTGAGTTGGGGAGAGCAGCCTGGATTATCCGGGTTGGCCCTGTCAATCGAGAAAAATGACACGTGTCCGTCACTTTATGAGGTTTATTCGACAAAGTTAAGGATGCGCATCCGTGACACGACCTCGGGAAGTCCTGACGACATGTGCCCAAGGTGGTCGGGGCACAGCCTGGTTTTATACATTTTAGGGAGACATGAGACATCAATCAATACATGTAAGAAGTACACTGGTTCCATCCAGAAAGACGGGGACAGCTCCAAGCAGGAAAGGGGTTTCCAGGTCACAGGTAGGTGAGACAACTGGTTGCATTCTTTTGAGTTTAGAGACAACCGGTTGCATTCTTTTGAGTTTCTGGTAAGCGAGGCAATCAGAATATGCATCTATCTCAGTGAGCAGAGGGATGAGTTTGAATAGAATGGGAGGGAGTTTTGCCCTGAGCAGTTCCCAGCTTGAAGGGACCCAAGAGATTTTTCCTTTCACAGCCCCACGTCATCGCAGGAGTCGTTGTGAGAGGGAGGCAGGAGGGTCAGGGTCAGCAAGGAGATGGTTGATGGAGGCGGAGGTCAGGGCGATGCGACCGCTGGCTTTGAAGATGGCCGTGAGCCAGGGACTGCAGGTGGCCTCTAAAGGCTGGAGAAGCGAGGAAACAGATTCTCCCCTAAAGCCTCCAGAAAGGAACCGTTCTGCCCACACTTTGACTTCTCAAAACTGTAAAAGAATGAATGTGTGTTGTTTCAAGCCACTAAATTTGTGGTCATTTGTTACAGCCGCCATAGGAATCTCACACAGAACCTCAGAGAGCAGGTGAGAAAACTGAGGCCCAGAGCGTGGGTGCCCGGAGCCCAAGGCTCCACTGAGGACATGTGCCACCCCCGCATCCCCTGAATCTCCTTGTTCTCACCTGGCTTCTCTTTTGTCCTTTTCATCAGTCCAGAGCACCGACTTTCTCAAAGGGGAGCTGTACTCTGCCCCAAGCACTTTGGGGACCCTGGGGTGAAAACCCCAAGGCTGAAAATAGCTCTGCACCTTGCTTGGTTACGTTTCTGCTTCTCCCCCTCTGTGAGGTCGATGGCTCACAAAGCCACTTCCTCCTGACTCGCTTCTGCCACCCTCGTCTTGCCTGGCATCTGCCTTCCTCCCGTGGCTGCCTCATGGGTTCTCTCTCTGTTATCCCAAGCTCTCAGCCATCCTGAGGTTGTCCTTGAGGTCTCTTTCCTTGGAAAAATTCCCAACACGTTCCCAGGCTGGGCAGCGGTTAGGGATTTCTGGGGTAGACGTTTTTTGTCTATTTTTTTTTTCTTTTCACTATTATGATCTTCCTCGTTTTGAGGTTAAAGTCGGTGTTTCCTTTCTCTGGGTGTGAGAATCGACCATGATGCTGTCACAGCCAAGACATTTCCTCTCAAACCACGGTGAGCGCAGAGGTTTCACAAGAAATTTTCCTTCCCGTCCATCATGTTCTTGGGCTTGAACGAAAGGTTATTTGTAGTTGGAAAGTCTGAACGACATCATCAGACACGTTGTCTTAGGTTGTGTGGGAAGAAAAGAATCAGTTTAAACGAGGCTTACAATTTCGGTTGCATTTCAAATGGGATTGCTTTAAAAATGCCAAGCACATAAGAAGAGCCTGTGCCTAGAAACTCAAACAGAGTGGATGCTGACTGCGTGTCCAGTCCACTCCCGGGGCACAGAGCAGGCACTCGAGCGATGGTTGTCGAATGAACAACCAAATGGGTGAATGCGTGAGTGGGTGAGCAACACATTCTGAAGTGACCGGAATGTTCTGGAACTGATCACCATCTTCTGCTAATGCTGACTCATGTTCTGACTTTGAACCGTTCATTAGGCGAGAGCTAACTACCTTGAGAGGCTCCTGGTGATCGTAACTCTTGCTGAATGGGGACCAAGAGGCACTTCAGTGTAATTAGTTCCAGTTCCATGACCCAAAGAGGCCTGAGCGGCAGCACGTTTCCAACACATGGCCTGCTCCAGGTCTTGAAGAAATAGACACAGGCACCACTAACGCTTTGGCTGATAGATTATGCCAGCAATCAAAAGGCTCTGTGGAGGATCTGGTGTACAGGGAAGATAAACGTGTTTATTCTGTCTCATGCCCCTTCTTGAGCCAATCACTGTCAAGGGGGATGGGGGACCTTAGAGAGTGATGGGGATTCATAGCTGGGTGTGAGGATGGGGACTCTTCCCCTCAAGTCTATAGAGGAGGACTGGACATCTGCACAAAATCAGGGTTCTGTGAACAAGGAAGAAAGGAGGAATGTCCTAGTGACAACTGAGCATCTTCCTAATTAGGACGGCAACTCAAGGTTGTTGAGAACCTGTGAACATACCATGCCACCTAACCCTCCCAACATCTTGCAAGAGCATCGTTCCCACTGTCTAGATAAACAGACTGAGGCCAGGTACAGTGGCTCAATGCCTGTAATCCCAGCACTTTGGGAGGCCAAGGTGGGCAGATCACTTGAGCCCAGGAGTTCAAGACCAGCCTGGGCAACCTAGGGAGACCTCATCTTCACAAAAAAATTAAAAAAAAAATTAGCCAGGTGTGGTGGTGTGCACCTGTAGTTCCAGCTACTTGGGAGGCTGAGGCAGGAGGATCACTTGAGCCCTGGAGTTTGAGGCTGCAGTGAGCTGTGATTGCACCACTGCACTCCAGCGTGGATGATAGAGGGAGACCCTGTCTCAAAAAAAAAAAAAAAGAAAAAAAAAGAAACGGAGACTCAGGGACCAGGCTCGGGTGGCAGTCCAGGATTCTCATAGAACTTGGCCACTGATGGGAACAGTGTTGCTTCACCTCCGACGTGCATTCTCCCTTTTCTCCTTGCTCATAGAGTCCTAATCTTGTTCAGCTATCGAGTCCTCCTCTGTATGGTTCAGTGGGAGGGGTCCCCATCCACACTACCAGCTATGAATCTTTATCCCTCTCTAAGGTCCCTCACCCTCTCGACAGTGATTGGCTCAGGAAGGGGCATGGGACTGAATAATGGCCAATGAGCTGAGAGGAAAAACACCTGCTGGGGCTTCCAGGAAGGTCCCTCCTTCCTTGCCACCTGGTGTGTCCAGAGGATGGGATGGAAATGGGGCCACCATGTTGCTGCCAGCCAAGGATGGCACTGACACGTGGAGACGGGAGTGGCAGAGCCTAAAGTGCCAGCTCCAGGCTGCCTTGATTTAGGACTCTGTGCGAGGCAGACCTTCCCTTGAGTTGGAGTCAAGGAACCTGACTCTGCTCCTTGCAGCCCGAGGCATCCTGAGGGACATTATCGGACTTCTCTTCCTCACCTCTTTCCCACCCCTTTCCTTGCCAATTAGAAAAGCTTGAGGACTCTAGAGCCTTCTGTTCCTGCCCTGGCCCCATCATTTACAGAAATGGCCCCACCCCTCTGGGCCTCCACTTGTTCAGCTATAAAATGGGACTCTCCTGCCTTGCCCACTTGGCCGTGTTGCTGGAGTGAAAACGAGGTATCACATGCAAAGTAAGGCACTTTCAGAATGCCACTGGGCTAGAAAGAGTGAGAGAGGGTGAGCCACCTTTCCTATCATGCCATTTCTGGCATTGCCACAGAACCCAGCACCCCACAGAGAATGGCACCTTGATGGATGGGCAGTGCTGTTTGCTCTTGGGTGTCTTCCTAATTCTCCTTTGACTGGTCTGCATAGTTTTTGTGCTGGTTAATTGTATTTGGTGATGATAATACCAAGCCTTAATCCTCCCGGGGAGAGGGATGACCACAGCCGGCGGGCCATTTGCAGAACATTCCTTTGACGACAGCATTGCAGGGCCTTGTATGCATTGTCCCAGCCCTGAATCAGTTAGAGGTGTTTGTTGTAAACAGCAAATGCCAACTGTGGTTAAGGTGCATGGGACCTCATAGAAGGATGTTGGGTGGGTGGACAACAGGTCCTGCTCCCTTGCTTCTTGGGTACTGGTTACAGAGTTGACGCCACCTGTGGAGGTACCTGGGGAACCTCAGTCACGTGGCTGCACTCTAGCTGCAAAGGAGGCTGGGAGAATGAGTGTCTGGCATGTCCTACTCCCTTCTCACGGGAGGGGAAATCCTGTAAACAGCAGAGGGGCTCTTAGGCTGGGGTGCCCGCATTAGTGACAAACAGCCCCTACAGCGTAACGATGGACACTGACTGAGTAAATGAAAGTGGCCCGTAGTTCACCCCCCAGATATCTTTGTTCAGTTGTTTTGATGGCCTATCTAGTGTCTGAGAGTGTACGGGTTGGAAGGGGACTGAGAGCAAGGGCTCTCAGCATTTTTCTCTTGGTAACCTGCTTTTAAACACTGAAATTTGTGGCCAATCATCTGAAAGATTAAAAGCCTGAAAATAATAGCAAATAAATCAGCGAGAAGAGCGTTGAGCGATGACTACAGTTTAACAGTCTCTCCCTATGTCCAAAAAAATGCTTAGAGCCCTTGTCACCTTTCGTCCCTGTCACTGGCTGAGCAGATGTCTCTGGCCCTCGCTGTAGGCTCTTGCACACTCATTGTATTGGCCTCCCATAGCTGCTGTAATAAATAAGCGCAGATTTATGAATAATACAAATTTAGTCTCTTTCACCGCTGGAGGCCAGAAGTGCAATGTCAGTCCTAGTGGGCTCAGATGAACATGGGGGCTTTGTTCTTCCTGGAGGCTCTGGGGGAGAATCTGTTTCCTTGCTTCTTCCGCCTTCTACAAGCCACCTTCACTCCTTGGCTTGTGGGCCCTCCCCCTACTTCCAAAGCCAGCGATGCCAGGTGAGTCCCTCCCACATCCCACCTCTCTCTCTTCTGCCTCTTCTCCACTTATAAGGACGCTGTGATGACAGTGGGTCCACCCACATAATCCAGGATAAACTCCCTCTTTTAAGGTCAGCTGATTAGCAACCTTGATTCCATCTGCAACCTTAATTCCCCCCTGCTGTGTAACCTAACCTGTCTATAAGTTCCGGGGTTAGGACATGGAGGTCTTGAGGATGGGACACCATCATTCTGCCTGCCACACTCCACAAGGCAAATCTTTCCCAAGTTCTAGGACCTACAGAGTGTTTCCTTCCATCCTGTGTCTTGTAGCTACCTGTGCTTTGTTCCACTACAGAACGTTCAGCTCAGTGTTTTGTCTTGTAATACTTGGTTAATTATTTAACAATTCCACGGATGTTTGCTAACCACCCACATGCCAAGCCTGGGTCCACATCAATGAGTAAAACATGGAGTTTCTGTCCAGCCGTGCTCCCTGTCTCCTGGGTAACAGTGACCGTCTTTGGAACATTGCCTGGTTCATCTCCTTTAGTTGCAAACAGTGCTGTGAGGTCATCATTATTGTCATTCCCATGTTACAGATGAGGAAGCAGAGGCACAGAGAAGTTAAGCGGCTTGCTACTCACCAGCATAGTCCAAGTCCAGGGCTCCTGCGCGTAACCATCATTCCTCGACGCTACGCTCACTGCAGAACTTATTGCTCTTACAGGACAACACTGACCTTGACGTTGGTCAAGATTCGGCAGCCGTCCACCAAAGGGCAGCTGTGGATTAGCCTGACACACTGCTCTGTTTCGGGAGGACAGCTCTCAGCAACCAGTCCTGGCCTCTGTCTATGGAGATTTGGACACTGGAGTCCAGAAGGTCGCTAAGCTAAAGGACACATAGCTTGAGCTAGAATCCAGGTGTCCAGAATCTGGTAGCTTTCTCCTTCTGGAGCCGTGGAATCTTGTGGTTGACGGTGACCTCAGAGCATCATGCTCAGTTTTCCCACCTAGAGTAGGAACCCCAGCCACAGCACCGTCGGCTCATGGTCACTCAGCGTCCTTAAGTGCCCAGTGCAGCTTAACTCGGGCTGGTTGTGGACCCAGCCCAGAGCGACTGCAGAACCACAGCCCTTCCTGCTACGGCCGCACCACCCACGTCCACAGTGAAGCTCGGCCACTTGCCCCTGGCCACGCATTAGGGAGCTTCAAAAAAGATCAGTGCCTGCACCAACCCAGGCTGCAATTTGAATCTCTAGAGATGAGGCCTGGGTATCTGATTTTTTTTTTTTTTTTTTTTGAGACGGAGTCTTGCTCTGTCACCCAAGCTGGAGTGCTGTGGCGCAATCTCAGCTCACTGCAAGCTCCACTTCCCGGTTCACGCTATTCTCCCACCTCAGCCTCCTGAGTAGCTGGGACTACAGGCGTCTGCCACCATGCCCGGCTAATTTTTTTGTATTTTTAGTAGAGACGGGGTTTCACCGTGTTAGCCAGGATGGTCTCGATCTCCTGACCTTGTGATCCACCTGCCTCGGCCTCCCAAAGTGCTGGAATTACAGGCGTGAGTCAGCGCGCCCGGCCGGGTATCCGAATTTTTTAAAGCATATAGACTTTGTTTTTTAGCACTGTTTTACAGATAAATTGAGGAAATAATACAAATGGTTCCCATCTACCTGCCTTCAGCTTCCCCTTTTACTAACATCTTACATTAGCATGGTGCATTCGTTCTAATTAATTAACCAATAAGGATACATGATCATTAACTGAAATCCACACTTAATTCCAATTTCCTCAGATTTCCCCTCGTGGCTGTTTCTGTCCCAGGATCCCATCCAGGATTCCACGTGACAGTCATTGGGTTTCCGTGGGCTCCTCTTGGCTGACAGTTTCTGGGACTTTGCCTGTCTGTGATGACGCTGATGGTTTTGAGGACTGCTCGGGTAGAATATTTTGTAGAAGATCCCTCAGTTTGGGCTTTTCTGATGTTTTTCTCATGGTTAAACTGGGGTTATCGGTTTTTGCGGGAAGATCTCAGATGAAAGTGCTGTTCTCATCACTTCCTATCCATGGTCCATGCTGTCCGTGTGACTTACCACGGTGGACGTTGACCTTGGCCACCTGGCTGGCTGTTGGGTTCTCCACTGGAAGTTTACTCTCTTCCCCCTTCCCATACTGCACTCTGGAAGAAAACCAAAGCCCAGACTCACTAAATCCATTAAAGAACTTTCCTGAGGTAACAGAGCCAGGGAATAGTAAGTGGCTCAGGCCCTGGCCTCTCTCCCTTGGGAAACTGTGCTCTGAGGACCATCTGGTCTACCCAGGAGAGAAGCGGCTGAGGCAGCCTCTGTGGCCTTTCAAGCCCTGGTCTTCAAGGAGTTTTGACACAACCAAGATGCCCTTCATTTAGCAGCTATGCAAGACGTTCGCTAGAAAGTGAACATCTTTTCAAAAGCCGAGGAGCGTGGGTTTTGTGCTCTGTAAAGGTCTGCGTGGGCTGGCCCTGCTCATCCACCCCAACCCCTGATTCCTGGCTCTCTCTTGTTTCCCCTTGCTGTCCTGGCTCCAGGCACACTGGCTTTCTTCCACTTTCTCCAGCATGTCATGTCCCCTTCCATCTACCCTGGGGCTTTGCACGTGCCATGTCCTCTGCCTGGAATCCACTCTCTTTCCTCCTGTGCTGGCTAACTCCTGTTTCCTTCAGAGTCTACCTGAAGCAGGGTCTACCTCTTTAGGAAAACCTTTCCTGACCACCCTCCAGATTAGGGCTGCCCCCATTGCATATGCACAGGGCTCGCCACCTCAGCATGCATACGCTCCTGTGTGGGAGCTTTTCTTTTTGTTTTTTTTTTTGAGATGGAGTCTCGCTCTGTCACCCGGCTGGAGTACAGTGGTGCAATCTCGGCTCACTGCAACCTCTGCCCCCTGCAACCTCTGCCCCCTGGGTTCAATCAATTCTTCTGCCTCAGTCTTCTGAGTAGCTGGGACTACAGGCGTGTGCCACCACACCAGGCTAATTTTTATATTTTTAGTAGAGACGGAGTTTCACCATATTGGCCAGGCTGGTCTCGAACTCCTGACCTCATGATCCGCCCGCCTCAGCCTCCCAAAGTGCTGGGATTACAAGCGTGAGCCACCACACCTGGCAGGAGCTTTTCTTTTCTTTTTATTTTTTTAGAGACTGGGTTTTTCTGTGTCACTCAGGCTGGGGTGCAGTGGTGATCACAGCTCACTGCAGCCTCAAACTCCTGGCCTCAAGCAATCCTCCTGCCACAGCCTCCCAAGTAGCTGGGACTACAGGTATGCACCACCATGCCTGTTTTTTTGTTTGTTTGTTATGTTTGTAGAGATGGGATCTCATTATGTTGCCCAGGCTGGTCTTGAACTCCTGGCCTCAAGCGATTCTCCCACCATGGCCTCCCAAACTGCCAGGATTGCTGGTGTGAGCCACGCCTGAACAAGTTTTTCTTTTTAATTAGCATGTTTCCCCTATAAGACAATAAGTTCAAGAAGGACTAGACTGTGTCTGTCTGTGTTTACTGCTGTATCCCTAGAGCCTGTGTCTTAGAAGCATCTGGAACATGAGAAGTGCTCAGCTCAGTAGATGTCTGTTGAGTAAAATGAATGAATGAGGAAGCCTTGGGCATTAGTTGCCTGGACACTATAGAAGGATAATCCTCACCATTAGAATTCATATTATCTTGTCTTTTAATTTTTTCCATTTTTCCTTCCCTTAGGGGGCATTTAGGAGTACATTTCAGTGGGGATGAAATGAAATTTTTAAGTCAATTAATTTGGGATTTTTAGTCTTACACCCCTGTCTTAGCCTCATCTATCTGGGTTTTATCAAGCCAGAGTGAGAGTTAAATTAGAAGGGCCTGACCCTTGTTGATTTTGGAGCTCCATGACTCAGAGTCACAGTGTCTCAGAGACCACATATGGTCCATGGCTCTTCTTTAGGCAGAACAGTTAGTGTGTCAGTTCTCTATTGTTGCAAAACTAACTGCCCCAAGCTCAGTGGCATAAATGACAACCTCTTTATTCTATCTCATAACTTTGCAGTCAGCCGTTTAGGCAGGGCTCAGCTGGCTGGGCGTTCTGCTTTCCTGGCATTGATGGGGGTCCCTCAGTGGGACTCAGCTGGTTGATGGCCTGCTCTGGATGGACCAAGGTGGCTTCACTGATGGGGATGATAGGAGGGCTGTCAGCTCTCTGTCTCCACATTGCCTTGGGTCTCTCCATGTGGTCTCTTCAGCAGCATAAATGGACTTCTTCCATGGTGGCTCAGGACACCAAGAGAACATGTTCTAGGAGGCAGGAAGAAGCAGCTCGCAGATTCTTAAGTCTCACGCCTAGAAACGGACACAGCATCACTTCTACCTATGCTGCTGGTCAAAGCAGGCACAGAGCCCACTGGATTGAAGAAAGAGGCATAGACCCCCACCTTTAAAGGGCTGAGTGTCAGAGAACTTGTGGCCAACATTAATCCACCACAACTGGTCATACCTGGGCTTGAATTCTTGAAGGATGGGGGAGCTCTATTGCACACAGAGCTGCTTTTTCCATTGCAGAGAGACTTGGATGGTGAAAACATTGATCTTTTCTGTGGAGTGGTTTCCTCTCTCCCTATTAGTCCACAAATTTGTCTGGGTCTGAACAGCTATTTGGAGTCTGGCCTCCCCCGAGAACTCTGTTGGAAAACTACAATCTCTTTCTTGGGTCGAATGCAGGTCCCCTGTGCTCTTAGGTTGTACACTTTAGCTCCACTTTGTGGTCTACTGGGATCAGCAGGTCCATCCTGTGGGTTAGCCCTGTCCAAAGGTCCCCGGCCACCAAGGGCAGAGCCAGGACTCAAAGGTGGCTGTGAGTCTGTGTGAGTCCCACAACTGCAATTATAAGCATTTGGCTGCATTTCCTCTCACACTGGTTCTGTTAGCTGTCAAGTGATATGGTTTTCAGAAACAAAGTTCACCCACTCACTCATATTCATTCACCCACCCACCCATTCATCATCCATCCATCCATCTACTCAACCATCCATCCACTCATCTACCCATTCATCACCTCCCCACCTCCACATGTATCCTCCGTCCATGTATGGAGCCAAGCACCTACAGGCTCAGGGCACAAGGTCAAAGGAACCCACTGTCTTGGTGACCCCTCACGATTCTCACCCATCTCCCATTTGGAGCCTCTGGTCTTTAGGAATTTGCTGTCCCTCTCCTGATCTCTCTGTGGCTGCCCTGTGCTGGGGGCAGATGATGGTTCAAGGTTGGATCCTCACATTTGCATTTTCTACCCTTTTGGTCTCAGTGTTGCCGTGGAAACTTTTCTGGAAGTCTTAAAAAAACTGAAGAAAAAAACCATACAGGAAATTGTGTCTTGTGTTCTTTGTAGCGAATCTTGTGCTAATTTTGAACCCAGCTTTATTTTTCTTTATTTTTTAACACCAAATCTTGAGTGTGAAGATAGAAGCTTCCTCCAGTGAAGCAGCAGCCCCGGCACTGGGCCTGCAGTGGAGACCGGGAATGAGAGAAGCCCCTGGCGTGGGCTGGCAAGGACGCAGAGCACGGAGAGCACCTGGGGCAGGGCCGGCGCCAACGGCATAACACATGCTGCTGCTCCTCTCCCGCGGGGCCCATGGAGATGGCTGGAAGCAGCCCAACGTCAGGGCAGGTGAATAGCATGAGCACACATGCTGGGCATAGCTGGGTACAACTATGAGGAGGCATGAACAGCTATGAGTGCCACTTGGTGACAGGTGGCCTAGCTGGAATCTTGGCTCTGCCAGCCACAAGCTGTGGGACTGTGGGCCAGTGATCCCATCTCTCTGTGCCCCACCTTATTCATCTGTACAGCAGGATGATACTGATAGTACCTGTGTCTCAGGGCTGTTATGAAGGTGAAAGGAACACATCCAAGGGCTGTTCCCAGAGGCCGTGAATTCTTTGGTACTTTTGGCTTCTGCCTACGCAGCAAAGGAGTTTCAGGTAGCCAGAGAAGGCTGCCAGGTGAGAACAGGCAGGGTATCCAGCTGGCACTGGGCAGGTGGGTGGGGGGTGCATAAGGATGGGGAGGATGGGTGGCTAGCAGCAACAGAGATAGCACCCCCAAGTCCAAGAGTGCCTGTGCGTGCTCAGATGTGTTGGTGGCATCACCAGGAGGGAATTTCAGGTCACTTTCTGCCATCTCCTTGGGCTGTGCTGGTGTGTCCTGGGTCTTCTCATGGGACCACGTCTACTCCCACGATGTAGCTGCCACCCTTGGCTGACAACTTCCAAGTCCTTGTCTTTAGCACCAGTACAATGGATTCTCGAACCATCTGAGGAATACCCTCTGAACTGCTCTGCCCAGACAGCCTGCAGGCACCTCACTCTCAAAACGTCTTAACCCAAATTCGTCCTTGCAACCCTCTCCCCTCACCCCAAAGCTCCTCCTCCTCCTGGCTCCTAGATCTCGGGTGAGGACAGCTATGAAGTTAGGAACCCACATGCTGCCTGGCTGCCTGGCTGCCCTGCTCCCTCTGGGCCACCACCATCTCTCACCTGGGTTATTGCCGTAGTGGGGTAACTGGTTTCCCTGCAAACATTCGGCCACCCTTCCTGTCTGCTTCCTACACCTCTGGCAGAGCTATCTTCAGCCACGCGGGGAGATCACATCACAGCCCCCAACTTAATGTTCTCTAATCCCCAATATGGTGGCCACTAGCCCCACGTGGCTATTTAAGTTTAAATTAATTAAAATGAAGTCATGACAGCTTCCCAGCTGGCCTCCAGGTCTCCAGGCTGCCTGCTGTGCTCCATTATCCACATGAGCGCCACAGGGAATGTCCTAGAACCTGGCTCTTGTGGGGCCAGTGCCCACCTCTCACCCTCAGTGGCCTCAGCGCACCATGGTTCGTAGGGGCACTCACCCACCAGGTCAGCCTCCTCCCGCCTCCCTTCTGCGTGGCTCCCTCTCAGCCCTGCTCCTGCCTCCCCCTTCCGTTGCACTGCCTGCCTCCATGCTGGCCTCCTCCCTCCTCCCTGTGCTGGTCCACACCTGCTCCCCTCCAAGACCCCAGGGTGACATATTGCTGACTGCCTCAGGAAAACAGCTTCCTCCTCTGCACGCATCAGATCTTTGCTCTTTGTGTGAAGGTCACGGCGCTGGGATCACCCAGGCTTGGGGAACCTGGCAGGGCTGCAGATGGATCACCAGGCTAATGAAGCTGGAACTCCAGGTCTCCTTTCTTGCCTGCTCCCTTACAGGGCACATGCGGCACATTTTGTGTTTTTATCCTGAAGAGGGACCCTATTTAGGTTGTTTAAGCAGCAAGCTCACAAACCTAGACCCACTCTGGGCTGGACTTGGCCCTGATGATGCCAGTCTTCTCATCTGTGAAATAAGAGTAAGAAGACAGCCTTGTGGGATGGCTCTGACTAGCAAAGAAGGACATGACCAGCCCATTCTCAGCAAAACGCCCAGCGTGTGGTGGTGAAACACCTCAATGTTGCATAATATTTGTTTCATTGATAGAGAAAACAGGTGTTCAGTAAATCCTAGTTATTATGAGAATTACTAATACCCATTGATGGGCATGCTGACTTCACCCTCTGCAACCTGGTGAGGTGGGCATTACTGGTGCCCCGTTTTACAGATGAGGAAACTGAGGCTGACAGAGGAGAAATGATTTTGCGTGTCAGGCAGCTGCTGCCCACGGGTGGAGCCAGGTCCGGGTGGCTCAGGAAACTGCGACCCTTTCTGGGACGGTGCTGTCCCCCGAGTGAGACCATCGAGAGGGCACTCCGCGTGTAGAGCATTCCCGTCTCGCGCTGAGGCGCGGCACCTGTGGCCTGCCCTGGCTCCCGTCCCTGGCTCTTCTCGTTTCTATTTCAGCTCTCTTCATTCTGACTTTCGTTTTATCTCAGATCCCTACCTTCACACTCACATAAGAGAAGAGTGAAGTTTCGGGGACTCCACACCTCAAGGTAGTTCCACCGTGCGAGGTGCTGCGCTCACAGTATTACTCATGCACCTTTCTGATAAGAAAAGTGAAAATGTGAAGTTGAAAACTGAAGACGCCCAGCAACTTCCTGAATCCAGCCCTCCACGTCCTGCCCTACGGGACGGACGACTCCCAAAGAGGAATCGTTGGTGGAAGTCCCATGTTTCGTTGCCGTTGGAAGGGGGAACTGGTCAAGGCAGGTTCGGTTTCAGGATCTCACCTCACCTGGGAGCGGGGAGGTGACGGTCCCCCAGCGGGGCAGTCACGCCGCCCTGGCCTTGAGGCCGGACTCCACACTGCGCTTGGCTAGGGTGGTCCGTCCCTCTCTTGGCCACCTGTGTCGGGCAGCCTGACGCCGCATCTTCCTGAGCAGCTGTCGGCGTTGCCGTGTGGCAGCCACGCTGTTGCAACATGAGCGGCTGAGGTTTCTGAGGCCCCTCCGGCCAGAAGCTGGCCCAGGTGCTGTGGGCAAGACATGTGCGAGAGACTGAATTAGACCCCCTTGGAAAAAAAAACCACGCACACAAACACCATCCTGCCTTTTTTTTTTTCAGGGCTCATCTCTGGACCCACACCCCATAACCAACATGGAAGCCTGGATTTGGCCCTGGATCAGGCTGGCTCCCCAGGGAAGGGTCCAGTCTCTCCGGGGAGACATCCCGACTTCGGGTCCTGCTTTCTCTACTGTAATTCGAGGCTGGCCATGCCCCTCAGTGGGCCTCAGTTTCCTCACCTGTACAGTGGGGAAATCCATAGGACCTACCTCCTGGGAGGGCACTGAGGACCGAGGGAATGAATGCCTGTCCAGTGCTCATGATCGTGACAAGCACTGCGCAGAATAAATCCGGAATAAACGCTCACCGGGTGAGGGAGGGCAGGGAAGATTTCTAAAATCCCCCTGATTTGAGATGAGATCTGATTCACCCACTTAAAAAACCACATTGGGAAATAATTTGAAATGTACAGGAAAGTTGTAAGAATCGCACAAAGAATACTCCCAAACGTTTTGCCCATACTCACCTGTTTTCTGTGGCAACTTTGAGACAGAATTCACACGCCATACAGTTGACCCATCTCAACTGTACAATTCAATGGCCTTTCATAGTCAGAGTTGTGCAACTGTCACCAGGGTCAATTTTAGAACGTTTTCATCACTCTCCTCTCACAAAAAACCCCTCACGTCCCTTGGCTGTCACTCTGCACCTATTAATATTTTTTTGTGTTAAGACTTTTTCTTTGAGATGGAGTCTCAGTCTGTTGCCCAGGCTGGAGTGCAGTGGCGTACATCTCGGCTCACAGTAACCTCCACCTCCTGGGTTCAAGCGATTCTCCTGCCTCAGCCTCCTGAGTAGCTGGGATTACGGGTGCCCGCCTCCACGCCCGGCTAGTTTTTGTATTTTTAGTAGAGACAGGGTTTCACCATGTTGGTCAGGCTGGTCTCGAACTCCTGACCTCGTGATCCACCTGCCTTGGCCCCACAAAGTGCTAGGATTACAGGTGTGAAACACTATGCCCGGTAAATGTTAAGACTTTTATGCATCTTCTTGACCTGTGGTCTTCAGCATTTGAGTCTTAGGGGACCTTTAAAATATTAAGATAGGCCAGGCACAGTGGCTCATGCCTGAAATCCCAGAACTTTAGGAGGCTGTGGTGAGACGATTGCTTGAAGCCAGGAGTTTGGGACGAGCCTGGGCATCATAGTGAGACCCCCATCTTGGCAAAAAAGTAAACATAAAAAATATTAGCTGGGCATAGTGGCGAGCATCTGTAGTTCTAGCTAATTGGGAGGCTGAGGTGGCAGGATCCCTTGAGCCCAAGAGTTCAAGAGTATAGTGAGCTATGATTGTGCCACTGCACTCCAGCCTGGGCAATAGAGTGAGACCCTGTTTCTAAAAAACAAAAGCCATACTAAAATACTCTGCAAAGACCTCATATTCATTTATTCACTCAACAAATGTTTGTTGAGCACCTGTTTTATGCCAAGTCCAATACTAGGAGCTCTGGTTGCAACAGAGAGCAAAACAGACACGGCCCTGCCAGTCACCTGGGGCAGGGAATCCCCCTGCCCCACTCCCTGCAATAATCGATTGTAGAGAAGAATTAGCAAATCACAGCTGAGAAGGGTCTGCTGGAAAACACAGCAGAGGCCTTGACTTTGCCTGATGAATGGAGGTGGGCTTCCTGGCAGAGGGGCGTCTGTGGGTGAGGGAGGAAGTAGGACTGGCTGGTCAGAGGGGACGGCACACAGGAAGCTGCTGAGCAGGCAGGAGTGTGCTCCGTGGAGGAGCTAGGAGGAGGCCAGTTCTTAGCTGGAGGGTGGAGAAGGAGGGCTAAAGCCAAGCATGCAGAGGCCGAGGGATGTGCAGCGCCGGTCAGCCCACGTGAGATCTTTCCTCCCTCTCCGTGGACTGGGAACCTCCATAGTTACCACATGCTGCGCTGACTTCTCTAACACGCTTTGGCCAATGATGTTTCCCTAATCACAGCAGCTCCTCATTTAGAATGTGTTCTTATTTAGGATGCGTTCGAGTCTCTGTGATCTGAACTCCACATGAGGACTCCCTGGGTCCCTCAGGAACCCATGTCCTACCAGTTAGACTCCCTTGTTTTAGACCCCTTATTTCAGCATTTTATAAACTCTGTCCCGTAGGATACTGACCCATTTGCAACTTAGCCAAAAAAATGAAAGTTATGTAGCCAAACAAGCTTTGAAAATACCCCATTTCTTTCTGGACGTTTCACAATGCACAGGAGCATATTAAAGGCTCTGATAAGTCCTGCAGCAAAGAACCAAGTGCTTCCCAAATGCAGTAGTTCAGGGAACCTCTTTGTTCCATTACTCCCATGAAGTTTACAAAACTAGTGCTATGTGGAAAATGCTTTGTAAAACACGGATAATTCTGCAAGTGATCTGCCTGAGTGTGGAATGCAGATATCCAGCCAGAGTCTGTAACTTCAGACATGGTGTGGAAGGCCAATGTGAAAAGCAGGAATAGTAGAATGGTTTTAAAAGGGTTCCCTCTAATTACTCTTGAGTAGGAAAGTAGGAGCCGCCGACACCTGGGAACTGTCCTGGAGCCCCTGGCCGGGCTGGGCCATTCTCCGGTTTGACATAAACCATCTCCCAGAACACCAGCTGCACAGAAGGTCACTCTGAGATCACAGTAGTGAGACAAAGACAGGTCACGGTGTCACCCACAAACACCAATTATCCCCCTTTCCCCACTAAAATGAAGAATGGCTGTTTCTTGACCAATCTCAGCTTTATGCTGGTGCCCGTCTCCCCTCTCTAGAGGTGACAGTGATTGAGGCACCCACTCAGAGAATTGCCCCCTTTCTTTTGGCTTCTGGTCTACTGAGCCCCACTTCCCTAGACCTTCGCCTTCCCACTACCCACCCAAACCCCAAATCCTACAGGGGCTCTTCCCAGCACCCTCTCACCCCGAAGTTCCTATGGGGAGCGTCCACCCTCATTGCAAGGTGGAAGAAACCTGGCTCTTCAACCAAAGGCCCCCAGGGGAGCGTGGCTGGAGGGCACGACACTCTCAAAAATATATAATTCTCTGAACAAAATATACCTCTGTTCCTTTACAAATGAAGCATCTGTTGAAAGTGTGTGGAACTTATTTTGCAAAGATATTCCTTGTGATAAGGCTTGATTCCAGGTAACTCTTTTCAAAGTGAGTCACAGACCAGGAAGTCGTATGGAATGAGTGATGGAAAGATGTATTTTACACGTTGCCCCTCAAGTCCAAACTTGAACTCATGTCTCTCTGAACCAGAGTGGAGCTTCCTTCCATTGCAGCCCCATATATGCTGTCAGGGAGCTAGGGGGCCTGGGAGGGTGGCCACCCTGCACACCGTGTGTTACTGGGTGAGGATTTGCACGTTTGTGGCTGAGGGGAAGACGTTCACGTTGGATAGTTGTAATTTCCAATCCAGGCCCCAACTCTCTATAACTGAGTGACTGTGGGTGAGTTTCTCCACGTTCCTGAACCTCAATTTTCTCATCTATGAAGTGGGGATGCCACTACAAATCAGGTAGCACCTACAAATCAGGTTTAAGGATTTGAGTAGATAACATATGTAAAGTGTTTAGCCAGTACCCTGCCAGCAAATGGTGACCACCACTGTCACTGTTGTCACTGGTATTATCTAGTGGTCAAGGTCAGCGCATCAGCCTTTGGTCAGTGTTCTTTCTCGGTTAGAGGACTTTTTGACCCCGGGTGTCCATGAGGGTCACCTGGGGAACCTAAAAACAATGGACTCCTGGGCTGGCCCCAAGTTTAGGGAGGAACTGGTCCTGGCTGGCTGGGCTGAGAGCTGCTGCTCCAGACCTGGTGCTGGGGAAAGGGATGCGGCTTCCCGTCTGCCCAGTGAGCGAGGGAGAAATGGTTCTGATGACTGCCCGCTGGCCCAGGCCCAGTCTTACTGACCAGGGCCATTGTGAGAGGTGCGCCAGGCCGGCTGCTCCCACAGCTGCTCGAAGCCTGGGGACTGGACATCAGGGTGGCAATGGGTTGGCACCAACCCCCACATCACTCTCTCGGAGATAAAAGTAGCTGCCATCTGCAGGGTGCTTCTGACGTGCCAAATGCTGCTGAGCACTGCGTATGCATGCGTTCATTTCATACCCACAACCCTAGCAGGCGTACGAGCCAGCTTCCAACTGCTGCAGCAACAAACTGCTGAAACTCGGTGTCTTCGTGATATTTATTTGTTTAGAGGCAGAGTCTCACTCTGTTGCTCAGGCTGGAGGGCAGTGGCACAATCTCGGCTCACTGCAACCTCCACCTCCTGGGTTCAAGTGATTCTCCTGCGTCAGCCATCTGAGCAGCTGGGATTACAGGTGTGTGCCACCACGTCCAGCTAAATTTTGTATTTTTTAGTAAAGACAGGGTTTCACGATGTTGCCCAGGCTGGTCTCGAATCCTGACCTCAAGTGATCCACCCACCTTGGCCTCTCAAAGTGCTGGGATTACAGGCCACAGCAAGTGAGAACCACTGTGCTTGGCCCAAACTTGGTGTCTTAGAATGACACAGAGGCCTCTTAGAGTGCTGGAGGTCATGTCTGACGTGGGTGTTACTGGGCTAAAATCAAAGCGTGGGCAGAGCTGGTTCCTTCTGGAGGCTCCAGGGAAGAATCCACTTTCTTGCCTTTTCCACCTTCCAGAGGCAACCTGCACTCCTTGGCTCCTGGCCTCTTCTTCCATCTGTTAGCCGGTTGAGTCTTGACATGGCCCCCCTCCAGCCCTCTCCTCTCTTACTTTAAAGGGACTTTGTGATTTCATTGGGTCCACTTGAAAAGTCCAGGATAATTTATTTTAAAATCAGCTGATTAGCAGCCTTCATCCCACCCTCACTGTCGTTCCCCGCTGCCAGGTCACCGGACATAGTCACAGGCTCTGGGGACTGGGCTGTGGACATCTGGGGGACTAATGCCTCCACATCTGTTCTTATTGTTTCCATTTCACAGAGGAAGACACCGAGGCTCAGAGTGATTAAATGGTGGCTTGACTAAGGCCCCACGGTGAGCGAGGGCTCCAGTGAGATCCAGGGTCCCCTCGAGTGCAGGTCTGAGGACCACCCTCCCCTTCCTCTGCTCATTCTCTGCAGCCCTTCTTCGGGCTCTCCACTTCCAGATTCTCATTCTCCACGACACCAGAGCTCATCCTATTCCTGTAGCCTGAGCAGATGCAGAAACCACACCCGAAGCCGAGGTGGGGGCCTGCCCGCTCCTCACTGGGTCCCCAGACCCTCTCCTGGCAGATGGGCTTCGGCCCCACCCCTCACCACACCGTTTGCCAGCCAGTTTCTGTTCATTTAATGGGACCTGTTGTGTGTTGAGCTGAGCCCAGCTGGGAACACAGTGGGAGATAAATATCAGTAACTGTAAGACTCCGGAACCCAACTGGAATGGTTCTTGATGTCTTTCATTTTTAATAAAAGAGATTACCTAATGAGATGCCCTCACCTTCTTGATGGGCTGGTTGTCTGCCTGTAGGTCCATGTAGGGTGGGCTTGTTTCGGGTGAGTTGTAAGATATGGAAGGAGCAAGCTATTTTATTATAGTATAAAATCTTTAGGCCAGGCATGGTGGCTCATGCCAGTAATCCCAGCACTTTGGAAGGCCAAGGCAGGAGGATCACTTGAGGCCAGGAATTTGAGACCAGCCTGGGCAACATAGTGAGACCCTATCCCTACAAAAAGTTTAAAAATTAGCTGGGTGAGGTGATGCAAGCCTGTAGTCCTAGCCACTCAGGAGGCTGAGGCAGGAGGATCGCTTGAGCCCAGGAGTTTGAGCCCAGGGAGCTATGATTGCCTCACTGCACTATAGCCTGGGTGACAGAGTAAGACCTTATCTAAAAAAAAGAAATAGTAAAATCTTTAATGAGATGTTGTTTTCATTGAAGGTGACATGTCTTTGTATGAGCCTGACTTAGAATCAGGAAAATAATAACTAGAATAGAATCTACAGTGTCTGCCCGCCTCTGTAGTAAGGACACAGAGGGCCGAAGGGCCCTACCTGGCCCAGGCCACAGAGAGGGACTTGGACCCAGGCCTCCGAGGCTTGTCCAGGGCTGCAGATGAGTTGTGGCCCATCTCAGAAAACTACCTCCTGGCTCCCCGTTCTCCTCTCTCAGGCATTCTTCTGAAGCCATGCTTCCCCCCTCCCCCGAAGATTCCAGCAAACACATGGAGGTGGGGACAACTGACTTGTTGGGAATGCGGGGTGCCTGTCCCCTTCTCTCTCTTTTCAAGAGCCTTTGAGGCCTCACTGGGAAGGCAGAGCTCCCCTGTGCCTGAATCGCTGCAGAGCCCATTGGAAATGCCCAACCTTTTCCTCCCAGAGCATCGGAATCAGTTCCTTTAAAGTCCCCTGCCTGGGCTGCCCCTGAATTCTATTGTCTGCTGGACACCGGGGTGCCATAAATAGCCCCCCAGGCAATTCAAATGTGCAGGCATGTCTGGGGATCTCCTTAAGGTTGTTGTAAAATTTCCAGACCCTTCTAAGGTGGGGATAGCTTAAATGCCGTGGTGGGTGGGATGCAGTGAGGCCAAGGAAGGCTGCTTGGAGGAGGTGACTTCTGCATTGAGCATCAAGAGCTCAGCCAAGCAGAGCCTGGTAGAGCAGGCAGGAGACTTTGAGCCCAGGGAGCAGTGTGGGTGAAGGCATATAGGCCAGAGGGAGCCCAGCCTTGTTGAAAAGGCAGCAACCCGCTTGCTCTAGTGGCACCTGGGGAAGGAGGGTGGGTTGGGGAGAGAGGGCAGGTAGGCCGAGAGCGGGGCAAGGCCACAGGCAGTGCCCCGTGAGTGCTTTTGTGCTTCACGCTGAGGGGAGGTGGGTGACCACAGAAGGTGTCACAGCCGTGGCAGCCTCTGCTTTGCCCACTAGCTGTGACATCAAGCTTGAGGGCTGTTGGCAGAGCAGCCGAGCCTGTTCACTCACCTGAGGCAGAGGCAGTGGGGACCCGCCTCAACTGGAGCTGGAACCTTGCACAGAGCGAACGCGGGGCATGATGGGGAGGTGGGTGGTCTCTGTTAGGGGTTAGGAGGGAGCCCCTGGTGACCCAAATGGGTCTCCGATGGTGGAATTTCAAGCAGAGGCCAGGGATGGATTTTGGGGTGAAGCATTGTTCAGGTGTCCTGCAAGAATGTCTTCCCCCCGCCATCCCCACCTCCACTGCCTACTCTAGATGTCCAGCTAGGCTTTGGGCGAGAAGGCTGTTTAGGGAACACAGTCTCCTGTTCCCGAGAAGCCATGTGGCCCCTCTGGGGCTGGATAGGAGAAGCGGGACCCTCCTCGCCCGGGCGTAGCACTCCGTGGGCTGGCTGGGTTCCAGCAAACAGTGGTGAGAAAACCCGAAACCCTGGTGGGAGTTGTATCATGAGGAAGGGAAACTGATCTTTTTCGTTGCCTCCCCTCACTCAGCCATTGGTTTGGTTTGAACACATTTTCTCCCTTAATTTTTTTAAATCATAAAAATAATACAGCAACCGCATTATATAAAATTTGAAAAAGGGAAAAAAGAACTGCTCCCCACATTCCTCCCACACTAACCCAACAGCTCTCGGTCTTCATTCAGGTGCCAGAACGTATTTTGAACTTATTATATCATGCCTGTTTTCCTCATTGCTACAAAATCTTGTAACTGTCATTCAGAGTGCTTGGGGAGCGGAGCGCTATCGCCTATGAAACAGCCCCGTGTGGATGGCCATTCAGGCCATTTGTAAATGTCTGCTTTTCGGGACCAATCCTGCCAGTGCCTGCGTGTGGATTTCTGCTTCTGTTTAATTCCTCTGTTAGGATAATGCCCAGGAGTGGCGTTATGGAGTGGTCAATACCATCCGGCCCCTGGTCACCTCTCCAGTGCCTCCCCCATCCCTTGCATCCCCCACTCCACTACAACCACAGGGCTGCTTGTTGTCCACAAACATGTTAAGTGTGGTCCTACCTCAGGCCTTTGTACCGCGCCCCCTTCCTCCCAGAATACTTCTGTTTATTCATACGCTTTCCCTTCGCTTTGTCCAGGGATCTGCTCAAACATCACCTCCTCAGAGAGGGCTCCCCTCTCTTTCTCTGGCGTGTCTGACTTTATTTTTCTTGGGAGTACTTGTCATCGCCTGACACTGATATAGCTCGCGGCCCCTCGCAGGTGGTGAGCACCATGCGGGCAGGGTCTACGCCTTGCACACTGGTGCGTCTCCAGCTCCCACATGTGCTCGGCACAGAGGGCATGCTCAGTAAGTACTTGCATGTGCCCGGCACAGACGGCATGCTCAGTAAGTACCTGCATGTGCCTGGCACACAGAACGTGCTCAGTAAGTACCTGCATGTGCCCATCACACAGAACGTGCTCAGTAGGCACTAGCTGAGTGACTATTTAAATGCATGGGGTGTTATGGCCATTTCAGGTCTCTGCATATGGGTCACTAACTTGCTGACGGGAGCTGTGGCCATGGCCCAACGCTCGTCAATGCCCAGCCCCTGGGTGCCAGGGATCCAGGGGTGATTTCAGTTGGGAATTTTCTCTGGAGAGTGGTTTTGATGCATTCATGCCTCCCAAACCACCCCCGTGAGCACCTCTGCCTGTCCAGGGTGATGTGGGTGACCAGGTGAAGGGAATTTGACTTTATTCCTGCCGGCAATTGGTGCAGTCTGTTAGAGACTGTGGGTCTGTTTCCACCTCTGCTGACCAGGGATACAAGTGCCCGTCCTGACTGGTGTCTCAGCTGGGCGTGGAGCTCCGATGAAGACTCGTGTGTGAAGGGCACGAGGGCAGCACAAGTGCAAGGAGGGTCGGGGGCTACTTCCATTCGCGGGGCTCATGGTGGGCCCAACGCTTTCTAACCAGGGCTGTCTGATTTCATTCATGCGCCATTCCCATGGAGTTGGTGAACGTCATCATCCCCATTTTATAGCTGGGGAAACTGAGGCTCAGAGGGGTGGAGGGCCTTGCACAGTCAGGCCACGGTGAGTGGTGGAGTGGATGGCAGGGAACACCCCTGCATTCTCCTGATGCCCCTGGAACAGCCCACCCACCGCTGCTTGGCTGGGGCTGCGGGATGGTCACCCAAGCAGAGATTATATCCCTGAACTTAAAATAATACCTAAGCCTTGTCCCCAGGGCTTCCAACTCTGTAGGTCTCAGCCAGGGCCTGGAGTCTGTATCTTCATAAACTCAGCAGGTGATCCCGACGCACGTGGCCAGAAAAGCCTTGGAGAAACCACCTTGCTAGAAGAATCAAACCTCCCCTTGGCCTCATCTTCCCTAAATTCTAACCACACGGTGAAGACATCTGATGGTGGATGTACCGGCACCTGTGTAAGCTGCAGTTCCTTCCCCACACGAGCAGGAACCGGTACCAGGAAATCCTACTTTCGCTGGTGCTAATTAAAGAAAGGAGACAAAAGCCCTGTGGAATCTCAGATCTGGAAGGACACCTGGAAATCATGCCGTGCTCTTTTTTTAAAAATAATTTTTAAAATAGATGTTATTTTTTCAGATCCGTTTCAGGTTCACAGCAAGATTGAACAGAAAGCACAGAGGGTTCCCACCCACCCACACATGCAGCCTTCCCACCCCTGCTACACAGCCTCCCCCACCATCCATGTCCCACACCAGAGTGGGACATTGATTACAATGTATGAACTTACACAGACACTTCATTATCACCCAGGGTCCACCGTGGACATTCGGGTTCACTCTTGGTGTTGGACACTCTGTACGTTTGGATGAATGTGTGATGGCACTCATCCACCATCACAGGCTCAGGCAGAAAGAATCATTCCACTCCTCTACATGCTTTGCCCACCTGTTCATCCCTCCCTCCCCAGGGCTCTGTTTTTTAAACTAGAAAACCCAGTTATAGTGAGATGTAACAAAGCGCAGGATAAACATGGCAGCCTCTCAGAGCATCCATTTTAATAAAAGATTGCAGTCATATAATTGGTCATTAAAATGTTTTTTTACTAAAATCAAAAGTCAAGTTTTCCAAAGTGCAGAATATATGGGAATTTTATTTTTTTAAACTTTGCCCCAAAAATGTGATTTTATTTGAAATATAGAGGTATAACCATGGCAAAATACATTGTCTTTAAGAATTCTTGGATGAATAGTTGGAAAAATTTTTAACATTAATTATTAGAGGATCTTAGGGATTATTGTCATTTTTAAATCTCTTAAGTTCAGGTATACATGTGCAGGTTTGTTACACAGGCAAACTTGTGTCATGAGGGTTTGTTGTACAGATTAAATTGTCACCCAGGTACTCAGCCTAGTACCTACTAGTTCCTTTTCCTGATACCCCACCCTCAGGCCCCAGCGTGTGTTGTTTCCCTCTACGTGTCCATGTGTTCTCATCATTTAGCTTCCACTTATAAGTGAGAGCATGCGGTATTTGGTTTTCTGTTCCTGCATTAATTTGCTAAGGATGATGGCCTCCAGCTCCATCCATGTTCCTGCAAAGAAATGATCTTGTTCTGTTTATGGCTGCATAGTATTCCATGGTATATGCCGAGATTTTAAACATAAGACCAGATACTTCAAAGAAGTTTGGGCCTTTTAGAGGGGTACGCTGGTAGAAATTTAACAACTGGCTCTCCTGAAAAAAAAAAGCACTTTCCAATTTCCATCTCGTAAATATTCCCACAGCGGCTGATTTCAAGCCACTATCGTGATGTCCCTGAATGTGGAAGGTGCCCTGGGAAGGTCTGGGCACAATCAGCTCTCACGGCTGGTGAAGCTGCCTCTAGCACATCACTGGCCTTGTTGACTTCTGGGGGCAGCGACTTTAGATTTCTCTGTAGAAAATAAAAAGCGTGGTTCTGGAGAGTTCTGGAGAGGTGGGAAAATCAGTTATAAGTCTCTCAGGAAACTGGTAATAGGCCAGTATTAGAATCTGGCTCGTGACCTGCAGGGAAGTGAGTTCTTTGTCCACATGCTGAGTCCTAAATTGTAAGTAGTGACTGAAAAACTCACCTGTCCATATAACAATAAATAAAAATTGTTTTAAGTAAAATGACACCATGGGCTCCATGGCCGCACAGACCATAACAGTAACCAATCTCTCTCTCCAAGTGATCTGACCTGGTAATTAATTCCCTCATTCATTCACTCACTCAGTTATTTGTGAGCTAAATAAGAAAATGTTTACTGAGCACCAACTTTAGGTCAGGCGTTCCTTTAGGCACTGGGGATGCAGAAGTGAGCGAGACGGTTCCCTGAGCGGGGGTCCCACGTGCTTGTGGCTTCAAGACGACATTAAAGGAAGCTGCAATGCAAAGCAAGAGCTGAATGCAGCTTTCTGGACGTTTCTGCAGGCCTCTCTCAGGCTCTTCTTGTGCTGTATCAGTTGTCTGGTGACTCTGCCCAGGCAGCGAGTGTCTCAGGGCGGGGCTGGGCCTTGTTCCTGACTGCACACCCAGGGCAGGAATCTGCACAGAACAGTGCACAGTCGACGCTGGAGTCAAAGAGGGTGGGGCTGGCCCCCTCGCCAGTGGGGACTGTGATTTGCTTACTCTGCAGTGATGATAATTTCCACGAACACATCTACCCTCGGCTCTGGTTTTCTTTCTGTCAACAACATCACACAATTCCATGTTGAATGGCCAACAGCAAAGTCCAAATGGTAAAGTCTGGTTACTTGCAAAGAAGCTAAGGTGGCCACTGGAGGGTTTGAACCAAAGGCAACGTCAGGGTAAAACATGGAGTTTGGAATCTGACCAACGTGGGTTCGAATCCCATCGCTACCACTCACTCACTGTGTGGACTGTGGCAATCCCCTTTCTGAGCCTCAGTTTCCCCATCTGTGTAATGGGGATAAAATGGTTTACCTCCCAAGGTTGCTGTGAGGATTGGAAATGAGGTATTTAAGTACCTAGCCTCTGTCTGGCACTGAGGGGCACACAGTAAATATTAAACAGGTAATTAAGGCTGTAGACATCAAGTCTAGCAGGAAATCTCAGCATGCTGCAGGAAAAGGGACCCTGGAGATGAGGAAACTGGGAATGGAAATGGAAGTAACTTGCCAGAGTCACCCAGCATGGGAGCATCAACACTGAAACCTAGCCTGGGGTGGATGACCGTCCTTTTCAAGGAGCTGTGCTGGGGAGGCGTTGAGGGCATTACCTGAACTTCTGCTTCAGGATGGTTTACTCCACCTTCACAACCAGAGCAACGGCTCTGTGGGGTGTTGAGATGACAGCCAAGAAAGTGCTTTGCAAAATGTCAAGTACTGTGCATTCCTACCAATCACTAGTCACGTTTCCATGCCAGGGAGCCAGCTCAGTGCTTTGGGTACATTTGTCTCATTTGGTCCTGCCAAAAGTCCTGAGAGGGACCTATTGTTATCATCCCCATTTTGTAGACAGGACCAGAGAGGTGAAGTCATTTGCCAAAGGACACACAGCTGGAAATGGTGAGAGCTGATACCCGAACCTGGATCCAGCCAACCCCAAGTTCCGATCTTCGTTTACCACACTGAGCGGCCTCTTTGGAGTGTCCTGGCTCCGTGAGCTGGGAGGTCAGCAAATGTTTGTGGCTGGATAAGGTGGCTGGTGGGTGTGTTCACCAAGGCCGCCTGATGTTCCTGGTTGCCATGCTGAGTGGTCCAACCATCTGGGTCTTCTGTAAGTTTCAGCAGGGATCTCCATAACCCAGTGCGCTCTGGCCATACAAGTCAGCCCAGGTCAGAAAATGGAACTGGCCAGCCTCTCTTTCAAATGTGAGACAGAAGTTGAGTGCCGGTCACTTCTTGCAAGGAGCCCCAGGGGTGAAGGGCAAAATACTCTCTTGGCTCTTGAATTCCATCCTGTCCCACATCTCCTGTGCCACACCAATGCCCCCTCACTTCTCAAGTCACTGAGCTCAAGCGGTCCTGTGGGAGGACAATAGGGCAGAATTTTGGATCCACTTTGGAAACATCTGGGTCCTGAGGGCATTTTGTGGAAAACTCATATCCACCCACCTCCCGGTCTTCAGCAGAGCCAAGAGCAGGCAGGGTCTCTCAGAGCCTTAATTTTCCTCCCAGCACCCTTGGGTTGGGGGCCGATGGGCAGAGGAACAGGTCAGAGGGGCTCACGCTGCAGCCCCATCTTCAGGATTTCCATCAAGGGGTGCTCAGGGATCATTCTGGTGGGAAAAAAAGAGGGTGTGGTTTGAAGTTGCATATAAATTACACTTTGAGTAAAAATCAAGGAAACGTGAATTGTCTTTTGTGAAGTACACGGAGGGGGCTGATTAGGTGGAAGGTGGGGGCTACACCCACTGCTTGGCACCGCCCCCCGCCCCCCGAGCTTCTCAAAGGCCAGAGTCATCCAGAAACGGAGGGAGTGAGCTCTCTTTCTCTCTGTAGATGCACCAGCCTGGCAGGTGTGACCTGGGGGTTTCACCAGATGCCCTGTGTGATGTGGCCGTGTGGGATATTCACCAGAAGGGGTTCCTGGTGTGGGGATCAAGTTGAGTTGGAAGCCAGCTGTGTTGCTCTTCCAGACATGGGTGTTGTCCTGGAGGAAGGGCCACCTTTTCTAAGTCGGGCATAGGCAATGCATGGGGTTCAGCTTCTGTCTCTTGTACCAGAGACAGAAATAGGACCAAACAGACTTCCAGAATCATGCCGTTTATTATTTCACACAACAGGAAGTTTGGGCAGGCTTCATGGCTGCCGGCTCCACGGCTCAGAGATGTCCTCCAGGACCAGGTTCTTGCCGTCTCTCTGCTCTGCCATCCTTGACGTTAGCCTTGTTTTCAGTCTGGCCACAAGGTGGTGGCAGCAGCTCCAGGGGTCACATTTGGGCAACAGAACCTGGAGGAAGAAGAGAGACCACCTCTCCCGGGCATCCTTCTGGAGGGAAGAGACATCCCAGAAGCACCCCCATGCAGACCCGAACCCAGCGACCTCGTCTCACATTTCATTGGTCAGAACTGGGTCACATGTCCATTCCTGAACCAATCACATGCAAAGAATGGGATCACATGATTGGTTCAGATTAATGGTTGGGCGTGGACTGGAAACTGAGCGTCAAGCTCCTTGTCCTCTGCCCTAAAAGACCAGGATTCTATGGGCCTTGCTGGGCTCTTGCCTTCAAAAACCCAGGCCTCCTAATTCTCCCCAGAAACAGCTGCATTGGAGACCCCAAGTCTCGGGAGCACACCCCTGCTTCCTGCCCTGTGACTGGTCAGTCTTTAACCTGTGCCTTGGCGGGCGCTGGCTTTGCGGTGCTTCCTCTGCAGGGACTGACCTCGGACACCCAGCTTGTCATTGCCCCGGGGGCGTCCTGGCTTTGGTTCTGTTAACACCTCAGTGCTGAGAAGGCACCTCAGCCCTGGCTTTCTCTCCCTGTCCCGTTCTCTCTCTTGGGCCCCCTGCCTCGAGGCCCAGATTTTATATCTTTGCTCCCATAAACCTCTGGTCCCTGAAGCTTTCCTCTCAACCTCAGCGGGTCCCCACCTCTCCGTCAAGTTCAGTCTTGGGAAAATGGTGAGTAGAACTGTGCTTCCTCTAACCATCTGTCCTTTCTCCCGACCTCACCACTTTTTATTATGAAAACTTTTCCAAATTGGAGAGAAGAATGATGATGAAGGATTTACTCACTACCCACGTTTGACAGCTGTTACCATTTCACCATATTTGCTTTTAATACCTGTGCTGAAATATTTGTTGCCCAGGCATGGTGGTTCACGCCTGCCTGTAATCCCAGTACTTTGGGAGGCTGAGGCTGGCGGATTGCTTGAGCTAAGGAGTTGAAGCCCAGCCTGGGCAACATAATGAGACTCTGTCTTTATAATTTTTTTCTTTTTTTAATAGCCAGGCATGATGGCTCGCACCTGTGGTTTCAGCTGTTCCGGAGGCCAAGGCAGGATGATAACTTGAGCCCAGGAGGTCAAGGGGTCAAGGCTGTAGTGAGCCATGATCCTGCCACTGCACTCCAACCTGGGGGATAGAGTGAAATCCCGTCTCTGAAAAAATAAATAAATACATACATAAAAAACATTTGCTGTCTCATTTGAAGGTAAATGGCAGGCATGTCAACAGACCACTTACAGACCTTAGCAGCGTCTGCTAAGAATAAAAGCTTTCTCCAAAATCCCAATGGTATTATCACACCAGAGAAATGTAATATCATCTTTAATATCCAGTCCCTGTGAAAATCCCCCAGTGATACACCCATCATTGGGATTCATTTGAATCTGAAAAGAAAGTTAATTTCTTGCAGCCTCTGAGGGGTTAATAAGGTTGCTCTAAAATGACCAAAAAATACACTGACAAACACACGCAGTTGTCCCAGCCAGAAGCCTTCCGTATTCTCTTCTCTGTCCCCACTTACATCTCTCAAAGTGATTTTTTTCCCCCTTAGGTCATACACAGGGCAGAAACCAGATGACATTTTAATCTGCAACTCAAGTGCCTTGTCCTGGGAAGGCTCCCGGTTCTTGGCACGGGATTCTGTGTCTCTGGGCGCCCAGCAGCAGCTTGAGAGTGGGCTCCGCTCCTCCTTCACGTTAACTGGCTCAGCTTCTCTTGACTTTTAATAATACCCTGCCAACTGGCTGCCTTCTGCTTTGTCTGTGTACCGACGCTGGAGCCACAGTTCCTCTGAGCCAGGCTTCTTGGTGCGTCGTGTGGACTGACCCTTTTCAGGAAAGTGGTTGCTGGGTCTGTGGCTACAAAAAAGTGGAGGCCTCAGTCAGATAGCAGACACATCTGTTTCCAAGCAAATGTTTGAGGGAGTGACCATTCTGCTTTCTAGGCTCATAAACTAAGCAACAACAGTGACAGAAACAACATTTTTTTTTTCTTATGTTCACGAGGTCCTGTGGTACAATGTTGAATAGTTGTTAACACAGCTATTTATCGGGCACTAGCTATGTACCAGGCATGGCTTAATCTGCCCCGATGGGGTAGTGTGGTAGACTGACTCATGGCCAAAAGGCTCCTCTAAGATTCCCATGTCCTCGTCCTTGGACCCTGTGAATGCTACCTTATGTGGTAGAAAAAAAACAAAAAGATCTTTGCAGATGTGGTTACATTTAGGATTTTGACATGGGGAGATTCTCGTGGATTATCTGGGTAGGCCCTAAATGCAATCCCAAGTGGGCAACATAGTGAGACTCTGTCTCTACAAAAAAATTACCTGGGTGTGCTGGCACACCCCTGTAGTCCCATCTACCTGGGAGGCCGAGGTGGGAGGATTACCTGAGCCCAGGAGGTTGAGGCTACCGTGAGCTGTGATCATATCACTGCACTCCAGCCTGGGCAACAGAGCAAGACCCTGTCTCAAATCAAAAAGAAAAAAAAAAAAGGGAGGGAGGCGGAGATTTTACACAGAGAAGAGGTCAAGGTGATGCGGCCACAATGGTGGAGATTGGAGTGACGAAGCTGTGAGCCAAGTGAGGCCGGCAGCCAGCAGAAACTGGAGGGGCAAGAAAGTGGATTCCCTCCTGGAGCCGCCGCAGGAAGCGTGGCCTCACCGATGCCTTCATTTTGGCCCAGCAGAATTGCTTTCAGCCTTCTGGCTTCTAGAACTATGAGAGAATACATTTCTGTCATAAGCCATTAATTTTGTAATTTGTAACAACAGCCTCAGGAAACGAAGACAGGTAGGCCCAATGAGCACCTCCCCATTTTACAGAAAAAGAAACTGAGGCCCTTCCAGTGAGTGGTAGGGTGGGCTGATGTTGGAGCCCAGGCTTTAGCCCTTTTGTCTTCTATCTTCTATCTCAGCCTTAATGGAAAACAAGACCCTGCATCGCCAGCCGTGAGGGGCTGCGGGAAGCTGTACGATGATCTGTCTTCTCATTTAGTGGGGCAGGGATGAGGTGCTTGATTGTCTCCTAGTAGAGAATGCAGAAGAGCTGATCTTTATGTAAATTCCCTTATGCAAATATCCCTGAGGGAGTTTGCTTACCGAAGTCAGTTCCTTCACACTGTAGAGCAGATTACTTGAGAACAAGAAAGTCGGTTAGGTACCCGTCAGGGGGTTTGAGGTAGAAAGAAGGGGGCCCCTGAGAGGGGGACAGGAGGAAGACCATCAAAGACAGATTTTAAGTACTGTACAATTTTTTCATTACACAGAGACAGAGTTGAGCCATTCCAAATAAATAAAAGCTGATTGGTGAACAGGTCCATTTACTCAACAAAGTAGGACAATCCATGATTAGGATTCAGAATAGGCCGGTGAGATGGCTTACGCCTGTAATCCCAGCACTTTGGGAGCCCTAGGCAGGTAGATCACTTGAGGTTAGGAGTTCGACATCAGCCTGGCCAACATGGGTAAACCCAGTCTCTACTAAAAATACAAAAAGTAGCCAGGCGTGGTGGCACACGCTGGTAATCTCAGCTACTCGGGAGGCTGAGGCGGGAGAGTCACTTGAACCCAAGAGGTGGAGGTTGCAGTGGGCCAAGATCATGCCACTGCTCTCCAGCCTGGGCAACAGAGCGAGACTCCATCTCAAAGAAAAAAAAAAGGAATCAGGATAAAGCAAGGAGTTAGGAAATGTGATCATTGCTGCTATTCTTATTTGTATGACTTAGGTTAAGCTGAGGGATGCTGCAGGAGAGAATCTCAAAGGTTAACACAACAGGAGTTCATGGACTACGTAAGCTACATGTGATAATAGTGGGCTGGAGAGGGTGGGAGGCAATGGAGGGGGACTCTCCTTCACCATCAGGAACTCACAGCCCCCTCAGCTGATACAGCCGAGAGGACAGAGCCTGGAGAATCACACGTGGCCTTTTTATTGCCTCCTTCTGAAAGAGACCCCTGTCACTTCCTATCCCATTTTATCAACCAGATCTAGCCACACGCTCCCTGTCTAGCAGCATGGGGCCTGGGAAGCCTAAAGGGGCGAAGGGAATATGTGGTGAGCGTTTCTGTGTCTTCCACTTTGTGATTAGTAAATATTTGTTGAATCTATTGAGGTACAGAGTAATTTCAGTTACATTGCTTTTATCAATAGCAAATAGAGAAGAAAGCCATTTCTGCTCCAAGGAGCTGTTGGTGCAGTCGGGAGACAGCACTTCAACATTAGAACACTGTGCAAAGGTGTTGCGAATTTCCAGGTATAGACGCCTTTTCTATCAGTCAATGAATCTCAGTTATGCTTCTTGAGCAGAGTTCATCACTACAGGTAGACCCAGCAGTTCCCAGATTAAACAGTGAGGCATCCTAGCAGTAAACTTGACCTGTGAGGGAAAAAAAGGATATGACCAAGGGTTGGCTCAGTTTGGCTCTTGCCTGTCCATCAAGTTCCCAAGCAGACTGGGGCCAAGTACTCTAGACTGTAAGTGCCATGTGGGCAGGGGCTTTGCTCTCATACTTCTCTGTAGACCGTGGTTCTTGGCATGGCCAGCTTTCCAGATGTCACTGTGGGTTCCGATGTTGATCCGCTAATCCCTGCTACAGTGTGTTGGGCTTTTAGGATTGGAATGGTTCAACTGATTGACTCAGTCAATCAAGCATCTGTCTATTTATCTATCACTTCATCTGTTCATTCATTTATTCACATATTGATTCACTTGTCTATCCATTCCTTACTCCTCCTTTACTTCTTTAAGTATCCATCTGTTATCTATCCATCCATCTACCCATTCATCTGTCCACTTATCCAGTTACCAACCTACCCATCCATCCGTCCGTCCGTCCATCCATCCATCCATCCATCCATCCATCCATCCATCCATTCATCCGTCCATCTTCATATCCATCAAAAAACATTTGTTGAGCATAAGTCTGGGATATAGTTTGGGGTTAGACACAGCTGCAATGGCAGGGAGCAGGGGAAATCCAGGTTAGGGGGCCAGAGTCTCTGCATGGAAGGTCACTACAGGTCAAAGCCCAGTCAGGCAAGGGGAAGTCAAGACTGAGCAAAGCTAAGAGGAATTTAGGAACAGGGGAAGGTTGACTGTCTGTGCCGGCAGCTGCTCAGTGCAGAAGCTCTGATAGCAGAGGTAGGCTTTAGTACATCAGGGAACAGCTACACTTCCATGTGAGTTGGGAGCCCATGAACTAGGTAAGAAGCAGAAAGCAGAGCCCCAGACAAGGGGACTAGCTATAATGAGTAATAAAGAAACTAAAGTCACCATTAATTGGAGCATGAGGTGGGGAAAAAGGCTCAGGAGCAAGGTAGAAGGAAGCCCAGGAAATCAAGGTCACAGCTAGTACCCAAGGTCAATCTGA
Organism: Homo sapiens; assembly: GCF_000001405.40. Taxonomy (NCBI): domain Eukaryota; kingdom Metazoa; phylum Chordata; class Mammalia; order Primates; family Hominidae; genus Homo; species Homo sapiens. The sequence goes on from NC_000016.10 coordinate 85,967,623, forward strand.
TGAGTAGCCCAGACACCAATGCTGAGAGTCCAAGGGCCTGGGCTGGATGGAGTCCATGTCCTGGGAGAAGCAGCCAGGATGGCTCTGCCAAGGGGGTCAAGTGGCACCCCAGCTGTGAGCAGACAAGAGCAAAGAGGTTGAGGACCCGGCTGGGCATAACAGGGCTGGGCAAGATTGTGAAGGAGCAGGAATGGGTACCAGGTGCTTATAATTCCACTTGGCCATTTTAATTCAATCACACACATATTTGACGGGTCCTTGTTATGTGCTGGGCACTTGAGACACAACTGCAAATAGAACACAGTCCCTGACTTCTGGGAGCTTACAGTCCAGTGGTGAGGCAGATTAATAGAAAATTACGCTTAGGTGGCTAAGAGTTGGGCACTGTGGGACATCAGTGGGGGCATCTGACCAGCAGGAGGGTCTGGAAGGGCTCTGGTGGAGGCAACCTGGGAACGGGGCATGGGGGTGGGTAGGAGGAGACTTATCTACGGAGGAGACTTGTCTACAGAGGACAAAGCAGGTGCAAACTGGAGATTGAAAAAACTCTCGTGCAAATGTGTAAGTAAACTTCGGTGTAAAGCAGAGCCTCTCTCGTGCTGCTACTTGCACTTGGGTACCCTGGGGGTTTTTGGAAAGTGCAGGTTCTGTTTCAGCAGAACTAGGGTGGAGCCCGGGATTCTGCATTTCCAGCCAGCTCTCGGGGAGACCCGATGGTGCTGGTTGCAGACCACACTTTCAGTACCAAGAGTGTGAAATAGTCTTATTACAACTTGATATGGAATGACATTGGAAGTTTTCCATGGGCTTTAAAAACAGACAAAGAATAAAGTGGTTCCTGAGGTCGGCTGGTCCCATGATGCAGGAAAGATGAAAAGCAAACCTGAGATGATGGGGAGGTGGCCCCCAGGGGTCCTGATTTGGATACAGGATTGACCATGCATGCTCTTGTGCCTGCCATGCTCCTGACCGTGCAGCACGGGTTGCTATGATGCCACTTTAAAATGATGTCTGGGTTCCTCTTACATATGCAACAGTATTCTACTGGGGGATTTATGTTTCAAAAATGATGTAATAATTAGGCAAGGCACAGTGGCTTACACCTGTAATCTCAGCATTTTGAGGGACTGAGGTGGAAGGACTGCTTGAGCCCAGGAGTTCGAGACCAGCCTGGGCAATATAGTGAGACCTTGTCTCTACAAAAAATTTTAAAAATTAGCTGGGCATGTCGGTGGTGTGCCTGTGGTTCCAGCTAGTCAGGAGGCTAAGGCGGGAGGATTGCTTAAGCTGGGAGGCAGAGGTTGCAGTGAGCCGTGACTGAGCCACTGTACGTCAGTCTGGGCAACAGAGTGAGACCCTGTCTCAAATAATAATAATAATAAGGGTCAGAATAAAGAATCAAGACAGTTTTTTTTTCAGGATAAATGAGGGACGTTGGAAAGAGTTTAGCAAACAAGAAGCAACACCAAGTAGTGTAGGATAAGGATTATTTAGCGGGGGAGAGAGAGAGAGAGAAAGAGAGAGAGGAGGGAGAGGGCAGGAAGGAAACATGAGAATATGAAGAGAGAGACCTCACACTTCTGCTAGAGGGAATGGTCCATAATCAGTTCTGCTCCTTGAAGAAATTACCTAAAATGTGAACGTTTCTGCTGCCTGGAGGCAGCTTTTGCTGGCTGGATCACCTCATTCTTTCTGTATTCTTATTGACCTTTGTGGTTGGAATCTGCTCCGTGGCATGCTGAAAATAACCCTGAGAAATAACTTTTGTTTTCACAGTCATGTTAACTCATTTTCACCTCCTCTTGCAAGATGGTTGTCAGGGCTCTTTCTTGTGAATTTAGGCAGCAGATCCCTTGCAGGTAAGCTCAGGTGTCATCCTGAGCCCTTGTGAGGTTCTGTGATTTGGGCTCCTCCTGGCTTTGGCAACTGCATTTGTTTTCTCATTGGGCCATTTGTCACTATCCCCCCATTGTGCATCTGGAAGTCAGTTGTCAAAAAATTCCAACCATCCAGAAGGTAGCCACGAAAACCAAAATGAAGACAAAAAGCCCCAAGATCCACATACAGGACCTGAGGACCAGGCATTCAAGCCCGCGTCTTGAGGTCAGGAGGAAGGGCTCCGAGCCCCTTCATCAGTCTTAGTTCCCCTGCAAGTTTAACCTCTGTGGCTATCAGTGGTTTCAGGCCGTAGCAGTTTATCACGCTGCTAGAGACTGGTGAACTGGGAGCTGCTGAGAAAAGGGCGGTCTCTGCATTCCAGAGAGGGATGGAGACTGAGACCTCGGGCGTTCAGTGCATCTACAAATGGCTTTCTGCACTTTGATAGGCCCACTCTGCCTGTTCATTTCCCAAACATAGCTGGGGCAAAAGGACAGAAGGGGGACTTTTCACTTCTTTATATAATTGCAAAAGCGGTGAGGTTATGAGTGATGTTTTCATTTTTTTGTGTTTTTGTTTCAAAAATATTTCGAATGGAAAAAGTTTTCTTCTCTGGGGCAGTGGAAAGGGGCTTTGCCTCCTCCCTTCCCATGCACCACCCCCCACGTCTGCTCCCGAAGCGCCTGATTCGTGCTGTGCAGGGTTTGCATGTGCTGCTTCCCTTGGCTGGGGATGCTCTCTCCCCAGCACCTTTTGTGGCTATACCTTTGTGTAAGTCAGATCTCTCTGCTCAAATGTTGCCTCTGGTGGGGCATGGGTGTGGGTGGGGAGCTCACCCATCCAAAATAGACAACCCCCGTCCCCTTCCACACCCCTCACCCATTTCTCTTCTTCCCAGCACCCAGCACTCTCTGGAGGGATTCTTTGCTGCCGTGGAACCTCCCTACCACCAGTCCTGAGCATCTAGAGCGCTGGGCTCTGCTTCTGTTCACTGTGGCCTCCCTGGGCCTAGGATGATGCATGACAGGGGGAAGGTGGCCAGATGGAGGCTGCAGTGCCACACGCGCCTTTCAGCACTGCGATGCAGAGGTCTCTTGAGAAGCTCTGCTTCCTCCAGTTGGGGTGGCTACCACGTTAAGACCACGTTTCCTGGGTTCAAATCCTAGTTGGGGTTGCTTTTTGGGGTTCCTTAATATGCCTGTGCCTCAATGTCTTTATCTGTATAATGGGGACAAGACCAGGACCTATCACATGGTGTTATGAGGATTAAATGAATTAGTATACGTGTCAGAGGCATTTGAACCAGAGCAACTGCATCTTGAAAGCAGGCTCTGTAAAATAAGGCTGAGACCTGCTGGGCTACATTCCCAGACAGTTAGACATTCTAAGTCACAGGATGAGATTGGAGGTCAGCACTAGCTACAGGTCATAAAGACCTTGCTTATAAAACAGCTTGCAGTAAAGAAGCGTCCAAATCCCACCACAATCAAGATGGTGATGAGAGTGACCTCTGGCCGTCCTCACTGCTACACTCCCACCAGCTCTGTGACAGTTTACAGATGCCATGGCAACATCAGGAAGTTATCCTATATGGTTTAAAAAGGGGAGGCATGAATAATTCACCTCTTGTTTAGCATATCGTCAAGAATTAACCATAAAAATGGACAACCAGCAGCCCTCGGGGCTGCTCTGTCTATGGAGTAGCCATTTATTCCTTTACTTTCCTAATAAACTTGCTTTCACTTTACTCTATGGACTAGCCTCCAATTCATTCATTCATTCATTCATTCATTCATTCTTTTCTTTTTTTTTTTTTTTTTGAGACAGTTTCACTCTGTCACCCAGGCTGGAGTGCAGTGGCGCAATCTTGGCTCACAGCAACCTCTGCCTCCCAGGTTCACCCTCCTGAGTAGCTGGGACTACAGGCTTCTGCCACTACATCTGGCTAATTTTTGTATTTTTAGTAGAGATGGGTTTTTGTCATGTTGGCCAGGCTCGTCTCAAACTCTTGGCCTCAAGTGATCCGCCCACCCTGGCCTCCCAAAGTGTTGGGATTACAGGCATGAGTCATGGAATTCTGTCTTACATGAGATCCAAGAACCCTTTCTTGAGGTCTGGATCGGGACCCCTTTCTAGTAACATACGCAAAACACTTAGCACAAAACACTTCTAGAATCATTCCTACAATGACTGAAACTGCCTTTGCAAAAATTATAGCTGGGGAAATTATAACAGAGAAAGAGATCAGACCTAACCAACTCCATCTTGCTTCTAACCTTTAAGCTGTCCTTGTTCATTCCTGGGTGTAGGCTGAACTAACCTTGGAAAGGAATTTAGTTTCTAGTTTGACTCTGAAACAAAATTGATAATAGCCCTTTCCCACAAGAAAACCCCTTGTTGTCTGGGGCCCAGTTTGCCTTTGTAGGACTAATAAATTAGCTACAAGATTAGAAATTACGATTTAGGGGCCCTGCAGCCTCTGGCTGAGTCTGAACCTTCCCAAATTGCTCCTGGGAATGATATCACTATTTGTAAAACCTAAGATAAGTGCTTGAGATATTTTGCACCCAAACCCGTCATCTGACTCAACCGGTTCTGTGATCCCACCCAGGTACAGAGGACGGCAAGAAAACCTCACTTCAATCCCCGATCATTCCATCTCCAACTCTACCAGCCAGCACTCCCCACATCCCAAGCTCCTACCCACCAAATTGTCCTTAAAAACTCCAATCCCCGAAGGCTCCCCAGAGGCTCAGGGAGACTGATTTGAGTAATAATAAAGCTCTGGTCACCCATACAGCCGGCTTTGTGTGATTTACTCTTTCTCCACTGCAATTCCCCTGTCTTGATAAATCAGTTCTGTCTAGGCAGCGGGCAGGGGACCCTGTTGGGTGGTTACACTATGACTACTGCTAGGACCATTGCCAGTACTACTCATGTACTGAGTTGTTGCGGATACTGCCAGGATCACTCTCGGCAGCACCACTGCGGCTACAAGGACTGCACCTGGGGCTTCTGTTACCATTACCACCGTGACTACTGCTGCTGTGATGATGTGACTGTGCTGCCATGATCTTCACTGTTCCTACCGCCTCTGTGACTACCGCCTCTATGACCGACGCTGTTACTACGACTGTAGCCATTGTTCCTACCGCCTCTGTGACTACCGCCTCTATGACCGACGCTGGTACTACGACTGTAGCCATTGTTCCTACCGCCTCTGTGACTACCGCCTCTATGACCGACGCTGGTACTACGACTGTAGCCATTGTTCCTACCGCCTCTGTGACTACCGCCTCTATGACCGACGCTGGTACTACGACTGTAGCCATTGTTCCTACCGCCTCTGTGACTACCGCCTCTATGACCGACGCTGGTACTACGACTGTAGCCATTGTTCCTACCGCCTCTGTGACTACCGCCTCTGTGACCGACGCTGGTACTACGACTGTAGCCATTGTTCCTACCGCCTCTGTGACTACCGCCTCTGTGACCGACGCTGGTACTACGACTGTAGCCATTGTTCCTACCGCCTCTGTGACTACCGCCTCTGTGACCGACGCTGGTACTACGACTGTAGCCATTGTTCCTACCGCCTCTGTGACTACCGCCTCTGTGACCGACGCTGGTACTACGACTGTAGCCATTGTTCCTGCCGCCTCTGTGACTACCGCCTCTGTGACCGACGCTGGTACTACGACTGTAGCCATTGTTCCTACCGCCTCTGTGACTACCGCCTCTGTGACCGACGCTGGTACTACGACTGTAGCCATTGTTCCTACCGCCTCTGTGACTACCGCCTCTGTGACCGACGCTGGTACTACGACTGTAGCCATTGTTCCTGCCGCCTCTGTGACTACCGCCTCTGTGACCGACGCTGGTACTACGACTGTAGCCATTGTTCCTGCCGCCTCTGTGACTACCGCCTCTGTGACCGACGCTGGTACTACGACTGTAGCCATTGTTCCTGCCGCCTCTGTGACTACCGCCTCTGTGACCGACGCTGGTACTACGACTGTAGCCATTGTTCCTGCCGCCTCTGTGACTACCGCCTCTGTGACCGACGCTGGTACTACGACTGTAGCCATTGTTCCTGCCGCCTCTGTGACTACCGCCTCTGTGACCGACGCTGGTACTACGACTGTAGCCATTGTTCCTGCCGCCTCTGTGACTACCGCCTCTGTGACCGACGCTGGTACTACGACTGTAGCCATTGTTCCTGCCGCCTCTGTGACTACCGCCTCTGTGACCGACGCTGGTACTACGACTGTAGCCATTGTTCCTGCCGCCTCTGTGACTACCGCCTCTGTGACCGACGCTGGTACTACGACTGTAGCCATTGTTCCTGCCGCCTCTGTGACTACCGCCTCTGTGACCGACGCTGGTACTACGACTGTAGCCATTGTTCCTGCCGCCTCTGTGACTACCGCCTCTGTGACCGACGCTGGTACTACGACTGTAGCCATTGTTCCTGCCGCCTCTGTGACTACCGCCTCTGTGACCGACGCTGGTACTACGACTGTAGCCATTGTTCCTACCGCCTCTGTGACTACCGCCTCTGTGACCGACGCTGGTACTACGACTGTAGCCATTGTTCCTGCCGCCTCTGTGACTACCGCCTCTATGACTGATATTTCTCCTGCTCCTCCTATTACTCCCTGCACTGCTTCTATCACTGCCACGTTACTGCCTTGACTCTATGATTACTGCTGCTAGTCTAGTGATTACTCCTCTGGTTACCACTATGATCATGGCTGAGACTGTTGCTTCTGCAATAGTGACTGCTGTTGCTGCTGGTATTACTGCTACCTTTAGTACTGTAACTCACTTGTGGAGGAATGAAATACCCACCGAGCCCCCTTTTCCGCAGCATCCCCTGCAGAGTCCTGCCCTGAGTTTTCTCTGATGCCAGACTTTCTGAGCCTCAGTCAGTCGTCCTGGGGTCCTGAGGTGGCGTCATTTAGGGACGGTGCTGTGGGGGGCTCTGCCGGGCACGCAGGCTGACTTCACCTTAAGCCTGAGCCCAGCCTGATGGAAGTGGTGGTTCTGTGTCCTCTAAGCTCAGGCTTGCTGAGCCTTCCACGACCTCAGTGACCCCTTGTTTCTGTGGATGCCATTTTGACCTTTGGTTGTGTACTCAAGCTAACTGACAACTCCTCGGTCATAAAAATTCTCTGCCTTGAGTTGATGTTCAATGACAGTGTAGGTTTATTGAAAGCAAGTGTGTTCATTATCTAGCACAAGGGTTGAAACATGATTCCTCTGAATGTCCAATATTTGGACAACATTTTACAGGTAAAATATTCCTTTAAAGGGATATCTCTGCGTCAGTAATAGCACAGGCACTGGCGCCAGAAGGTCCTTGGTTGGAGGCCCAGATCTGCCGTCTCCTGACTGTGTGAGCTCAGCTGTCTCCTCCTCTCTCTAAGTCTCTGTTTCTCCATCCATGAAACAGGGGTAAAAGTAGTCACCACCTCCTTCCTGGGACTCAGGTGAGGACTACATGAGATGATGCTGCTGGAACTCAGTGAGGGTCTCACGTCCTGTTTCCTACCTTGACTCAGTGACTGCCACAGAGCAGAGGCTGATACTGTTTATGGAATAAGTGAATTAAGACATACAGAGCCACATTCCAGGGTGGTGCTGGCAGAAAAGCCAGGTGGGTGAGGCTTTGCTTCCTCTCCCTCCTCTTACACTGTGTTCCCACAGCCCCCTCTCCCCACTCCTTAAGGTAGAACTGCCCTGGCGGTTCCCTCTGTCTCAGTCACACCCTGTTCCTAGGATAAGGTATCAGCCGGTGACATCTAGATGCCACTGAAACCAGCAAAGCCCCTCCTTTAGTGCAATGGTGGGTGGACCCTTCCTTTCTATTAGGACTAACCATTTATTGGTGAAAAGACTTCAGGCGAGCAGGTGGAGGGGGTGGTTAAGCCTTAAAACATGCCAGTTGGAGGGCACCAGCCTGGCACACACAAGATCATCCTCCCCTGCCTTGGTGCTGTACAAATATACGACTGCAGCGTGACTTTAAAGGGAATCTCAGATTGGAGGTGCCCGTACCCTGGTCAATGTTTAACAAAGGGCTCCCGGCCAACCCCAGGGTGAGGGGTGAGGGGCTTGTCCAAATTCCACTCTCATTGCAAATTGAACTTAAGGAAATGCCTCCTTTCTACAGCCACACCGTGAGCTTCCCTTCCTCCTTCTAACCTCTATATGAAGGCACCCTGCAGGGGGCCAGCCTCTCTTCTCTCTCTCCATAACTCTCCCAGACATGAGTTGCTACCCGCTAAGATGGCACTTTCATTTGAATGGGAAAAAGGCTTCCTTCCTGGGTGAATGCAGACCTGCAGGCCTAGGGGTTGGTGAGCTAACTGCCAGGGCTTTTGTGCGAAGAAAAAGGTGTTCCTACAAGGCAGCTCACAGCTTGGACTTTAGCCCCACTTGAGACAGAAGCACTTTGTGCAGTGCACAAACCACACCACTGTATGCAGCAGATCTTTTCAAATGCCTGATCCGTTGGCCTTGAAAACTCAGTGGTGGGATCTCCCAGCAGCCACGCAGTTATGTTTCCTCAGAATAGCTGGGTTGCTAAACGAGTTGGAAAACAAAGTCACAAAAAAAAAAACAATGATCTGGAATTAAATATCCTCAAACCAAAGTTCTAGACAGCAGCTGCTTCCCAAATGAACCAAATTTGTAAGTATGAAAAACCTACTCCCGGCCGGGCGCAGTGGCTCATGCCTGTAATCCCAGCACTTTGGGAGGCTGAGGTGGGCAGATCACGAGGTCAGGAGATCGAGACCATCTTGGCTAACATGGTGAAACCCCGTCTCTACTAAAAATACGAAAAATTAGCTGGGTGTGGTGGCGGGCACCTGTAGTCCCAGCTACTTGGGAGGCTGAGGCAGGAGAAAGACTTGAACCCGGGAGGCAGAGCTTGCAGTGAGCCGAGATCGCGCCACTGCACTCCAGCCTGGGCAACAGAGCGAGACTCCGTCTCAAAAAAACAAAAAAACAAAAAACTGCTCCTATAGACAAATCTCCTGATGCGCAGTCTTTGAAAGCTGAGAGAACATTGCTTCTGTGCTGCCATCTTTTGAGTCTGGTTGCCTCATGAGTTTGATGTTGTGCTGTACTTTAAAAATTCTTTCTAATGCTTCCTGGCTTGAGATTTAATATCCTGGTGACTCTATCTTTGGTTTTCATTTTCACAGGCCTTATCACAACTTATTGAGGGCTTTGAAGGAACTTCTTCCTCTTTGATATTCCTGTATGGACAGGGTGAAGTGTAAAGGGATGGCCAACAACAGTGGTTTTAAAAAATTGGGGTGTATCATTAAAAAAAGCCCTGGGAATCTCAAAACCATAGCTGTGATGCCTCTGGGTAAACATTCGAAATCACTTCTTGACCTGAACGTACCTCCTGGGCTTAAAACTCCTTCACCTTCTGGGTTTCCTTCCCTCCATTGTCTGCAACATTGAGTCATTTGCAAAGACCCCTCCTGGTTCACCATGGCCTCACAATGGTCCACCCCTGCTGAACCCCCAACTGCTGCCTCAGCTCAGACCCCCTTCCCATCCGTCTTGCCTGTCTCTCTTCCATGCACGTTGCTGTGTGAACAGTACTCTTCCATAAGACCATCTCTGGCCATACCTCATCCTTGTGATGTTGGCCATGGAATAGCGGGTGGTTGTTCAGGATAAAAATCGCAGTGTTTAGATTGGAGGCTCCCAAATCCAACCCCCCAACCACCACCTGTCGTGGCTGCTGATGACCTTGGATGACTGGCTTAACTTTGGGTCTCACATTTATTCCTCATCCGTAAAATGGAACGAATAGAAGTAGCCACCTTAAAGAGTTGATCAGATGCAGAATGGCTATAACAGCTTGACACAGAGTAAATGCCCAATTAAATTAAAAGGTAGCGGTCACGTTTATTACCACTTCTCACTTTTGTATGACATTCAGTATCTGATCTAGTGTCCTACGTGTAGTAGGTGCTCAATAATAGTTTCCCTTTCTTGTTTTTCAAGGAGACGTGCATCCAAACGTAAGAAGCACACACAAGGGATATATGAGTTTTGCAACAACATTGAGACAATAGAGAAATGTACGAAGTAAAAAATGGAAGCTTCTCCCTTCTCATTTCCATGCCAGCAGTAACCTATGCCAATGGTGTTCTAAGCATCCTTCCCAGACAAACATGGCTTGTTTGTTTTGACAAAAATACGATTTTACTAAATGTATGCCCTGCCCCTTGCCACATGTAGATCTGGGCATGAGGAATGTTTACTTTCACAGGGGCTGTTTTTTCCCAACGATGTGTAGCTGAAAGTGATCTCTGTGGAAGGGCCCTTGTGTCTGGGATTCCTGCCCTGTGGGACAGCAAGATGCCATGTTTTTGAGGTTGCTTTCAAATGGTGACTTTTTTTCTTATCAGAGGAGAGAAAATGGGGAAGATGCCCACCTGAGTATCTTTCTGCATAATACTGGGCCTGAGGTCCTGACGCTAGGGAGGGGTGTTTGCCGCTTTGGGCAAATGTCCAAAATTCCACAGCAGGACACCCTGGTTCAAAACAGGAGAGTTGAACCTTTGTCTCCGCTTTCTCTTTAGTGCCACAGGCAAGAGCAATTCTGACCGAGAATAATTTTGAGAGAACGAGCTTCTGCATCGGTATAAAAACAGTTATTTTGCAAAAGGGCAAAACTGAAAAAAAGTTGTTTTAAGGAGCATTGCAGTTATAGAAATGTGTCGCCTAAAATACTTTGTAACGGTTTGTGGGAATGCTCCCAGCCACATTCTGAGAGGACTCTGGGTGAGAGTTTCCAAGGGGGATGTAAAAAACCAACCCAACCCTGCCAGCGTGCCCGGCCCACCAGCGATGTCACAACACACAGTGCTGAGTGCCCGATGTGGGGCCCACGAGGAGCCAGCCTGGCGCTGACGCTTCGCGTTAGGATGGACGAGCTGAGGATTCGTTCTCAGGGCAGCGGATGCCTCTGCCTGACCCCTTGGTTCCAGTACATTCTTTCAAATGCCGGATTCTTAAAGGAAAGCTTTGCACTTGATTAAGAAGAAAAAAGAAGTCCACCCACCACTTCCTCAATTGTCACGGCTCTTTCACCACTGGGAATGATGAAGATTAAGTAAAAATAGACACAGTCATGATTTGTTACTTAGCGAGGAATACCAGGGCCGCGCTCAAGCCGGCGCCCCGCACGTCCAGGCTCTTCCCACTGGTTCCCACCCCTGCTCCTGCGTCTGCACCACCCACTCTTTCCCGGCCTAGATGCCTGCTCAGCGACACTCTGAGAGATCTCCTGAGCCTCCCTTTCTCCTTGCCCTTGGAAAAATGGAGACGCAGCTACAAATCCCTCATCTCAGTGATGGGTTCATGGCAGGGGAAGACGGTGAGGGCCACGTTGCTCAGGGAATCTCAGTGCCTTCACACCGGCTCTGTGATGCGGGGCTCAGAACATACGCTCCTTCTTGAGCCTATGGAAACGCCACCAGTTACCTGCTAACTTGGTGTCCTGCCACACCGTGTGGTCACCAAGATCAAGGAAGGGCTGGGAAGCAGAGCGAGCAGCAGACTGGAGGCCCAGGTGCTTGGCTGCGCACAGGCTGTGTGCCCTGGGCAGGCTGAGCAGCCTCTCTGGGCTTTCATTTCTGCATCTTTAAGATGGGTGTAGGAATCCCAGCCCTCCCTAACTCACCCGGTGAGCTGGCAGCGGACCGTGTGCCAACAGCGACCGCAGCTGCTACGTGTGGAAGGCCTGAAGAACGCCAGGGCCTGTGTGTTGAGTTCCATCCACCCCTCACTTGAAGTGGGGAGCCCGAGGCACAGAGAGGAGAAAGAACTTGCCCCAGTGGGGAAATCATAGAGCCAGGATTTCAACCCAGGCAGTTTAACAGGGGAGCGGCGTGGTGGACCAGAACTTTCTGCATGGGTAGACACACTCTATTGTCTGCTTGTCCAACACAGAATCTGAATTCTGAACTTTAATTTTAACTTAAATGTAAGCGACACATGGCTTCCTGAAGGGACAGTGCAGTTGAGACCCTTGTGCAGCACCGTCTGCTGGAACTTTCTGTGATGAACGGGAAGTGACCCATGCCCGCACTGTCCAAATGGAGCCACCAGCCGCCATGACACCCGAGTGCCTGATCCTTAACAGGATGGGATTGTAATCGATTTAAATGCGCATTGCCTAGCTGCAGGTGACTGGTGGCCGCCGCTGGGTGGCTCCAGTCCTGCTCACTTAACAACGTGCACACCCATCTGAGAAGGGCTTGTCTGGCACTCACTGCGTTGTGTCCTAAAGATCCACTTATCTCTTTCTCTCTCTCTGTGTGTGTTTTTCATTTTGATGTGTGCAGTTCCCAGCAGGGCATATGGTCCACGGGTGGGGCTGAGTAAGTGTTTGCCAATGAGTAGGCTGGATGTCTTGGTTTCAATACTCATTCACCAAAAGTTGCATTGAGAATTCTGCAGCTGCCGGGCACGGTTCTGGGTACTGGGCAGATATGAGCCATGTATCTCTGGAGGGGGACATGGATGACCAAACAGCTGAATATGGAATTACAGCCTGAAAGGAAAATATAGGGTGGCATTGGGGACGCAATGGGGTGCCCGCTTCAGACAGATGCCCGGGGGGGTTCTCTGAGGACCCACCTGAGGGTCCATTTAGGCTGCAGCCTAGAGGATGGGAGGAAGGGAGGAGTGGGGTTGGAGGTTGGGGAAGAGCTGTTCAGGAACGTGGAACAGCCAGTGCAAAGGCCCTGGGAGGGAAGATGCCTGGTGTGTGCGAGGCAACCAGAGGCCAGTGTGTCGGGAGGCATGGTGCTGAGAGATGGGCTGGCTTGAGAGGGAACTAGGAGGCCCGTGTGTCGGGAGGCGCGGTGCTGAGAGGTGGGCTGGCTTGAGAGGGAACCAGGAGGCCCGTGTGTTGGGAGATACGGTGCTGAGAGATGGGCTGGCTTGCTCCGTTCACTCCCTATTACGACCTTTTGCACACCAGGGTTGGGAGCCTCACGTTGTGTGTATCACCTATATACAAATTTCCCAGATCTTCAGGGGATGCTGAGCTGTTTTAATGATGTGATAGAAATCCTGGTTCCCATGGAAGACTTGCAAAGGATTGTCGTGTTACAGAGCAAGTCAGTTACCCAGCAGGGAAAGTGCTAAACCCACAGGCAGAAACTTGCCTGTAGCAAAATAATTCTTATATTTGACAAACATACATACGTAGCATTTACTGTGTGCTCAGTGTAGCTGTATGAACTCTAAATATGAACCGGTTGAATCCTCCCAGCAGCCCCACAGGGAAAAGTACCATCATCATCATCATCATTGTTGTCACCATAATCGCCTTCATCATCACCACCACCACCGTCACCATCACCACCATCATGACTGTCACCACCATCCGCCTCATCACCATCATCACCACCATGATCATCATCATTCCCATTTCACAGCTGGGGGAAGAGATGCTCAGAGAAGATAGCTAAGTTGCCTGAGGTTTGTGTGACTGGCAGAATAATTCTGTTCATCCTGCCCTGCAAAGACGTCCCCACTCCAGGACTGTGAATGTGTTACCTGACGTGAAAAAGGGACTTTGCAGGTGTGATTAAATTAAGGATCTTGCGAGGAGGAGATTGCTCTGGATTATATAGGTGGACCATCACAAGGGTCTTTGTAAGAGGGAGGGAGGCAGCGCGTCAGAGTTAGAGATGGAGCTTGCGATGAGGGAAGTAGAGTCAGAGAGACACTGGAAGATGCTGGCTTTGAAGGTAGAGGAAGAGGCCAAGAAATATGGCGGCCTTTAGAAGCTGGGAAGGGCAAGAAAAGAGATTCTTCCCTGGAGCGTCCAGGAGGAGCACAGCCCTGTGACACACTGACTTTAGCCCAGTGAGACCTGTGTCAGATTCCTGACCTCCAGAACAGTCAGAGAATCAACGCCTGCTGTTCCAAGCTGCTAAACTTGTGGTCATATGTTATGGCAGCCATAGGAGCTGAATGCAGTCTTAAAAAACGGAGAATGGCTGGGTGCGGTGGCTCATGCCTGTAATCCCAGCACTTTGGGAGGCGGAAGCAGGAAGATCACTTGAGCTCAGGAGTTCAAGGCCAGCCTGGGCAATACAGTGAGATCTCGTCTCACTATACAAGGCTACATTTACAAGAAAATGAAACTAGCCAGGCATAGTGGTGTGCACCTATACTCTCAGCTACTTGGGAGGCTGATATGGAAGAATCCCTTGAGCCCAGGAGTTGGAGGCTGCGGTGAGCTACGATTGCACCAGTGCACTCCAGCTTGGGTGACAGAGCGAGACCCTGTCTCCAAAAAAAAAAAAAAAAAAAAAAAGGTAAGGCAGTGACTTTCAACTTTAAATCTCCTTCATAGACCTATGCCCCTCCTGGAGCAGTGATGGACTCACTGTGGTGCCGTGCGCAGCCCAGGACTTCCCTGAGGCTCCAGCTGTGTCTGAGCACAGCACAGGCAGACTCCAAACCCACGGCACCCACCCCTTGGCTGCTTATCCCACTACAGGGGTATTTCTGGGCTGTGACTTGGGCTGGAGAAGGTGGTGGAGGGTCCATGTTGCTGCACTAGTGTGCTGCTGACTTCTGAGCTATGATCTAGTAGGATCTGGGAAGAATAACTTTTGCCCATGCCTGAACAAACCCACTGAAACACAGGAAAAGCTGCCCCAGTGGGCTTGGAATGTAGTCAGCCCGACCCGCTGCCTCTTCACGCCTGACGACCAAGGCGTGCACTTACAAAGGGCTGAAATGAATGTTCCTAGGCGCCCAGCTGGTCAGGCCTGGATCTTTCACATAAAAAGGGATGGGGGGCAAAGACAATGAGAAGCGGGGGACAGAGGGTGGAGAGAAAACATAAGGCCTCCCGCAGTGCCTGGCCTGAGTTTGAGGGACACGGGGTCCCGGGGTGAATTGTGGTTGGGGGGAGCGGCTGGGGTGGGAGGATGACTCGGCAGCTGCACTTTCTCTGATTCTGCCAAGTCCCCCAGGAGCCTAGATGGACCTGTGAGCACCAGGGGCGGAGGACCCCGGTGGGGTGGGAACCACCAGCAACAGGAAGAATCTGAAGGAGAGGAACTTGGCAGAAACCCGACTTCTCTAAAAATATTCAAAGCCCGTGGCCCACAGAGGCTGGATTGCGAGGCTCCTGGGCTCCAGCAGCCGCGTCTCTGACCGTTGAGACCTGGCGCGGTCCAGGCGTTGAGCAATAGGGCTGCGCCCGGTGTCATGCCCGCCGCCCACCCCGCCCTGCCTGCTCCACTTACACGGAGACGAGAGGCAGCTGCTGGTGTGGCCGCGTGTGCATGTGGCCATGTGTGTCTATGTGTGGCCATGCGTGTGTGAGTGTGGCCTCTCGTGTCAGTGGGTGGGCCTGCTGTCGGCTCCTGCAGTCCCCTGTGGCCTCTTCTCCAAGGACAGGTAGCAGAGCCCTCCTGTGAACCCAGCACAGATCCTGGGCTGGCTGTGGTCCGGGAGGGCCAGAGCATAAGGGAATAAGTGTGGAGCGCTTGCTCTAGGCCCAGCCCTGTGCTAAGCAGACCATAGCTGTAACCCAAGACACTATGAGATAAGAACTACTTTTGGCCCTATCGTACAGAGTCTGAGATGAATTCAGAGAGGTCGAGTTGTTTGCCTGAGGCCACACAGTGATGGGTGAAGCTGGAGGAAGCCAGCCTGCAGGGTGGTGCCCCTAATGCTCCACTCCACGGCGTCGTCGAGGACGGACACCCCAGAGCCAACCCAGGGCCAGGGGGCCCGCATTCCCCAACACCAACCATTGACCTGGAAGGTGGGGGCTCTTGCCTCTACCGCCAGGTCGCTTGGGGCTTCTAAAGCCTTTGGCTGTTCTGCAAGGAGGTCTTCGGGGGTCTTAGTGTGGGGAGATGAGGGATGGCAAGCCGAGGGTGGGGAGGCTCTAAGGCCCCCAGCTAAGAATCGTTCAGGTGGGACTGAGACATTCATCCTCCGTCTCAGACGTCTAAGATGTCTGTCCTTGTCTGAGACACAGCTGAGGTCTGGCTGTCTCTCTTAGGCCCTCAACTCCAGGAGGCATCAGAACTGGGCGAGAGCATGGGGCGCCAAGAGCAAGCTCCAGATTCACAGGAGCTGCTGCCTCTCAGCCCCTTCTCTGCGCTGGTCAGGCCTCTCAGCCCACCGGAAGGGCAGCGGGGCCAGCTCTCTTTTCCTTCCTGGTGTCTGGCTCTGCAGCTGACGGTTGGCTCCTCCGCAGCCCCTGCTGCGCTTCCTCATCTGCAGAGCAGAGCTGCGTCGGGGGCACTGCTGCAGGCGGGGGACCTGGTCCTCCCTCAGCGGGGTGTCCGCTCTGTGTCCTCGCCTTCCCTGGACCCTCCTGCCATTCATTCTGGGGCTGTCCGGGGTGGTCACAGGCATGATGGGGTGGAAGGCGCATGCTGCCCAGTCCCTGGTAGACCAGGTGGAAATGGAGGTGCCCAGCTTTGAGGTGTCTGCCACTGGTGGCCCCGAGCCCGGGTCCTGGATCCCAGCTGCGGGCTCACCTTCTAGCACCCTCCCAGCCACTCTCCAGCCACAGGAGCCTCCCCGTGCCTTGGTTTAGGGACACAGGGACAAGAGCCTCTGTCTCAGGAGCCTCCCCATGCCTTGGCTTAGAGACACAGGGACAAGAGCCTCTGCCTCTTGGACAGTTGTGAGGATTAAGGAATCCCTCATGCGGCATTCTTAGCCCTGTGCCTGGAACCATGTGGCTGGGATTGTCACCTGATCAAAGGCAGGGCGAAGGTGTGCTGAGTCCTGCCTTGGCCAGGAAGGGATGTCTACAGTCAGCCCCATCACCCCATTTTGCAGATGAGGAAATCGCCCGAGGATGGATCCGACTTGTGGTTTCAATGGAGCCCTCATTCTTCTCTTCACTTACCCTCTCCGTGAGGAGGAAGCCAGTGCACATCAAGCGTTTCCTGTGTAGCACAGACTCTTCTCCCAAACATCTTTGCATTCTGCACTGGTGAGGGCCAGTGGTGCCACACCAATGTCCCAATTCACCTTGGGAACGTCCTTGAGCGCATTTCTTTTTGTCTGTAGAAGTAAAAGAGTAGAACTGAATGCCGAAGCCAGCAAGCTGTTGGAACCTTGGAAACGCAGAGGGCATGAAGGCTGAGTCCGGGGTCCTACAGTCAGAGGCTCGCATTCAAATCTTGCCTCTGCCTGTAATTGCCGTGGGACCCTAGCAGGTGACTTAGCCATGCCCTGCCTGGGTTTACCTACCTGTAAAGAGCCCTTGTAAGGATGAAAGTAGGTGGCACAGACCAAGCATCTGTACCTGGCAGACCAGTCCTTAATAAACAGGAATTATTGTTACTATTATCTTGATTGACATTTTCATTTTAACGCATAGGAAACAGGCCTGGAGAGAGGAAGTCCGTTTCGTGATGGCTGGAGAAAGGGCGTCTCCTGACCCCTCATCCAGAGCTGTCTGTGCTTCCCTTGGCAGCAAGATGACTGACGGAGCCCAGACAAAATTTTAGTTCCTTCAAAGAAGTGTTTTGCTTTCGGGGCCGTTGCTCAGTAACCCTGGGGCCGCTGGCTGAAGGCAGCATAGGCACTTCTCAACAAGCTCTTGAGTACACGCCTGGGGAGACGGGGCCTCACTGTCAGGGGGAGACCAGCCAGGCTGCCCTCACCGCGTTCTCTCTGTCTTTCGCGGCAGCCCTGCAGTCCTGGTCCTGATGAGTGGGAGCCACAGCACGTGGCCTTGGGAACAGCTCTTAGCCACTGGGAGTCTTGGTTTCCTTACCCGTAATATGAACGCAGAGGCTCCGAGCTCCAAGCATGGTCAGACTTAGTCACGTTTTCACCCTGCAATGGAGGGATGTTTTCGAAACATTTTTTTTGACACCGTGTCCGCCCAGGAAATACCCTGAGAAAATTAGACAACTAAATGATATTGACTGTTCTCATGAATTACTCCAATAATTTGTTTTTTCCTTGACCTGCAGGTTAAAGTCAGCATTCATTGATCTGCTACATAAAGTAACATTTCTTCTAATTCCAAATGTAACATGGGCTTAATTTGGAAAACCTGGAAAACAAGAGACAAACAAAACGTTGGAGGGGGAAAAAAAAAAAAACCCAACAGTGTGGGGAAATTAAAAAAAAAAATCCCCAAACAAAAAGAAAATGAAAAGGAAAGTCAAACATTTATCACGAGATAGGAAGCTGTCATAAAACTCTTGTGTTTCTTGGAAACACTGTCCTGCTCCCAGTTTGGAGGGCCATAAAAATCTCAGGTTATTGCCTTTGCAGATGCCCTCTGGGAGCCTGCTGGAGGAAAGTCTTCATTTTCTAGAACCTTCTACCCTTCGGATACGTAGTGACACCAACCACGAGGTGGTCGGTGTGGAGGGGCAGCCCTGGTCTTGCACCTCCAGCAGGTTGCATGTTCTGGACTCTGATGGCCCAGAGGGACCCTTCTTTCTGCAATTTTCTAGGCAACTTGCAAGAGTTTCTTAACCTCTGTGCCCCCTACCTTCCCCATCTGTGAAATGGGGGATCGCCGGGGGTTGATAAATGTGAAGTCATACACATGGTAGTTGTTACTGGGAGTCTAACCACACCCCAAGCATTTTTTTTTTTTTTTGAGACAGTCTCACTCTGTCACCCAGGCTGGAGTGCAGTGGTGCGATCTCAGCTCACTGTAGCCTCTGCTTCCAGGGTTCAAGTGATTCTCTTGCCTCAGCCTCCCGAGTAGCTGGGATTATAGGTGTGCACCACCATGCCCAGCTAATTTTTGTGTTTTTAGTAGAGATGGGGTTTTCACCATGTTGGCCAGGATGGTCTTGAACTCCTCACCTCAAGTGATCTACCCGCCTCGCCTCCCAAAGTGCTGGAATTACAGGTGTGAGCCACTGTGCCCGGCCCCCAAGCATTCATTTAATAAAAAACTATTGCTTTAAGAACAGAGCATGGGAGAAGCAGATGGAGAACTGGAATGGCATTAGCTTCCCAGAAACCCCCATCCTGTCCCTTCAGATCACCACCTAGACCCCCATGGGGAACCCCTATCCTAACTTCTAACAATGTAGATCAGTTTTGCCTGGTTTGGAAACCTGGGTAAATGGCATTGCTGTGTGGACTCTTATATGTGGCTTCTCTTACTAAATATCAAGTTTGGGAAATCATCCATGTTTTTACATGTAGTTGTTCCCTGGAGCAGCTTCCACGACTTGCCTGGAGGCTGTCAGAAGACAAAAGACACATAGGCCACTTCCAGTTTCATAGATTCTGCTGGTTTGTTTTTTTTAAATAAAGAAATGCCAGAACACAGATGCACACACAAACAGAAGGTCAGCATTCACAGGTGGACACCTTCCTCCAGTGTTGAGTGACTGTGTGCGTGGATGCCTCCGTAAGTCCAACACTGACACTCTCTGTGAGTTGGGGCAGCCCTGCCCTAGTGTGTGAAGCTCTGGTCTTGTTAGCACTCGGTCCCTCCCAGCTGAGAAACACTGCCCAGCACACAGCAGCGGCCCGGCATCTGTCGATCAAACACATGAATGCACAAATGAATGAATGGGACTCAATCATCATAGGAGGAAAAGCAGAGGAAAGAATGTATTCTGATCTCCATGCCCAGGGCTGTCCTCCAGGTCCAAGGAGCAGAGGAGATCAGCTCATCGTGTCGGATAAGGGACACCTGTCCCCTGGGAGCAGCTGCTATGGCCTCTGTTGCAGATATCTGTTCTACTTTCTCTTTCACTTTCTTTCTTATCCCTGCATTTCAAGTTGGGGTGCAAAGCAGGGTAGGGCCATAAAGACAGGGGATGTTGTAGCAAAGAGCTTGGAGGCTGCTCTCTTGGCTTGGAGCTTAGTCCAGGGGTCCCTCAGCCCTGAGATGCTGGGGATGGGGCCCGAGGGTCTCCACCTGCTTCCTGCTCCCATTCCCTGATGGCCATGTGGGAGTCCAGGAGGTCATCCGAGTGTGTGGCAGTGCAAGGATGTTGGGGTGCAGGGATCCCTCCCTGTCCAGCACACTCTTGACACCCCCATGCCCCAGCGCCTCCAAAGTCCCACCCCAGGGGCTCATGCCACATCCAGTGGGTGTTTGGGGTCACTGAGAAGACAGGGACAGCTGGAGCAGCAGCCCTCAGATGGCCTCCACCACCTCCTGGGACCCTTGGCCATGAGGATCCCATGGGCAGCAGCGCCCCCTGCTGGCTTATCGTCGACCCTCCCCCCCCCCCACCACCCCCCGGCTCTCCTCACCCCGGCTTCTTCCCTGCTCCTCCCCATCCTCCTCTGGGACCTCTAGGACCTTTGATTGTCACTAAGTCCATGCACTGCCTGTTGGGCTGCTGGATAAGCTGCAGGGTATCAGTGGGGTGGATGAATTAAAAAAGGTGGCCTCCCGAGAATATGAGCCCATCATTGCACTCCTGGATACATACACCCCAAAATTCTCACCTGGGGTCCACTGGGGACGTGGATGATGGTGTTATGTGTGCTGGGGAGTGTGGGAACCATCCGATGCCCCTCAGTGAGGGCTGAGTTGTATGGTGGGCATACCCTGGTTATGCAGCGGCAAGGATGAATTTTAAAAACAAAACACCAATTTAAAACAGTAAAAAAGGGCCAGAATGGGAGGACAATATGATACCAACACCTGTATTTACCAGAAGTAAAATGCATGGATCATGTGGATGGTTACAAAAAACATGACAGAGTCCAAGCAGACCAAGTAATTGTGAATCCCCAGTCTGAGGGTATACTCCAGTCTGAGGGACCGGGACTCCAAGGTTCCCACGTCCAACAGACCTTCCTTCCAACACTCTTCATAGGTGCGCAAGGGAGCTCGCCTTCTCTTAAGCCTCCCCCTTTAATTGTTTTCTGTAACCTACAAAACGGCAATTTCATGTCATTTAACCAGACAAAGTGTGATGTGTTTCTAGAATAGAGAATGCAGCAGTGAATGTGAATGATTAGATCCACATGTAAAAACAGAGATGATTTCCCACACTTGATACTTAGTAAGAGAAGCCAGATACAAGAGTCCACACATCCTGATGCCATTTATCCAGATTTCCAAACCAGTCAAAACGGATCTACATTGTTAGAAGTTAGGAGAGGGGCTCTCCTTGGGGGTCTGGGTACTGACTTCCAGGGGGCATGAGGAGGGTTCCTGTTGGGGGCGGGTAAAGCCATTCTATTTCTCTACCCAGTGCTGTTACTGGTGCTTAGTGGGTGAAATTCACTGAGCCGTGCACTTAGGATGCATGCGTTTTTCTGAACCTGTGTCATACTTCAATACGACGTTCAGAAACGCATGTTTCTAAAGCAACCACGGACAGTGCAAGGACACCTGAGAACCACAGGACACACATTCAGTGTGGGAGGACAGTTGTCCAGGGTGGGGAGGGTCCAGGAAGCTTCCTTCTGTGCCAGGCATCCTGGGCCCCTCCTCCAGCTCTCTCCTGAGCGCCTGCATTGCTGGGGGCCTAGACTTGGCTGGCAGGAAAGGAGGAAAGTCCCCTCTAGTTTCTTTTTCTCGACACTGAAGGAGGTGACAGGTATTTGTTCCTGAAACTCATGGCTGAGCTAATTTTACACAGTGAGTGAGGCGCTGCAGAGAGAAATGAAACGGTGGCTCGGGGGGTCTGATCTGGGCAGAATGGAAACCCTCACGGGGCAGCTGGGAGTGGTGAGGGGGAGGCTTCAGAGAAGAGGATCCCCCCTTGCATACTTATGAAGAGTGTTGGAAGGAAGGTCTGTTGGATGTGGGAGCCTCGGAGTCCTGGAATGTCAATGTATACCCTTGGATGGGGAATTCACAACTACTGGGCCCTCTGAGCCTTGGTTTCCCCATTTCTAAGGGGACGGGTTGGATAAAATGATGCTTAAAATTCCTGCCATTGAGAGCTTGGAGGCTGCTATCTTGGCTTGGAGCTTAGTCCAGGGTCCCTCAGCCCTGAGGTGCTGGGGATGGGGCCCGAGGGTCTCCCCCTGCTGCCTGCTCCCATTCCCTGATGGCCATGCGGGAGTCCAGGAGGTCATCTGAGTGTGTGGCAGTGCAAGGATGTTGGGGTGCAGGGATCCCTCCCTGCCCAGCACACTCTTGACACCCCCATGCCCCAGCGCCTGTGCAAGGTGTTGTGCCCATCTTCGCCTTGCCCCTTCTCTCTTTCTCTCTCATATTTTATGTCCCATCTGCAGAAAAGGTTGAACAAGAAAGCATCACATTGTGTTTGGGTTTTCAGAAAAACAAAAACATATACCCATTAAGAGCATGCTAACTGCTTCATAAAAACATCCCACCGTGGGCACCGTGATGGCAAACAGAGGCTGTCTGGGCTTCGAGGTTGCTGCACACTGAAGGAATGTTTGGTGAGCCCACTGATGCATCCTTTACATTCCATGACACCGTTAAAAAATAAATTCATTTTTACTGTAGCTGTTTTGTGACTTATATAATCATCCAAAATGCTTTAAAAGCTCTTAAAACAACCGCGGCACATAAAAAATTTACAACGTCTGTAAGCAAAGTAAACAGTCGCATTTAGCCACAGCAGGGGGATTCTTCTTTTTCTTGGTGGCAAAACCGACGTGAAAGATGAGAAGGAAAAAACAATGAATCTCTCTGAAACTCTTCCCTTTAGTTCTTAGTCTTGCTGGCTCACACTGTACTATCAGAAACCGCCTACCATGCTTAAAAGAGAAAGTATTATTTCTGATCTTGTTTTTCCAAGGGAAGGAGTGGGGAGGCTCATGTGCTTTTTTCCCAGAGACAATGTTTAAACTAGAAAACACACTTGGGTTAACCAGAGCCCATGCAATGGCCTGTGTGAAGAGGACAATCTCCAGCCCCTCAAAATGCTGGGGAGCAGTGTCAAGGTTGTGACTGATGTTATAGATCACGGAGCCTCGGCTGAATATGGGAGGGGGTGAAGCTTGAAGGGTGGATGGGAGAGAAATAAAGGACCCGCGGACTGGTGGCCTCCGAGAGGCTGGTGAACTGATATTGTGCCCACATTCGAGCCTAGGTACAAGAAGAAGAAATTGGGTTCTGAAGTCTGAGGGTGTCTGAGTGAGGTATTCTGGAGATAGAGAAAAGACTTGTGGGTTATTGGAACAGAATGGAGACGAAGGTCAGTGAGATGAAGAAATTAAGACAGGGAGCACAAAATTCAGCTCTGAGCTTCCTAGCAGCCACAGCAAAAAGGAACATGATGAGCTCCAACTTAAGAAAAAGAAGATAATAGGTCATCTGATAGGTCTGGGGTTCACCTTGGATGACAGATGGAATTGGGAGGAAGGAGAGAGCTTGTGAGTGGGTATCTGAGTATTCACTGAGTGGAGAGAAACCATCTGGAAGGCCAGTTCCTGCATAACCCTGCGGCTCATGTGTGAGAAACAGAAAAGCTGTTTGTTGCTATCACTGCAGACCTAGTAGACCATGGCGGGTATGGTGCATTGGCTGAGTGGTTATCGGCTGTTTTCACTACACCACAGTGATGTGGCGTCTGGGAGACAGACCTTGCCATGCAGGTGCGGGTGACAGAACTGGGGGTTAGAGGTTAACACCAATGGAACAAGCCCAACTGGACCCCCTGCTCCAACTCAAGCCAGTTCAGGCTGGGGAAGTGGAAGAACCCTGCTGGCTAATGTGCCTGACCCAAGGGTGATTAGCAGCCAGGCCGGTGGACGTGGAGCCGCATAGTGATCGTCATGAGCGCCATTTGTTGGGGACCTGCAGCGCGCTGAGTACTCTATTGTGTCACCTCTTTAATCCTCTTTCATCACCTTTTTAATCACCTCTTTAATGAAGCTCTATTCTTATCTCCTGTCTCCGGCAGAGAAAACTGAGGCCTGAGAGGCCGAGTGCGTGGCCTGAGTTTGCATGGCTGTGGCTAGGAGGCAGCTGAGCTGGGATTGGAACACATGCCTCTCTGATTCCAGAGTCTGTTTTTTTTTTTTTTTCTTTTTCTGGCCCCTTCTAAGGTTTGAACAGGCTGAGTGAGATGTCCTGAGTTGGGCAGTCCCTCGATGGGAGCAGAGCTGTCCGTGTCTGCGGTCTTCGGGAGGCTCCGTGCTGACTGAGAGGCAGCTGGCTGGCTCACACCTGTGCTCAGAACCCCTGGGGTTTTTCCTACAAACCCACTCCATCGCCTTCTGAGTTCACATCAGGGAGAGAGTGACTACGATGAACCTTCCCCAGGAGGCTGCAGGGTTTTAGAAAGGATCCTAAGGAGGGAGCTGCTAGCAGGTGATTTTTGGCCTCAGACATTTAAGAAACCTCAATGGCAGAGAGAGGACTCGAAGGAGGGAATATTGATTTCACAGAATTCATGGTTCCTGCTCAAGACATCCTGGGCAAATCAAGCTCCAGAGACCTAAGGGTCCTCTTTTCCTTTCCTGGCTATTCTACATATTAAAGGGTCCTTTGCATTTATCCTGACAAATCCCACTGGGGTGTGTCTGTCCCGCTATTGTGTCTGATGTCACAGTCTTGAATTTGCTTTAGTGTTGGAACACGGCCTATCCACCACCGTGGCTCTCCTGACATGTGGGGCTGGAGCATTCTCAGCTAGGGGGGTGCCATCCAGGGCACTGTGGGGGTGTTTAGCAGTACCCCTGGCCTCCACCCACTAGATGCCAGTCGTACCCCACCCCAGTTAGCATGACAACAAAAAATGTCCCCAGACATGGTCAATATCCCCCGGGATTTAAAATTCACTCCCCCAACACCTTGTTGAGCTTTTCCACCTGCTCTAGATTTTCTAAGCTTAATGGTACAGAGGGATTTGGGGCTCCATTGCCAATGGCATGTCCTCGGGCAGATCTCTGAATCTCTCTGAGCCTCAGTTTTCTTAACGGCAAAATGTTATCCCCCAAAGGAATAGCAACAGAAGCAGTGACAGTCATGGGAGCCATGGGCTCTTGAACACCTGCTAGTGCCGGGGAGTGTGACAGGAGGGGACGTGCAGCGTCTCATGGAAACGGGGTGTCTTTGGCTACAAAGCCAGAGGTCTGTCCACTCTTCCAAGCTGCTGCCTTTCTGTGATGAGTAGGCGTGAACCTTAGGAAGTGTCATACACAGGACATCACACGAGTGTTAGTTACCACCCTTTGGTTAAATTGCTGAAATGCGAGGCATGTGCACTTTGCCATTGTGGTTTTTACGGACCAGTCACTTAAAAGGCTTGGCCCTTGGCGGTCATCAAGGAATGAGAAAAGAAA
The DNA here is from genome assembly GCF_000001405.40 of Homo sapiens. NCBI lineage: Eukaryota > Metazoa > Chordata > Mammalia > Primates > Hominidae > Homo > Homo sapiens. The sequence goes on from NC_000016.10 coordinate 85,992,754, forward strand.
TGGCCAGCTCTATTGGTGACCATAGCCCTCATGTGCATGGGGCAGTCCTCGTTTCTGTCTGATGTTTTGCTATAATTACTAATTTCACACTCAAAAATGCCCTGGTCTGGATGCAAAATTAAACAGTCATGCTGCCTATGTGGCACTGACTTCCTCCCTTCTGTCCTTCCTCCCTTCTGTCCTTCTTCCTTTCTGTCCTTCTTCTGTCCTTCCTCCCTTCTGTCCTTCTGTCCTTCTTCCCTTCTGTCTTTCTGTCCTTCTTCCCTTCTGTCCTTCCTCCTTTCTGTCCTTCTGTCCTTCCTCCCTTCTGTCCTTCCTCTCTTATGTCCTTTTGTCCTTCTTTCCTCCCTTCCTTTGGCCAATCTACTCTCAAATGTGTCACTCATATGAAAGTCCCAGAGAGACGTCTCCCAGAGTTAGGTCTGAGGAATAAATGAGTCTCTGTTCAATGATGATCCCTCTTTTTTATTAGCCGAGAGCTTGTCATGTTCCCTTTTTGCTGTCTGTCAGGAAGCTCAGAAATAAGGTTTGTGTGCAGATGTGGTAGCTCTCCTTAGCCCAAGTTTCCGGGATCTTCACTTTCTCATCAACAGCTGGATGGTGGCTCATTTCTTATTTTTATTTTATTTTTTTGAGACAGAGTCTCACTCTGTCGCCCAGGCTGGAGTGCAGTGGCATGATCTCAGCTCACTGCAACCTCTGCCTCCCAGGTTCAAGCGATTCTCCCGCATCAGCTTCCCAAGTAGCTGGGATTACAGGCAGGCCACCACACCCAGGTAATTTTTGTATTCTTAGTAGAGATGAACTTTCACTGTGTTGGCCAGGCCGGTCTTGAACTCCTGACTTCAGGTGAGCCGCCTACCTTGGCCTCCCAAAGTGCTAGGATTACAGGCGTGAGCCACCGCCTCCGGCCCCATTTCTTGAATGGTTCTGGGCCTTTGATGATTGCTTGCAAGCGTTTAACCATTTATCTGTAGCCGCTCTTTCACAAGAAGCTGGCTTCAAGGCCTCCCAGCAGCAGGGCAGCTCATAAAAGAAAGACGAATGCACTTTCAGAATGTGGTCGGGGAGACCTGGTTACTCCTTAAAGCTTGAGGACACACACATGGGAGTCACTGTTTGGAGTGGGTTCTGTGATGGGTAGCGCGGATGGGTGAAGAACGAAGTTCCGGCACCAGGCATTGCATGAAAATGTGAAGCGCATTGTCTGCTTCCAATAGGAAAGCACCAACTCCTGTGTGTTGGGGGTTGTTATTATCCCCATTTTACAGAGGAGGAAAGTAAGGGCCAGCTTGGGAGGTGCACCCGCCTGCTTCCTACACAGTTAGCAAATGGAAGAACCACGCTTTGCCCCAGCACTGCTGGTTTCAAAGGCCACGTTCCTAACATCTGCTGCCCACTGTCTCAACATGGCCCTTTGGGATTGTAATAACAGCCTGCGCTGACGGCCTGCTTCCCGTGTGCCAGCCCCTGGGCTGAGAACTGGAATGAACCCCCATGTTATCCTCATGACCAGTCAGAGTTGAAATAACAATGAGTTAGCTGGGCATGGTGGCTCACACCTGTAATCCCAGCACTTTGGGAGGCCAAGACTGGCGGATCACCTGAGGTCAGGAGTTCGAGACCAGCATGACCAACATGGAGAAACCCCGTCTCTACTAAAAATACAAAAAAATTAGCCGGGTGTGGTGGTGCACGCCTGTAATCCCAGCTGCTCAGGAGGCTGAGGTAGGAGAATCGCTTGAACCCAGGAAGTGGAGGTTGCAGTGAGCCAAGATCACGCCATTGCACTCCAGCCCAGGCAACGAGAGCAAAAGTGCATCTCAAAAAAAAAAAAAAAACAAAAAACAAAAAAACAAAAAAAAAAAACAATGACCATCTGTTGACATGTGAAGACATTGAACGTGGAGAGACACACTTGTCCGAGGTCCTGTGCCCCACGATCACACAGGAGGCAGAGGCAGGACTGGTCTGCAGCCAGGTCTGTCTGGGTCCAGCAGCCTAATTTCAAGGATGACTGACCCGTAACAAACTCTCCAGGGAATGTTCAGGGCACATTTCTGACCTTTTGAATTGAGGTCGCAGAATGAAAATGCCATTGTTTGTCACAAAATGTCCTTTGTCATTGCTGTAAATGCCTGGGGAATCAAAGATCTAAATCAGAGGGTGCTTTCTTACGCTCTGTGATTCTGTGCAAGAGGCCTTCAGCAGGGCTGGACTTCCCTCCCAGAAGGGGAGTTTGGTGCTCAGTGGATCCTGTCAGGTGAGAAGCCGAGACCCAGCAGATGTGTGTGCGCACAGCGGAACCAGGTACAAGAGGTACAAGCGGAGATCGAGGTGCCAGCTGCTAAGAGGGGTCTCGCTTCTCATTCATGGAAAGACACGTCCTGGGGCCTGTCCCATCCCCTGTACTCAAACAGCCTCCCACATCTTCCAGGATCTGAAGCTGGACTTACCTGGAGTCCTGGAACATGGTGATCCCATCTCCACTGGACCTGAGTCAGAAGCCTGCTCTAGAGGAAGCAGGAAGTACATCTGGTTTTGGTTGGAGACGTTGCATCCATTCTAATAAAGCCAAGAGTCAAACTGAAATACTGGCTCAGGCTGAGAGGATATTCTGCCGTTGTAGTTTTGCTCGGGGCCATTCGTTTTAAGAAGACTGGAGAGTCAGTTCCAGTTTGTCTTGGGGGACTAAGTTCTTATCATGTGGTTTCTACTGGTGGCTTATTGAGAACACATGCAGGTACAGCCACGTTTGGGTTTTATTCCGTGCGGGATTTCACAAATGGAAGCTATGGGTTCCTGGTCTATTTATTTTACTCCACAGACATTTAAGGGGACCCGCTGGGTGCTAGATGAGTGCGTAGGTACAGAGACAGAAAAAGACGATGTGAGACCACGTCCAGCCAGTGAGTCTGGAGCAGAAAGTCTGTGGTAGGGGCCAGACAGTTGGAGCCAGTTGGTACTAGACCCTAGCACTAGGCTGGGCGTTGGAGCATCGGTCTCTGGCACTGAGGTTTGGAGATGCTGAGTGAGTTCTGGGGGTCAGCCTGCGGCCCCCAGCCCCCAGCAGTGGCTCATGTCGGAGTCCCGGAGGAACGAATACCACCCCACTGTCACTTCTTCAGAGGCGAAAGGGGAAGGGCCGGGATTTGGAATGAAAAATGAAAGTTCTTGCCCCACGAAATGGAAACCGTAGCAGCTGTTTTCAATTTCCTGCCTAGTAGGCGACATGCCCACTCCCTCCCTCGGTCTCATAAACACCTTTCTTTAGAATTTGGAAACACAGAGGGTGGGGGAAAGGCCAGGGTGGCATGCTAGCACGTGGCTCTGGAGTCAGGTGTCGCAGCGGCGGCTCCATCAGAATGCTCACGTCCAAACACCCACTGTCTCTGTGAGAACAACTCCCCGGGAAGCTGTTCTTTCTACTTTCTCTCTCTCTTGCAATTAATAGTGAGTTCCTCTATGAGGCTGTAAGTTTCTGGAAGGTGGTTTCTGGGATGTTCAGTTCCCTAAGCCCACATGGGGCCCAAGACTAATCACTTAAGTAAGGACCACAGCTGCCGCTTGGGAATGCTACTACACGCCTGTCAGTGAATCCTCGAGTTAGCGCTATGATAACCAGCGTAGTAGGGGTGGCTATCTCCATTTTATGTATGGGGAAACTGAGGCACTGAGAAGTGACATCATTTGCCAAGGTTGTAAAATCAGGAGTGGCAAATCCCGGAAACAGAAGGAGTCTGTGATAGCTCAACACCATTGTGACAATGTTAATAACTGCTAAATTGTGACTTTAAAATGGCAAATTTTATGGTAGATAGATTATATCTTGATTTGAAAATGCAATAAAAGGGTACTGGTGTCCCCCACAGTGGCTCTCCTGCCCAGGAGAACAGAGATACCTGTCTTTTTCCACTGCCATGAATGTCTAGCAGATGATGTTTTCAGTAAATGTTGGAAGGAAGGGAGAAAGACACAGTAAGAGAGGAAGGAAGGAGGGATGGAGGGAAAGAGGAAGGAGAGAGGATGGAGGTAGGAGAGGGAGGGAGGGGGGAAGTCCTTTCCAATCTCCACTCTGCCTCTATGGTATTTCGGCAGGTGACTCTACCACTGACTCCTACCTGGGAAGGGCACGATGGCCCCGGAATAGTATGGGCATTGGCTTCCTTCCACCTGGAGCTGCCTGCCAGGCGGCCTCCTTCCTCTGCTGGAGATCTCTGAGCGGCTGGGCTCCCGCTTCCCCCAGGGCCTGCAGTCCCTGGCCTCCTGCAGTTACCCTGGAAGGGCCTGGCACCCTGCCCAGGGCAGAGCTGGGTTTGGAGATGTGATGTGTCTCTGGGGGAAGCTGGCTGAGCCCCACCAGTCTCATTTCAAGTCAGGAACCACCACGGGTCTCCCACATGAAGCCACAACATCCACCGAGCCTCCACTTCGAAGACTTCACCCTGCTGCTGCTGGGTGGGTCAACGCTGGGATGCAGATGCCATTTTATGGCAAAGCTGTCTGTGAAACCAAATGACATTGTCCTCAAAGGAACCAAACCTGCCTCTCTTTCAGGCAGATGACAACCAGAAAATCATTAGCAGGCCTAGGATGTGAGGGAGGAGGAGAAGCCAGTGTCGTCCTTGACTGGAGCGTTGAGAAGCAGCGGTGTGGTAGATGGGCTACTCCTACCCGAGAGTTGAGACGCAGGGGTGTGGTAGACGGGGCTGTTCCTACAGGCCCGAGGGGGCCACTATCTGCACCTCTTCCCAACTCCACGTTCAGGGCAGGCATGGTGGTGGCATGAAATCTGCCAAGCTGTGAGTATTTACGCCATGGGAATTGGCATACGCCATAAACCATGGCTTGCTTTTTCAGAGAGCTGACTGTGACACAATGGATACCAGTCATGTTGTGGTTTATCCTCACTGCCTCATTCTGTCCTTCCAACCATCCTATTAGGCTGGCTCTGTTGTTACAGTTGAAGAAACCCATGCTCGGAGAGGTCACAGGGCTTTCCAGAGGACCCCCAGCTTGGAGAGGGCATGGCCAGGGCTGGATTTGAACCCAAACCTGGAGTGCATTACCACCCTATTCTATGCAGTCTCCAGGTCCTCGTTTGCAAAATGCAATGTGAGCTGACCTCACAGGGATGTTGGGAGAATCTGGATAATGGTTTTGGAGAAGAGGGAGCCCAGCCAGGGGTCCTTCCAGGAGGTTTATTATTTCTCTCTTCTCTACGGCCCTTACCTTCTAAACATTTAGTCAAATATGCCTTCTCACTTCAAAGCAAAAAGCCTGTGATCAGCAGTGATGGCAGGAAACTAAAGAAAAATCTGCCTCTCCTTTGGCTGGTGAGAGATGCTTTGCTTCTTCGGGGCCTCGCCATGGCCCTGCGCATCTGCTTCCCTCCTCCCTCTGCCACCCCTGGCAGATAGAAAATTCTGCAGTGATGGAAACACTCCAGGTCTGTGCTGTCCAATATGCAGCCACCCGTACACAGGGCTCTTGCGCACATGAAAGGTGGCTGGTGTGAGTGAGGAACTGGATTGTAAGTGTAATTTAATTTTAATTAATTAAAATTCAGTTATCATGGCCATGCGTGACTAGTTGCCACTGTCTTAGACAGAGCGACTTCAGAGTTCCGCCCCCTCCACCTTCTGGCTCAATGCCTAGCTCTGCTTCTCCTGTCCAGCCTGGGAGTCGCCCTCTCCATCCTCTCCACATCAGCCTTAGTATTTCAGGCCCTTCTGGAGGTAGCTTTGTCTCCAGAGCCCTCAGGGGCAGGGGCAGCCTGGGACAGTGCAGGCTCTAGTGAGCTCTGTAGCTGAGAAGGGGACCCCCTTTCCTGAGCGGCCTTTGGGAGTGGGGAGCCTGAGAGCAAAGGGTGTCAGGAACACACCCCAGCCTTGTGAGCTGGGACCTGCAGGGTGAGCCCAGGCCCCTGAGCTTTTAAAAGCTCCCGGGTGTTCCTGGTGCAGTGTTTCAGGCTGCAGACTTCAGGCACATTCTTATTTTCTTGGGCCACCCCCTCCTCCCACTTTCCCTCATCCTGGGTCTGAAGCCTCCTCCTCTTTCTCCCCTAAGGAACTCTGTCTTCATCTCTTTCTTTCTTTATATCTGTCCGGGAGCTCCTTGGCCTGGCCCACCTCCTCTGATGGGCTCTTTCCAGCTTGATGGCTCCTTTGAGTACCTGCCGTTCCTACCTCCTGTGGGACATTTCCACCTGCAGGAAATGCCAACCACACAGACTTAAAAATCCCCGGACCGAAGTCCTCATTTCCCCTCCTTTTTCCTCCTCTTATCTTCTCTGCTTGTGTTAGCAGGGCCAAATCTTCCGCGGGTCACTGAGGCTCCCATCTTTAAAGTCATTGCCAACTTCTCCTTCTCTCTCAACCTGACTGGATGTTACAAATTCCTGTGTCATTTCCATTCTATTTCTTGCTTTCAATCTTTTCTTTCACTTTCAGCATCTCTGTTCAGACCCTTGTCTCTTCCTGGATCTATCTTCTGTAAACTCCAAAGCAGCCCTCACAACTCCTCATGATCTTCAAAACAAAGCTTTGAAAATGATTGGGCCCTCTGCTCAAGCCCCTCACTGCTGTCAGGATGAGGTTTGAGTCCTTAGCAGTGCTGTCAGGATGAGGTTTGAGTCCTTAGCAGTGCTGTCAGGATGAGGTGTGAGTCATTAGCAGTACATTCAGTGCCTGCTATTACCTTGCCCTACTTCTGTCTTTCCCCGGGACTGACTTCATGCTCCAGCCCTGAGTGAGTATCTCATGGGCCATCTGTGCACCTGGTTGGAGCTTGTGCATCTGCAGCGTTCTGTGGTGAAGCAGTCTGATGTTGATGGGGATCATGAGGCTGTCCCTGGGATCACTGTGAAAGCGTGCTGCAATTGATTAGCAATGTCTGCTGCTGGTGAGGGTGGGGAGAGTGTGGCACAGGTACCATGTATTTACCAACCTGTTTTCCAACAGATGGGGTTTTTCTCTATAGCCTGCCCCAAATCACTTTACACTTTCTGATACTTGGACTTTTCCTCCATTCCTGTCCCTTTCTCGGTATGTTTGAATTCTAGCAACTCTCTAAGGGCCTGCCTGAGTACTACCTTCTTTGTGAAGTATTCCTTGTGTGCAGCTGATGTTGAAGACAGAAAAATGTATATAGATAATTCAGCCAGAGACCAAGGGGCAGCCCCTGGTGGAGTGTTAAGCCAGATGTTCCCAAGCACAGGCATGGCCAGCCGCAGCCACATCATGGGTCAGAGTCCTGGGCCCCAGCTTGGACTCTCCTGTGATGGGGTCAGAGATTGGCATTTTTAACAAGCTCCCAGGTGATTCTTAGGCATTACTTGGTGAGAGAACTCCTGTTAGAATGCCTAAGAGTAAAATTCTGCCACGCTGTCCCAGAGCTGAGACCTCAGTCGCTGCTTCTCAAACCATTACATTTAATGGCAAAAACTGCAATCGCTTTTGCCCCAACCTGCAGGGCAGGACCAGTTGTTAAAAATTCCTTGATCTAATGTGAACCAAAATTGCAATTAAAATGTTAGTGGGCATTTCCCCATTTTTGTCATGATATAGATGGATACTGAATTTCTTATCTTTGAATCATTTATTGCTCAGAACTCAAGTAAGCATGCCAGCACTTCCTATGTTCGTGCTGGAGGGGAAATGTTTTACTTTTTACTGGAGAAGACAAGACAGGGTGATTTTCATGCTATTGTTTTATACACATGACAACAACATATCTTGCCTTATGTAAAGGCAAGTTCATATTTGTAGATAATTTATCTTTTCTTCCTCCACTAAACATATGCAGTAATCACTCAACTGGAAGGTGAGTATTTATTTTGTTTTTAAGGAGAGCCACTTTCTAACTGAAGATGATTGATACAGGGAAAAGTTTGTACTACAATATATACCTCATATATTTGACTGCAGGTTATAAAATTTTTTAAAATGGGCTGGGTGCGTTGGCTCATGCCTGTAATCCCAGCACTTTGGGAGGCCAAGGTGGGTGGATCACCTAAGGTCAGGAGTTCAAGATCGGCCTGGCCAACATGATGAAACGCTGTGTCTACTAAAAATACAAAAAATGAGCTGGACACGGTGGCAGGTGCCTGTAATCCCAGCTACTGGGGAGGCTGAGGCAGGATAATTGCTTGAAACTGGGAGGTGGAGGTTGCAATGAGCCAAGATTGTGCCACTGCACTTCAGCCTGGACAACAAGAGTGACACTTTGTCTCAAAAAATATTTTTTAAAATCTCTAATTAATATATTTGGAACTGATTCATAAGAAAGACTATGCAAACTGTCCTGAAAATGAAAAAAAGTTTGAATCCATTGCACACTGCTACTTTTATAAAATAATGTAAAAATGAATTACTGGAAAAATACAATAAAGATATAAAAATATAAGCCCAACTTTAGACCTCAAAGTACTCTGTTGAATTGCTGTAAAAATTTCTAACTCTTTCTCTCAATTTCTTCACTCCTTGTGAACCGGCACCTAATAGTTTGTGGATCGCACTTGAGCCACCCTTAGAACAGCACAGGTCCGAGGGTCATCCCAGCCGTCCCAGCTAGCTCTCGTGGTCATCTTGCCAAAATGAATCCTTTGCAATAAATAATTCAATATGACACATGTTCCTCTTGTATGACGGTCAAAAAAATCCTTGCATTTTTCCTGGGTGTGTTCTCAGTGGAGTGTAGGCATGTGGGTAAGAAGGTCAATAAAGGCCAGGTGCAGTGGTTCACTTCTGTAACCTCAGCACTTTGGGAAGCTGAGGCAGCAGGATTGAGTCCAGGAGTTTGAGACCAGCCTGGGCAACGTAGTAAGACCCTGTCTCTATAAAAAATAAAGAAAACTAGCCCGGTGTGGTGGTGCGCACCTGTAGTTCCAGCTACTTGGGAGGCTGAAGTGGGAGGATCTCTTGAGCCTGGGAGGTGGAGGCTGCAGTGAGCTGGGATTGTGCCAGTGCACTCCAGTCTGGGCAACCTTCAGAGTGAGACCTTGACTACCCACAAGTTGTTTTCTTATTCGTAGTTAACTTTTTCAGCTTCCCCTTGTCTGCGATTATGTTCATTCCCTTTAACAAAAATCACTTAGATCAGGTAGCTACTGCCCCAAAGTAGAGAGAGGAATGACTTCATGGAACTCTCCCTGATTTTAGAAACCCTTCCCCTCACTCGCTGTGTCTCTGCAGAGCAGCTGCCTGCCTCTCGGCCTACACATCTTGGCAGCTGTGCATGGCGTTGTGCTGTGTACTCCTGACTAACTCTGTTTGACCCTTGGAGATAGAAATGCAAGTAAAGGCATAAATGCATTTTTAGGAATGTATTTATCAGAATCCAATTCTACACTAGGGAAAGGGTTTTGACAGCGCGGCTGGAACCTATGAGATTTTACTTGTCTAAACAAACAAATTTTTAAATACCTGATTTTGGTTGGGGCCCCTGCCTCGAACTATGAAAAAGATAAAATATGCAAAACGCACATTTCCACCCTGTTAAAAATATGTCTGGGTGCTAGGTCTGGCTTCCTTTGTTGGCCAGAGTGGGGGCCTCATCCTAGGTAGGGTGGCGTGACCACTATTTGCATAACCTATTTACTTCAGAGTTTTAAAACATGTGGGAGCCACTGAGTGTCCCCAAATGGTAGTTTTTCATGGGGAGACAGAGACCTGGCACTAGATGTGTAACCTCAGTTAGGTCTCAGCCTTGCTGATTCACAGTCTCTGTGCCTCTCAGATAAGGAAGGTGAACTTAATAATGAAGGCTACCTCTGTGGAGTGTTCACCACACCCCAAATTCCTGCTAAGCCAGCTCCATGCATTAATCCAATTTAATGCTTGCAATCCAATGAGCTTCATGTGATGATCAGGACATTTCACAGATGAAGAAACAAGGCACGGGACATGGTCCCTTGCCCGAGTTCACACAGCTGGGATATGCCAGAATCACCCTTCCTCTCTTGGAGTTTTGACCCCCAAGCCTATGTTCTTTCCCTCTAGCTTTTTTTTTATCGTGAAAATTTTCAAGTATTTGGAGAAGTTGAAAGATTAGTACAAGGATCATCTGTACAGCTACTATCTGGCTTCAACAACTTAACATTTGCTATATTTGTGCCTTCTCTCTCTCTTTTGATGAAGTATGTACCCCATTTTAGAGAACAGCCTTCCGATACCAGTTTTATTGAGGTGTAATTGACATATGATGAGCCATACATATTTAAAGTATGCAATTTGATACGCTGTACATACACATGTCCCCTTGAAATCATCGGCACACTCAAGACAAGGAACAGACTCATTATCCCAAAAGTTCACTCAGGCCTGGCTTTCATCCCCCCACCTGCTCTTCCTTGTTGCACCCCACCTCCAGCCCCGGCAATCACGGGTCTGCTTTCTGTCACTGTGCGTTAGTTTGCATTTTCTAGAATTCTATAAAAATGGAATTACATAGTTTGTATTTTTTTTTTGGTGGTGGTAGTGGGGCGGGGAGGTGTCTGGCTTCTCTCACTGAACACAGGTCGTCTGTGTTGCAGTGTGCTGTGGTCCAAATGTATCCCCCCAAAAATTCACACGTCGGAACTTAACCTCCAAGGTGATGGTACTAAGAGGTGGGGCCTTGCGAGGTGATCAGTCAGGAGGGCTCCACCTGGGAGACTGAAGTTGTGCCCAGATAGACGGGCTTCAGGGAGTGAGTTAGTCCCTTTGTGGTTCCTTCTGCCATGTGAGGACAAAGCAAGAGGTACCATCTGCAAAGCCGAGAGCAAAAGCCCTCCCCAGACACTGAACCTGCTGGTGCCTTAATCTTGGAGAACTGTGAGCAATAAATTTCTATTATTTATAGGTCACCCAGTTTAAAATACATGGTTATAGCAGCAGGAACTGACTAAGACATAGCATGAATCGATTGTTCATTCTATTTCTTGCTGAGTAGCATCACATTATATGCATATACCACAATTTCTTTATCCACTTACCTTTTAGTGTTGTTTCTGGGCTTTGGTGGTTACAAACAGAGCTGCTCTGAACATCTGTGTACAAGCATTTTCATGAACAGCATGTGCTGTGGTAGGCAGAACGTCCTACCTCTCCTCCCTCCGGGATGTTTGTGCTCTTATCTCTAGGACCTGTGGATATGTTACATTATATGGCAAAAAGAATTCATATAATTAGGGTTATGGACTTTATGATACGGGGGCTGTCCTGGGTTATTTGGGTGGGCCCAATCTAATCACACAAGACTTTAAAGGTAGAGAAGCTTCTCTGGCTGGAGAGAGAGGAGGCAGAAGGGGAGAGAGAGGAGGCAGAAGGTCAGAGAAGGACTCAATGTGTCATTGCTGGGTTGAAGATGGAGGGAGCAATGTGATGGGGCATTAGGGCCACGTAAGGAACTGACAGCCAGCAAGGGAATGGAGACCCCACACCAAGAGCCCCAGGAACTGAACTCTGCCAGCGACCTGAACAAGGTTGAAGTGGATTCTTCCCCAGGGCTTCCAGAGAAGAACACAGCCCTTGACTTTGGGCTTGTGAAACCCTGAGCCAAGAACCCCACCAAGCCTGCCTGGCCTTGAGACTCAGGCACAATGAGATAATAAATAGGTGCTGTTTTAGCTGCTAAGTGTGTGTGGTAATTCATTACGGCAGCAATAGAAAACTAATACATATGTATTCATTTCTCTTAGGTAAACGCCTAGGAGGGGGATGACTGGGTCATATGGTAGGGGCATGTTTCACTTTTTGAGAAACTTCCAAACTGTTTTTCGAAGTGGTTGTACTATTTTATACTCAGGGTATGTGGGCTCCTGCTGCTCCACATCCTTGTCAATACTTGGTAGGGCCAGTCCTTTAAATTTTAGACGTTTTTTTTTTAACATGGAATTTTAGACATTGTGGTTTACCTTGCGTTTCCCTAATAACTATGACATTGAGCTTCTTTTCACAGGCTTATTTGATTTCCATATATTTTCTTTGGTAAAGTGTTTATTTAACTCTTTTTGCCCACTTAAAAAATTGCATTGTTTTCATATTATTGAGTTTTTTGTTTTTTGTTTTTCGGTTTTTTTTTTGAAAGAGAGTCTCGCTCTGTCGCCCAGGCTGGAGTGCAGTGGCGCGATCTCGGCTCACTGCAACCTCCACCTCCCAGGTTGAAGTGATTCTCCCGTCTCAGCCTGTCGAGTAGCTGGGAATACGGGTGCACGCCACCACACCCAGCTAATTTTTTTGTGTTTTTAGTAGAGATGGGGTTTCATTATGTTGGGCAGGCTGGTCTTGAACTGACCTCAAGTGATCCACCCACCTCAGCCTCCCAAAGTGCTGGGATCACAGGCATGAGTCACTGCACCTGGCCTTATTATTGAGTTTTGAGAGTTCTTTATATATTTTTGATACAAACCTTTTATCAGGTAGGTAATTTGTAAATGTTTTCTCCCAGTCTGTGGCTTGTCTTTTCTGGTATTAACAATGTTTCTCAAAGAAAGAAGTTATTAATTTTGATGAAGTTCTTGGTTTGTCAACTTTTTTCTCTTACGGGCCATGCTTTGGTGTCATATGTAAGAAACCTTCACTTAACCGAAGATAACAAAACATTTCTCCTGTGTTTTTTCTAGAAATTTTATAGTTTTGCTAGTCCTGATGGCTCATGCCTATAATCCCAGCACTTTGGGAGGCTAATGTGAGAGGATTGCTTGAGGCCAGGAGTTCGAGACCAGCCTGACCAACATAGTAAGGCCCTGTTTCTACCAAAAGATAGAAAAACATAGTCAGGTATGGTGGCACATACCTGTAGTCCCAGCTACTTGGGAGACTGAGGTGGGAGGATTGCTAGAGTCAAGGAGTTCAAGGCTGCAGTGAGCCACGATTGCACCATTGCACTCTAGCCTAGGCAACAGAGTGAGAGCTGACTCCAAAAAAAAAAAAAAAAAAAGAAATTTTATGGTTTCAGAGTTTACATTGAAGTATATAATCCATTTGGAGTTAATTTTTATATATCATACAATGCATGGATTTTAAGTTTAGTTTTTTCTTTTTTTTTGAATGTAGATATAGATGTTTTCTAGCACCATTTGTTGAAAAGACCACCTTTCTCCACTGAATTGCCTTTGCACCCTTGTCAATAATCAGTTGGTCAATATACAAGTGGGTCTATTTCTGAACCCTATTCTGTTCCATTGATGTACTTATCTATCTTTATACTTATGCCACACTGTCTTGATTACTATAGCTTTATAATTAGTTTTGGAACTAGATAGTGTAAGTCCTCCAGCTATCTTCTTCTTTCCCAGGGTTGTTTTGGCTATTCAAGGTCCTTTGCATTTTCATATACACTTTAAAATCAGCTTGTAAATTTCTTTAAAAAAAAAAACATGTATTTTAATCAGGATTGTGTTGAAGAGTCTTCTGACTCATGAACATGGTACATCTCTTCATTAATTTAGGTTAGCCCAGAAATATTTTGTAGTTTCCAGTGTACATGCTTGTATATCTTTTGACTGATTTGTCCCTAGGTTTTCATATTTTTGAATAGTATTGTCAATGGTATTGTTTTTAAATTTCAATTTTGGATTTTGCTAGTATGTAGAAATACAACTGATTTTTGTATATTGGTCTTGTAACTTGCAATCCTGCTAAATTCACATATTAGTTCTGCTAGCTTTGTTGTAGATTTCACTAGATTTTTGACATGAAGCATCATGACATCATGTCGTCTTTCCTCATACTGAAGCCTTTATTTCTTTTTACTGCCTTATTGCACAAATTAGAAGAATGTTTAGTAAAATGTTGAATAGAAGTGGTGAGAGTGGACATCCTTGCCTTTTTCCTCACCTTAAGACAAACTATTTCGTCTTTCGCTACTTAGGGTAATGTTATCTTAAATGCCCTTATCAAGTTGAGGAAGTTTGTTTCTTCCTCAAATTTGTTGAGAGTTTTAAAAATAAGAAGTGATGCCAGATTTTGTTAAATGCTTTTGCTGCATCTATTGAGGTGATCATATGGTATTTCTTTTTATAGTCTGTTAATATGGTAAATTAGCTGTTGACTTTTCTATGTTAAACCAACCTTATATTCTTGCAATAGCCTCTGCTCCATAATATTGTCTTATTCCTTTTATATATTGTTGGGGTTTCCCAATGTTTTTATATTATTGGGCTTAATTTGCTAAAACTTTGTTAAAAACTTTTGATCTATATTCATGAATGATATTGGTCTATCATTTTCTTTTCTTGTAATGTCTTTTTCTATTTTTTAGTAGAAACAGGGTCTCACTAAGTTGGTCAGGCAGGTCTTTATAGGACATTTACAAGACATTACAAGAAAAGAAATGGTTTTGGCATTAAAGTAATACCAGTCTCATAAAATGAGTAGGAAAATATTCCCCCCCTCTTCAATTGTTATGAATAAATTTGTGAAGAATTGACATAATTTCTTCCTTAAATATTTAGTAGAATTGATAAGTGAATCCATTTGAATCTGATGCTTTCATTCTGGGAAGGGTTTTAACTGCAAAAAGCCTGTCTTTAATAAATGTATGGATATTCAGATTTTTTCTTTGAGTGAGCTTTGTTTGTGTTTTTCAAGAAATTTGTCAGCTTCACTCAAAGTGTCAAATTTATGGAAATTGTTTATAATTTTCCCTTATTATACTTCTACTATCTGTAGAATTTATGTTAATGTTACCTCTTTCATTTCTAATTTTGGTAATTGTGTCTTCTCTTTTTTTTTCCTTGTTAGTCTGGTTAGAGGTTTATTAATATTATTGATCTATCAAAGAACCAGTTTTGGTTTCTTTGATTTTGGTATTGTCTTCTAGTTTCTATTTCTTTCATTTCTGATCTTATCTTCACGATTTCCTTCCTTTTGCTTGTGTTGGTTTTACCCTACTCTTCTTATTCTGGTTTCTTAGGTGGAAATCAGGTCATTCATTTGGGCACTTTTTTCTTTTTATTAGATGGGTTGGATGCTCTACATTTCCCTTGAAGTTCTGCCTCAGTATCATTACTCAGATTATGATACGCTGTGTTTTCATTTTCATTCTCTTTAACATACTTTCTAACTCCTATTTTCATTTTTCATTTGACCCATATGTTATTTAGAAGTGTGTTAATTGCATTCTAAATCTTAGATTTTTCTGGAGATCATTTTGTTATCAAACATTTTAATTTCGTTGTGGTCAAAGAAAATACATCGTATGACTTAAATTATTTTGAGTTTATTAAAACTTGTTTCATGACTCAAATATTGTTTACTTTGGTAAACATTCTGCATGCACTTTCAAAGAATGTGTGTTATGCTATTGTTGGATGGAGTGTTGTATGAATGCTGGTAGATCGCATTGTGTGATAGTGGTGTTTAGGTCTTCTGTATCCTTGCTTATTTTTGTTATTCTGTAAATTACTGAGAGAGGGGTGCTGAACACTCTGACAATAGTTGTGAAAGTGCCAGTTTTCTTTGCAGTTCAGTCATGTATTTCAAAGCTTTGTTATTAGGTGGATAATACATAGGCTCATATGGCCTCTTAATGAATAGACCCCTTAATCTTTATGAAATGGCCCTTTCTCCCTGGTCATATTCTTGCTATAAAATTTACTTTGTCAGATATTAATACGGCCACTCCTGCTGTCTGCGGTGTTAGCATAACGCTGTGTCTCTCCTGGCCCTCCCCACCTGCCTGTGGCACTTTTAACCTATTTGTTTCTATACATATTTAAAGTGAGTTTCTGATAGTCAGACTAAAGCTGGGTCCTGCATTTTTATTCAGTCTCACAATATCTGCTTTTTCAGTGTTTAGGTCATTTATTTTAATATAATTGTTGACATGGTTGAGTTTCAATCTACCAATCTGGAAGATATTTTCTATTTGTCTCTACTGTTCTTTGTTCCTTTTTCTTTCTGCCTTCTTTTAGATGGAATATTATTTTAATGGTACACTTATCTCCATTGCTGGCTTATTAGCTTTAACTCTGCTGTGTTATTTTAGTGGTTTGTTGTATGCATATCTAACTTATCACAGCTTACTCTCAAATGTTCTTCCACTGCTTCCCATATAGTATAAGAAGTCTTTCCTTCTTACCTTTGTTCCTCTTTACCTAATATTTTTTCCCCCTCTGGTTGCCTTTAAGATTTCATCTTGATCACTAGTTTTGAGTAATTTGATTATCATGGCCTTGTGGTTTTTTTCATTTCTTCTGCTTGATATTTGTGGAGCTTCTTAGATCTGTGGGTGCTGAGTTTTCATTACATTTAGGGTTCTTTTTTTTTTTTTTTTTTGAGATGAAGTCTCGCTCTGTCGCCCAGGCTGGAGTGCAGTGGCGCCATCTCGGCTCACTGCAAGCTCCGCCTCCTGGGTTCACACCATTCTCCTGCCTCAGCCTCCTGAGTGGCTGGGACTACAGGCGCCCACCACCACGCCCAGCTAATTTTTTTGTATTTTTAGTAGAGATGGGGTTTCACCATGTGAGCCAGGATGGTCTCGATCTCCTGACCTCGTGATCCGCCCTCCTCGGCTTCCCAAGTGCTGGGATTACGGGCAAATTTAGGTATTTTTTAGACATTTCTTTAAGCATTTTTTTCTATACCCTCCTCCCCATCCTAAGGGCCTCCAATGACACATATGTTAGGGTGCTTGATGTCCCACACCTCACAGATGATCTGCTCACGTTTTTCAGCCTTGTTTTTTTTTTTTTTTCCCTTAGACAAGGTCTCACTCTGTTGCTCAGGCTGGAGTACAGTGGCACAACTACGGCTCACCGCAGCATCAACCTCCCAGGCTCAAGCCTCCCACTTCAGCCCTCTGAGTAGCTGGGACTGTCGGTGCACACCACCATGTTTGGCTAATTTTTCTAGTTTTTGTAGAGATAGGGTCTCACTATGTTGCCCAGGCTAGTCTCGAACTCCTGGGCTCAAGCTATCCTCCCACCATGGCCCCCCAAAATGCTGGGATTACAGGCGTGAGCCACTGTGCCTGCCCCATTGCTTTCAGTCTTTATTCTCTCTGTGTATTATTCAGATCGTGTCTCTTTCTATTGTCTTCAAGTTCACCAACATTTTCTCATGCACTTTAGAAAAGAGGGCATGGAAGAAATCATATCCTAAGTGGATAGTCAAGGAGAAGGGGCTTGGTGAAGGCCCTGTCTGGACACCTTATTTGTTAAGGTGTCTTCATTAAGGTTAAGCTTGCTGATGCTAGCTGGCCATGGAGAAGCTGCAGATTGGCTGTCCGGATGTGTTTTTAGTGGCGTTTCTAGTGAAGCCAGGTTCTGAGTTGCATGCAGGAAACCATCATCCTCAGCAAAGTAACACAGGAACAGAAAACCAAACACCGCATGTTCTCACTCATAAGTGGGAGTTGAACAGTGAGAACACATGGACACAGGGAGGGGAACACCACACACTGGGGCCTATCAGGGGGTGGGGGACAAGGGGAGGGAGAGCATTAGGACAAATACGTAATGCATGCAGGGCTTAAAACCTAGATGACGGGTTGATGGGTGCAGCAAACCTCCATGGCACATGTACACCTATGTAACAAAGCTCGACGTTCTGCCCATGTATCCCAGAACATAAAGGAAAATAAAAAAATAAAAATACAAATAAATAAATAAAAGAAGAAGGTAGAAATAGAATCGGGGTAGGGGGTCTCGTAGCAGACTCACACACCTGCAGGGAGTTTGGAGGTCACGTCTCTCATCCCTTTGTTTTAGATGTAGTTAACCCCAGCTAGTGCTCATTAAGTGCTTGCCTCCAGCAACTCTCGAATCCTCATAACAAGCCTATTATAGGGGACTCTTATACCTATTTTGCAGGTGATAAAACTGAGGCACAGAGAGGTTGAGTAACCTGGTCAAGGTCATTCAGTGAGAAGCACCAGAGCCCGGATCTGAGCCTTGGTGGTCTGGCTCTGAAGCCCCTGTTTTGATCCACCCCACTGTCTGGCACCTAGAACCCCACTTTGCATATGAGGATATTGAGGTACAGAGAGGGGAAGTCACCTGTCCAAGACCACAGAGTGAGTGCCTGTTGGAACGGAGGCTGTGGCTGCAGCAGCACCTGGCCATGCCTGGGAGTGACTGCTTTCCATTGATCTCGGTGCTTGGGGCCCATCTTCTTGGTGGCTGGTGAGCACTTGAGGTCAGAGATCTGGGGCTGTGGACACAGTGGGATCCTTTGGGGTGACAGTTAAGGGCCTTGACCACCCCATTTCCTGGAAGCAGCATCAGCTGCCTGAGTGTCTGTTGGCTCCTATGTAAGATGGGGACATCACACCACGTCCCTGAGGGTTAAATGTGACCACGCAAGGGGAGGGTGTAGCTCAGAGCCCAGGGCCTTGGCAAGCACAGTCAACAGCAATCACCAGAACCCCGCAGCAGGGTTCCCCTGCCTCCCCCGAGCTCCACTGAGGTCTGGATTCGCAACCCTCCAGCTGCTTTTCCTTATTTCCCTTTTCCTGTGGTCTATGCTCCTTCCAGAGAACAGACAGCTTCACCCATCCTTCGGCAGGGAGCATTTTGAGGGAGAGCTGCCACCATTTTCATTCCTAAAGATTAAAGAGGCCGGGCACAGTGGCTCACACCTGTAATCCCAGCACTTTGGGAGGCCAAGGCGGGCGGATCACGAGATCCGGAGATCCAGACCATCCTGGCTAATACAGTGAAACCCTGTCTCTACTAAAAACACAAAAAGTTAGCCGGGCATGGTGGCAGGTGCCTGTAATCTCAGCTACTTGAGAGGCTGAGGCAGGGGAATCGCTTGAACCTGGGAGGTGGAGGTTGCAGTGAGCCGAGATCATGCCATTGCACTCCAGCCTGGGTGACAGAGCAAGATTCCGTATCAAAAAAAAAAAATATTAAAAACACATGCAAACAAACAAAACCCTGCTCTGAGGTCTCCTGGCCATTTCCTCTTTCAAAGGTGCACATCGAAACCAGAAGATGAATCAAAACGTTGCTGGTGGAGTCTAGAAAACTCCAATCCCAAGGATGAGGAAGAATGTGCTGAGGTGTGGAAGAAGCTGCTTTGTGGCTGCTTCTGGTTTTGGGTCTCTGCTCTATGACAGTGAGCCATTGTGAAACGTCCTTTCCCCAGAGGGCGCCTGGGCCACTCCCATGGCTCTTGGGCCTACAGTTTGGCCAGGGGCTCTCCTGGTGGGAACACCTTTGAACATATATTTTCTGAAGTTTCCAGTAGAATCACAAGACTTCAAAGTGGCCCAGCTACTCGGGAGGCTGAGGCAGGAGAATCTCTTGAACCTGGGAGGTGGAGGTTGCAGTGAGGCGAGATCTCACCACTGCGCTCCAGCCTGGGTGACAGAGTGAAACCCTATCTCAGTCAATCAATCAATCAATCAATCAAACAACTTCAAAGTGCTACCCAAACAGCATGCTTCTGAACATTGATTCTAAGACCATCGTCGTAGCCGACCTAGACGGTGGCTGCAGAGATGTTGGAAGCATCGCCTAGGTTATGTCAGGTATATTGGACAGGTGTGCTCATGTGCTCATTCGCGTCCTCTAAGAAGCAGACACCAACAGAGGATTAGATGCACCAGAGATTCCTGGGGGAGCTGGTGCCAATAATAACAGGCCATACGTGCCAGTTGCCATATGAAGCAGGATATCCTGTTTCCCTTTCCACTTGGGAACCATCAGGAGTGGGAAGCTGAGTCTCTTTTTCCAAGCGTTTAATTCTGATTTACTGTAAAAGTCCCTGACTGAATTTTATCATTGCTGAATGGCTCCTGTAGGGGAATGCTGTAAGGGGGCATAAACAGCACATCATGTGATTTCTACTGAGAAAAGGGAAACACACCATTGGTTGGATGACAGAAATGACGCTGCATGGCTTTTTCTTCCTTAAACCTGTGGAATCAGATTCTTCCAGGGCCCGAGTTATTCCTGGTTCTAAGTTAGGAATCTTTAGAAGCCACATGAACCTTGAAACTGAGAACTAGTTAAGTGATTCATTTAACAAACATCTGTGGAGCACCTGTGTGTCAGACCCTCTTAGATGCAGAAGATGCAGAAATAAACTAGACACAAATTTCTCCCTCTGGGAGCTCCTCTTCTAGGAGCTAAAGATGGACTACAACAAATACCCAAGCCACGCACAAAACAGTAGACAAAGGAAAGCTGTATTAAGCTATTCTTGCATTGCTGTAGAGAAATACCTGAGACTGGATAATTTACAAAGAAAAGAGGTTTAATTGGCTCATGGTTCTGTGGGGTGTACAAGCATGGCACTGGCATCTGCTTGGCTTCTGGGCGGGCCTCAGGGAGCTTTTACTCATGGCAGAAGGTGAAGCTGGAGCAGGAACGTCACATGGCAGGAGTGGAAGCAAGAGAGAGAGAGTGAGGGGAAGTGCCACATACTTTTAAACAGCTAGTACTCACTCACTATTGTGAGGACAGCACCAAGGGGATGGCATTAAACCATCCATGAGAAATCCACCCCCACGATCCAATCACGTCCCATCAGGCCCTACCTCCAACGTTGGGGATTACAATTCACCATGAGATTTGTGGGGGACAACATCCAAACTATATTAGGAGGTGACTGGGCAGGCCATTGAGGTTCCCAAGGACGTGAAAGGGGTTTGGTTGGGAAAAGCCTCCAGGAGGGGTTGTCTGAGCTCAGTAGCCATGATCCTAGGGCCCCTCTTCTATGGAGTGGCTGCTTTCAGAGGTTCTGGTAGAAATTCTCTGGACTCTGTGGTCTGCTTTTGGACCACAGAAAGGTGGTTCCATGAGAAGAACCAGCCTCACCTGTTGTACCCTGGGCACTGTACTGAGTGGGATGGGAAAAGGCCCCCATCCTAGCCTCTGACCTGGAGTGTGGCTGGGGGGTTCAGAAAGTACAGTGGGTCCCAGCTCACGGAGGCAGCTATGGTTTAGAAGTTCATGCTCCTTGCTGAAGTCCTCAGGGATAGGGAGAAAACTAAGTGAGATGTGAGAAGCACATAGCCCAGTGGCTGGTATGTCACAAGCACCAGTAAAGGACAATGATCAATGAATTGGATTGTTATCATTAACCAAATGAGCGCCACCATCATCATCAACAACACCATAATCATTGTCACATCATTACCATCACCATCATCGTATTATCACCATCATCATCACCACCATCATCAGCATCATCATCACCATCACCATCATCACCCTCACCTTCACCATAATCATTGTCACACCATCTTCATCACCATCATCACCTTCATCATCATCATCACCACCATCACCACCATCATCACCATCTTCATCACCACCATCACCATCTTCATCACTATCATCACCTTCATCTTCATGTTTATCATTATCACCATCATCTTTATCACTCTCATCATCACCACCACCATCACCGTCATCATTACAGTTATCATTGTCGTCATTATACAAACAGACATGGCCTTGCTTGCTACCTTTTTAAGCCAGCTCTCCAGTCTTAGGTGAAGAGTTACAGGGAGCAGTGGGGTAGGATTTATGCAGTAGAAAAAGTAATCAAGTTCTTAGGACAATGATATTTAGAGGGTAGGGTGAAGTAATCTTTTGGATTTTAATCCCTACCCTGATTGTAATGAAATCAGTAGGTGGCAATACAGGGCCTCTGACCATCTTCATGATTGCCCCTCAATTGTGCTCAGGGATGGCAAAGCTGTTATTTCAGACAAAATCTGATGATAGTTTTGCCATGAAATAATTGCTCTTTTGAGGAAGTCTCAGTCTTGGCATCTTCATAAATAGCTCCCATTTCTTTACCAGAATAATCAGGTGTTGTTTCAGAGACAGGCATAGCTATTCTGTGGATTCCAGCAGTCTTTCTACTTCATCCATGGACAGTTTCGCAATTGCCAAACTCTGAGCCTTCCTTCTAAAGATTATGGGTTTAAAAGTATGCCTCATCCATTTGATGAAACTGGCACTTCAACTGATTCAACCTCAAGGGGAGGCAGCATCACTTAGCAAACGGGCATAAAATGAGAAGCCACAGCTCAGGGGTGAGCCCTGGCTTTGCTGCTGCAGATGTGGATCCTTGGGCAAGGCACTCTTTGAACCTCAGTTTCCTTATACAAATGAGAATAATAACACATTGATCCAAATTTCACAGGGCTCTTATGAGGCCAACAGGAATGCATAAGACCTTCTGAAATTAAAGCACCAGCATTAGTTAGTTACAGATAGATAGGTAGATAGGCCAGGCATGTTGGCTCATGCTTGTAATCCCAGTACTTTGGGAGGCCCAGGTGAGAGGATCACCTGAGGTCAGGAGTTCGAGACCAGCCTGGCCAACATAGTGAAACCGCATCTCTACTAAAAATACAAAAATTAGCTGGGTGTGGTGGCGGGCGCCCGTAATCCCAGTACTTGGGAGGCTGAGGCAGGAGAATCTCTTGAATCCAGGAGGTGGAGTTTGCAGTGAGCCAAGATCATGCCACTGCACTCCAGCCTGGGTGACAGTGAGACTCTGTCTCAAAAATAAAATAATAAAATAAAATAAAGATGAATAGATTCAAGGCAGTTCAAAGGCAGTGCCTTCTGATAGAACTTAGGGTGATGATGGAAATGTTCTGTAGGTCAGAATCAACCATGGTCTAGGGAGGACAGCCATCCATGTAAGAAATACGCCAGTTCCACGTGGGGCCTCCTGGTTGGACAGAGAAGGGTGGAAATTCTCAGGGGAGGAGGGTTTTCATCACAAACCATGGTCTGTACAAATTAAGAAATCTTGGGCTTACCTTAAAGAATGGTAGAACAGTGAAGGAGTTGGTAATCAGATGCAGAAAGATCCTTTGCTATGACTATTTGGAAGCCCTCCCTGGTGCCCCCACAGTCTGGCCCACTGTGAACCATGAGGTGCCAGAGCACTCACTGCCCCGTTCCTTGTCCTTGTGACTGCTCTAGGTTTGCTGTCAACTTCCCACGCCCCTCTGTCTTGTCTCTCTAACCTCACTTCCCAAGACAGGGCTTTGTCTCCTGGGAACTCCTTGTATCAGCCGTGGGGCCTGGTCTGATGCAGTGCTCATGGTCACTGTTGGCATGAGAAAGTCATGTTTCTTAGCCACCAGGAAGACAATGGGTCAATCACGTGAGAGAAGCAAGCCAGATGGAATGCCTTCAGCTGCAGGAAACAGAAGATTCAACCCCAGCTGGGGTGAGCTACCAGGGGTTTATCAACGTACATCACAAGAAGTTCCAAGGTAGAGAAGCTCTGGGGTTGGTCATTCGGCAAGCCAGTGACATGGTGAATAGCTGAGGCTCTTTCCATTTTTAGTGCTGCTATTCTCAGCATGTATTTCTTGGATATCTTCCCTCCTGGGCCCAATACGGCTGCCCTGGCTCCAGACCTTGCAAGCAGGCACAACAATCTCCATTGCGTTCCCTGGCTAGAGAGTATGCGATGTGTGGCGTGGTACCATAAAACCCGTGAAATAACAGCAGAGGCATCACGATAACCTCTCAACATCTGTGTGACAAGATCGCCTCCGGCTTCCTAATGTTTTGTAGACATTAACGTGTCTCAGAAGCCATTTGGGCCCAAAGCTCTACTTCACAGACGAGGAAACAGGGTCGGGGAGTGAAGGGTTCTGCCTAGGCTGCACGGAGAATCTGACAGATGTGGCTGCTTAAGGTCAGGTGGCGGGGTTGCATTAGAACTCAGGTTTTCTGACTCCTGTCTAATTAAGATGCTCCCTTTTTCTGAATTCTATTGACTGGAGTGACTGGAGCATCTCTCCTAAACAGCAGCCATCGCTGTCAGCCACCTGGTCCCAGATGGGAAACTTGCTGTTTTGCGGTTCTCAGGGAAGCTTCATGGTTGTGTCCCTGGGGCACTGGCTCCCTCTAGTGAACAAACTAAAAAATTACACGATGTTCCTTCAGGATCCATGCAAGGACCCAACTAACTCTCAAAAACATTCTCCGTGCTGGCTAAAATGCTGATTCCAGGGCCTCATCCTCAGAGATTTGAATTCAACAGGTCTAGAGTGGGGCCTGGAAATATGCATTTTAACAGACTCCAAGACGACTTTGATGCTGCAGGTCCTCTGACTGTACTTTGAGAACCACGTTCCCTGGCAGTTTGGGGCCAGGAAAGGAGCATGTGGGGTCTGAAGACCTGGTTGCTGGTCTTGCTGTGTCTGTGACCTTGGGCAAGGCCATTTGCTCTCTGAGCCTCTCTGTTCTCATCCATAAGACCAGTGGGTTGGACTAGAGATGGGGCAAATTGTGGAGTCTTGGGAATGACACATCTCTTTGGCCTCAGCATCCTCAACTGTAAAATAAAAGGGGTGGGCAAATGGTTAAAAAGAAGAAGACAGACAACACCAAATTCCGGACAGGCTGTGGAGCAACTCAAGCCCTCATGCGATTTGATGGGATGAAATTTGTTGCAACCACTTCGGAAGACTCTGTGGCAATGTCCACTATATCCATCCCCCATGACGCAAAGACTCCTCTGCTGGGTACAGTCCCTTCTTGTTCAAGGTGTCACTTTCCATGGGTTCAGTTACCCTTGGTCAACCTCAGCTTGAAAATATTAAACGGAAAATTCCAGAGAGAGTGAGAGGAAGAGAATGTACATGCACATTCACATAACTTTTCTTACGGTAACTATTATAATTATTCTAGTTGGTTTTTTTTTTTTTTTTTTTTTTTGATATGGAGTCTCACTCTGTCACCCAGGCTGGAGTGCAGTGGTGTGATCTCGGCTCACTGCAACCTCTGCCTCCCGGGTTCAAACGATTCTCGTGCCTCAGCCTCCAGAGTAGCTGGTATTACAGGCGCATGCCACCATGCCCAGCTAATTTTTTGTATTTTTGGTAGAGATGGGGTTTCGCCACGTTGCCCAGGCTTGTGTCAAGTGATCTGCCCTCCTCGGCCTCTCAGAGCATTGGGATTACAGGCGTGAGCCGCTGTGCCCGGCCTTATTCTAGTTTATTATTAGTTATTATTGTTAATCTTTTACTGTGCTTAAATTAAACTTTATCATGGCTTTGTGTGTACAGGAAAACATAGTATATATAGTGCTTGGTGTTATCCAAGGTGCCAGACATCCACTGGGGGTCTTGAAATGTATCCCCTGAGGGTAAGCGGGGAAAACTGTATGTATGCAAGAGAAATGTAAACATCTGTTTACCTAAAGACATAGAGAAGAAACGTCGTAGCGACATGGTTCAGTTTAGACAGCAGTGAGGTCGGGAAACTATTGCCACAGGCTACAGCCAGCACAGCTTTAGCAACATGATGTTGAGCAAATAGTCTAGATTCTGCAGAGCTGGTCCAGGGCCCCCCAAGTGCAGACCTGCCCCCTTTCCCCCTCTGAAGTTTTATGATTGCAAATCAGATATCATTTTCTCATCAACATATATTATGATTCCAGAATGTATTTCCACCCCCCTCAAATTGTGTGACTCTGTTTATAATAAGTTCAACAGCAGGTGAAAGCAATCTGTGCTGTTAGAAGTCAGGAGAGTGGCTACCCTTCTGGAGGAGAGGGAGAGGTGGCGGGGAGGGTGGTGATCACAAGGGCTTCTGGATACTCCTGGAGGGGCTGACTGATGTCCTGTTCCTTTTTTCTAGGTGCTAGTTACACGGGTGTGTTCAGTTTGTGAAATTCCTCAAGCAGTATGCCAAGGATTTGTGCACTTTATATATGTCACATTTCCATAAAACATTTACATCTTAAAAAAAGGAGGGTGGGATAAGGGGCTGTCTTGGGGTCATTCTGGCCCTGCTGTGCCTCGGCTCTCTCAGTCTAGCCCTGCTTCCTTTTTTTTTTTTTTTTCTTTTTTTTTCAGCTGTGCTCAGCGCCCAGGGAAAGATCCCAGTGGTGGGTGGGGTGGGCTCCTTGCTTGGGGTTTGGCAGGGTTTTCTGAGGTCACGCCAAGAGGCTGCTGTGGAGGGAGAGATGCGTAAGGACTGAATTTCCTTGCAGGGTCTGACTCTGGGCTGCAAAGTGGTTTCCTGGGCAACCAGTTGTTGTGAGAAAAACAGAACAGTGAGAGAACATGGCAGGGTCAGATGAGGAAAGATACTCTGGGGAACTCACGCACGCAGAGGAATAAGAGGAAGCAGTAAGCGTTGGGGCTGGGTCAGGGTCCTCAAAGCGCAGACCTGCCCCTCTTCCCACTTTTGGAGTGTTATGTTTGCAGATAAGATCTCATTTTCTCATAGACATATATTATGATTCCAGAATGTCTTTCCATCCCCCTCAAATTGTGGGGTCTGTGAAATATGGCTGTGAAATTCGATCCCCAGGTTGGGGGTCAAATACGGTGTCTTGTCCGTTTGGGTGGCTATAACAAATTACCATAAACAGAGTGGCTTATAAACAACAGAAAGTGATAAGTCACTTCTGGAGGCTGGAAGTCTGAGACTAAGGTGCCAGCAGGTTTAGGGTCTGTGATGGCTGCTTCCTGCTACATGGATGGCGCCTTGTGCTGTGTCTTTGCGTGGTGGAAGGGGCGAGGCAGCTCTCCAGCGTTTCTTTCATGAGGGCACTAATCCCATCATGAGGGCTCTGCCCTCCTGACCTTATCACCTCTCAAAGGCCCCACTTCCTAATGCCATCAGCTCGGGGATTACAGTTTAAACATGTGAATTTTGGGGGAGCACACATTCAGAAAATGTCATATGAGCACATTGAAAATTTAAAAAAACAATCACTTACATCCCAGTTGTCTTTATTTGTAGAAAGTCCAGTATTGCATCTTGAAGATCCTCACCTTCCCTATTGTCCGTGAAGTCTGGGGGCATTCTGGGTCCATGGGGGAGGTCAGCAACCTTCAAACTGCAGGTGGAGGGAGGGTCCTAAAATGGTTGAGCCTCTCGCTGGAGCTGCTGCGCCAGTGGTGACCACACTGTGTCGCTGTTGAACACTGGGTTTGCATAGCCTGAGGAACGCTGGCTTTCCACTGAAGTGGGGCCCCCAGGACAGCGCCTTCCAGGCACACCCAGGTGCTCAGCTTCCGTTCTCCCAAATAAAGCATCAGGCAATAAAACACCAAGGTCGCTGGGGCCAGAGGTACTTCCAGTCTCCCTAGAGATGGGACAAAACCTCCCCAACATCGCACAGCCGAAAGACCAGGCTCCTGAACACATGCACACACACACACGTGTGTGTCCTGATGTGTACACACGTATGCACACACATGCACACACATGTACACATGCACACACGCATGCACACATGCACACACATAATGCACACACAAACTCCCTTTCTCTCTCTCTCTCTGCATTACGTAGTTTGGAGCTGTGAAGCTGAAAGCTATTCTAAGATACTTTAGGGCTGACTTTGCTCCAGCTAAAGATCCCACAAAGATCCCCTGTGGAAGCTCACATGGGGTCTACACGGGGTAGGATATAAGTTTGGGCTGCAGAGTTAGATATTTTTGTATTCAAGTCTTGGTTCTGCCAAATGCAACCTGTGGGTTTTGGGCAAGTAGTTTCGTCTCTCAGAACCTTATAAAATGGATAATAGAGTAGTACCCCTCCGATAGGGCTGTTGTCAGGGACAAGGAACTAATACCCATGAAGCACTGCTTAAAGGTTTCTCCTCCAAGGGCTTTGGCTCTTGGGGACTCTTTTGCCTCTGTGCCTGGCTGCAGGCTCTCCCTAAGGACTGAGTTCTGGGGTTGTCTTGCCTTCTGCCCACCCTGGAATCAGCCATTTCTTCAAGGAGCTTGGGCTCTGGCGTTCCTATGCCCCAAACTCCCTGGATACTTGTAATGTGAAACCAGGTTGAGGACTGCACAGCATCTTTGTTCTTTCTAGTATTTGAAGAACCACCTGGTGTGAGTGTTCACTGTGTGCTGGGGGTATCATCTGATTTGATCCTCACAAACCACCGCACAAGGGAAAATTGTTAACCAGTTTTGCACATAAAAAAACAAAGGCTGCCCGAATTAGGCAATGTGTCCAGGGTCACACACAGAGTGTGGACAGAGCAGGATTTGAACCCAGGCCCCTTTTTCTCTAGAGCCCTTTGCTTCCTCTCTGCCTCTACTTCTCAGCCTTCCAGCCCGGGAGCTATGAAAATCAGCCTTCCCTACAGGCTCAAGCCTGCACTCCTCCCATCCCACTTAATATGTTCTCCCACACGGTTTTATGTTGCAATTTTCATTCATTCATTCATTCATTTTGCAGGTCGTTTTGCATGTAAAGCCAGGCTGATCCAGAGCAGGCAGGTGGCATGCAAGGCTGAGGGACTGGCAGGCTGGCAGCATTGCCCAGAGGAGCTCAGTCTGGGAGCACAGAGACAGCGCATCTCTGGGACCAGACTCTGCAGGCACAGAGTGAGGACCAGCAGCTCTCCTCTGGCTGCAGCCCTTGTATATAAGGCTGCAAAGCTGCAATCATCTCGAGGAACTCTGTGCAGCAGCAGGAGCTTATCCCAGAGGGAAACACCTGGAGGAGCCCGGGAGTCAGGCATCATGGGCCGCGGGTCTCAGACTCTGTCCAAGAAGCAGTCAGGGGAAGATGCCATCTTTCCTCAGACCATCACCCCTACGCTGGGCCTGGCTGCATGGAGCGTCTGTGACTACTTGATTAGGTTTAGACTCCCCATTTAAAAAGGAAATTCAGGCTCATGAAAAAAGATTTGGAAAATACACAAATAATACTCATTTGCACACTCAACATCCACTGTTCTTGGCATTTGGGTGTCCTTCCTTCTTTCCTTCCTTCCTTCCTTCCTTCCTTCCTTTCTCTTTTTTTTTTTTTTTTTTTGAGATGGAGTTTCACTCTTGTTGCCCAGGTTGGAGTGCAATGGCGTGATCTCAGCTCACCACAACCTCCACCTCCCGGGTTCAAGCGGTTCTCCTGCCTCAGCCTCCCGAGTAGCTGGGATTACAGGCATGCGCCACCATGCCCGGCTAATTTTGTATTTTTAGTAGAGATGAGGTTTCTCCATGTTGGTCAGGCTGGTCTCGAACTCCTGACCTCAGGTGATCCGCCTGCCTCTGTCGGCCTCTCAAAATGCTGGGAATAGAGGCGTGAGCCACTGCGCCCAGCCGTTTGCGTGTCTTTCTTTCCAGATTCCACTTGCTGCCCATGTGCTGTCAGGTGATTCTCAGTTGACATCTTATCACCGCCATGTCCTAATAATAATAATAATAAAATACGACTTGGAGCACATGCTGGGACCTGCTATAACCTGCACGCCATGAGCTCCTTCAGTTCTATGATGACGCTTTGAAGGGGGAAATTTCACCCCTCCCTGTTTGACAGATGAAGTCACTGGGGCAAAGCCACGCAGCTAGAGCCAAGCTTTGAGGCCAGGCAGCTTTGCACAAAGGCGACTGCACAGACCACCTGTTCTTACTCCTCCTACAGCAGTGACTGAGTTCCTTCCAGCTGAAGGTTCTGTCTGGAGCTCCCAGGACTCTGCGATGGTGAAAACTGCATCCCTGAGAGTCTGTTAATTCCTTCAGGGACCCTCCAAGACTGGGGCTTGACTCAGCTTCCAGCGTAGCCAGGCCTTTCTGGAGTCTTCCAACCCCTGGTATCAGCTCTTTCTCGTGGGAGGCTAAGAGTCCAGAGGATCCAAGTGACCCTGGTCCTTGTCTCTGTCCACCAAAGGCTCCTGAAATAAAACAGAGTTGGTAGATCTGTTTCCAAGTGACAACACCCCTTGTCTGTCCCCACCAGAGGCTCTTGAAATAAAACCCTGAGTTGGTAGGTCTGTTGCTTGCTGCTGAAATGCAAGCTCAGGGCTCCCTGGGTTTTGAACACCATTTGGGGCTCTGAGTACCTGTGGGGGAAGGGAAGCCTTCACTATCAGCATGGCCTCTTCACCCCGCCTGCCCGTCTGCTGACACCTCTGCGGGTGTCTCCTCCTTCTCTGCAGAGGGAGAGATAAGCATCTTTCTAAAGGAGGCAACTGGTCACCTTCTGGCACAAATTAAACCGCAGAGGCTCCTGAGGACATGCCGGGAGTCACTCTGAGCTCCTTGTAACCGTGAGGGGCTGGCTGGCTGCTGGGGCTCTGGGTCCCCCAGACCCATCCATCAGCTGGGCGGCTTTGATTCTGATAGTGGTTTGATCTGCAGTGACAGGAGTGGGGGAGGAGGTTTATGGCCCCCACTTCCCCCAGGCCTTGGAGCTCAGTGGCTCCAGAGGGGACCTTGTCCAGCCAGGTGGTGGCCTGCATCTGGTCTAACAGGCTGCTGGCCTGGAGAATTGACAAGAAACTAGCTACAAACAGCTCCATGTGGGGCTGCAGATCTACGTTTTGAATACTTGTCTCATTTATTACAATAACTTGAGGGTAGGTATTAGTGCATCACTTTTCACATGAGGAAACAGGCTCAGATAGGGTAAGTTGTCTAAGGCTGCCCAGCTAGGAAGCAGAGCTGGGTTTTAGACAGGTCTATCTGACACTATAGCTCAGTGTCTTCTGATTTTCCCCAAAGTTTCCCAAATGGAGGGGCGGGTGGGGCTGACTCTGGGCCCTAAAAAGTCCTGACACCATGGGAGAGAAAAGGCTGTGCTGAGACCTTCTGTTCACATGAAGGAGAAAGTCTCAGGGTGGTTCCAATAGGTCTTTAACCCTCAGTAGCATTTGCTCATCTCTCTTGGGATTTTATTGTTATTGTTGTTTGTTTTGGATACAAATTTGTTTGTTTTAATTTTTTCATATATTAACTTCTTTTTGAAATAATTTCAAGCTTACAGAAGAGTTGCCAGTGTGCAACAACTGAACCTTAGAGTGTAACTTGCCGACCTGATGTGCCTTCACCCCTGGATGCTTGGTGTAAGCCTCCTACACACCAGGACTTTTCCCTGCAGAGCTATAAAAGCGTCATCAAAATCAGCAGCTACACTGGCACATTGTTGCCATGCAACCCTCAGACCATGCTCAACTTTCCCCAGTTGTTTGAAAAAGACTCAGAGCCTTAGACAGCCCTCAGTTTCAAGCTAGGATTTAATAACGTTGTCTTCTTTCGTTTTAACTCGTTTGGATGATTGATTACTTTCTGTTTATTGCTGGCAGCATCAGCTTCCTTTTAAGGTTGTGATATAAATTCCATTATATCTAATATTTTAAAATTTGTTGAGGTTTGTTTTATGACCAGGGTATGGTCTATCTTGGTGAAGGTTCCATGGAGCCTTAAAAAGAGTGTGCATTCTGCTGTTGTTCATTAGAATGTTTTATAAATGTCCATTAGATCCTGTTGGTTGATGGTGCTGTTCGGCTCTTCTATATCCTTGCTGATTTTCTGTCCAGTAGTTTCATCAGTTGCTGGGAGAAGGGCGTTGATGTCTTGAACTATAATTGTGAATTTGTCTGTTTCTTCTTTCAGTTCTATCAGTTTTTGCTTCACATATTTTGAAACTCTACTGTTTGGTGCATACATATTCGAGATTGCTATGTCTTCTTGGTAGATTGACTCTTTTATCATTGTACAATGTCCCTTTTGGTCCCTGATAATTTTCTTTGCTCTAAAGTCCACTTTATTTGATATTAATATAGACAGGCCTCCTTTGTATGGATTAATGTGCTTGAAATATATATATATATATATATATGCATACATACACATACATATATATATATTTAAAACTTTGTCTACCTATGTAACTATATTTGAAGTGAGTTTCTTTTAGACAGTGTATAGTTAGGTCATTAAAAAAAATCATTCTGCCAACCTCTGTCTTTTAATTGGTGTATCTAGGCCATTTACATTTAATGTAATTTTTGACAGAGTAGGACTTAAATCTCCCATTTTATTGATTCTGTTTTTTCCTTCTGTGCATCATTCCTCTATTTCCATTTTCCTATCTTTCTATGGGTTACTTGAACATTTTTAAAAAGAATTCCATTTATATATTTGAGTATATTTCTTTGAATGGTTTTTTAATGGTATTACATTATACATACATATCACAGTCATGAAGTTTTCCTTAAAGTTAATTTAAGTAAAAAAGTGAGCTGATCGAATAAGATATTGAGTAAATAGCAGTTAACACTCACAGAGTGGTTACTCTCTGTTAGGCATTTTCCTAATTGCTTTACAAGTATTAACTCATTTAATTCTCAGATAACGTCATGATGTAGATTATGATTCCTGTTTCCTAGTTAAGGAAACAAAGGGACAGAGAGGTTAAATCACTTGCCAAAAGCCACACAGCCAGTAAGTGGCAGAGTGGGGATTGGGACCCAGGCTGCCTGGCTCAGACTCCGTGTTCCTGACCATCATGTGATGATATGGCAGAAACTGTGAAGGTGGACTGCATGGTCTAAATTTGGGAAACCTTCTACTTGGCCGTATTTGTTTCCAGACCCTCTGCCATGAGATCCTTACTCTCCTGGTAGAAGAAGAGAGAGAAAGGGTGGCTCTGTAGCTGTTTTGAAAATATCATGAAGGTGCAGCCATAGAGAAGCTTGTAGGGCTCTTGTGTTCCCAAGGCTGCCGAGCCCAGGTGTTGGGGGCGGGATGGAGGAAAGGGGAGGAGTGGCCTCTCTGCCATCTAGTGGTGCGCCGCATGCACCCATATGCCACCTGCTCATGCTCTTCAAGGTTGCCCAGACCACCCTCTCTCCCTCACTCCCTCCCTTCCTCCCCAGCTCCCACATCTTTCCTTCCATTCTTCCTTCCATTCTTCTTTCTTTCTTTCTGTCTCTGTCTCTTCCACTTCTCTGCAGGTCTCTTGGCTTATCTCTGTTGGTTTCTGTGAGCATCTCTCTCCTCGTCTCCCTGTCTCCCTGCTCTGTCTCCCTATCTCTGGTCCACAGCCCCACAGCTCTTCACCCTCCTTAGTTGTCTCTTAGCACAGCCCCGGGGCCAGGGCTGAGGCTTTGCGGCCCTGCTTTCAAGCAGACAAGATCAGTCCAATGTTCTGACAAGTGGAGACCTGGTTTCTTTGCCAGCTTCGGTTCTTCTTTGCAGGAGGGTCGGGATTTGGGGAAAGGAAAAAAGCCATATTCTTGAAGAAAGGAGAAGCAGGTTTGGGACCCTCTAAGTTTTGAAAACCCAGACCCTTCCCAGGCAAGCTCATCTCAGGAGGGCAGAGCCAGTCCCCCTGCACATTCTGAGGTAGGTTGCACCAGGGAGCCCAGGCCAGGCTGGCAGGGGAGTGGCCCTGGATAAGAAGCACACCCTCCAAGTCAGGAGGCTCCCCACCCCCGGGGGAGGACAGAGGAGGATGTGTGGGCAAGGCCATTGGCTTCCTGCTCTCCACCTCCTTGCAGATGCCCTGAGGGCCCACGCCTGTCTCCTGGGGAACATGGAGGACTGAGCTGTAGGAGCCAGGAGAGCCAGGTCCCATAGTGGATCAGCTGTGGCCTTCATAGAGGACTGCCCTGGAAATGTCCATGGGACAGGCCCCTGGGAGTGGGAAGACGAATTAGTGGGGGTAGGCAGAGACAGAGAAGGGGCGGGGGGAGAGAGAGAGAGGAGACAGAGAGAGAGAGGGAGAGAGAGAGAGAGAGAGAGAGCTCCAATTACAGAGATCCAAAGAAACCAAGGAGCCCAGACACCATGAGAGAGAGACATTGAGAGCAGTGGGGGAGGCAGGCAGAGGGAGACAGGGCGGTGGCAGCCAGCCTCGCTGCACGTGCCAGGTAGTGGGGCATCCCTGGATGAGGGGGCGGGACTGTGGCCTGGGGGTTAAGCATGCGCGTGGGCTAGGTGGAGCTGCTACCTCCACTGACCCTTCCTAGAGGCCCATCCTGCCCTGCCTGGGGCACCAGCGGGACCTGGGAGCTGGGTTGTGGGTACACCAGGAAGTGTGAGTGTGAGAGTGTGTGTGTGTGTGTGTGTGTGTGTGTGCAGGCCTGCCTAGGGGAGTGTGTATCCCAGTCCACTTTCCTGGAGGAGCCTGGTTCTTCATGCTGGGGGCCTCCCCCTGGGGTCCTCCATCCTGGGGCCTCCCCGGGGGTCCCACACCAGCAGGTTGCTGGGTGGGCAGCAGAGCTCTGTAAGTGAGCCCCACCTCCACTGGGGGTTCGGGGCTGGGGCTCTGTGGCAGCTGCCTGAGGCCTTTGGCTCCAACTAAGCAGCCTGCTCCTTCCCACACGGGCTCTGGGCTGTACCTGTGAGCCATCCTTCACACCCTCTCACTTCCCGCCTCCTTAGCTTTGGCGAGGACTTTGTACAAAGGAATTTGATCTCAGCCCTTGTGATGTGCGCTACAGTGGAAGTGAGAGCGGAGCCTGGGCCGCTGTTGGGGCTGGTACCCCGGCTCTGCCGTTTGCCCTGGGACCACCCTGCTGGGCCTCAGTTTTCTTATCTGTAAAGTGGAGATATGAATAGCACCTACCTCTCAGGGTTCATAGCACAGTCCTAGCTCCTGACTGGAGCCTGCAAACATCAGCCATTTGTATGGTTTGAAAATGTGCCCCTGTGTACTTGCAACCCCCACTCCCCCGCGAAGCCCCCAGGCCCCTTGGTGACGCTGACCAGAGCCTGCTCCAAGTCTGGACCTGGCATCGTAATGGTCTCCCTTGCATCCCTGCCTCTTCCCTGCTGTTTAACCCAGGCAAGTCCTGAACCCTCCAAGCCTCTGTAGAAGGCGGCAGAAAAAACCCTTTTCTTCCCCCAGGCAATGCTCTGTGTAAAGACACTCCACACACACACTCAGGAAATGGAAGGTAATGCTGCTGTTAGAAAGGCAAATTCATCTCACCGCTGGGCCTCTGTATGTGAACAGACTTGGTGCTTTGGAACCAGAAGAAAACTGCTGGGGTCCTGACAGTCCCCTCCCTCCCCGTACTACAGATGAGCAAGCTGAGACCAGGCGAGGGAAACAGCAGAGGAAAAACCAGAACCTGGCCCAGCCCTGCAGCCTCCTTCTTCACCGAGTGCTGCGGACTCTGTTTTGCCTCGTTTCACCTGCAAGTCCCCATCATTGAACTTGTATTTATTTTTATGACTCATACAGGGAACTCGGCAAGCGTGATAAAGTGCGATGTCGGGCAATAAAATGCCTTGTTCCAAAGCCGGTGGCCTGGCAGAGACTGACAGATGTTCCCCAGGGTCTTTCTTAAATAATAGAAATCATAGTTTTTAGCTGGCCACATAGACATCACTGGAAATAAAGACGACATTTCTGAGCCTCCTTGCAGTTAGATGTAGCAAACTGACAAAATTTTGGCCAGTGGCATGTAAGGGAAAGTGTCCTTAAAGAGTATGGGGTGCACATGTATGCCATTATCTTCCTCTTCCTAGCTTGCTAGAATGTGAATGTGATGGCTGGAGCTTTAGCAGCCACATTGGACTATGAGGTAACCTTGGTACTAGAAATCCTTGCCTGGTGGAACAAACAAGATAGAAAGACCCTGGGTCTCCAACCCTTGGCTGCCACTGGGCTTCTTGAACACACAATAAAACACATTTCTATCTTGTTCAAAAACATTGTTAATCTGAGATGTTTTAGCTGAACTTAACCTAATGAATCGACAGGGGCGTATGAAGTGAGGATGGGAAGGGACTGGTCCATCCTGGCAGGGAGGTGGAGTTTATCACAGATGTGTTTGGATCAGCCAGCATGTTACAGTGTGTTTGGGGGGATCCATGCTGGGCTTGGCTTTTACATTTATCTCCAACATAATTCTTATCATCACAAACTACAGCTCAAAAACCTTCATAGAGAAGGCCCACACTTCTTGGCCAGGTGTTGAAGGCCATTCCCACCTTCCTGAGCTTACACCTGCTGTTCACGGTTTGCTTCTGCCCAAGCAGTTTCTGTGACTTGATAAGAAGATTGCACCCACTCCTTCTACCTCCAATACTTGGACCCACTATTCCCTGCACCTCTTGTTCAACACCATTTTCATGAAGCAGTAACACCCAAGGTGAATGCCTCTCTTCTTCTGAGTGTCTTTTATTTCTTTATTTTTTTTTAGAGATGGGGTCTTGCAGTGCTGCCCAGGCTGGAGTGCAGTCATATGATTACAGCTCACTGCAGCCTCAAACTCGCGGGCTCAAGCAACCTTCCTGCCCCCGCCTCCCGAGTAGCTGAGACTACAGGTGCACACCACTATGCCTGGCTAACTTATTTATTTATTTTTGTAGAGATGGGGTCTTACTATGTTGCCCAGGCTGGTCTCAAACTCCTGGCCTCAGACGATCCTCCCACCTCAGCTTCCCAAAGTTCTGGGATTACACTGTGGCCAACCTTCCTCTGAGTTTCTTTCCCACTGTCCATCCTCCTTGGAGGTGCAGGTATTTGTGCATTTATCCCATCTCCCTCGCCCGAGGCCACGTTCCTCGAGGGCAGGATGTTCTAGGCCCTCATTTCCCACTCAGGGTTGGACACAGTGTCCAGTGTCTGGGGGGCAGTGGAGGGGAATGAGCTCTGGGCTGGAGACCGGTGACCCTGGCCTCGAATCCATCTCCACCTCTTCCCAAATGGGTGAGGAGCAGCACCTGATCCCTTAGTCTCAGCTTTCTCAGATGCAAGAGAGGGCTGATAACAGGCTCATCCAAGTCCAAAGTCCAAGCCCCACCTCATCACCCAGGAGGCGCTCAACCATCCTAAGCAGGGCCCGACCCCAGGGCTCTGAGGATGGCTGAGCTCAGGCTGGAAGTGATCAGCATGCCTGGCTCGCACACCTGGCTAGCGACCCTGCACTAGGAAGTAGGGTGGCTCCTCAGGTGACTGTTATGATGAGAAATGCTGGCTGAGCCGAAGTGCATACATTTCCGGGAGAGTGGGAACAAGTTCCCAAGCTCTGGAGGAGGCTACTCTGGAGGCATTCCCTCCTCTCCCCTCTCTGATCCTCTCGCCTTCCAGGCAGCGCCCCATCGACTTTGTTCTGCATGTGGTTTCTAGGGCGCTTTGGTGGAATTGAAAAAACACGGAAATGCCAGCTCAGTTCCCAGCAGTGCCTGGCTCTGCACTGAGCTGGTTCCATCTGCTGTGGCCTGAGACCAAAGCAGCCTCGCGCACTTCTGACGTCTGGCAACGGGGCCCAGCCGGCAGCGGTGGGGGCGGGCTCTCCTCGCCCCCTGGGAGCTCAGCACGCTCAGGCTCCCTTTGAAGCTACTGGGAACTCAGTGCCCAGGGCTGCTCTCAGGGATCAGAGACAGGATGAGGCTCCCGGTCCCAAGAGCACACTCCGGGGGTAACGGGGACTTCCTGAGTCCACTCTTGGCCTGGACAGAGGGGTCAAACCAAGGCCATTCCACAGGTCTGATTAACCATAATTCATTCACTCATTCACCCCCTGGCAAATGTAGCATTTCTTCATTTCTCAGACATGGCTTTGTCATCTGTAAAGTGGGGGTAATAATAGTACCTATTTCATGGGGTTGCTGTGAGGATTAAGTAAGATATTCACGTAAACTGCCTAGACCCAGCAAATGCACATTCTTATAATACAATGTCACAGCTGTGTGTTTGGACTGCAGCCTGGCCCCCTGAGTCCAAACCCAGGCTCCACCACCCACTGGCTCTGTAACCTTGGCCAAGTCATTTGACCTCTTTGGGCCTCAGTTTTCTCACCTATAAATGGGTATAGCCAGGGTCCCCCACTCCCTAGCGTTTTGAGGTGGCATAAGTTAATATTTGCAAAGCACACAGAACACAGCCCGGCACTGAGCAAGCGCTATATCAGTGTTTGTTGAAAAATCCTGTATTCTAGTAAGAGCTAGCAACCAGAGACCCCGATCCTCGGTCCTCTGCTCGAATGTATTAAGAATGTCCATTCTCCCCTGACTATCAGCCATGGCGGGGTAGAAAGGAAGACAGGGGACGGACTGAGAGGAGAAGTAACGCATCATCCCTGAGCTGGAGGAGCCTCTCATTTGCGATATTTTGTGTCTGAAGAAACTGGGGCTCAAAGAGAGGATGTGACTTACCCCAGGCCCCGTAGTAAGGAAGTGCTGGGGTTGGGATCTGAACCCAGGTCATCTGTTTCCAAGACCTGTGGATCCCAAGACCATGAGACAAAGTGACCCCAGCAAAGTGGCCAAGTCAAAGGAGCCGGAATGGGGCTAAGCCCATTAGTATTGGCTGACACAATAAAAGACTTGGTTTTTCAGTCTATGTAAGTGAATGTTCTGGAGACAGGGTGGGTGTCAGAGTTGGTTTGCTTCAGCTCCTGATGGTGTTACCAAGGGACCCAATTTCTTTCCTTCTCTCTGCTGTGCTGTCTGCCATTTTAGTTCATCCTCAGGTTGGCTTCCCTCTTCATTGCAAAAGAGCTGCAGGAGTTCCAGGCATCCCTTTACACACCACCTCATTCACAAGGAGAAAGAGCCGGTTGCTAGGAGAGGCCTCTTCTTTCCCAGAAGCCTCCAGCACATCCCCATGCCATCTCTCTGGCTCCAGCTGGGTCACATGCCCATTTCTCCATCAATCCCTCTGGGCTGAGGAATAACTCACTCTGATTGGTTTAGGTCTGACTTACCAGGGGTGAGCGTGCTGACAAGGATTCACATCTGATCTTGCAGTAGAATCAGCCCCTCCCCAACCTATGTCTAAAATCACAAAAAGGCAGGATGCAGGAGATCTTGGGGACACCTCTGTGATGCCCACCTACTGTATGCCAGGCTTTGTACCAGGCCCTGGGGTCACAGTGAACAGGACATTAACCTGTGGGCTCAGAAGCTCAGACCTGCTGTGAGAGACAGATGAGAAAGCAGGGATGTGACGTGCCATGTGACCCACATCATGAAAGGTGAGCATGGGGAAAGGGTGGCTGACCCAGCTTGGGAATGGCCAGGAAAGTGTTCTGGAGAATTTAACCTGAGACCCAAGTAGGTGAATGGAAAGGGCTGCAAATTAGAGGGAGTGTGATGTGCTCTGTGATTGATTAGTGATGTCTGCTGTGGGTGGGGAGTAGCAGCGGAAAGGCAAGTGAGTTACGCACTGAGAAAGCGAATCCACTTAAAACTGGACCCACCTTTCAGAGCAAATTGGGACTTTATCTGAAAAAATACCCCAGCATTATGAAAATAAGCTCATAAAAATACGGTGTTTAATAAAACTAGATGTATAATTGCAACTGTGAGCTAATTCTTAGACCACTGTGGATAGTTATGTTGCATATATATATATATATATATAATATTTTTTTTTTGAGGCAGGATCTTTCTCTGTGGCCCAGGCTGGAGTGCAGTGGTGCAACTGGCTCACTGCAGCCTCATCCTCCTGGGCTCAAGTGATTCTCCCATCTCAGCCTCCGAAGTAGCTGGGATTACAGGAGCATCCCACCGTGCCTGGTTAATTTTTTGTTTTATTTTTGTGGAGACAGGTTCTCCCTATGTTGCCCAAGCTGGTCTCGAACTCCCAGGCTCAAGCGACCTTCTGCCTCAGCCTCACAAAGTACTGGGATTACAGGCATGAACTAACTATACCATGCCTGGCCAACCTTGCATAATTTTATGACTTTTTTTTGACAGTGTGAGACAGCTCAAATCCAATGACTGATCAATGTGGGGGTT
Source organism: Homo sapiens (assembly GCF_000001405.40). Lineage (NCBI taxonomy): Eukaryota > Metazoa > Chordata > Mammalia > Primates > Hominidae > Homo > Homo sapiens. The sequence goes on from NC_000016.10 coordinate 86,032,129, forward strand.
TGAGGGCCCAAACCTCTTGCTCCAGCAGAGGACAGCTGGGAAGATCCCTTCTACCCCACATGGGCACAGGGAGAACTTGAGCTGTGATGCAGTTTCAAGAAAGGCATTGGCTGTCCCCGCAGGAATCAGCAGTGCTGAGGCTCCTCTTGAAACTGCATTACAGCCACTGCTGCCTCTGCACAGGCCAGCTCCTTTCCTTTCTTTCCCCTCCCAGCAGCCCCCACCACCCAAACCATCTGCAAACCAGGAGTCTGCCTCCTGGGGAGCCCAACAGGACAATTGCTACAGTCCTTTGCTGGAAGGTTTATTTTTCTTTCTTCTTTCTTGGAAGTGTGGGTGGGGAGTGCATGTTTCTGAGCAGCAATCCAATCAATCACAGATTGATTCCAAACCCAGATGAGACAACCTCAGATCAAGTTCTTTAGGGCCACGAAGCATCCTTAATTCAGGAAAACCCAGCCCTTGGGATATAGCTGCCCCGCCCCCACCTCTCTCTCTCTCTCTCTCTCTCTCTCTCTCTCTCTCTCTCTCTCGCTTTCTCCACTATGCTTCCTACCAAAGCCAAATTCCTTCTGCCTCCACCCTGACCTGGCCAGGCCAATTTTCCCTTAATGCTCAATTTCACCTGCCAATTTGTGAGACAAGACTTCCTCTATCCTGCCTTGCGGAGGCCCCTCAGGGACTCACTCTCCGAGGGCGTCCCCTACTTCACACAGGCTCTTCTCAGGGTGTATTTGGAGAAGAAGCCTGGGATTTCTAAGCCCCACTCCCAAGCAGGCGGGAAGAGCCTTCTTTTGCCTGCATGCTTGCATTTTCTAAGAGGTTTTTCTTATGGGAGTAATTGGAGCAGGCTTCATTTATCCCACAAAGAGCAAGCCTTCGCGAGGTCACACAGAGAATGCCAGGCTTGTCCAATGTTGTGGTGCAAAGCTCCCCGCAATAAGAGGCAGGAAAATGGTTGGGCTCCAGCCGGCAGAGGCGGGGCTGTGATCAAAGCCGTGTCCTCCCCAAACTCAAGCCTGTGACTGCAGCTGGGCCATCCTCCCTCCCGCTGCCACCTGAGGAGAGCCTCCAGCTGGCCCAGGCGTCATCCATGGCCGGCCAGCCTCTCCAGGCAGTTTGCCTCCCTGGACTGTGGGGAGGACCTCACGGCGCCTCCCTCCTGGTGTCCCCGGTTGGCTTCACACACTCTCCCCAGAGCCCGTTTGGCCACGTTTGAGGAGGGATCCTGCGGAGTTTCCAGGGCGCTCCTCTGTCTTGCCTCCTCGAGGCAGTGAGAACGTGGTTTCCCACGTGCCTGTCCGGGCTGTGAGCGACTTGCTGGCTATGGCTTCATTCTCCTGGGGGAGCCTCAGCATCTGCCTTCTTTCCCTTTTTCTCTCAGCTGAGGGCTGGGTTGTGCATGGGCCAGGGAGGTTCTGAGAGATGAGACTGGGGGAAGGGGCTGCAGAAGGCCGGGTTGGGGGACGCTCTGCAGGGAGAAACTCAAGCCATCCATGGCCTTCCTCTCGTTAGTCAATTAGGGGAAAGTTTCATTTTTACTGTTGCACCTTTTCTGACAGGGTGAAGCAGCTTACAGCCACTGACTGATCAATGGGTTTAAGGGCCCAGAACTCTTGCTTCAGCAGAGGACAGCTGGGAAGATCCCTTCTAAGCTGCATGGGCACAGGGAGAATTTGAGCTTGATGCGGTCTCATTACAGAGTTTTGCATATTTTGCTCCAGGTTTGTTGAGGTTAGAAGCAGCAGAAAAATATCGAGTTGTCTTTTCCAAAATCCTGGTCAGTGCCACAAGAGTGACTGTAATCTATGGGAAGTGTCATCCAGGGTCAGGGTCTTGTAACAGAGATTTGAACCTGGGCAGACTGGCCCTGACTTTCAGATCACCCTGGGCAACCAGTGTCCTTGTTTCTGGGCTGGAAGAGCCTTGGGGAGTCCCAGAAAGTCTTTGGAGGGAGTGATTGAGAGCTAGGCTCTGGAGGGCACCAGCCTTGAGTCCAAGCCCTGCCATTGCCAGGCTGGGCAAGGTCCCCAGCACACCAGGTCTCAGGCCAGGCTGGGCAAGGCCCCCAGCACGCCAGGTCTCAGGCCAGGCTGGGCAAGGCCCCCAGCACGCCAGGTCTCAGTTTCTTCATCTGTAAAACTAGGCTTCCCTGGGGTGGATAGTGGGTTCAGAAAGATACGTGTGAGTCCTAACACATACTGTGCCGTGGGTTTAGTTGTGTCCCCAAAAAGATATGTGCAAGTCTTCACCCTCCTACCTGTGAATGTGACCTTATTTGTACCAAGGGCCTTTGCAGATGTGAGCAAGTTAAGGTGAGGCCATACTGGAGTAGGGTGGACCCTAAATCCAATCTGACTGAGGTCCTTAAAAGAAGAGGGAAATTCAGATGCAGACGCACAGAGGGCCGAGACTGCAGAGATGCAGCTTCCAGCAGAGGAATGCCGAAGGTGGCCCTTAGCCACTAGCAGCTGGAGCGAGGCCTGGAGCAATCCTCCCTCAGAGCCTCCAGACAGAGACAGCCCTGCCGACACCTTGATTTCTGGAGTGGCTTTCAGAACTGGGAGAGAATCCATTTCTGCTGTTTTAAGAACCCCCAGTTCATGCTAATTTGTCTCGGCAGCCCTGGTTCACGAATACACGGCAGGAGGTTAAGTGCTAAAGCTGTTGAATGCGTCCTACACACTCCGTGCACATTAGCTACTGTTTTAACTGTTGTCCTTGAGTTTTCCCCGAAATGCTGTCTCCCCATGGAGCTGAAGGGAGTGCACTGCTGTGCGCACAGGAAGATGTTGGATTTTGAGGGGTCCCAAATAGCCATGCAGTGGAACACGTGTGAATGTCGGCTCTGAAGTCAGCCCGTCTGCAGCCATCTCCTGCTCTTCCACTTGTTGACAGTGTGCCCTTGCATAAATTATCCAGCCTCTGATAGCCTCAGTTTACTCATCTGTAAAGTGGGACAATAATTGTATTTATTTGGGTTGGGTGAAATAATACGGGCAAGGTACTTATCCCTGGTGCACAGCAAGTGGTGAAGATGCGTTAGCTGTTATTGTTGTTGTGAGGGGCGGAGCTTCCCCCAAGGCTAAGACTGCCTTGGGTTTGCCTGAAGATGGGTGTAGTGGGTTGAAGAGTGTCCCACCAAATTCATGTATTTGCAGAACCTGAGAATGTGACTTTGTTTGGAAACGGGATGTTTGGAAGTGTAATTGGTTAAGGATGAAATCATCCTGCATCTAGGGTGGCCCTAAATGCAATGACTAAGTGTTGTTATAAAACATTAGATAAGGGCCGAGTGCGGTGGCTCACACCTGTAATCCCAGCACTTTGGGAGGCCAAGGTGGGTGGATCATGAGGTCAGGAGATTGAGACCAACCTGGCCAACATGGTGAAACCCCGTCTCTACTAAAAATACAAAAATTAGCCAGGTGTGGTGGCATGCACCTGTAGTCCCAGCTACTCTGGAGGCTGAGGCAGGCGAATCGCTTGAATCCAGGAGGTGGAGGTTGCAGTGAGCTGAGATCGCACCACTGCACTCAAGCCTGGGCGACAGAGGGAGATTCCGTCTGCAAAAAAAAAAAAAAAAAGAGACAACACAGAGACAGAGGAGAAGCCCACGTGAGGCTGGAGTGATGTGGCCACAAACCAAGGAACACCTGGAGCCACCAGGAGCTAGAAGGCTGGCTGGAAGAGGCAGGAAGGTACTTCCCTAGAGCCTCTGGAGGGAGTGGAGCCCTGCCCACACCTTGATTGCAGACTTCTGGCCTCCGGAGCTGGGAGAGAATATATTTCTGTTGTTTTAAGCAACCCCAGATCAGGGTACTTGCTGTGGTAGCCCCAGAAAGCAAATACGAGGGAGACTGAGAGCCTCAGTCTTTGAGATCCTGTCATCACTGCCTCTCGAGTCGCCATGGGCATGTGGCCTCAGGCCGTCAGCATCTCAGGGTGTTGGCTCTGCTCAAAGCCATCCGTCCTCGTCCACATTGCACCTTGTCCAGGCCTTCTTCGAGTTGGTCACCTGAGCCTATTATTGACGGTTTGGCTGTCCTCCCCGTTGCAAGCATGGGGATGGTGCGATGCTGCCATTTGTCAAACAAGAGCCCCGGAAAGCCAGAGGTACAACCAAAGACAGAAAAATAAGAACCATGAGCAGTCGCGGTGCCTCTATTATTTTCCCAGGACGATTGCTCTTTTCCTCCAATGGGCCTGGGGAAGAAGCAATTCTCACAGATCCTCCTCAACATGAAGGGTGTCAGGGTCCCTGCAGATTTGGCTGGAGCTCCAGACCTCCTCTGTGATTTGGTTGCCAAGGCCGGATGTGCCCAGCGAGCACTTGAAATGAGGCCTGTGCAACTAAGAAACTGAATTTTTAAAATTAATTCTGTTTTAATTAATTTTAATTTAAACTCCGGTCCTTGATTCAGTTATTAAGAAAACTCACGTATGTTTGGAACAACCTGCTATGTGAATCTGCCTTTTTGACTGTAAATTTTATGAACTCTAAATACAGATCACGTCTTTCCAATGGAAATTTAACATTCAAATTGAAGTGTGCTGTACGTGTAAAATATACACCAGATTTTGAAGACCTAGTATGAAAAAAAGAATGTAGGCCAGATGCAGTGGCTCGTGTCTATAATTCCACCACTTTGGGAGGTCAAGGTGGGAGGATCGCTTGAGCCCAGGAGTTCTAGACCAGCCTGGGCAATGTAGTCAGACCCTGTCTCTAAAAAAAAAAAAAAAAAATAGCTGGGCATGGTGGCATGCACCTGTAACCCCAGCTGCTCAGGAGGCTGAGATGGGAGGATTCCTTGAGCCTGGCAGATTGAGGCTGCGGTGAGTCATGACCATATCACCGCGCTCTGGACTGGATGACAGAACTAGACCCTGTCTCAAAAAAAAAAAAAAAAAGTAAAATACCCCCCTTTATTTATTTTTTGAGAGGGAGTCTCACTCTGTCGCCAGGGCTGGAGTGCAGTGGCGTGATCTTGGCTCACTGCAACCTCCACCTCCCCGATTCAAGATTCTCCCACCTCAGCCTCCCAAGTAGTTGGGATTACAGGTGCCTGCCACCACAGCCGGCTGATTTTTGTATCTTTAGTAGAGATGGGGTTTCACCATGTTGGCCAGGCTGGTCTTGAACTCCCGACCTCAGGTGATCCACCCGCCTCGGCCTCCCAAAGTGCTAGGATTACAGGCATGAGCCACCAGGCCTGGGCTGCCATTATACTTTTTATATGGATTATAGGTTTTGGATATTTTGAGTTAAATAAAATACATTATTAAAATTAGTATTTCTCCCCCTTTTTAAAAATTTTACAATGTGACAATTAAAGAATTTACAATTACATACATGGCTTGCATGATTTCTTTTAGACAGCACTGGTCTAGAAACCAAGCTGGAAGTTTGGAACGGATGTGCGTTTTAATCTCCACCAATACAGGGCTTTGTGACTTGGGGAAACTGCGAGCTCCCTCCGGACCTCAGGTTTCCAACACCAAATTAAGGACGGGACTCGCCTGGTGGATTCAGGGTATTGAGGGGAACTTGAGAGGGGTAGAGCTTTGAAAACCACCACCAGGTTCGTTGACCCCAATTCCTTTCTACTGTGACTTCATGGTTCGACCGAGGACTGGCTCACACTATTTCCTCTCGCAGGCTGAGCAGGTGATGGCGCTTGCAACAGGGTTGCTGGGCACAGTTGTGCAGGTCGTTGACTGCACACAGGAGCCTTTCCTGATTTCCATGAAAGTGCTCTGTGCCCATGGAGAAGAATGTCAAGATTTCTAGATTGGAATGGCATTTCCATTTAAAAGCACTTGCCTATCATCTAGATGTATAAATACCGTAAGGGCCCTCTGTTTCCTGAGGCCACTTAGGAATCTGGAGGGAAGGTCTCCGGGATGAGGAATACATTTGCAGAGAAGGAAGAGGGTTGTTGTTGGTTGCAGCGGTGGGGTGGAGAGAGTATTCCTGCCCAATCTCTCCTTTGTAGAGACTTGCATCTTCAAAATGGCCATCTCGGGCGCTCAATATTGAAAGCTGCTCCACGTGGATCCTTGAAACTCTCACCCTGATGAGAGTGGGCAGTGCTGCTGGCTCGGTTTGCATGGAATCGGTCTCTCCCGGTATTTCCTGAGTGCCTGCAGCACCCATAGGATCAGCTCACAGTGCGGCGACCCCTCTCCTTCCCGGCTCCAGGAGGTCTCTATGCTCCAACTCCCACATCTAGGTGGGCCAGGTGCCTCACTTGCTGAAGGAATGGGAACAGGAGCGGTGTGGGCCATTCTGGGCCTTGCATGAGTGTGTGGAGCTCCCTGCAGAGCGGCCCCCGGACTGTGTCCTGAGCAGAAGCACACTTGGACTGTGTGACCCCCCTGCTTGTCACAGTGGTGGGCACATGGACTAGCACAGTGTGGGGGAGGGGCTGGTCCTTGCTTGCCCTAAAGGGCTGCACTTCCAGGCAGCAGGGAATGGAGCGGGCACAGCCTTTGTTAGAGTGTCCAGGCCTCCCCGCATTGGCCTGGGCTTCCCTGCAGAGCTTCCCTGTGCCATGGGGAGGAGGAAGGTTTCCCAGCTTCCTGTCCTGCTTCCCAGGACTCAGCGCGCTCCCCATGGCCTCCACCCTGCCACCCTTCTCCACACGTGGGTAATTAGCAGCTGCTGGCCAGAGGCTGGCTGTGAGCCAAGGCATTTTCTCTGCCTGGGAAAAAAAGAAAATGAGGTTATAAGTTCCAAGCCATGGAAACCACCTAGAACTCCGAGGCTGTTTTGCCGAGCACCGTCCGTGTGGAGTTTTGGAGGGGCACGGAATCCCCAGCGCCAGGATGACCGCCTTCCCTCGGCCTTGAGGCTCTGCTCTCCCCCGGGCCCTTGCTTGGCACAAGGAAGGAGGCCTGGAGGATGCTGGATGCTTCTGGACTTCCCAGTGTGCAGGAGCCTGGAGGGAAGGGGGTGGTGGGTGGGTGAGTGGGGAAGGAAGGGGACTGGGCGGACCAGAGGGAGTTTCCCAGAGGGTCGTTGTTGGTGTGGCATGGGGGTGGCTTAGTGGAGCCTCTGTTCTCCCTGCAGCGTTCCGCCCCCAACGGGACGTGATCGTCACTGATGGAGACCACAGATAACTTCTGAGGTTACGTGAAAGCAGCAACATAGATTGTGAAGCATGAGTTGAGTCTGGCAAAGCCACTCTGCGTAATGCCAGGGCCTCCCTGCCTGGCATTATGTCCTGAGTAAGGGGCAGCGCTGGGATCCTTCGGACTCTATGGCCGTGCTCCAAAGCAAACAGATATGCAAATATCTTTTAATGAGAAAGAAGCACACGCTCGTAAAATTCAAACAACACTGCAGCTTGTAAACTAGGCACTTTTAACACACGGCCACTGCATTCTTCCATACTCCTCTCATTGAGAGATGGGGTCACTGTCCCCTTCCCTTGACTCTGGGGGCTTATGACCACATCCCCCAATAGAGTTCAGTGGAGCTGGTGCCATGTGACTTCGGAGGCCAGGTCAGGGAAGGCCATGCAGCTTCCTCCTGGTGCTCGAGGGATGCTTGCTCTGGGGAAGGCTGGCTGCCATATGAGAAGTCCTACAACCCTAAGGCCGGCATGCTGAAGGGGCAGGTGTGGGTGCCCCGGTCCTCAGTCTGGCTGAGCTCCAGCCAGAAGCAGCTGCCTGCCATGACAGAGGACCAGCGCGAATGTCCAGCCACGAGGGACGGCTAGCATGGACATCCAGGCCTGTTGACGGCAGAACCTGGAACTTCATGAGAGCACAGGGCTCATCCTCCGTTCCCTTGGTGTGTGGTGTGTTCGTGGATTCACTTACTCACTCGTAACTTCATTTATTCAACAAATGTTGATTCAGCACCTTGGGCCAGATGTATTTTGAAATTCATGTTTGTTTTTGGATTTTAGCAAGGCAATAGGGGTATTAGGGTTCCCCAGAGAAACAGAACCAGTAGGAGATATTGATCTATTGTCTCTCTCTCTCTCTCCCTCTCTCTCTCTGTCCCCCCTCTCTCCCTCTCTGTCTCTTCCTCTCTCTCTCTCTCCCTCTCTCTCTTCCTCTTCCTCTCTCCCTCTCTCTTCCTCTCTCCGTCTTCCTCTCTCCCTCTCTCTTCCTCTCTCCCTCTCTCTTCCTCTCTCCCTCTCTCTTCCTCTCTCCCTCTCTCTTCCTCTCTCCCTCTCTCTTCCTCTCTCCCTCTCTCTTCCTCTCTCCCTCTCTCTTCCTCTCTCCCTCTCTCTTCCTCTCTCCCTCTCTCTCTTTCTCTCTCTCTCCCTCTCTCTCTTCCTCTCCCTCTGTCTCTTCCTCTCCCTCTCTCTCTTCCTCTCCCTCTCTGTCTTCCTCTCCCTCTCTCAGGAGAGGGGCCTGCTCAGGGAAGCTGCTCTTGTGGCTGGACGTCCGCGCTGTCCCTCCCTTGAGGCTGGACGTCCGCGCTGTCCCTCCCTTGAGGCTGGACGTCCGCGCTGTCCCTCCCTTGAGGCTGGACATCGGCGCTGTCCCTCTCTCGAGGCTGGATGTCCATGCTGCTCTCCCTTGTGGCTGGCAGTTACTGTGGCTGGCATCCAGTAGTCCAGCTGGACTGTGAATCGGGGCCCCTGTGCTGGCCCCCTTCATTGTGGTGGCTCAGGGTTGTTGGACTTCTTATGTGGCAGCCGGCTTCCCCCAGAGCGAGCGTCCCAGTAGCACCAGGCAGAAGCTCTCTGCTCCTCTGATCTGGCCTCAGCAGTGAGGCAGCATCGTTTCTGTTGATTCTTTTGGCCAAGTGACCACAGATCCTACCCTGATTCATGGGGAGGAGACGTGAACTACCTCTCAATGAGAGGATGATCAAAGAATGCTGTGGTCATGTTTTAAAACTGCCACACTTTATGTTAATTAGCTTGATTTAATCATTCACATCGTACACATGTATCAAACCATTAAGTGGCACAACATAGATACATAGAATTCTTCATTTGTCAATTAAGAGAAATGAATAAACATGTATGGGATGAGTTTTTAAAAAGTGCCACACTTTATAAGCTCTAGTGTTGTTTGAACGTTTACAAGCATGTCCTTGTTTTCTAGTTTTAAAAAGGCATTTGCATGTTTTTCTGTTTGCTTTGGCTATAAAGTCTAAAAGATCCCACCTCTGCCCCTTGCTCAAGGAGCCTCATGTGACTTTCATCTTCCTCTACCTCTGCTAATTTCCCCTCTGAGAAGAAGAGAATAGGCTTCGGATCACAGCTCCTTGGCAAGCAAAATAACAAGGATATCGCGAGAAATCAGTGAATGCCGTTGTTTCGCGGTCTGGTACAGGAATACCAGGCCTTCGCCAAAATCCTAAGCCTTGTGCGTTCGAAGTTTAAATTTCCCTTGGGCAGTATGGTGTCTGTACAGCGATTTGCTTAACACTTTTAGTGGGTTCTGGGGAGTCCCTTATTACTGTCTCTTTTTTATCTGTTTCTTCAGCGAAAAATGTGATTTTCACACTAAGTAGAATAGAGAGACTACAGAGAGCTCCAAGTCAGTTCAAGTCAGGTTTGCCACCAAAGGAGAATGTACCAAATTTACAAATAAATAATAAATAAAAACAAAAAGAAAAAAATCAAACAAACAAAACCCTCTTGCTTTTCAGAGCCTTGGGTTTGGGTTGTGAATGAGGGATTGTGGCACTGTGTTAGTTTTTATGGTGACCTTCCATTTCTGGAAAGCAGGGCTGATTTTTCTATGATCTTAATGATATGCAGTTGTCCCTTAAATAAAATAATATTTAAGTGAAAAAAGTTGAAATATAGTGAGTAAACGTAAACAGAAACCACTGGTGGAATGCAGATGTCCCCAAAGTGTGGTTGTTTCCCCTTGAATGACTTAAATCTGAGGAACTCAGATCTAACCCAGCCCCTACTCGAACTGGGAGGGAGAAGTGACTCCTCTGAGCTCCTCCTGGGAGATGGCGTCACAGGTTTGCAGGGCTCAGGTCCCAGGTGAAGGGGCACAACATGCCCCAACTCCCAAAAGGCCCCCCGTTTTCCTCCATTCTGGTAACTACCCTTCCCAGGAACCACAATGTGACCTCTGTCACCACTGAGAAGTCGTTTGAGTTTGAGTTTATGGCTGTGGCATGTGGACTTTTTTGATCATCTTTGTGCTTGTGACTGTGTGGTTGCCAAATTCTCATTTTCTTTGCTGTGTAGTATTCCACGGGGAGACTGTCCTGATTCACTTACCCATTTTACCATCGATGGACATTTCGGCAGGACAGCCACCAACATTCGAGACTGTGCCTTTTGGTGAATGCGTATCCCTGTTTGGGGTGGGAATCTGCCCAGAAGTGTAATTTCTGGGTCACAGGGGGATTGTGTGTTCAGCGTCAGTAAATCCTGCCGGCTGTCAACTTCAAAAGAGGTTCTAAAGTCTTGCCACTCCTGCTGCTTTGAAAACCTGCCTACCCTTTGCTATAAATAGGCAATTTTAAAGGATTTGTTTCTTTGCTGGTTTTAATCGCCTTGAAATTCTTGGCGACATAAAATATGCTCCAAAGGGGATAAAGAGAGAGTTGTGAGAGTTCTCGTTCAAATAAATGGCCTGTCTTCTGGGTCGAAAGGCAAATCCATTCCTTGCACGACAAGCCTTTGTTCCCTTGCTCCTTGTTTTAATCCTTATTTCTTAGTCCGTGAATAAAACTCCAGGGATCCTGTCAAGTCATGTAACATTGGTTTCATTTTTATTCCTTTTGGCAGGTGCTGGCTTCCCCTGGCTTCAGATGAAGTTATCGGGGTTGGCCTCACTGCCCCCCACCCCAGGGTGCAGGCAGTCCCTGCCTCCCAGGTGTGAGTTGCCCCATCACCAGGAATTTTGCAGCAGCTGGGCTATAAAACCAGAGAAGCTTTGCGAGGGATGTGGCTCAGAGATGCTGAGGTGGGGCTGGTGGCTCCTCGTGCTCCACCCTGGCTGCCCTGTACCTGCTGCGGGTGACAGTTGACACACCCACGTCTTGGGCTCCCACCTGCTGGCTCCCAGTGACTTTGGCTGCTGGGGCCACTGGGCAAATCCCAAGAACAGGAGGTGGCAGGGTTGGGGTTTTTCTTATCCTGTCCCCACCCTGTTCTGCCACCACAGCCCTGACCATGGCTGTATCTCTCCTGCTCGGTGCTCCCTCTCCCACTGGCTGGTGACACTATTTCCTTCCCTTGTCCCTTCGGCCCTGGGGTGGTCACAGTTTCCTGCTGCCGTTCATCTTGGGGTCTCCATATCCCTTACCTGTCCCCTTGGCTCTGCCCGCTGTGCGGTGAATGGGCCCTGCAATGTGCTGTTTTCACTTAAACTCTCTGAGGGGGGTCACTGTTTTCTGCCAGGACTGGCTCAGCCTGAAATCAGCGGTCACGTTCTGGACTGGCCAAACCTCCAGAAGCTTGGCACTCTTGGTGTCTCTGCGGGGTTCCTGCCTTGCTGGGACTCCTCTTGCTGTCTGGTGGAGCCTGAGGGCCTCATGGTCAGCAGAACAATGACTGCCAGAGCTATGCATGCCCAGATCTCCAGAGCCCATGAGTATCTGCCCTGTGGCATGCACATGTGACTGGGTTAAGGACCTTGCAATGGGGAGAGTATCATGGATTATCTGGGTGCCCAACGTCATTGTGGGGTCCCTGTTGGGGATGGGGCAGGAGGTTCAGAGTCAGAGAAGTGCTGTGAGGGTGAAAGCAGAGGTTGGAGCCATGCAATTGAGGGCTGTGAAGATGGGGGAAGGAGCCGTGAGTCAAGGAATGCGGGTGGCCTCTGGAAGCTGGAAAAGGTGAGAGGCCAGATTTTCCCCTGGAGCCGCCAGAAGGAACCAGCCATGCCCACACCTTGGATTCAGCCCAGTGAGGTTGTTTGGGACTTTGGCCCTAAGAATTGTAAGAGAATGGATCTGCGAGGTGAACTCAGTTTTGGGTCCTTTGTTACAGCAGCCACAGGAAATTCTTCTTGGAATAAGGTTTTTAAATCCGTAAAACAAAACGCATAGACTTATACAGGAGATGGATTGTACAGACCCACCGTCCCAGCCACGCACCCCGTGGTGGGTGCCGGACCCTGCCTGTGCCCTCCTGCATTCCCCTCTGCAAGCTGGAGGCTGTTTATCATCCGCACACTTGGGTTCTAGCCAAGGCCTTTGTCCAACCGCAGAAGCTTCCTCAGACCATGCGGGGCGAGCTGGCAACACAGGAAAGTCAACGTTCCCAAAGCAGCCCTTACTGTGGGATGGGGGTGTGGTGGACAAACATGGCCTCCACCAGGGGGCGCGATGCATCTCCCGTTCCCCTAAGCTGGCCTCCCGGTGCCCACTGTGCTGGCTGGCCTGGGGACTGCCATTTGCTGGCCTCCCTGTCTTCCCCTTTCTCACCCACCACTGCTGGTTTCCCAGAGCACCTCCCAGATACGCCTATTGCACTGGAAGCCTCATCTCAGGGCCTGGTTCTGGGGGAACCCACATCCAACAAGAGCCTGGGCGTTCATGAAGCCCTGGATTCCCACCCACACTCTATGCCAAGGCCTTTGGCTGCCTCTAGGGATGGTTCCAGAGCAAGCGTGGGCACCGCACCTGAAGGCAGTCATTCTCTGAGGTCGTCAGTGGCCCATTTCAGACCTTGTGTGGGATTTTGGTTTACCGAGGAGCAGCGGAGATGTTATGAGCTCAGTGGTGACCCCCGGACACAGATGTTAAAGTCTCAAACCTTGGTACCTATGAATGTTGTGAATGTCACCTCACTGGGGAAACGGGTCTTTGCAGATGGAATTAAGTCAAGGATCTCAGGATGGGATCATCCTGGATCAGCCAAATGGGCCCTGAATCTAGTGACCAGTGTCCTTACAAGAAGAGGAAAGGACAGAGAGGCACAGAGAGAAGGCCCTGCGGGGACAGAGGCAGAGATGATGGCTACGTGGCCACAGCCCAGGGCTGCCTGGAGCTCCCAGGAGCTGGAAGAGATAAGAAGAAGCCTTCCCTAGAGCCTCTGGAGGGATTGGGGGCCCTGCTGACACCTTGATTCCAGACTTCTGGACTGCAGAACTGGGAGAGAATACATTTCTGTTGTTTTAAGCCTCCTCCTCTCCCCTCCCCAAGTTGTAGTCCTTTATGATGAGGCCACAGGACACAGGCTTACTGATGCGGATTTGATTCTTTCTCCTTGACTTTGGCCTGGGCCTGGCTCCAAGATAAGATGGGCTGTGTGGCCACGAGGGTGGCAGGGGAGCCAGCTGCACGAGGTTCCCATTGGAGCAGGGCCAGGAGGGCTGCATGGCTTGTGCTGGGCTTCTGGGGCCCAGGTGAGCCAAGCTCCTGCAGCACCTGCCAGCGCATGGGCGGAGCTGGCTGTGTGTGGCAAAGTGATCAACACTTAGTTTCCTGTTTGAGGGATCATGGGAGATCCCCCCTTGCGGTTGATGTGGTGACAGCATGTTCATTTTAATTGTGGAGTATTCCATTCTATGAACACACCGCCATTCATGTACCTATCTCCCTGTTGATGGGCATTGGATAATTTCCAGTTTGGGCCTATTGCAATTCTAGCACATACTATGTACTGCCATGAGCATTCTAGAATGCACCTTTTGGTGACTGTACGGATGCCTGTCTGTAGGGGACACGCCTAGGCGTGGAATTGCCCAGCCACCAGGAATGACACTCAGGCTGAGCTTCCACGGTGTTGGACCGAAGTAAACCCCCGCTGGCAACACAGGTTTCTGGATTTCTCACAATGTCCTATTAGGTTCTTGGAGCCCCTGGGTGAATTTTTTTTTTCCCTTCGAGTCCTCCAAACTGGGGGCTTCTGATCCAGCCAGAATCCCAGGAGGTGCAGATCTGGCAGACCCTGCCTCATGCTCTAGAAGGGAGAGCCTTTCAAGGGACCCAGTTATCTATCCCATGGTTATCTCTCACCCTATGACCCAGTGATCTCCACAATCCAAATTCCTGCCTCTGAAGTGGAGGCTGGTCTTTGATGTTCCCTTTGGGGAAGATCTGAGCTCCCTAAGATGGCCCAGGAGGCCTGGGACCAGGCTCGAGCTGGCTTCTGTCCTGGGTCTTTTGCCAGGCTGGCCCCCTGGGGAAGTGGGAGTTCTCCCTGCAGGTTTCGCCTTCAGAACTCCGGAGCTCCCCAGAGAAGGAGACTAGAAGCTGCCTGGCCCACTGATCAAAGGGCCGAGTGTTCCCTTATCAGAGCAGTAAGGTGAGAGGGGGTGAGGAGGGAAACCTAACAACTCCTCCAGCCACATAAAATGTGAGGAGCGCCTACAATGTGCCAGGCCCTGTGCCAGGGGCTGGGCTCGGTAACAAGAGAGACCCTCTCCCACTGTTTGAAGTTTGCGGGGCTGAGCTTGGAGGAATAGGGCCCAGAGGAATGCATGTTTTATGGAGTGCGGAAGGAGGAGCAGGGTGGCTTTGAGAGACCCTGGAGGATGTGGTGGGTTAGGTCAGGGGTCACAGAAAGCCTGTGGGAAGTGGCAGGGGAGGGGGCTGGGCTGGCAAGCACGTTCCTTTTTGGAAAATCATGGAGCTCTTCACATATGACTTAGGTATTCTGTATCTTGAATAAAAAATTGTTAAACTGTTAAATCTTTATCTTGAATAAAGAGCTTGTTGCAAGCTAGAACTCTTCCAAACAGAGACCAAAAGAAGCTTCTGGAGACCACGTTGTCCCTGCCCCGCATTTGCCCACCCTCAGCCGTGGTGGACCCCATAGATTAAAAACCTCAGGGGAAGCCAGAAAACTGTTGTGTGAGGGCTGATATGGGCCCTCTGTCCTGAGAAGAAAGGAGGACACCCCGACAGGAATGGGGTGGCAGGTCAGGTGATATCATGAGACCGGGAGGCAGCAGCCTGGGGGGTTCATGCTGCCTATGCACCAGGCAGGAAAGTGCAACTCAGGCAAAGCCAGGAGAGGGAGAAAGCAGAGTGGCTGCTGGGCAGCCGCTGAGGGGTGGGCGGTGGGACTGACTCCACAGGAGGTGTGAGGGGTGGGGAGGACCTGGGGTGACCGGCAGGATGAGTGTCATTTGCAGATAAAGCATGGCCATGGGAAGCCTCAGAAGGTGTTTGAACAGGGGCTGATGTGAACATGTGAATGTAACCAGGCTTTAAGGAGAGTGCTTGGGCTACGGTGATGTGGGGGAAGGACTAGAGTTACAGGAGTTAGAGGTGGTGGGGGGCTGCCTATAGGGAGTGTGAGGGTTGAGGGAGGGAAGCTGGAGAGGGACTGGAGAGGAAGACCTTGATTGGAGACACCCTTTAGGGAAAGGAGTGACCTCGATAGAGCTTGGAAAATAGCTGGAAGGAGGAGTAATGGAAGAAGACGCTGAGGTCCTAGGGGGATCTGAGCGGGTGTTCATGTTTCCCACTCATGTGTACTGAGCGTTTACGGTGGGGCCAAGTTTTAAATCGAATTATTTTATGTCATCCTTGAAGTAACTTTAAGAAGTAGGTTCTATTATTACCCCCACTTTGCAGATGAGGAAAATGGGGAACTCTGATGTCCAGGTGTGTGTCCAAAGTCACACATACGAAAAGTGCCACATACCAGAATATGAGGGGTTGGAGAGCGGGTAGGGCAGCCAGGACCCTCCTGCAGTGCTGGTCGGGAATCTAAAATGAGGCCAGGATGCTGGAAAATCCATCCAGCCCTTCCCACTCTAGATGTATACTCAAGATAAATGAAGGCAAGGGAGTTGTGTAAACACATCTGCAGTGGCTTTATCAATAGTTACCCCACCATGGAAATAACCCAGTGTCCATCGTAGTGAATGGGTCAACCAGCTGGAGTCTATGTGGACACTGGGACATTGGAATCCCACTCAGCAGCAAGAAAGCCTCATGGAGGGATGCAACCATGTTGCAGAAATCTCCAAACCAGGCACAGAAGATGACCTCCTGCACGGCTCGATTGCATGTTCAGGAGCAGGTCCTTTCACGGATTGACTGTGACAGCAAGGCGATCAGTGGTTGTCACAGGCGGAGAAGGGGAGATATTGACTGGAATGAGAATTTCCTGAGGAGATGGAAATGTTTTGTCTTTTGATCTGGGAGGGGGCTATATGGGTGTATCTGCATGTAAAAATACATGGACACTGTACACTTAGGATGACAGTTGCACCCTCAATTTTTAAATGTCAGCTCTCAGCCCTGCTGGCGCTCCCTCCTCCCCTGGACCCAGGCAGTTCCGGGCCTGGGCTCGCCACTCTGCCCGGAAGGGGGAGGGGGGAAGGGGCACAGTCCTGCTGTTCTCTCCCTGCCTGGAGCCTCCTTTTCCCCTGCCGCTGGCTCCCTGGAGGAAGTGGAGAGGTCTTATCAGATCCGCATCTGTGACCCCTGGGCAATAGAGCATCAAAACCTGCCCCGGCCTGGCCTCTGCCTTTTGGCTCCTGGGCGCCAGTCGGGTTCCCAGAGATGGTCGCACTCTCTCTAGCTGGCAGGAGGGCGCCTCCCACTCCCTCTCCCTTCCCTTTCTTTCCTCTCTCTTCTCCCTGCCACTCCCAACCTGTCTTTTGGCACCGTGGGAAGCTGAAAGCTTTAGGCAGATAAAAGACATGGGGTGTTTTTCATGAGTTCTCAAAGGGACTCTGATTAATAATAGTAGCGATAATAATCCTAACTGCTACTTATGCACAAATGCATTGATCTCATTTATTCTCCAAGACAATCCGGGGAGGTAGATTCTATTATTCCCATTTTAGAGATAGGGGAACTGAGGATCAGAAAGGCCAGGCTGCTTGTTTGGGGACCCACAGTGAGTTTTATGGCAGGATTTGGACCCGGTTCTGAGTGGCTGTAAAGTCTATGCTTGTAAATGCATTTTCCCTTTCTCCACACTAACAGAGTTGCCTCCTATGTGCCAGGCACCCTGCTGTGTGCTCAGACAGACAAAGCCCCGTGGTCAAGGAGCTCCCCTTGGAGTTGCCTGTGAGGCCTCCACACCCTCATCACTGACAACCTCTGGGGGGCGCCTGTCCTCACCACCTGTCACTGTCTCATCCAATTCTCCCCACCTGTCACTGCCTCATCCAATTCTCCCCACCTGTCACCGCCTCATCCGGTTCTCCCCACCTGGTGTGGTAGGGGTGGGGGTTATTACCCCATTTCGCAGATGGTGAGATGGAAGCACAGATGTTTCTTTTTCAATGTTGACCAGCCAATAAATGGCAGAGCTGGGGAGAGCCCAGGCCTTCATAGCCCATGGTAATGACCACTGAGTCCATGGCGATGACCCCTGGGTCCGTGGTGATGACACACCTGGGTCCATGGCGATGACCTCTGAGTCCATGGTGATGACACCTGGGCTTATATCAATGACCAGTAGGCTCACGGCAATGACTGCTGGGTGATGCTGCCCCAGGGACCCCATGGCCAAGTAGGCAGCGCTGTTGCCTCTCCTACCCCCCCAAGCCTGCAGTATGTGCCACAGGATGCCAGTGGGCCATCCTCCCCTTGGCCCAACACCTCCTCAGCTCTAGTAATGATGAAAGGATGGCATCAGTGGTGAGCACAGCTATACTCCATTCACGTATTCGTTGTTCACTCGACAAGTATTTACTGAGTACGAACGACCTGAGAGTCTCTGCAGGTTCCTAATCGAGGCATTTGCTTTCACTTCTGCCACTTACCAGCTGTGTGACCTTGGATAGGACTTGGAACCTCTCTGTGCCTTGGTCTCCTCTTCTGTGTAATGGGCATAATGAACACAGGTGGTATCCAAGGCTGCCGGGGCTCAGCTGGGGAGAGTGGTGCTGAGAAAGCCTCCTGTGCGCCAGGCCCAGTGGTGGGGAGCCACTGCCCCTGAGCTGCTGGGGGGAGGTAAAGCTTAGTGGTGAGGAACACGAGGTTCTGTCCCTGCGAGCACCTGAATCTCATGGCCTTCACTGCCTTGTCTGTGAAATGAGGCAATGACAGGATGACCACAGAGTGATTGTGAGGGTGAAATGAGCCCCTGAGAGCTCGGCTGGGAGCCTGTGCGGGAACTGCCCTATAATGTCACCTAGCAAGAGGCCCAGTATTAGACATTAGCTATCCTTCGATATTAGCTATCATTAGACATTAGCTATAATAGCAGTTAGACTCGGGGAGAAGGCAGGAGCAGACATTCCATCGACAGATGTTTGTGAGAAGGTCAGTCTCTGAAGCAACACACGGGGGTGTCCTCCACGTCTAGAAACATCCTAGCCGGTGGGGGGCTTCCCCAGTCCTGCCGAACAAATCCATGCCCATGGTTCACACTTCTCACCTGCCTTCAGTGTGGGCAAATTTCTCAAAACCCTCAGGCCCTGCTGGGTTGCAGAGGATCAGACAAGACGTGCTGAGAGTTTATTCTTTGGAAAGAGGTGCTGACTGTTCCTGTAGCTTCACAAGAGAAGCTGATCTTTCTAAGGTGTGTTCATGGGACACAGAACGTGTCTAAAGGGCAAAGAGCAGGTTAGAATCGTGCCTCTTCTTTGAGCATCTGTTCCATGCCAGGCACAGAGCTAGGCACCTGGAGGGGATGCAGCACCGATGTCCCAGACCCTCTCAGAGGTTGCGCAGCAATCGCTTCCTGCAACACGCCCAGGGGGTACTGGTAAGCATCAGATGAGTGACTCCTGTAAGTCACGTAACACAACCCCTGATCTGAATAAGTGCTTTGTAACTGTAAGTGTTTGTAACTGGGGCTGTGGGAGCTGTGATCATGTGCTTAGGCCCTCCTGGCAGTGCTTCTGCCTGCTCAAGTCCCCTGACCTCTCAGACCGTGTTATTTATCTGTGCGTGGAGATGGTAATGGTTGTTAGGACCAAAGGAGACAGCACACGACGCCAGCACATGGCAAGCGCTCCACAAACAGTGGCTGATGTTCCTTTATTCCCTAGGGGGATTTGCGCCACGTGGAAAGGTGCGGACTGTCACTCATCAGAATCCTAGCTCCAGAGGAGAGAGAGTTGGTGGATTTGCAATACATGGGGAGGGACCAGAAACCAAGGGGCCAGATTTCGAAGGGGCCAACCTGGGGCCTGCTGAGAGCCCGAAGAGCATGGGTTGAAATCCCGACTGGGGCCTTTCCAGCTCTGTGATGCTAAGCAGACTACCTAGCCCCTCTGTGCCTCAGTTTGTCTCTTGTGCAATGGCAGCCGTGATAGAGTTGACCTCCTGGGTGGTTGTGAGGACTCAGGGAGGTGGCACTGGCAATGCTCTCAGCCCAAGGCCAAGGCTCCCCAATGCCGAGCTCTCCCCATAATGATTTCCTCTGCTGAGCAGAGGCAGATGACATCAGCCTCTTTCCTTTCAAGGAAACTCATCTGCAACTGGTTCCAATAAAGCCAGGATGGCTGGGCCAGGGAGGACAGGAAGTGTGGAAGACCCAGGGCTCCTCCCGTGGGCCCAGGAGCCAGGTCACACCAGGGTCCTCGAGCCCCTCCTGAGGACTTGGGGGCCAGAGGGCTTCCTGGCCAGAGGTGGTCAGCAGCGCGCTGGGGAGAGGGTCCCTGGGGGAAGGGCACACGCGCTGCCCTGTCTCCCTCTTCCTCACACCCCCTTCCTCCTCCTGGGCTGGCTGTTGACATAGTGAGGAATTGCTCCCAAGGCAGTGTGGAAACACAAAAGGACGTGGCGCAGCAGCAATAAATCACGATTTATGTCCTCGGAGCTGCCGGAGGATGCTGGGGCTTGTCATGATTTCTGGAGATTCACTGAGCCAGACGACAAGCCGAGCTCCGATGCCCCCATGGTCAAGTGCAGATGGGACCCAAGGTCCCAGCCTGGGGAGGTGCCCTTTCCTTCAGGGCTGGCCGAGGATGCCCAGGGAGGTCAACATGGGGAATGGCTGGATGCATCCAGGGGGCTCTGACCTCTGAACTACCCCTGACACCCGGCCGTGGCAGCGTTTTGTCAAATCAGGATTGGAACACCTGCTTGTGTTGAGGGTGTGCAGGTTCCCGAGGCCGACTTTGAATTGGTGGTGGAAGCTGAGAACTCTGGACAGCCAGAGCCTTTTGGTCCCAGCAATGCCTGGGCGGGGCCGCCTTGTTGGGGTCCTCATGCACCAGGAGCTCAGGTCCTCTCCTAATAGGGCAGCTCTCGTTGCCCAGGGGCTGCTCCCAGCCTAGGATGCTGCAGAACTCTCTGGAGAGACCCGCAGAAAGGCCTCCGCGGCTCTGCCCTGCCTTTGGCGCACTCCAGGCTCCTGTGCTCCAAAACAAAGGGACCAGTGAGGCCGGGACCTCCGCCCCTGTGTGGCCCACAGGTGGATGTGAGGCTTCTGTGATGTGCCTGGCACTGTTCTGGGAGTCGGGGGTGTGACAGGAGCGAAACTGAGCCACTTCCTGGGGTGTGCAGGCCATGACCATCCAGCCTGGAACATGCTGGGGGAGGGGGCTCAGTGTGTGAGGGCAGCAAAGGGACTTCTATACCTGTCAGCTCCTCCAAAGCGCACGCCAGCCCTGGGGAATGAGGAAACTGAGGCTTCCAGTGGGCACATGACTCGGCCAGCCTCATGTTGGGTAAACATAAAGTAAACCTATGCATAAATGTAGGGTAAATGCAAATAAAATATCGAGTAAGTATAAATATAGAGTAAATATCAATAAAAATAAAAAGTCAGTAGAAATATCCAAATAACTATAAATGTTAACATTACTATAGAGTACATGGTCAATATCAATAGAAATATCAAATCAATAGAAATATCGAATAAATAGAAATATAGAATAAATAGACACAAAAATGTAGAGTAAATATAAATCTAGAATAACTATCAATATCAATACAGAGTGCCGGGGGCATGCAGAGCCTTGGGCAGCCGGGGGCTCCCCTGAGGAGCACCCGCAAGGAAGCCTAAGGCAGCGGTGGGTTATCCAGGCTGGGAGGGGCAGAGGGAGGGCCAGGCTGGGAACTGCCTGAGCAAAGGCCTGGAGGCTGAAGGTGCAAGCGAGTTGAGGAGGAGCAAGGGGCCCTGTCTGGTGCAGTACAAACAAGGCAGATGGCTGCCTGGGAGACGGTGGGTCTCAGGGATCATTGCCTTCTGGGGCTGCGATATTAGTTTCAAGAGAGGCTGCCTCCTGGCTCCCAGCCAGCAGACCCCAAGGCTGAGGCCCAAAGGACCTTGTTCTGACTTGGTTTCTGCCAGCTGGTGTTGGCTGGTGTCTTCCCTGCCTGTCTGCCTGTCTGTCTGCAAAGACCACCCTCTGACTGCATATCAACTCCCGTGGCATTGTGAGTGAGACACTTCGTGGGGGAGGGGTGCCTGTACTGTGCTCTGATCAGATCCCGAGCTTTTTCCGGGTCATGGACCCTGTGGTAGGTGGGCTAAATCTATGAGGGCATCCTCAGAAAAATGTTTGTAAATGCACACATTAAAATGTGCAGGGTTACACAAAAACCCACAGCCTATGATATAGAAAACAGCTATCAAAAGCATTAAACACACCGACTGGTACATATACACCATGGGATACTATACAGCCATAAAAAGGAATGAGATCATGTCCTTTGCAGGGACATGGATGAAGCTGGAAGCCATTGTCCTCAGCAAACTAATGCAGGAACAGAAAACCAACCACATGTTCTCACTTATAAGTAGGAGCTGAACAATGAGAACACATGGACACAGGGAGGGGAACAACACACACTGGGGCCTGTTGGTGCTAGGGTCGGGGGAGGGGAGAGTATTGGAAAAAGACCTAATGCATGTTGGTCTAAATACCTAGGTGATGGGTTGATGGGTGGAGCAAACCACCATGGCACACATTTACCTATGTAACAAACCAGCACACCCTGCACATGTACCCCAAAACTTAAAATAGCATAAAATAAACAAAAAAAACTATGATAAAATATATATGTTGGGTTTCTTTATTAGCAGATTAGATGACAAGATCTAGAAGCAGGGCTGGAGTCTAAGTACCATAATTGCAAAGTGGTGATTAGCATAAACGGCGCTTTGAGAGAACTGTAATGACTCGAGATGTTAAGAAAGCATCTGTGATTCTATTGGTGATAAAGTCACAGCCACTGCTAATGCCCCTGTGGCTTGTGCCTACACTCATCATCGAAAAGAAAAGTGCTAAGTATCAGCACGGGGCTAGTTAAAATAAAGAGGAACCTTCAGGCCGGGCGCGGTGGCTCACGCCTGTAATCCCAGCAGTTTGGGAGGCCGAGGCGGGCGGATCACGAGGTTAGCAGATTGAGACCATCCTGGCTAACACGGTGAAACCCCGTCTCTACTAAAAAATACAAAAGTTAGCCGGGCGTGGTGGCGGGCACCTGTAGGTCCAGCTACTTATGAGGCTGAGGCAGGAGAATGGCGTGAACCTGGGAGGCGGAGCTTGCAGGGAGCTGAGATCGCACCGCTATAGTCCAGTCTGGGCAACAGCAAGACTCCATCTCAAAAAAAAAAAGAGGAACCTTCATTTAATTTCATGGAGTTCTTGAATTGTTGGTGGGGGAGGTCTGTGGATTCCTTTTCTGGAAGAATACCTTTCCTGGATGTTGACAGCACAGACCTTTTCCTTGGCAGTGGTCACAGTCAGCCCAGTGGTATCTAGGGTCACTTTTCCTAAAAGGGTTGTGGGATCTGGGGCTTGGGACAGTCCCTGGTGTTAGCTGTTGAAAATGACGTGTCATAGGTAGAACGTGCTTTCTCAGAGCCAGGCGCTCCTCGAAGCCCCTTATAGGCATTACCTCATGTTACACTTACAACCCATCTTTGATATAGGCTATTCATTCATTTGAATATATATTCAATATCTAGAATATGTTTAAAGCTGTGTTAAATGCTGTTGGCACCGACGGCATGCCTTCTCTCATGAAGCTTATGATATAGTGGTAAGAGACAGACATTGACCGAATAATCACAGGGAAACCAAATGGTGCTCTATTCTAGGACACAGTGGTTATGAAGAGGGGATTGGCTTAGCTGGGTGGAACTTCCCTATGGAAGGGCGAGTGAAAAAAGGTGGGCTTGCCTAAGGAGCCCACCAGCGCGTGAAGATCTAATGGGTAGGAGTGACTTTGTGTAGACATGAGAAGAATGCCCCAGGCAGAGGAATAGCTTGCATGGTTCCCATCTTACAGAGAAGGAAACCAAGGCTCAGAGAGGGTCACACTAATCATGATGGAGGCAAGATGCTCACCCAGGACTGACTGATTCCACTGCCTCTTGTCTTAGCCAGGTGTTCAGGGAGACAGTTTGTTCTGTAGAACCAAATGCCCACGAGAGTCATCTGAACATTGTGCTCTTTATTTGCTGTGTCCAGCAAGATTCACTCAGGGCATCAGTGACCTTTGAAGGTAAACTGGTCCCTTAATAGCTGTGCTGTTTAAGGCAGGGATGAGAAAATCATCCCCAAGGACTTTGGAAATCTTTGCTGATAAAAAGCCACTGGAGACTTGAAGGCAGAGAAATGCTGCCTGTTGTCAAATATATTGGGAAAAATCAATGAATATTTATAAACCTACTCATTGAATTAAATATTAGACCAGCATTATCCTGATTCCAAAGCCAGGCAAAGACATTACAAAATAAGAAAACTACAGGCTAATATCTCTCGTAAACAGAGACACAGATATCCATAACAAATATTATCTCATTGAATCCAGCAATATATAAAAGGATAAGATTACTACTATCAAGTAGCGTTTACTTCAGGAATGGATAGTAAAACATATGAAAATAACAGAATATTAACAGAAAGAAGGAGAAAAAAATCATACATTTATCTCGATACATGCAGAAAAAAACTTCCAAAAATTCAGAACCAATTCATGATAAAAATTCTCAGCAAACTAGGAATAGCGGAAAACTTCTTCAACCTGATGAAGATTCATTGATAGGCGAAAAAACTACAGCTGCTATCGTGCTTAATGGTAAAGACTGAATGTGTTCTCCCTAAGATCCGAAGCTAAGAAAAGATGCCCCCTCTCACCACATAGTATTCAACAGTCTACTGGAGGTACCAGCCAATGTGATAAGACAATACAAAGAAATATTGATTAAAGAGAAAGAAAAAAATGTCATTCTTCCTAAATGGCATCATGGTATACATAGAAAACCCTGGCTGGGCACTGTGATTCACGCCTGTAATCCCAGCACTTTGGGAGGCCAAGGTGGGTGGATCACCTGAGGTCAGGAGTTCCAGACCAGCCTGGTCAACATGGTGAAACCCCGTCTCTACTAAAAATACAAAAATTAGCTGGGTGCAGAAGCAGGCCCCTGTAATCCCAGCTACTCAGGAGGCTGAGGCAGGAGAATCACTTGAACCTGTGAGGTGGAGGTTGCAGTGAGCCAAGATTGCGGCATTGCACTCCAGCCTGGGAGATGAGCAAGACTCCATCTCTCAAAAAAAAAAAAAAAAAAAAAAAAAAAAAAAAAAAAAAAGAAAGGAAAGAAAAAAGAAAACCCTAAGGAATGTAGAAAAAACTTCTAGAACTAATAATACATGAGTGCAGTATTAGCACCCTATTAGGCCAATTTTAAAAACCACGCCAATTATGTTTCTATACAGCATAGTTTCTCCTTACCACAGTTTTGCTCTTGCAGTTTCAGTTGCCCATGAGCAACTGTGGTCTGGTAATAGGTGAGTATAGTGCAATCAGATATTTTGAGAGAGACAGCACATTCACAAAAATTTTATTAATACTATAGTATATTGTTACAATTGTTCTTTGTTTTTTGAGACAGAGTTTCACTCTGTCTCACAGGCTGGAGTGCAATGGCATGATCTCGGCTCACTGCAACCTCCACCTCCCAGGTTCAAGCGATTCTCCTGCCTCAGCCTCCCGAGTAGCCGGGATAACAGGCACCTGCCATCATGCCTGGCTAATTTTTTGTATTTTCAGTAGAGACGGGATTTCACCATATTGGCCAGGCTGGTCTTGAATTCCTGACCTCAGGTGATCTGCTCGCCTCGGCCTCCCAAAGTGCTGGGATTACAGGCATGAGCCACCATGCCCACCTTCTATTTGATTATTACTTATTGCTGTTAATCTCTACTGTGACCAGTTTATAAATTAAACTTCATCATAGGTAAGTATGTATGGAAAAATACATGGAATATTTAGAGTTTGGTAGTATCTGCACTTCTAGGCATCCACTAGCGTCTTGGCATCTATCCCCTGCAGGTAAGTGGGTCTACTCTAGCAGCAATTAATAATTGAAAAATAAAAAATTTAAAAGATCATTTAAAATAACATCAAAACCATAAAGTATTTAGGGATAAATTAAACCATAAAACCCTTGAGTTTTTTGGTTTGAGAGAAATTGCAGAGAGAAATTAAGGAAACTAAACTCAAATAGAGTGATAGATCTTGGTTATGGACTGAAAGATTCACTGATTTGAAGAAGTCAGTTTTTCCTAAGTTGATCCATAGATTTAATGTAATCCTATTAAAATCCCAACAGTCTTTTAAAAAATAAAAGACACAGGCAAGTTGACTCTAAAATTTAAATGGAAATATAAAGTACTTAGGATAGCCAAAACAATTTTGTAAAACAAGGATAAAATGAGAGGACTTACATCACCTGATTTCAAGCCTTCTAAAATGTATTTTATTTAATCCAACATATTTGAGACATTATCATTTTCAACATGTAATCAATAACACAGTTATGAACGAGACATTTTTACATTTTTTTATTTCCAAGTTTTTGAAAGATGGCATATATTTTACACTTACAACACTTCTCCATTCAGACCAGCCACATTTTAACACTCAATAGCTAAGGTAGCAAGTGGCTACCATTTTGGACAGATTATGGACAAAAATTTGCTTTAAACATTATCTCACAGCATTTAATAAATTACATCAAAGTAGATCATAGACCTATATATAAAGGTCAAAACTGTAAAACTTCAAGAAGTAAACATAGAAAAAAGTATTTACAACCTTGGGATAGTGAACGATTTGTTAGGTAAGACACAAAAAGCATAAACCATGAAAGAAAAACTGATGATTGAACTTAGTCCACCTTTAAAAGTTGTGTTCTTCAAAAGACAACATTAAGAAGATGAAAAAGTCCACCCCAGTCACTAACTGGGAGAAAATAGGATACGTGATAACAAACTTTTATCTAGTATATTAAAAACCAAACAAAACAACAACAACAAACAAAAACTGGTTACACTCAATAGCAAAAAACCAGCAAATATATGAAACAGTGGGGAAAATAGTAGAAGACACTTCACACAAAAGGATATATGGATGGCCAATAAGCGTATGAAAGATGTTCAACATCATTGGTGATCAGGGAAATGCAAATTAAAACACAATGAGATAAATATGCATTAGAACGGCCAATGACAAAGCCTGACAGTATCAAGCGTTGGCGGGGATTGGAGCAACTGCAGCTCCCATTGCTTTGGAAAAGTGGCACAGTTTCTTACAGAATTCAACACACATTTACAATGTGACCCTGAAGTTTAACTCCTAGACATTTCTTCAAGAGAAATGAAGACATACGCCCACAGAAAGATTTGAACATGAATGTTCGCACTTACTTTTTCATTATAGTCCTAAACTAGATACAATTCAAATGTCCATCAGCACGTGAACAGGTAAACAAATCGTGGCATATCCACACAATGGAACAGTACTCAGCAATGACAAAGAATAAACTGTTACATATAATATCCCTGAATCCCAAAGACAGGCTGAATGAGACAAGCTTATCCCAGAAGAGAAAATACTGCATGATTCCACTTATCTGAACTCCAGAAAGACAAATCTAATTTAGTAACAGAAAGCAGATCAACTGTTGATTGGGGCCAGGATTGGGGGAGGGGGCAGGGATTGCCTGAAAAGGGGCTCTAGGGGACATTTTGGGGTGATGGAATGAATATTCTATATGTCATTTGTGGTGGTATTTACATGGGTGATTTAAATTTGTCAAGACTTGTTGAAATATACACTCAAAACAAGTGCATTTTACTGTATGAGTCCCATTAATATTTTGGAGTATGTAAAAAATGATGCTGCAGTCATTTTCTTCATACATATTCACGTATATGTCGTATTTTACAAAGTCAGAGTCATGTTGCATTTACTATTTTGTAATTTCCTTTTTCCACTTAACAGCATCTTGAAAACATACTTGCCCATCCACAAGACCACTTCTATACCCACACTTTCAATGGCTGCGGAGGTACCGAACCCTGTGTCTGTACCCTCATGCACAGCATCCAATTCTGCCCGTGGGACTTTGAGTCTTGTTCCCACTATCTGCTATCAAAACCATGCTCAGTTGAGCATCCTCCAGTTTCATCTTTGCTCATCAAATGGCTGCTTTAGGCTGGTTTCCCAGCAGTGGTGGGGCAGGATCAGAGGGTGTGGACATTGTTAAGGCTGTTGATTGGTAAAGCCCCGCAATCTATGACCGCTGTAGGAACTGGATCCCCCATCAGGGTGTGAGACACCCTTTAGGCTGTATCCCAGGAACCAGCAAACTCCTGTTGGCTCCCTACCCTGGGTTTTTCTTTG
The DNA here is from genome assembly GCF_000001405.40 of Homo sapiens. Lineage (NCBI taxonomy): Eukaryota > Metazoa > Chordata > Mammalia > Primates > Hominidae > Homo > Homo sapiens. The sequence goes on from NC_000016.10 coordinate 86,059,583, forward strand.
CCCACTCAGTTTTATCGGAAGCAAAGAACTGATGAGAACCTAGAGCCTCCATGCTATTCTTGAGGGCATGTGGGTGGAGGTGCTCTGGGGAGGGCTCTGGCACCTGCAGGGGGAAAGATTCCAGCTGCTGGGAGCATTTCCCTCCCTCTGCGCTCAGGGAGGCCTGTGAGTGGGAGGCTCTTCTGCTTGGCAGGGCTGGGCAGCAGCCCAGGCTGGGAGCCACACTCCCCCAGCCCACTGGGACTGGCCCTTCCTGCAGCGTTAGCTGAGGCATTGTGTGGGGGACCTCACTTGAAGCTGGGTGGAGGTGAGGGGGTGGGGGTGGGAGTGAGGATGGAGCTGGTGGCCCAGGGCCAGAGCATATCCTAAATTAGAAACCTCCATCGTCTGTTCCAGCTGGTGTCTGAGAAAGGCTGCCATGGTCAGCATGAAAGCTAGTGATTACGTGAGCGGAGTCTCTGCAGAGAGAAGCAGTAACGCAGGCCTCGGCAGCTTCTGGCTTGTTCCAGGGCCCTCCCTGCTCCGCGGGACCACAGCACTCGATGCCTCCCTGACCCCTGACCCCTGGCCCAGAGCCGGCCTTCCCTCAGGAATTGCTCGGAATAAAATTTTCCAGAAGGCTTCCTTGGGCTATTCTCATTTCTCTCCACTCCTCTCCTCCCTTGCCCTTCTTCTTTCAAACAGATTAAAATCCCTCTCTGCAGAGACCCTTTGCCATGCCCTGTGGGGTGGGGGACACATGGCTATTCTGAGGTCTCAGCCCTCCAGAGGTTCGTATTATTTCATTTTTCCATTTAAAAAATATTTCAAAGAGGCATTAAGTACAGAGGGCAAAACTCCTTTTGGACAGTGAGAAGGACTCCAGGGTGGAAGAAATTCTCCCTTTCATCCCCTGCGCAGGGGCTCGGTCGGGGAGGGTTTCCAGGTGTCCTCACGCCCTGCAGGACATGCAATGGAGAGCGCTCCGGATCGGCTCCCACGGTGCCCTGTCCGCCTTTTCCGACTCCCTGCCCTTCAACAGGGGCTCTGGGAGATCCTGGAGCCCTCAGTTGACAGAAGAGCCTCCTTCCTTATTAGCCTCTGGGCTGCAGGCTAAGGGCCAGGCATGGCCTCTGGACTTGGCTGGCTCCTGGGGCCCGCGTCTTCCCCTCTCTGACACTCAGCGTCCCCTCTGGCACAGGTGGGCTAATAATGGTGCCCATGTGGCAGCACTGCTGCGGGCACTGAGATGACCTTGGCAAAGCTCTGGGCCTGGAGGATGGGCACAGCCAGTGGAGGCTTCTGCCGTCCAGAGGAGGTGGGCAGAATGGCGACAGGCTCAGGGAGGGGTGAAGGGGCTGAGGAGAGGAGCCTGGGGAGGAAGGTCCCTGCATTCGAGTGTCTCATGGGCCAGGACCAGCCTCGCTTTGTGGGCACTGAAGGTCCCTCGGGAGAAGGGGCAGGGAGGCACGTTTTATCTCATTACGTGGAAGAGCCGTCGAAAAGAAGCAGCTCCCCATTCCTAGGAGCATGTGAGCTGGGTGACAGCTCCTGGGTGACTCAAACATTGGAAGAGGCACGGAGTCGGAGTACAATCCAGCCCTAGACAAATGCCAGGGAAGAAGAGGTAAGTGCACAGCGCGGTGCCGGCCAGGAAGTGCTTCACAGGGAGTGACTGCAACTTGTTCTTTTATTGATATTGTTATGGGGGTTTATTACCTTTGTTTTGCTCTAGGTTTCTCTCCACTGAGCAGATGCAGGAGAATGGCCATGTCAAAAATCTCCTGCCTACGACGGTCTGAGTGCCAGAGCCCAGCGTGGTCCGACGGTGCCCTCTGTGGAGGGGCACACGGTTGTCATTGGAGAGTGCAGCTTATCCATTGGTTTCAAAGGAGACTCCTTCTCCCGCCCCCAGTCACCCTCACACCTGTTCCCATCTGATGCATGGGGAAATCCAGGTGGGCGGCCTGGTAGGAGCAGTGGGAATGTGCAGCTGAAGACAGTCAGTTCATTAGTGGAGGACGGGTGACAGGGGCAAAGGGCAGGCAGGAAGCCAGCAGCCCACCCAGGCCCCCACCCGAGCTGGCTGCCGTGTGCAGAAACTGCTTCCTCTCTTGCCCAGCATTTTTGGGGAAAGGAACTAAACTCAGTTCCTGAATTGGAAGGGAGAGGAAAAGGCGAGGGTTGTGAGCCATTGAAAGGCTTGCACTTTCCCCAGTGCTGGGAGGGATCTGCATGGGAACCATGAGGCGGAAGCGATATTTTAGCAGCTGTTTTCCAAAGTTGATGAACAGCAGAAGACATGCGAGCAAAGACAACAGACCCAGATTTCCGGCCTGCAAGAACTCCTTCCAGCAAAACAGCAAGCACTGCCTGTGGCACCCAGGAGTCTCCTGGGCTGCATCCCAGATGGACCGGGGATCCTCTAGCATCTTCCAGGGGATGGGAGCCATGGACCGGTCCCAAGGCAGCCCACGTCACCCCTGCTAGCTGGGTGACCTCTTCCCTGCCCTCTGCACCTGGGCTTCCTCGTCTGGTGGAATCCTCCCTCGCCGGTCTTGTCTACAGATTTCAGTGAGAGCATAGGGATAAAGTCACCACCACTTATGATTTCCAGATCTGGAATAAATCAGGTCTTTCTAAATGGCTTCTAAGTGGCTAGGGCATATTTAATTACTCTAAAAACAAGCAAATCAATGAGGACTTGAAGTAATGGAACAACAATAATAGGACTTCATATGGATTGTTATTGTCAGTCGCATGACGATCTACTGAGAATGGTACCAGGATTTTACCCATTTTGCAGCTGAGGAAACTGAGCAGAGAGAGGGGGAAAAGGTTGCCCAGGGTCACTCAGCCTGCAGGTGGGTGGCTGAGGTTCAAACTCAGGCCCGTGTCACCCACTTGGCTGTGCCGGCCAAGCACCGTAGGACAGCAGGTTTCCACCTGGGGCTGCTGGTTGGAAGAGTGTGTGCCAGGTGGCTCTCTGGGACTGGCTCCCCTAGAGAATCCCCCAGTGGGATTTGTGTGCAAATGATTAAGGCAGTGAAGGCGCTGCCAGGAAGCAGAGGGAAGAGAAGGCACCAAGCAAGCAGTGGTTTCTTGGGGGCCCTGCCGCAGGCTGACCAGGCAGGGCTCTGGAGGGCAGGCTATGGGCGGGCCAGCCTTCACAGCCCCACTCCGAAGTCCCTGGCGAAGGCCGGGATGGCGCCACGTGGTCCTAGAAGCACAAGGACGGTTCTCTGAAGAGAGTTCCAGGTGAGGCCCACAGAAACAGAAACACACAGGAGCTGGGGAAGGAACAGGCAAAAACCTTCACAGGGATCTGGGTCACGTGGGTGGAGCCCGATAGTGTCTGTGCCATCAGTTTCTAGAACGCTCACCGCCACTAGGATTTTAGCGCTCCCGGGTGGCTGTACTGTTCACAGCTGAGCCCCCGGAAGCAAGGACACATGTGCCACCGGTTTGCTGGGTGACTTTATTTCTCCTGTAATCCTTGGTTGCCCAGCAGCTGAGACTTCTGTGATCTCCCTGTTCCCTCCCTCTGCACGCGCTAATTCCCTTCCCGATGCCCATGCTGCCTATGCACCTGCCCCTCGGGTTCTGCCTTCCTGGTGCCTTTGCTGTCTACTTGCTGCCTCTGCCATGTCTCGTGTGGCCAGTGTCCTGGAAAAGTGATGCCTCAGCATGTGGCGGAAGGAGAGGGAAGGAGAGGGAAGGAGGGAAGGAGAGGGAAGGAGTGGGAAGGAGAGGGAAGGAGAGGGAAGGAGGGAAGGAGTGGGAAGGAGAGGGAAGGAGAGGGAAGGAGAGGGAAGGAGAGGGAAGGAGTGGGAAGGAGTGGGAAGGAGAGGGAAGGAGGGAAGGAGAGGGAAGGAGTGGGAAGGAGAGGGAAGGAGGGAAGGAGAGGGAAGGAGTGGGAAGGAGAGGGAAGGAGTGGGAAGGAGAGGGAAGGAGTGTGAAGGAGAGGGAAGGAGAGGGAGGGAGAGGGAAGGAGAGGGAAGGAGTGGGAAGGAGAGGGAAGGAGTGGGAAGGAGAGGGAAGGAGTGTGAAGGAGAGGGAAGGAGAGGGAGGGAGAGGGAAGGAGAGGGAAGGAGTGGGAAGGAGAGGGAGGGAGAGGGAGGGAGAGGGAAGGAGAGGGAGGAAGAGGGAGGGAGAGGGAAGGGGAGGGAGAGGGAAGGAGAATAAAAGAGTGTGGGGGGAGATGGGGGGAGGGAAGAAGAGGAAGCCTGAGCAGGGAGGGTAGAGGGTGGGGAGGGGAAGAGATGGGGTGGGGAGAGCCAGAGAGGCTGGGCTTTTGGAGCTGTAGCAGCCGCAGGGAGTTGTGGGCTGGCCGGCACATTTCCGGTCCTTGGGTCTCATTTGAGGCCTGGGCCTCTGCTTGTCCTGTCTGTCGTTGGCTGTGTGGTTGTCAACTCCTCTTTGAGCTTCTCACCAAGGTGGCACCTGTTTATTGAGCACCTACTATGTGCCGGCTGTTTGCTGGGATCCAGCAGTGAGCCTCAGGCAGCCCCTGCTCTCTGAGCTCGTATCCTAGTGGGCCCAGACCACACCCACTGAACACATGGTAACTCCAGGCAGAGCCCAGCTGTCCTGCAGCCTTGCAGCCCAGGGTCTGTCCGTTGGGTGGAGAACCTGCTCCACCACTGGCTCCTCCTCCATCCCCAGATGTGTCCCCCCGAGTCCCTCGAGCTGTCCCAGGGACCCTGACTGCAGGGAGACTCCCCAGCTTCCACCCTTCCATGGCCCTGTGGTTCCTGGGGTGCAATCTGGCCTCTCCTGATCCTCAGTCTGCCCCTCTCTCCTTGCTCTGGAACTTTCTACCTGCATCTGGAGTTAATTTCTCTCCCATCTCCCCGGCCTTCGGGCCATCCCCAGAGGCAGTCCCACCTGGAAGGCACATTCAAATCACCTGGGAAGTTAAATAAACTACCCAGAGTGCTGGCCACGTGCAGACCAATGAAGGCAGAATCTCTGGGCCTCAGGCCTGGTGATTCCTTGTTCCCAGAGCCGAGACTTCCCCAGGCCCTCTTGCACTGTCTGCACTGCTGCCCCCCTCCTTCAGGTTTCCCTCTGGGACTCAGGTCCCCTGGCTGGGGCTTATCCTCAGCCCCGGCAACACGGCCTACAGCTGAGCTTCCAGCTCACAGCATGGGATTCCCACCTTTCTCCTGACTCACCTCTCCTTCCACGCCCAGGTATCCACCTGGGCAGCCACGCTTCCTGGCCTCAGCACACATTCTGAACTGTCCTTGGAGGGATTTTGGTGGCTCTGGCCAATATCCTTTGGGGCACTTTATCTCAGTGTGGCTGTGGCTCTGTTCCAGGCAGGCCCTGGCTAGCTGACTGGTGTCCTGTGGGCCCCACGCTGAGGGCATTACTGGACCCCCTTCTCGCCAGGATGGATGGACGTGTCTGTGAATGGTGGGTCTTGCATTACCACCCCCTCCTCTGCAGCCTCAGTTTCCTCATCTGTGGTCTGAGTTCGTGCTGAAGATGAAGGTAGGCCACCCTGCACACCATTGCCTGGTCTCTTCAACAGGTGTCACTGTGGGGTAAAGTTGGGGTAAACAGGAGGGTAGGAGATGGTTCTAGGGTAAAAAGCCTGTAGAGGTTCTTATGAAGTTACGTTGCCTTAGGGTTCTTTTTTTTTTTTTTTTTTTTTTTTCAGACAGTCTTGCTATGTTGCCTAGGCTGGAGTGCAGTGGCATGATCTCAGCTCATTACAACCTCTGCCCCCTGGTTCAAACAATTCTACCTCAGCATGCCGAGTAGCTGGGATTATAGGCAGGCACCACCACACCTAGCTTTTTTTTTTTTGAGATGGAGTCTCACTCTGTCACCCAGCCTGGAGCGCAGTGGCGTGGTCTTGGCTCACTGCCAACCTCCACCTCCCAGGTTCAAGTGATTCTCCCATCTCAACCTCCCGAGTAGCTGGGACTACAGGCGTCACCTGGCTAATTTTTGTATTTTTAGTAGAGACAGGGTTTCACTATGTTGGCCAGGCTGGTCTCAAACTCCTGACCTCATGATTCACCCACTTTGGCCTCCCAATTTTGGTATTTTTTTAGTAGAGATGGGGTTTCAGTATGTTGGCCAGGCTGGTCTCCAACTCCTGGCCTTGAGTGATCGGCCTGCCTCGGCCTCCCAGAGTGCTGGGATTACAGGCATGAGACACTGTGTTTGCGCCTGGCCCTTGGGATCCGTTTGAAATATAAGTTGGACTTTCCTCTACCAGAGGCAGGGCTCGGCCACCCTTGACACAGTTTCCAGTTCTCCACCCGCTCCAGTTCCACAGTAAGATGGATCCAGACATCTGTGTCATACAACTCCCTCCTGGGGACCACCCCACTATGGGACAGCTAGATGCAGCCTGTTTGACTGCCTCCTGACCCCAACACCCAGCATGACTATGACTGTGCAGATTTTCAATGACTGCCTCTCAGTCACTGTGTGACCTCCTGGGACCCGTGCCTGCTTGCTCCAAACCCACTACTTAAAACCCTCTGCTGGAAACCTGTTTGGATGATAGTCAAGGCGTGGCCCCATGTCCCTTCCTCGCTCCAGGCGCTCCCTGACCTCCATGCATGTGGCCTCTGGGAATGCTGTGTACTCTCAGGACGTGTAAGTAATGCAATCCTCTCTGTCTTGTGTCTCTCCTGATGATTGGGGAGGTGCTCTTCATCTGAAGGATCTTAAGTCAAATCAGAGACGTAACAGCCAAATACGGCGTTCAGTTCTTAACTGCATCCTGATTTTAAAACGCAGCCATAAAAGATATTTGGGGAACAACTGGGGGAAATTTGAATATGGACTGGGTATCAGACTGAAACGGGAAAAGCTCCCTTATCCCCCTCGCAGAGTGTGCGTTGGGAATGTGGCCCACTTCTTTAGTGCCCTGCTGCTCAAACCTCTAGGGAGAGCAGGCAGACGGGCAGGTTGTGGGGATCCAACCGCACAGCAGCGTCTAGGGGTGAAGTCTTACAGCTCCTGAAGCCCCAGTGGGCCTGTGTTACAGGGTGCTCTTTTAGTTTTGCCATCTGCAGATGGCTTGTGCTCATCAGCTCAATTAGACCCTCTGCCTTATTGCAAGGACGAAGGGCTTTCTGAATCCCGGGGTTCTTGCCTTGGTGTACCAGAAAAATCAGATCACATGTGGGCTTGGAGAATGAGTGCAAGGTTTCACCGAATGGTGAAAGTAGCTCTCAGCAGATGGATGGGGAGCCAGAAGAGGGAGTGGGAAGGTGTCCCTGGAGTCCGGCTGCTCGGCGGCTGGACTGTCCTCCCACCATCCCAGCCAAATTCCTGTCGGCGTCTATGTTGTTCGCCAGTCGATGGCCTGCCGGTGCCTGCCAGTGCCTGTTGGTGTGCTCTTCCGCCGGTGCGTTCCTCTCGACGTCCACCCACTTGTGTCTGTGCCCGCCAGCGTCTTGAGGTTTTTATAGACACAGGAAGGCGGTGTGGTGGGCCAGGGAGGTCTTGGAAAATGCAACATTGGGGCATGAAAACAGAAATGCTTGTCCTTATCTAGGTCCGTGGGCACAGGCCTGGGGGTGGAGCCCTCACCAGAGGCAACACCCTTCTCTACTCAGCACTTCCCTGCCCCCCTCCCATATCAAGATGACATGAGGGAATTATTGTTAATTTTGCTGGGTGAGCTAATAGCAGTATGGTCACACAGAAGAATGCCTTTGTGTTTTTGGAGATGACTGCCATAGGATCTAGGGCTGAAGCGTCGGGATGTCTGTGAGATACCTTGATATGTGTTAGCAATTTCTATTTAACCATCTATCTGCTTAGCAGATATTTGACAAAAAGCTAAGAGCTGTTGAGTCTATGTTGTGGCTCTATGAGATTCACGTGATTTTATTTCTGACTTTCTCTCCGTTTGGAAATTTTCATAATAAAAATTTAAAAATTGAGCGAGGGTGGATAAGCCCCACGGCGAGTGTCTGGCGCACGTGGATTGTTTGGTGAATGGGCGCTGCTGTCTCTAACAAGAGTGGTGGGCTGACCTGGCCCTTCTTATGCACGTCCCAGCTGAGCCGGGCCACCCTACTCCGCCGCTGGGTCCCAGCCATGACGCTAGGCCACACCTCCAGGGCCCTGCATCCCAGCATTTGCTTTCAAACGTGTCCTTCTCATAACCTGGGATGCTGTGGCCACACCTCACTCCTGCAGCCCCACTGCCCACCCTGGCAGGTCCTTGTGTCTCCAGCTATCCTGGAAGCAGCCTCAGACCCCCAGGGGTGGTGGAGCCAGGGAGTCCCAGCGGGGCCCGCACCTCTTCCTCCCTGGCACATTCAGATGTCAGTGTTTGAGAAGTGCTTTCCTCTCCTGGGGGTGGGTGGTTGGAAAGTGCTGATGGGAATCAGGTAATAACAGCCCCACTGCCTCCCAGACAGGGAGGGGTGGGAGCCATGGGGGACTTTGGGAGCTGCTGCAGGTCAGGCAGAGAAAGAGGGCAAGGGGTGTGATGAGGAGGGCAGCAAGATGAGGGCAGCCTCCACCTGGGATGAGCTTCTGTGGAGGTCGGGGCCTGGAGCTGCCCTGGGGTAGGTGCCCGGCACTAGCCCAGTGCTGGCTGTGGTCAATACTCAGAGGTCACTCACGGAGGGGATAGGGCAGGGCTTGAGCGTGGGCTCTGGAATATGGTAGTCTGGGCTGGAGTCCCAGCTGGGCGAACTACTCAGTCGCTTTGTGCCTCAGTTTCCCATTTGTGGGGTGGGAACAGGGTCATGTCACACGTATTTCATACGGTTATTGTGGGCATTAGGCACAGTAACCGAAGTTTCAGGAGTGGAACGTTACGTGTGAGTAGACGTTAGCACAGTCTCTCGTTTGTGGGGTGGGAACAGGGTCTTGTCACAGGTATTTCATACAGTTATTGTGGGCATTAGACACAGTAACCGAAGTTTCAGGAGTGGAACCGCTACGTGGAAGTAGACGTTAGCACAGTCTCTCGTTTGTGGGGTGGGAACAGGGTCATGTCACACGTATTTCATACAGTTATTGTGGGGATTAGACACAAATAACTGAAGTTTTGGGAGTGGAACTGCTACGTGGAAGTAGGCGTGAGCACTGACATCGTTAACATTATGTCGTCGCTCTCAAAATGCTAAATGTAGTTGCTCTCGGAGCCAACAATTCCCCTTCTGGGTTTCTGGGAGATGCGAAAACAAGAGGAACGCAAATATCCATCGTCCCAGAAACTCGTCTGGGAATGTTCACTGCAGAACTACTCACAATAGCCCAAAGTGGAAGCAGCCCAAATGGCCACCAGCAGGTGAATGAATAAACAAAGATGTGGCAAATCCCTGCCGTGGAATATTACTCAGCCATGAAAAGGAATGAACACGCACTACAACACACATGAACCTTGAAATACTGATGCTCAGTGAGAGAAACCAGACACAAAAGGCCACAAGCTGTGTGATTCTATTTCTATGAAATGTCCAGAACAGGTCAATATGTAGAGACAGAGGCAGATGTGTGATCACCAGCGCCCAAGGATTTGGGGGTTTGGAGTGACGGTGAATGGGTCCAGGGTTTCTTTCTGGGGTGATGAAAATGCTCTAAAATTGGACAGTGCTGATGGCTGCACACGTCTGTGAATGTACTGAAAACCACTGTTTTGTACACTTTAAATGGGTGACGCTTACGGTATATACATTTAGGACTCAATAAAGCCATTGTTTAAAAAGAAGGGCATTGGAATACATTGCTATCATATTTATTAATATATTATGTCTTAATTATTAATATATAATTATAATTTAACAATATACAGTTTTACGGTTAATACAATAAGGTATTAATATAGTTAATATGTAATATAATATATGCTATATAGCATATGTGAAAGCAATAATCTGTTAGTTTTATAAAATAAATATTGGTTTAAAGTAGTTGAAATTGCCATTTCTCTACATCCTGAATGGACAAACAGTGGCAATTTTGTGTGGTTCAACCTTATGTATTTTCCTTTTTTATTATTTGATGATAAGCATTGCTGTTTGGCTAATGCTATCATTTTGGGGTACTGCTGTGTGGCAGGCACTGGGCTGTTTTCCCCAGCACGGATGTCCTTTGCAGTGATTGTCTGGGATGCCCTGCTGGTCCCAGGCTGCAGAGTGAGTGGTGGATGTGGCTTAGCCAGGGACAGGGGCTGTGGGGTTCGGTTGGGAGCCATGGGTGGCCCCAGAGTTGGGCTTCAAGGCTGGGTTTCACTCCGTGCTGTGTACAGGAGCCTGTGGAGCAGTGTGTGAAAGCCCAGAGCCCAAGTCAGCAGGTCTGGGTGGCCTGAGACGGCGTTTCTCGCAGGTCCCCAGCGAGGTCGGTGCAGCTACTGTGGCCACTCTGGCCTCTGCTGTAAAGGAAGTGCCCTCCCTGCCTCCTGTTCCTCCAGGCGACCAATGTGCTGAGCCATTGCCCGCCTGACCGGGTCCCGGCTCGAGCTCACGGATGCTGCCTGCCCCTAGGTGCAAGCTGGTGGCCTCTGACACTGGGGCCAGGGGCCAGCTGTTCTCTATTTGTCATGACCACCGAAGCCAGAGGGAGGCAGGGCCTCTTCCTGAGAGGAAGCTGCATGAGGGCGGTGGGTGGCCTTGGACACCGGGGCCTCTGCCCAGCACGCCGGGCCCAGTCTGGCCGGATTTGGGGTAGGCAAGGGGGACAGGCAAGCAGGGCAGCAGACGGTGACTGGGCAGAGTTTAGAAGAAGCCGGGTGAGAGTCTGAGATGCGGAGAGGAAGCCCACCCCCACCCTGCGTGCTCAGAAACTTCCAGAAGGCTGTTTACTCCCCTGGTGCAGCTTCCCACAAGGGCCACCTCTATGTGCGTGGCCAGGTGGGAGCCAGGACACACAAGCTGAGCCTGGCCTGAGAGTCAGGGAGAGGCTGTGGCCAGGACAGCGCTCGGAGGCTCAGGGCACTGACACCAAGAGTTCCTGTGACACCACCTCAAAGCTTAGCACTGAGAACAGCAGCCGTGTAATTGATTTTCTCATTATTCTGCAATTTGGGTAGGGTTTGGAGGGATGGTGTGTTACAGCTCCACTTGGCCTCAGCTGAGGCTGGGGCTGGGCGGGGACTCAGCCGAGGCTGTCAGCTGGAGCGGGCGGGCTCAGTTCTTCTGCACATGGCCTCTCCACATGCCCAGGTTGGGCCTCCTCAAAGTATGGGGACCTTGGGGACTGGCAGACAAGGCATGACTTCCACCACACTCCCCCCGTGAGTAGCAGTTCACAGGCAGCCCAGGTCCAAGGGGAGGGACCTATGTGACCTTGGGCAAGCTGCTGAACCTCTGATTCTCAGCTTCTCATCCAGTTTCCTGCCTAGCTACAGCTGCATTCTTAGTGCCTAGAACCAGGCTCCACAGATAATAGGTGCCCAATAAAGAGACGGTGCAGAGCAATGGAATGGGCAAACCAGGTCATTCTTTAACTGTGCGGGCTGCATAGGATCACTGCAAGGATTCAGTGTAGGGAAGCGTATAAAGTGCTTAGTACTTCAGTACCTGGCCAAAGCACAGTGCCCGGTCAAGGTTAGTGCTTGTTTCTCAAAAGCACCCAGCCATGTGAGGCACAGCACCTGTGACAGGTGGCGAGGCGAGCCTTGCTGTAGGTCGCCCTAGATACCTGGTCAGGGGTAAGGTGGGTGCTGCTCCCCTTTTTTGCAGCCTGGGCCATTTGTTCAGAACCCAGAGGTGGGGCCAGGTCTGAGTCAGTCTTCTCTCTTTCCTCTGGGCCATAACAGGAGGGGGCAGCTCTGGAGAGCAATGGCAGCCAGGCAAGTGGGGAAACGGCTGATGCCCAGAAGGCAGATCTTCCTGCTTTGTGAAAGCAGGAGCTGAGAGAATTCCTTGTCCTTCAGCACAGAGCCACCAACCTCGGACACCTTCCCCCATGGTCCCCGCTGGGAGCAGCTGCCCATTTGGTGTAGAGTCAAATCACTGCTCAGGGGCCTTGACCAGTTCATTAGCCTCATCTGTGAAATGGGAGGAGAGAGAGTTCTCACTGTGGGGGCTGCTGCGTGGGTGCGGTCATGCATGCGAGTGTCCTGTGGCCCTTGTAACAAATGACCCTAAACTTGGTGCTTAAAACAGCAAGAATTTATTATTTCACAGGCCTGGAGGCCGGACGTCTGAAAACCAGGTGTCTGCTGGGTGGTGCTTGCTCCGAAGGCCCTGGGGGCGGCTCCTTCCTCCCTCTTCCAGCTCCAGGTGCCTGATGGCTTCCTCAGTGCTCCTTAGCTGGTGACAGCACTGCCCAGCCTCTGCTTCCGCCGTTACCTCGCCTTCTCTGTGTGTGTATGTGTTTCTCTATGGACTTCCTGTAAGGACACCAGTCTCAGATTTAGGGCCCAGCCTCCTCCACTATGACCTCCTCTTAACTAATTACATCCGCAGTCGTGGCCCTAGCTCCCCAAAAGGCTGCATTCTGATGTTCCAGATGGACACACATTTGGAGGGACACCATTCAACCCAGCACAAAGGGCTGCTCGGCTGGTCAGGGCTCCCCAGTCAGACCTGCTGTCGCCACTGCTATGATTAAAGCTGGGGAAGCTGGACTTCACTAGATGATCTCCCAGGTCCTCCTGGTTCCCGGAAGCTCTGGGATTCCTGTTTGTATTCTTGCCCCACCCTAGCCTCCCACTGTGGTCCCATCCTCAAGGAGTCCCTCAATTCACAAAAGCCAGAGCATCACCCGGAGATGGAGTGATTCTCTCCAATATTTACTGGGACCTAACTCTGATTTAAATGTCCACGGGGGCTGTTGAGATGGCCCCTGACCATCTCTCTCCCCGCTTCCCCTCTGTCCCTCTGTCCCAGACATGTTGGCCCTCTCTTACACTCCTTTCAACCAGTCAAAAACACCCCATCCTCCAAGCGTTTGCACCGGCTGTTTCCTCTGCCAGGAGCACTCTTCCCCCAGACCGCCAGGTGACTCCCGCTCTCCCTGCATTCAGATCTTGGCTCAGAGTTGCCTGCCTGCCCCCCTGCCCCCACCACACAGCATCAGCCATCACCCCGACCACTCCGTACCTGCCTCAGAGATTTATTTTTCGCAGCATTTACAACCACCTGGCTTTTTTGTTAATTGCTTTGTTAATTTGCTGATCGTCTGTGGCCCCAACTAGAACAGGCAGCCTCCACGGGGCGGGGTTTACTCCGTCCAGGCCACAGCTGCATACCCCGTGCCTAGAACAGGGCTCAGCAGACAGCAGTGGCCCAATAAAGGCGCGATTATAGTTTAAAAGCAGTTCTGGGTTCTGGGTAGCTGTTAGTTTTTCAGAAAATACAAATCCAGCTGCTATAAAAAGCACAAATCCTATCACGCTGGATCTGAACTGGATCTGAAATAATATTGGGGATCGCCAAGGGGCTCAGATATTTCTTTAAGTCGCCCGTGAGCAAGAACCATCAACTTGGCCACATCCTCGTTTGTCCAGCAGAGGGCAGCTGATTCCCAGCCGCTTGGAATTGCTCTGCCCAGAAGGGCTCACTTTTTTTTTCCTCTTTGAAATTCTGAAATTGATGGGAGATTCAAAAAAAAAAAAAAAAAAAAAAAATCCCACAGTCCGTGTGAGTGGGGGAAAAAATCACTTGATTTGATGCACAGGCAATTGGGCAATTGTTTCCTTCTAGGTTTCAAAAAACCTTCTCTCTTTCCAGAATTTTGAAGGACTTGCGGGGGGCGTGGGTTAGATTTTTGATGAGCTCAGGAATGGACCTCGGTTTCTACAGGTGTTTGAAGGTCTGATGGATCAGGTGCAGCCCAGCAATGCCTGCAGGTGTCATGGTCACGGAATCTGTGGGAGCAGACCTGCCCTGGAGACACCTGCAGTGAGCCTGGGAGTCACCCCGCTTGCGGAGGGCGGGGAAGGGGGGCACGCAGGAAGCCTGTGCTGTGGGTCTGGTCTGGTCCTAATTAGCTGTGAGACCTTGGGCAAATCACTTAACCTCTCTGGTCCGTTTACTCTTCCGTTAAATGGGATGCCATATTAACTCCTCTTGAAGTTCCTTTTAGCACAAAAGTCCAGAGTCAAAGGAGAGGGGAAGGCTCCTAGCCTGGGTGCCTCGGGCAGTACAAGCCTCTGAAAGCTTAATTATGTCGGATATCGTGGACCTAGGCGGATCTGCAGTTCACCTTTATCTCTGGGTGTGGAGCGGAACTGAGGCTGATTCTTGGCGCTACCACTAACTGGACATGTGATCTGAGGTCAGTTTGTGTCTCTGAGCCTCAGTTTACCCAGCTACAGGCTGAGGACATAGTCCACCTTTGCAGAGGTGTGAGTTTTCAATGTGATAACAGACAAGGGTGGACTCTCTCCTCTCACTCGAGAGCCCCCCTCCCACCCTGGCTGCCCCTGCTTGCCCAGGACTGTCCAGGGTTCCCTGACATGCGGCCCCACAGGTCTGGGTGTGGTCCTAGGGGCTGATGTCTCTCCTCTTCCCCACTTATCAGAATGCCCCCAGCCTGGCCTCTTCCACCTGAGTCCTGTTCTCTGCCTTAATCCAGTGAGTTCATTTCTCCTCTGACAGCCCCTTGAAAAGGTCAGTGGGGTTCCAGGGAGAGAGTTTGGGGAATTATCTCGGCGTCCACCCTGTGTCTGTAGGTCCCTCCTGGGGTACAGTGGATCTGCTAGTGCTTATGTGAGTGAGTGAGTGTGTATGAGTGTATGAGTGTGCAAGTGTGTGTAGGTGTGTATAAGTGTGTGCAAGGATGAGTGTGTATAAGTGTGCAAGCATGTGCGAGTGTGTGTATATGAGTATGCAAGTGTGAGCGAGTGTGTGTGCGAGTGAGTCTGCGAGTGTGTGAGTGAGTGTGAGTGGGATGAGGGGCAGACAGTGGAGAAAAACACAAATCTTTTCTTTTACTGGAGTGAAATTAACATAACATACAATTAACCATTTAAAGCGTGCAACCCAGTCAACACTCTTTTATCAAAGAGAATTTACAATAGCAGGAAAGCACTGAGAGGCCACCATCGGCCAGGCCCCTGCCAGAAGCTTCGCCACACAGTGTCATTTCGTCCTTACTACCTGACTCCAGGAGGAAGGGCGTCAGTGGGTGAGGAATCTAATGCTCAGAGAGGCTGAGCAACTTTCCCAAGAACACCCATCCAGGACGTGGCGGAGCAAGAATCAAGCCTGGGGTGCTGGAGGTGACTGGGGACACCTGCCTGGCTATGGTTCTGACCCGACTCAGGGGACTTGGGAAGGGTGGTGGGCAGGCATGGGCGGGGACGGTGGGCAGGGCAGCAGTAGCCCCAGTGAAGTCACTTGACCTCCTCATCCCTTCATTTCCTGCTCTGCCAGAGAGGAAATGTTTATACAGCGGCCCCACACAGACGCTCCACAGGCCTGGGGTTGCAGTCATTAGCTGAACAATGAGGGCCCGGCCTGTCCCTGGCCCCAGAGATGGCCTGGGGTCAGGCAGCCGGGCCTGGCTCCTCCTCCACGAATTTGCCTTGTGATCCCACCCTGGGCCTGTTTCTCCATCTGGGAGAGGCAGAGGCTGAGGGTGCTGGCCTTTGGGACTCCTCTGAGGCCCCCGGCTGGGTGATCCGTCTGGTGGTGACATGTGGGGAGGAGAGTGGTCACGAAAGGGGGATATGTCAGCAGAGAACTCTCCCCCAGATCCTTATCTCGCACGGTTTAATCATGCGGGTTTCTGATTCAGCTCAACATTTCAACAGCCGCCTAAGAAGTCTCTTCCGAGTGGCTGGCTTGGTCTTCCATTAGTTGGTGCACTGATGAATGAACCAAGCAAAGGTTTATCCTGCACCTATGGCCAGCTGGCCGTGGGCACCTGTGTGCATGTGCGGAGCTGTCCTTAGTGGGTGGCTGTCTGGCCAGGAGCTGTGTTTCCCAGGTGTCTTTGCATCTGGGTGGGAACAGGCCACTGGTTCTTGCTGAGAGAATGGGTGAGAAGAAGGTGGTTGCTGCTGCTCACCAAGGAAGTGTGTTGTATTCACCACAACTCTCTGTCTTTTCCCCTCTCCTGTCTGAAGACTCTGACATCCCCTGGACAGCAAGGCCCCATCTGGAAGAAGCCCAGGCTCTTGAGTCACCATGTGGCAAGGCTAATGTCTGAGAGGGACGTCCACATTGGAAGGGTCCACGCATGAGACATAAACTTGTGACAGGACATTGAGATTTGGGAGAAACAGAATAGAGGAAAATGATGGGATGTGACAGAGACCCAGTGCTGCCCCTGGCTGGCGCCCCAGAGCCCATCTACCAGAGAGCACCTTCCTCCAGAAGACGGGAGGAAATTTAAAACTAATCTTATAGCTTCTGTCCACAGAGAACTCAACCACACACCCACACACAGTCACAAAACAAGAACAACAGAGCACTTAGGGCCAAACCCTTTACATACATTATCTCATTCAATCCTCACAGTAATCCTACAACGTCAGTGCTATGCAGCATTCCCATGTTACGGATGAGGAAGCTGAAGCCCAGAGAGGTTAAGTAACTTGCCCAAGGGCACACAGCCAGCGAGTGGTGGAGCCTGGAGTCGCCCCATGGTCTGTGAGATGCTGAGAACATGGATAAACCTCAGCGTGCACAGTGGGTACACTTGCCGTGTGTCGTCTTGGTGTAGCAGTTGGCATTACCTGAATGTATACAGCTACGTGGTGCCAGCCCTGGAAATGCAGCTGCAGATGACACAGAGCCAGTCCCTGCCCTTGGTGGGGATGGGAGAAGGGGGACACATTCAGTATTTAGGCTGTAGGATCATCAAGATTTTGATTGGTGGGGTAGGTCCATGTTCACCCAGCTGCCTTATATCTGTCAGCCCACCAGAAAGGTGCCCGGGAGCTGGGACAACTCCAGTTCCTGGAAAGGCAGAGCCCCTACTACATATGTGTCCCAGTATATACATCAGTCTCTTGTGAGTTGAGTTACTATGTCTACATACATTGAGTTGGTCCATCCATGAATCAGTATGATCTTAGCAAATTACATCTACAAAGACTCTATTTCTAAATAAGGTTACATTCTGAGGTCCTGAGTTGGCATAGATTTTGAGGGGACACCATTCAACTCAGTATATTGTAAAGCTCTCAGGCATAGAGATGCCAACCCCAGCAGTTGGAAGTTACCTGGGTGCTAATATGTCCAGATCCTGGAATGGTCTTTGTAGGCAGATCCCTGCCAGCATCCACTTGGGCTGGGAGTGAAAGTACAAGGTTTTTGTTTGTTGTTTTTGAGCCAGGGTCTCACTCTGTTGCCTAGGGTGGAGTGCAGTGGCACGATGTCGGCTCACTGTAACCTCCACTCCTGGGTTCAAGCGATTCTCCCACCTCAGCCTCCCAAGTATAGCTGGGACTACAGGCTCAGGCCACCACACCCGGCTTAATTTTTGTATTTTTTGGTAGAGACGGGGTTTCACCATGTTGGCCAAGCTGCTCTTGAACTCCTGACCTCAAGCTTTCAGCCTGCCTGGGCCTCTCAAAGTGCTGGGATTACAGGCATGAGCCACAGGCACAACACAAGATTTTGTTTTTGGGCTCTGCTTAGCTCCAACATGAGGCTGGGCTGGGTCTGAGGGGGGCTATTTCGTTCCAGCTTAAATCCATCCTGCCCCAAAGTAGCAGCCACCCGTGATCAGAGGGCTTGGCCCTGGTTTCAGGTTCTCCTTTCAGAAAAATGATCTCTTTCTGCCTTTCAGCAGATGACTTCACCTATGGTGGCTGCATTCTTTGTTTCCTTGGGTCAATGCCACTGGTGGCTCCATTGGGTGTGTGTCAAGAAGACACACGGCAAGTCTGTCCACTGTGCGCATTGAAGTTTATCCATGCTGTCAGCATCTTGCAGACCATAGGGCGAATCCAGGCTCCACCACTCATTGGCTGTGTGCCCTTAGGCAAGTTACTTAACCTCTCTGGGCTTAGCTTCCTCATCTGTAAAATGGGAATGACACATAGCACTGACACTGCGGGATTACTGTGAGGATTGGATGAGATAATATATGTAAAGGGCTTGGCCCTAAGTGCTCCGTTGTTCTTGTTTTGTGACTGTGTGTGGATGTGTGGTTGAGTTCTCTGTGGACAGAAGCTATAGGATTAGCTTTGAATTTCTACCCGTCTTCTGGGGCTGCCTGGAGGAAGGTCCTCTCTGGTAGATGGGCTCTGGGACGCCAGTCCGGGGCAGCACCGGGTCTCTGTCCCACCCATTATTTTCCTCTGTTCCGTTTCTCTGTCAGGACCCCGAGGCTGAGGACGTGTCCTTTTCCACGTCCCATCCCACTTTCTTGCAGGCCCGAGACCAGATGAGAACCTGGAGGGAATAAAATGGGAAATGAGAATTCGTTGTGTGGCACGTGGTCCATGAACGCTCTTTACCAAAAGTGACTCAGAGCATAGAAATCATCCACATTTGGTTTCCAAAGCCAGGCTGGGCCTTTCCAGAATTTGTGTCCCCTAATAGGTAGCGGGACAGCTGGACTTTGGCTTCATTTGGGACAGATGCTGCAGCTGGCCTCTCTGGGCTCCAGGTCATCCTGTCCCTACCTCTTCCTGAGCTTCCAAACCGGCCAGCAGACTTGACTGCCCTCTGCCTTCCCTTCCCAGAGCACAGCGGCAGTTGCCTGGGTGCTGGCGGCCTCCTGACCTCCCGAGGACTTTGGCATTGGAGACTCATCTTGACGTGGTCCACTGTCTGAACGAGCAGATGCCAAGATCCCATGCTCAAACTGAGCAATGAGAGTGAGCCCAAAGTGAGGCGTGTTCTGATTTCCAAGATAAAGTCCAGACTTGGCCGAGCTGTGGCCAAGCCCAGTCCTGCCTTTTCCTCCAGCCAAGCCTTGGCTTCTGCTGCGTCACCCCGGCGTCTAATCAACGATGCTTGCTTTCCGTGCAATTATTTGAACTTGCTTTTCAAAAGACCCAGTTTGAATCCAGCCAACGGACTTGTGCCTTAGCCCCATGATATAACCTGATGACGTTCGGTGGAATAATGACCGTTCATCACAGCCACCACTGCTTGAAGGCGTGCTGTGTTTTATGAGTTTTACGAGAGTTCTTCTCTGGAGTGGGTGAGGCTGGTTTCCAGCTCTCAGGGCTGGGCCTGCCATATTGGTTGTTTATGTCTGGGGTGTTTGGATCGGCTGATGTCTGCTCGACATGGGTTGTTAGATATTTTGAACATCACCCCTGTAGGTAGGTAAATGTCATCATCCCATTTCACAGAAGTGGAAAATAGAGGCTTACAGCAACTAAACAAGCTTCCCAGTCTCACTTAGCTATTAGGTTGCCGCAAAAGTAATTGCGGTGTTTGCCATTAACAGTAAGGGCAGGCCGGGCACGGTGGCTTACGCCTGTAATCCCAGCACTTTGGGAGGCCAAGGCGGGTGGATCATCTGAGGTCAAGAGTTCGAGACCAGCGTGACCAATATGGTGAAACCCCGTCTCTACTTAAAATACAAAAATTTGCCGGGCGTCAAGGCGTGCCCCTGTAATCTCAGCTACTCGGGAGGCTGAGACAGGAGAATTGCTTGAACCCAGGAGATGGAGGTTGCAGTGAGCCCAGATGGCACCACTGCACTATAGCCTGGGTGACAGAGTGAGACTCCATCTAAAAAAAAAAAAAAAAAAAAAAAAAGTAAGGGCAAACACCGCAATTACTTTTGCACCAACCTAATAGAAAGTAGAAGAGCTGGTATTTGACCCCCGGAGCAGCCAAACTCCACTTCAAGTTCATGAACTGAGGGAGCAATGTTCCCCTCTCATGCCAGTGACCCCCATTTCTTGTGGCCTCAGCGGCTTGGCCGGGCATGATGTCCGTTCTCTCCTAACTATGTGCCGATTGCCAGTGGTTTTGGGATTGCAGCTGCTGGATACAGAGGCGCTCTGGGAAGTCTGGGGAAAAGCGGCCAACGCTGTCTTATTTGGGGTCTTTGTTTTAAGGAAACAGGCTGGCAGAGTTAACTTTGAGACAAAACTTGATATGTCAGCAGCCAGCTGAAACACAAAAGCCAAGGACCACACTGGCAGATGGTGGATTTAACCGAGAATCACACCAGAGTGACGTCAAATTCATTACAAAAGCCTCGCGTGGGCCCCTGAGAGCGTAGGAAGAGTGTACAGTGATGAACTGCATGATCTCAGGGGTGAGCTGGGGTCCCCCACAAACAGCTGAGACAAGGACTTGGGTGCAGGTTGCTTACTGGTTCGGGGTGAGGGGTGCCTCCTGGAAGCCTGTGGTCTACAAAGTAATGGTCCCCAATGATGTTCACGGTCCTAATCCCTGGAACCTAGGAATAAGTGGCCTCATGTGGGAAAAGGGACCTCGTGGATATGATTAGCTACAGATTTAACATGGTGGAAATTATCCTGGAGTATTCGAATGGGCCCAGTGTAGTTACAGTCATCCCTTGGTATCCAAGGGCCGTTGGCTCCAGGACTCCCGTGGATAGCAAAATCTACAGATGCTCAGGTCCTTCATATAAAACGGCAGAGCATTCGCATACAACATACGCACTGCCTCCTGTATACTTTAAATCATCTCTGGATTACTTATAATTCCTAATACAATGTGCATGCTATGTAAGTCGCTGCTTTACTGTGTTGTTTAGGGAATAATGACAAGGAAGAAGAGTCTGCACATGTTCAGCACAGATGGAATCATTCATTTTTTTTTCCAAATATTTTCGATCTGTAGTTGGTTGAATCTGTGAGTTCAGAGCCTGCAGATACGGGGCCCTTAGAAGGCGGAAGAGGGAGAAACCTGGGAAGAGGCTGCACTGCTGACTTTGCAGGTGGAGGGAGGGGCCGGGGCCAAGGAGTGCAGGCAGCATCTAGAAGCTGGAAAAGGCCAGGAAATGGGTTCCCCAGAGCCCCCCAAGAGGAACCAGCTCTGCCCACAGCTTGAATTTAGGACTTCTGACTTTCAGAATTGTTGGATAGTAAGTTTATGTGGCTTTAAGTCACAAAGTTTGTGGTAACCTGTAACAGCGGCTGCAGGAAACTGACGAGGCAGGGAGGCAGGCAATAAAGGGTTACCTAATACAGGTGATTGATAAATGGCCGGGCTGCCGCATGGGCACCTGACATCATTGCAGAATCACCTCACCGTGGACAGGACAGCTGACACCTTCACCCGCAGAGATACCAGTCATTGCTAGAAGGTTCCCCCATACTCCAGGCTTCTGATTGGGGGTCTTAGCAATTCCACCAGTGCAGGCTGAGAAGCAGCAGTGCAGACCCAGCCGCAGGAGCACAGGTGGCTCTGGACGGGGCACCAGCCTAACTTCCTCCATGCACCGCCTTCCCTGTTCCTGCCCTGCCTTTTCTCCCCCTGTACCATTTCACTAATACTTTTCTTTAACTGGAGTTGCTTTATATTAAAGGAAACTCAGCCCCAATCATCATAATTCCCCGAAATGATGGGTTTGATACTTTTGTTACACATTTTTCTAATAAATGTTAAAATAAATACATTAATGGTGAAAATACCAAGTTTGCGCATTGACCAGTCATCTCCTGTGACCACCCAAGGATCACTGCCGTGAACTTCTGGAAACACTGCACTATTTCATCTGGCCACAACAACAACCATTTTGTGCTGGGGAACTGAGGTTCAGAGAGGCTCAGTGGCTCTCCTAAGGCCACACAGTAAGTAACTGAGCCAGTAGATTTCTCAGTCTTCAAAGCTTATGATCTTTCTACCATTCCACCTTCTGCCTAATAATAATAATAAAAATATTAATAACCATGCCGAGGTCCCTTGCTGTGTGCCAGGCCATGTTTCGCGAGCTCTACACACGGGAACTGATCAAATCCTTGCCACAAACACTGTGGTTACCATTATCCTTGCTTAATTATATTATTAAATTATATGAGTATATGTTATTTTATTTATACTGATGACAGGTGCCATTATTATCTCCGTTTTTCAGAGAGGAAGCAAAGGCACAGAGGGTTTAAGCCTCTTGCCCGTGGTCACACAGCACGGCTGGCTTCTGCAGGGTTTCAGGCCAAGCCTCTGCCCCCTGAGATGCAGAATTCTGAGAAGTGGCTCTAAATTTACTGTGCTCAGGAGGTGACCTTGGTTCTCTGTTGAAGGCAAATGAACGGACAGCATCCCAGGCCTCTCCATGGAGCTAGTTTGGGCTGGCCTGAGGCTTCGTTTTTTCTGTGGCAGAGCACTCTGTGCTGTGGACGCAGCCCATGTCACCATCCATTCTGCATTCCCAGTGATGAGCTTTCGGTGGCTTCCAGTTCTTCATGATTATCAATTGTTCTGGGATGAGCACTCTTTTTTTTTTTTTTTTTTTTTTTTTTTTTTTTTTTTTTTTTGAGATGGAGTCTTTCTCTGTCACCCA
This sequence comes from Homo sapiens, assembly GCF_000001405.40. NCBI lineage: Eukaryota > Metazoa > Chordata > Mammalia > Primates > Hominidae > Homo > Homo sapiens. Next base: position 86,081,897 of record NC_000016.10, read on the forward strand.
GGCTGGAGTGCAGTGGCACAATCTCAGCTCACTGCAAGCTCCGCCTCCTGGGTTCATGCCATTCTCCTGCCTCAGCCTCCCGAGTAGCTGGGAATACAGGTGCCTGCTACCACGCCCGGCTAACTTTTTTTTTTTCAGTAGAGTCGGGGTTTCACCATGTTAGCCAGGAAGGTCTCCATCTCCTGACCTTGTGATCCGCCTGCCTCAGCCTCCCAAAGTTCTGGGATTACAGGCATGAGCCACCGCGCCCGGCCTGGGATGAGCATTTTTGCATATGGGTTCTTGTGAATGTCCGTAAGCATTTTTGTTGCATGTGTACCCAGAGTTGCAATTGCTGGGACCCAGGGCAGGCAGAGGCTCAGCATTCATAAAAGCTGCTGCACATCTCCTGGCAGTTTGTAAAGACCCTTTTGCCCCCAAACCATCATCCTGTGACCCATCTGATTCACACGTGGTGAGGATGACTGTTGACATATTCTTTTTTGGAGCAGGTTTTGATGGGATGAAGGTGGAGACAGTGAGAGGGTCAAGCTTTTAAAGGATGGCAGGGAAAAAATATCAAAGAGAGAGAAGTGGGGCATGGGCTGTTTCACTGCACTTTGCCCTGGGATGGTGAGTGTGGCATGCAATCTGCAGCAGGAGGCGTGGATGGACAGCTGATGTTTGGAGGGCTGGGCATCAGCAGGGGTCAAGAGCTGCTGCCCCTTGATGTCCCATGGTGCAATGGGAGGATGGGAGGAGAGGGAAGCAGGTGTCTCCGTGGAGACCCTAAGCCCACACAGTGAGGGATATGCAGATGCTCGTGCACCACGGGTGCGTTCTCTCCACAGGCAGTGGGCTGATATTAATTTGTATGCACCAAAATAAAAACGGCCAGCTCCCACACTGACCATGGGGGTCAGTGCAAGCCTGACCACCAGGAAGTGAGGAATTTCTATCCAAAGGGGGCCTTGTCATGACTGGGTTATCAGAGCTGGCAGCGATGGCCTGGGGCTGCTGATGGACAGGAATGATGTGTCACCTGACAGACCACAGGTGTCCGAGGAGGAGGCAGGGACCCTGTGAGAAGGAAGCTCTGTCCAGACGCTGAGGGGCTGTCCAGTCACCTCCCACTCCCCGCCTGCTCCATGCAATGCTGACTCTTCTGGGGAAACAGTTTGGGGAATAGTTCTTGTGTCTTTTTAAAAATTCACAATTATTTTTATTGCTCTTTTCTTGTTATAAAGGATATTTATATAAGTAGAGATAAGAGAAAGGAACGGAAATGGAATGTAAGCCATCCACACAGAGCAGTGAGTGTGGGTCCCTGGATCATATTGCAGGGGTGGAGGGTTTCTGTGCAGGCACATGTGGGGGTCAGGCATTTGCAGCCCCGCCCATACTTTCTCAGCATTCAAGGCTCCTGAACAAGCTGATGGTTTCCCACCCCAACGTATGTGAGAATCCATGCCAGAGACTTTCTCTGACCATGGGAAAATGCTCAGTCCACCTACAGGGCGGGCCAGAAAGGGCAGGGAACAAAGGCCTTGGAGTCTCTCAGGATTGGTGACAGATGGGGGCTGGTGGGTCAGCACCCCAGCTCTCTCTCGCATTGGGAGGATGCCTTGGGGGCGAGCTCTCCACCACTCCCAGAGCTCTCTGGGGGGACTGAGCCCACTTGCCATGAAGCCCCTGCTCTGTGAGGTCCCTGTGCTGTGGCCCTCCTCCCCGACCTTGCCTCTCCACTTCACTGCTGCTCTGGTCATCCCCCAAATCAACTCTCATGCTCAAATCCTTGTCTCAGGGTCTGCTTGTGGGGGGCCGGGCATAAGCCCAGCCATGCTGTCTTGGGACTCTGGAGCCAGACACAATTGGAGTGCAGTCCCAACTCTGCACTGACCAGCCCAGTGGCGTAACTGGGACTAGTGGCTTCCTTGAGCTTCGGCTTCCTCCCCAGTGAGATGAGCCTCCTGCGACCTGCACCATTTTGTTTTGAGGAAATCTTGGCACCAGAATGGCACCTCACATGTCACCTGCATGCATGGCAGCTGGGGCTGACCTCAGTGCCCTGAGCATGCCTCCCTTAGATTGGGTTTATTTGTGTCCAGACCAGCTTCTCTGGGGGCAAGAACCATGGTTTAAAGTTTAAGTAATTAAAAAAAAAGTCATGCATTTATTTTTGTTAGTGACATATTTATGTAGTTGTATAATCAATAGGTACACAAAGGGGCTGTGTGGCCCATGATGATGACTGAGGTTTCTTTTGTAGTTGGCTACAATCTGGTTTAAGATCCTTTTCATCTGTGGGTTCCCCTCTGTTTCTTTTGTCCTGCACTTAATTTTTAAAAATTATGATCTAATTTGAAATATAAAGAATATCTCATAAATAATACGACAAAGGACAGCAATGCCAACGCCTGTCACTATTTGAGAGGTGGCCTTCTTCCAACAGCCCTCATGGCCTTCTCCCAACAGCCCTGCAGGGAGCACTCTCCTCCCCATGCTACGGATGAGGAAACTGAGGCCAGAGAGGAGAAGATCCTTAAAGGAGACACAGCTAGGAAGGCAGAATCACAATCTGCACACAGGCAGTGTGAGCCCAATACCCTTGGGGCAGAAATATTCCTATTTTTTTCTCTGAAACATATTCTCACTCTGTCACCCAGGCTGGAGTGCAGTGGTGTGATCTCAGCTCATTGCAGCCTCTACCTCCCAGGCTCAAGTGATCCTCCCACCTCAGCCTCCCGAGTAGCTGGGACCACAGGCATGCACCACCACACCCAGCTAATTTTTGTATTTTTTGTAGGGACGGGGTCTCCGTGTTGCACAGGCTGATCTCGAACTCCTAGGAGGGCCCAAGTGATCTGCCTGCCTGACCTCCCAGAGTGCTGGGCTTGCAGGCGTAAGCCACTGAGCCCAGCCTGAGATATTCTTTTCGAATGGAAATCTCTTGGACCCCCAGACCTGTCTGAGGGGTGTCTCCGGAATGTCTATATAAACGATGTTTGGTGGAGGCGTTTGTTGGGAGGTGGCCTTGAGCGGCATTGCCTTTGAACTTTCCCTAGGCTGCAAAGACGGTGATTATTCATGGGACCAGGCTAATGTCATAGTGCCCAACCACTTGAGTTCAAAGCCCCTTCTGGGCTCCCTGAATCACTTGAGTTAGTTAATTCGTGTCTCTAGGCCTTGATATCCTTATTGGGCATTGGGAATAGTAGCAGTACCCACCTCTTTGGGCTGCTGCCAGTAGTGGTGGGTCATCCATGTGGGTGAAGTGCCTGGCCCTGTGCTGGGTGAGATGCAAGACCAGCACCCAGCAGGGGTCTGGGGCCATAAGCAGGAGTAGGGAGTCTGCCCCACGGGGCACCCACCTCCGCCTTGACCCCTTTGCCAGCCTGGTTTTCTTTCCTCCCAGCCCCCATCGCATGTAGAGCGTGGCTCTGGAGCTGTTAGCCCCCCCAGGCCCCACCCCACTGGGCACTGCCCTGCAGGGAGCACCGGGGAGGTGCGCCCACCAGCCGGCGCTTGGGAGAGACTCCCTTCTGCTCTCCTAAGCCTTCAGGACGGTGGAAGAAATGAGCAGTGTGGAAAAGGCCTCCGGACTGCCTCCTGCTTGGAGAAGCCGCATTCCTGAGAACCTGCCCCTGCCTTGGGAATGGGGGTCTCTCTTCCCTGGGAGGCCCCCAGGACAAATGGGTGTCAGCTCACCTATGCTGCCCGCCACCCACCCAGGCTCCCAGTGACCACCCTGTTCTTCTGTGTAATTCCACGTGTCAGCGCAGAGAAAGCACCACCTCCTCACCACTGCTTAGGAGGTAGTGCAGCCCAGTGGGCAAGACTGAGGGTTTTTAAGAAGCTGTGTACTTTGGAGCAATTTCTTTCACCTTTCTGAGCCTCGGTGTTGCCATGTATAACATGTGATAACAATCCTTACCTCCTAGGGGGTGGCTGAGACGGCCTATTAACACCCTTATCCATTTTCCTTTCCTGTATGTTGTAATCCTCCCAATTTTAAGCAAAGGAAATGACTGCCCAAAATAAAGACTCCATTTCCCATCCTCCCTTAGAGCTGGGTGTGTCCACGTGACTCTGCCCAGCATCCCTTCATCCTCCTACCCTCGGGGTGTGCACTGTGGGTGAGGGTGAGCTGCTCAGGGCCTTGCAGATGAGGACACACTCCCAGGGGGACACGCACAGCAAGGCGGAGGGAGCTGGAGCCCCTGTGGACTTTGCAGATCAGAGCTTGGGCTTCCATGAGCGAGAGAAATGGACTTTTGTTTATTGGAGTCTTGGTTAGACGCGGTTCAAACCATATAATTTCTAATGCAGATTTTTGAGGTTAAGAGCACGGTTATCATAATTTTACGTGCATCATCTCATTTAATTTTCACAGCCACCCCTCGAGAGAGGTGGGTACCATTGTTATCTCCATTTTGCAGTTGAAAAACCCCGAGCACTTGCCTGCAGTCACGTCATGAATCAAAAGACAGAAACTTACTAGAAACAGGAACTGAGGGTCTCCCCAAAGCAAGTCTTCTGACAATCCAAGATGAGGGTTCCTGCTTCCCAAAGGCAACCAGCCTTTCCCTGAGTATCTCAGGCATTGATGTGTTTTAACCAACAGCCCTTTGCACAAGGTGGCCTTTTAATAAACACTGATTGATTTGTGCTTTTTTGGGAGGGTTGTTGACATGTCAAAAACGGTGGCTCTTACTAAGATGTGAAACTGGTAACAGCAACTCTGCCTCAACGTCTGATGCGGTTATAGGTTCCCAGGAAGCCACAGGCCTCAGGACTCCAGGTTGCTCAAAGGCTGGTGTCTTCCTGAAGGAGGGCTGTTTTCGCGCCCAGCATGGCGGTGGGGTCTGGAGAGCACACCTCTGCCTCTCCTCCAGAAGAAACCTATCCTTCCTTGGAAAGAGCAACAGCATTTCAGCTGGGAATAACATAAGGCTCTGCTACGAGAAAGTGCTTTCACTGACAACTCTCACAAGAAACTCTTGCCTGTCTGTCTTGACTGTCCGCTGCCTAAAACTTGGTGGTTTTACGGGCAGAGTGAAGGATGTGGCTCACACGACTCGGTGGGCCAAGAGGGAGGTATGAGTGATCAGAGAGTCCCGGGTGGAGGGAAGAAGAACCCAGGTGCCTTTTCACAGCGTAGGGACAAGGAGGGCGCAGGGAAGGACCCAACCTGGCCCAGCGGTCTCCCTCGGCGGGCCATGCCCGGCCCTATCCTTCCGCCGCGTCTGCGCCTCCTTTCCCATTGTGTTTGGCTCCCTGGCACCGGATGGACCCGGCTTGGCCACCATGTTCTGAACAGGCGTTCTCACATTTTTCTTCCAAGATGGGCTCAAACATAAACAGCCCCGGATGGTGGGCATCCGGACTCCGGGGGCCCATTGGCTCTATCCGGTGTTTGTCACTTCCCCGGAGACTGCTGGCGGTGAAGGGTGGGGTTTGAGACAGGCATTCATGTGTCCGAGGAGCGGCCAGGACAAATGGGTATGTCGGGAGGTCGGGATCAGAGAGCCCGATGTTTATGCTGCTGGGCCCTGGGACGCGCCCATGTTGGTTGACTCCACCATATGAAGTCTGTTCTGTTTTGCTTCACAGGAAGCTTGCAGCTTGGAAGTGTGTCCAGCGTAAGGCTTCCTAATCACTCTACTGTTTCTGGCTGCCTTTGAGGATTTTGGCAGGAGAGAAACCATTGCTCTACATTTCCCAGGAAATAGTGGGGTCTGAGGTGTCTGGTGCTTGACTCGGACCAAGATGAGCCGAGGGGGTGGCGGTTGGCAGGTCTCATCCAAGATAGCTTTGTCTGTGTCTCAGCCGCTTTGGAACTGGAGGGGATCCCGATAGAGACTTAACACAGTGTTAGTAAGAGGCAAATGTCTGGCCGTGTGATCCTGGGCGACTTCCTGGGAACTAGACTTGCCAAGTTCCAAGCTTTAAACGTTGGCTGGGTCAAGGCACAAATGCACCTGTGTGTGCACGTGGGCACAGATGTGTATGAACGTGTGTGAAGCCCCAGAAAGGACCCCTGGGGTGCTCATTTTTTACCCCCAAGGGAACCAGTCTTGAAAATGAGCAGGCGGGCACTGGGAAGCCCCTCCGAGGGTTGGTGTAATCGGTGGGGGTGAGCCGGCTTCCCAAGGCCATCCATCACACAGAGGGCTGGCGGTATGTTAGCATCGCCTCAGCAAGAGATAGCGGGGGAAAAATGGCCTGGACGGACGATGTGCTTATCTGGCCTGGTGTCTGCGAGGCCTGTCGAAAGGGGATAGGTCCATTCATCAAGCCAGCAGGGGTTACCCCTAGCTGGGGCCCCACAGCACCTCTCACTCCTCTCTGGCCTCCACGTTCTGAACCCACCTGGTCGCCCCACATCTTTTTCATAGACTTGACAAGACTATGTCGTCCAAAGTGGTGATACATGAGGCTTATCTGTGGTGTGTTACAACAGGAGATGCAGATTTTTCTTTGTTTACAGTTTCCAATTCTATGAGCTTGGATGAGTTATACAATTAAACAAAGCAAAGCAATATTGTCTTCTAAGCTAACCTGTGGTTGCAGAGGGAACTCCCAGTCAGGCCATGGACAAGATGTTCGTCATCACTGTTATGTGAGACTTCTGTTGTGTCCAAATAAGTTTTTGCATCACATTCCGTGTTGAGATGGGCGTCCTCAGTGTACAGAGTTGCTTGCTGGTCAATGTGAGGACAGATTGCCAAGATGCAGGGTTGCTATGTCGCACTTTCAACTGACCCCAGATGACAAATGAAACTCCAGGGGCTAATTCTAGACAAAGGAATTTCAGCAGCCCCAGGTGACTTTCAGCAGCTCCCCAACCCCCATCTCGCACCACTCCCCAACCCCCCACCCCTCCCACCCCGCCCCCCACCCCAGGATGTGACTTTCATTTTCATGCCTAAGAGATTCAGGGCCCTGTACCCACTTCCTGGGGACCATGTGCTGTGGCCCTGCCCCTGGGTCTGCTCGCTTAAGGCAGGTAGGTGAGGGATTTCTGGCATGCCATGGCTAAGGGGACCCAGCATCCCTCCAGCTCGCTCTTTGAGCATCTCCCAGTGCCCGGTGTAGCCAGCTGAGCAAGGCAAGGCGGGAGCAATGGACGTAAGGGCAGGCAGAGCTGAGGCTCCCACAGGGGTGCCCCAGGGTCTCTGGACCCTCCCTGGATGCGCTCCGCCCCTGAAAGCTGCCTGGCTTACCTGCAGCCTGGGAGTGGCCTCTGGCCACTGACACATCTGTACTCAGAGAGGCTGCCGGCTGACACTCCCGCTCAGATGGTCTTTGTTGGACATTATCTTCTAGGTGGGGGATGGGGGGGATGGGGAATGCCCAGGGGACCAGACGGCCCCTGTCAGTTGCCCTGTGGGTGACCTCCACCTGCCTCAAGGAGGTGATCCTCATTAGCCAGGTAGATGATAACAAGAATGGCAATAATAAATAGCAGAAGTGGAAGACCTACCACTGTGTGCCAGGCCATGTATGGATGTCATTCTCTGCAACACCCCTGTCAGGGCAGGTGTCCCTGAGCCTGCGCTGCAGCCGAGGGATCCCAGGCTCTGAGCAGGGTAACCATACCCCAGCTCCGTGTGCAGCTCAGTGTTGGCCCCTGAGCCCGGGCTGTGCCTCCTGCTCTTTGGCCCAGCTCATTCAATCTCCATGGTTGCCGGGAGGGAGGGCCTATTGTGATGCCCGTTTTGCAGACAGGCATGGGGTGACTCGCGTTTACAGGTGAGGAAATGGGCTCAGATTGGGGGAGACGCTGGCAGCTGGAACTGGGAGCCCTGTTCCTGCAACACAAACTCACAGGGAAGCCAGACGCAGGGGCCAGAGGCCCGAGGGGGAGCTGGGCTGGGAGGGTCTGGATTTGGCTCTCTTGCCTTCCCAGTGAGGGGATTCAGGGGGATCTCGACCACACCCCCAGGGAGAGCAGGGGATGTTATTGACGGAACCATTCCTACCTGTTAACTATGTGCTGCGTGCTGCTAGGAGCATCATCTCCCCATGTTCCCTCCACAGTCCTCTTCTCAGCCCCATCTTATAGATGAGGGAACTGAGGCCAAGAGAGAATGCGTGACTTTGCCAGTGTTGCTCAGCTAGGAAGAGATGGAGCTGGGATTTGAACCCAGGCCCAGGTGACTCTGCAGCCCCCCAGGGAAGGTTGTTGCTCCCTGGCCAGGAAGCACCGTCTGCACTCACAGGTCACTTCCCAGGTGACTTTCAGCAGCCTCCACCGAGACATGACTTTCATTTTCATGCCTAAGAGATTCAGGGCCCTGTACCCACTTCCTGGGGACCATGTGCTATGGCCCTGCCCCTGGGGACTCTCCCTTAAGGCCCGTGGGTCCACTTTTGCAATTTGTATTTGAAAAACAGGAACAAGGCCAGTACCCTGGTTGTTCCTCCTCAGGGCTTGGGAGCTTTTCCCAAATGAACGAGAGACTTCTTGGGTGGGTTTGGCTGCTGTCTGCCACGGTGGAGTCTCTCCTTTAGTCTCTGCCCTAGCCTGTGTTCTTTCCCTGGGTTTCCAGAGCAAAGGCATTTTAGAACACAGTGGTGTCTGTTCTTAGGGGTCTGGTGACTGTTTTTTGTTTTTTTTTTGTAGGCAGTGTGGGCTGTCGCTGTGCCCTTCTAACTTGACCCCAGAATGTAGCGTCGTTATCGGGCCATCTCTGCAGCCTGTGTGAGTCCAGTTGAATTATGTCAGGGAGGTTATCAAGGGACACACGGTAGTTCTGCCAGGGCAGCCGGGTCTTGGGGTTAAAGGGCAAAGGTCAGCATCTACCGGGGGCTCCATGTGGGATGGATTAAGTTGCCACCATGCTTGGGTGGCGGGTGGCCCGAGGGAGGACTCAGCCACTCCTAGGCCAGACCCTGTTGAAGTCACCTTGGTGTGAACCACAGGGCTCAGATCTCTAAGAATTGACTCAGTTTTTCTCTGGGAGGAAAAATCCAGTAGGCTCTTTGGAATCAGGATGGATGCTTACAGGGGAACAGTGTCTGTGGGAGTGGAGGGTCTTGGTTTCTGTGTGTGGTGGCTCCAGGCTTGGAGTGGGAAGGGGTGGGTGAACTCCTCAGCCAGAGCATTCATGGACACACAGTTGAGGACCCTGGGTTCAAGGGGTGGGCTTGAAAGCTGTGAAGCCTGTATGGGCTCTCTAGATCTAAGACATCAGAAACTCAAGGGGCCCCAGAGAAATAAGAAAAGTCCTATTTCCAATGAACTTTCCAGAACACCACAACCAGAAAATCTAGCTATTGAATGTCAGCAAAGAGGAATTCTATTTGCATTCTCTTTTTGTGGGGGTAGGGTACAGGTTCTCCCTCTGTCACCCAGGATGGAGTGCAGTGGTGCGATCACCGCTCACTGCAGCGTCAGCCTCCCTGGGTTCAAGCAATTCTCCCACCACAGCCTCCCAAGTAGCTGGGACTACAGCTGCAGGCCACCATTATTAAAATTAGCCACAAAAAGTAGCTGTGGCTAATTTTTAACTTTTTTTTTTTGTAGTGGTGGGGGTCTCACTATGTTGCCCAGGCTTATTTCAAACTCCTGTCTTCAAGCAATCCTCCCACCTCAGCCTCTCAAAATGCTGGGATTACAGGCATGAGCCACCATGCCTGGCCACATTGTCCTTACTTTGAATTATATATGAGGTACAGGGGGATTCTAATCATTTACTGAAGAAATATTTATTAAGCAGCTGCTGTGTACCAGGCACTATTCTAGGAATAAGAGATAACATTAGTAGGGAGATAAACCTCTAAACAAACAAACGAAAAAATCCCTGCCCTCTGTGGTTTATCCTCCAGTGGTGAGATAGCAAAACATAGCAAAGGAGTAAAATATGTAGTTGGATAGGAGACAATAAAGATTGTAAAAATAAAATAGACCACGGTGAGGACAGGGGAGCTATGTGGGTTTGGGGTGGATTTTTGAAAGGAGTGGTGATAAAATGATGTCCCATTGTCTCTAGGATCAGGGGCTTTAAAAGCTCATTCAGGGCCAATATTAGTCCGTGAAACAATTTGGATCCCCACCCCCACCAGTATGTGCCAGCCTCAGTTTACAAATCTCCGAGAGGAGGCCACTCACAGGGCATCTTTAGTAGTTACTGGGAAAGTTACTCAAGGTGTCTCTGGAAGGGCTTGCAGAATGGGCCATTCCCAAATCGGGGCTTGGAGAAGCCTGCAGAATATGCAAAGAGGCCTCAGCAAGGAGGCAGAGGAGGCCCGGACCGAGGAAGGGAAATGAAGAGATGGTTGTGCCTAGGGTTTTGGAATTCCCCGTGGAGTTGGGATTTGCTGTGATTAGACACCATCCTGGCCAGGCGTGGTGGCTCACGCCTGTATCCTGGCACTTTGAGAGGCTGGGGTGGGTGGATCACTTGAAGTCAGGAGTTCGAGACCAGCCTGGCCAACATGGTGGAACCCCACCTCTATTAAAAATACAAAAAGAAAACAGGCATGGTGGTGGGCTCCTGTAGTCCCAGCTACTCAGGAGGCTGAGGCAGGAGAATTGCTTGAACCTGGGAGGCAGAGGCTGCAGTGGCTGAGATGGCACCACTACACTCCAGTCTGGGCGAGTGAGACTCTGTCTCAAAAAAAAAAAAAAAAAAAAAAAAAAGACACTCTCCTGAGGGCATTTACTAAGAAGGCCCCCAATGACGAGAAAGTGTAATGTATTGCAATTCCAGCGTAACAGGCTAATAATAACATGTGAATGGTTATTATTAATGACTCCCCCGTGGTCTCCAGTGCCAGGGGCTCCCTACACACTGGGCGGGTGAGGAACTGCTGGCGCTTACTGAGCTTGGAACACGGGCCGGGACCTGGGCTGTTTGTGTCTCCTGCGATGCTAGAACACATCAGCTGGAAGGCTCACAGCCACAGAAACGTGTCCTCTCCCAGTCCTGGAGGCTGGAAGTCCAACATCAAGGCCTTGGCAGGGTTGTGCCCCCTCCAAAACCTCTAGAGGGGGATCCTTCCCACCTCCTCCAGTTCCCGGTGGCCCCGCGTATTCCTGGGCTTGCAGCTGCATCGCTCCAATCTCCGCCATGTGGACACATCGTCTCCTCTTCTGTTTCTTATGAGGAGTCCTGTCGTTCGATCTGGGGCCCAACCTCATTGAGGACACTCTCATCTGCAGATCCCTAACTTAATCCCATCTGCAAAAACTGCTTTTCCAAGTGGGCTCCCATGCGCAGGCCTCAGGGCTTGGGCTGTGGACATCTCTTATCGGGGGCCACCATTCCACTCACTCCCCAGGCTAAGTACTCAGTGCCCCAAATCTCAATCCTTGCAACAACCCCCATCCTCTATGTAGAGAGGAGGAAACCGGGTCTGGGGGCATTGACGCAATTGCCCAAGGTCACACAGCGGCAAACTGTTGAGTCCATCTGAGCCTGCATCTCCCCAGGTGTCCTTCCCGGCCGGCCTCGGCACAGGACAGACGCCAGAGGTGGGAAGGCCTGAGGTTTTCCCGAATTCCTCCTCCTCCAAACAGCAAAATTATGCAACAGTTAAGAAGCAGTCACAGGATGCGGAAGAGGCTGTGGAAGGACCCAGGAAAACTGTGGATGGTTTTTGAGAGGCACGTGAAGATTAACCAGGGCTGTATCCGCACCACATGGGTTTATTGAGATGGTGATTGTGGCTGTGGTTACAATATTCATTATTGTATAAGCTACCCCTGCTCCTAGCCCTCACCGTAACTCTGTGCCCTGTTTTTTTTTTTTTTTTTAAGAGCCATGCATTTATTGCCTGATAGGTCCTCATGGTCACCTTTCAAGCTAAGTTCTAGCTTCAGCCCTATTTTACAGTTAGGAACACTGAGAACTGTTTTGCTCACTTTCAACTTGGCTCCCTGTCTGAAAAATTCCATCTAGGCTCATGAACTCTGTCCTCCAACCCCTCTCTCCTCTCCCCAAATGGAGGTGCATGTCTGGAATAGATCCGATGGCCTTTTTACCTGGAGGGCAGTGAGTGGTCGCTTCCTGGCTCTCTTCTGGGCAGGCCTGCAGGGGGTGCTACTGGGGATCCTGGCAGACTGAGGACACTGGGGCTCCTTTGGGTGCCTGTGGCCTGGGAGGCAGGCCTGGGTCCCGGGTGAGGCCACAGCTGCGGGTGGGCCCACCTAACTAGGGCACAGGAGGCTGCCAGGAACGCAGGAAAGCACCGAGGTCTTGGAACAAACACAGCGCGGGGTGCTTGCAGAAGGGAAATGAACACAAATCTGGCTGCAGCATGGACCGCCACCTCCCATACAAGCCTGTCCACTGTCCCCACCTCTCACTGGGCCCTGGAGAGACTGGAGTCCAGAAATGCTGTCCGTAGTGAGGCCTCTGGCCCCTTCCCTGGAAGACCGGCTTGGACTCACTTTCCGAAAAAGGCCTGCACCAGGTCATCTTCCTGGGTGCCTGGCCCCTCAGGCTCCCCTGGACTGAGTCTTGGCAGCTGCAGCTGCACCTGGCCAGGAGGCCAAGTTCTGAGCTCCAGGGTTCTGGCATCAGGAGGTGGGGTGCTCAAGGCTGGGCAGCACCCAAGCCTGGGAGTGCAGCCATGTATGGGAGGGGCCCTGAGTGTGTCCAGGATGTAGTGGCCTGGCCTGGGAGCTGCTGGATTGGGCAGCACTGGGAAAGAGGGGTCCAGGGTGGCTGCACACTCCCTGCAGGGCTGGGGTGCTCCTTCCAGGCATGAGGCAGGTCCCCACAGGGGCAGAGAAGCTCCAACCCGGGTGGGTTGGGGAACCCAGCTGCCTGGGTCAGAATCCTGGCTCCCGTATACTGACCTGTGGCCTTGAACAAAGTCTCTTAACTTCTCTAGGCCTCAGTTTTCTCACCTGAAAAATGAGGCTGATACCTGCACCCATCTAAGAGGCTGCTGGAGCACTCAGTGGGGACATCTGTGCGGAAGCCCTTTGCACAGTCCTAGAAGGTCCTCGGCGTCTCAGCCGTGTTCCCAGTACTGTTCCTGCTCTTACGATGATATCCTTGTTATCACCTTCCCTCTGGCTGCTGGGAGCGTGGCAGCGGGACGGCGCATTTCTTCCTGCTGAGCGCATTGTGTGTCCAGTGCTGTGCTCAGAGCTTCTATGCCTTACCCCTCCACTTGGCAGCCTTGGGAGGTAGCTCTGAGGCCTCCATTCATGGATGAGAAAGTAGAGGCTCAGAAAGGGGAAGCGTCTTCATTAATTTACTCACTCACTCATTCACTGGACACATACTTTCTGAGTCCCAGGTCTTGTCTTTGGTGCAAGGGAGACGGTGGTGGATGAGGCAGATGATGCCGTGTCCTCGTGTGGATCAGCTTCCTGCCAGGCTTGGGCCACCCAGCTGAGCCGCGGGGAGAGGATTTGGTTCCAAATCCACCCCCTCTATGGCCCAGGCTTGTCCACTTCTCAGTGCTCCATTTCACCTGGACACAGGTGCTGGGAGAAGGTGGCACAGAACGAGTGTCTGGCCTCCCACCCTCCAGGGAAGGCTGTGTGCTTGCACGTGCATATGCATGTATGTTCATGCCTGTGTACATGTTTGTGAGTGGCTGTGTGCATGTTTACATGTATACGTGTGTGTTCCCATGTGCATGGATGTGTATGGATGCGCGCATAGGTGCATGTGTGTGGATGTGTTTGCCTGTGTACACTTGCATGCTTGCGTGTGTATACAGGCCCGTGTTCGTGTGTGCACATGCATGCATGTAGGCACATGTGTGGGGGACTATGTGTGTGCCTAGCCATGCTGAAAGAAACCTGCATTCTGCTTTTGATATTTGTAAGTTTGCTCTAACCCTGGGAAGTGTCGAGAAGCTGGGGATAGGTAGGTCCCTGCTCCACGTCTGACTTCACTAAGAAGAGAGGATGAAGAGATACCTTGGTCCTGGCTTGGGGCCTAGGTGGCAGGGCCAGGGGCTTGACTTAGGAATGTAGCCTTCTCCACACATACCTCCACCCAGGCCTCAGAGCTCCTGGGTCTGGCTCTTAAGAAGTTTTGCAAAGCCTGTTCAATGTCTAAGGAGGCTCTGTCCACCTCCCAGTGCCTCCCACCACTCCTCAGCCCAGCTTCGTTCCTGGTGGCCTCTGCATGTCCAGGAGTCACTGAGTGGCATGCACACACACCCTGGGAGGGGTATTCACTGGCAGCCAGCAGGCAAGGGATGGATAGAGAAGCGGGTAGGAGTCTCAGGGAAGACTGGGTGACATGGTTGCCATAACTCCTCAGTGCTGCCTCTGCCTCCCCGAGTCCCAGCCCTAGGTCAGACCTGAAGAGGTGAGCACATCCTAGAAGGGTCCCCATCCCTGCTCCACTGCCCCAGGGATGCCTCTCCCAATCCCAGCCCTAGGTCGGACCGGAAGAGGTGAGCAAATTCTAGATGGATCCCCATCCTGCTCCACTGCCCCCCAGGGATGGCTCCCCCCGTGCCAACCTAGGTCAGACCAGAAGAGGTGGGCAGATCCTAGATGGGTCCCCATCCCTGCTCCACTGCCTGGTAGATGCCTCCCCCAGTCCCAGCCCTAGGTCAGACCAGAAGAAGTGGGCAGAGCCTAGATGGATCCCATCCCTGCTTCATGTTCCTGTCTTGACTTGGGGCCACACAGCCACTCCGCCACCTCCCTGGGTGGACTTTGCTGGGAGACCTGTACAGGTCACTTTATCTGAAGTTGTTCAAGCCAGAGAAGAAGTGTCTTTCAAACTATTAGTCCAGGATTTCCCAAATTAGAGTCCTGTACAACCCAGTCCCATGAAAGTATTTGTGGGGGAAAAAAAAAAAAACTAGCCTGCAGTCAAACATGTTTTTGCACACTGCACGCTTGATGCCTAGCTCCCGGCTGGGGCGTTACGTCTTTTAGCGCATCAGTGGTTCTGAGAAGTCTGCGCCAAGGGAACCTTTGAAATCTGTGTGTGTAACGGATAAGTCAGACGGGTATTTGGGCTGGGAAGTTTAAGGATGAGTCGGGAGACATAGGATAAGTTGGTTATAAAAATTTTTTAAAGACATAAATTCAGAGGAAGCTGTACAGATAACAGGATTCTATAAAGAGAAAGAAAACAGGACCGAGCTGAAGCACGATTTGCATTCTTTGGGCTGTGGTGGTGAGGTAGGCTGAGAACCAGGGGATATCATCCAGGTGGAGTTTGCGGTCCCCGAAACTCGGAGGCCATCATTAAAGCTGACTGTGCCATTTTGTGCCGCCAGCAAGGAATGAGAATTCCTGCCACTGTTTTGTATTTTAGACATTCTAATAAGGACACAGTGATATCTCATTGTGGTTTTAGTTTGCATTTCCCAAATGGCAAATGGCCTTGAAAATCTTTTCGTGTGCTTATTTGCCACCCATGTATGCTCCTTGGTGAAGTATCTGTTTAGATCTTGGGATCATTTTTAAAATTGGTCTATTTGATTTCTTATTGTTGAATTTTAAGCGTTCTTTATATATTCTGGATACAAGTCCCTTTAATGGCTATGTGATTTGAAAATATTTTCTCCAAGTCTGTTCCTGGTCTTTTGATTCTCTTAACAGTATATTTCACAAAGTTAATGTTCTGGATTTGACAAAGTACAGCCTCTCAATTTTGTTCCATACGGATTGTGCTCTTGGTGCCATATCTAAAAACTCGTCACCAAATATGAGACGATGTCGATTTTATCATATATTTTTTCTAGAAATTTTATAGTTTTACATCTTACATTTAGGTTAATCATCCATTCTGGGTTATTTTTGGGGTAAGATGTGGGGTATGTGTCAAGTTTTATTTATTTTTTTGCATATGGATATGCGAATTGTTCCAGTGCCATTTGTTGAAAAGATGATTCTTTCTCCATTATTTGCCTTTGCAACTTTCCCAAAATTCAGTTGCTCATATTGGTGGGGGTCAATTTCTGGGCTTTCTGTTCTTCTTTATTGACCTCTATGTCTGTCCTTTTACCAATACCATACTGTTTTGATTACTGTAGCTTTATAGTAAGTCTTGAAGCTGGGAATATGCATCATTCAACTTTTTTCTGTTTCAGAATTGTTTTGGCCATTCTAGTTCCTTTGCCTTCCATATTAACTTTATAGTCAATTTGTCTAAATCTATAAAAAAAAGCATACCGAGATTTGGATTGAAATTGCAATGAATCTGTAGATAAAATTAGAAAGACAACATTTTAACAGTATTTAGTCTTCCAACCCATGGACACAGTAATCTCTTCATGCATTTAGATCTTTTATTTATTTCATTAGTGTTTTTTAGTTTTTAGCATACACGCACTATCATATTTTGTTATATTTATGCCTAAGTATTTCTTGTTTACAGGGGAGGGGGAGTATTATAAATGGTATTATTTTTGTAATTTCAAATCCTAACTGTTCATTGCTAGTATAGATATACAATTGACTGTTGTATTTTGATAACGTATCGTATGACCTTGCTAAGCTCATTTATTTATTCTAGGAGTTTTAAAAATGATTCTTTCCTAAGTAGATAATCATGTCAACAGCAAATAAAGATAGTCTTATTTCTTCCTTTTCAATTTGTATGCCCTTTATTTTTTTACTTGTCTTTTTGCACTGGCTAGGACTTCCACTATTATGCTGAATAGAACGTGGAGAGAGGACTCCTTGGCCTTCTCCAGTCTTAAGGGAGTAGCATTCAGTCTCTAACCATGAAGTCTGATGCTAATCATAGGTTTTTGTAGGTGTCTCTTTATTAAGCTAAGCAATGTCCTTGTATTCCTACTTTTGTGAGAGGTTTGTTAGCCATCAGGGGATGTTGAATTTTGTCATATCTACTGATGTGCTTTTTCCATATTTAACTGAGATAATCATATGGTTTTTCTTATTTAATCTATTAATGTGATAAGTTATATTCATTGATTTTTAAGCTCATTGAATTTTTAATGGACAAATTAATGACAGTTTTAAAGGTATTTAAATGTATGCATGATTACTTATGGCTTCTAGGTCTTTCTGGCTGAGTGGCTTTGGGTAAGTCACTTAACCTTTCTGGGCCTCAGGCTGGTTCATCTGTACATTGAGAGTTGGGTGGGATCATTGATCTCTAAAGGCCATTACAGTCTGGGTGAGGGGAGGATAAGAATGCTAACAAGAACCATGTTTTCCTGTGGCTTTGCAGCAAGCGTAAGAGTTTACACTTATTGAGCATCTTTTGTTTGCCAGATCTTAGGCTAGTGACGTTTCATCATCTTCCTCACCAACATTATGAGATGTATGACAACAGGCAGTCCCCAACCTTTTTGGCACAGGGGACCAGTTTCCTGGAAGACAACTTTTCCATGGACGGGGGCAGTGGGGATGCTGTTGGGATGATTTAAACACATTACATTTATTTTGCACTTTATTTCCATTATTATTACATTGTAATATGTAATGAAATAATTATACAACTCACCATAATGTAGAAGCAGTGGGAGACCTGAGCTTGTTTTCCTGCAACTAGAAGGTCCTATCTGGGGGTGATGGGAGACAGTGACAGATCATCAGGTATTTAGATTCTCATACGGAGCGTGCAACCTAGATCCCTCGCATGTGCGGTTCACAATAGGGCTGGAGCTCCTGTGAGAATCTCATGCTGCGTCTGATCTGACAGGAGGCGGAGCTCAGGTGGCGAGGCGGGCAAGCCATGCGGAGTGGCTGCAAATACAGATGAAGCTTCACTCGATTGCCTGCAGCTCACCTTTTGCTGTGTGGCCTGGTTCCCAACAGGCCACCTACTGGTCCCAGGGGTCTGTGGCCCAGGAGTTGGGGACCCCTATATTGTGGCCTTTACTTCACAGAAGAGAAAATGGGAACATAGAGAGGTTAAATAATTGTTCACAGCCATATGTGTAGTGAGTGGAAGATGCCATCTTGTAAAAGGAGTGGGAGGTGAAGTGGGTGCAGGTCCAAGCCTCCAGCTCAGCAGCTCGGCCACAGGCGGCTTCTGCGCATCTCAAGTGTGGCTCATCCGAACTGAGATGTGTCGTCAGTGCACACGGAGGTCTAGATTTCAAAGACTTGGTACAAAAATTATTTTTAATACCCATCATAATCTTTATATCCTGAATTTCATATTGAAATCATATTTATATACAGGATTAAATAAAATATATTCTGAAAATTAATCCCACCTGTTTTGTTTTACTTTTTAAAAGTGATCAGTAGAAAATTTTAAATTACGTGTGTGGCTCGGACTTTTTTTTGAGATGAGGTCTCACACTGTCACCCAGGCTGGAGTGCAGTGGCACACTCTCCACTCACTGCAGCCTTCACCTGTCAGGCTCAGGTGATCCTCCCACTTTGGCCTCCCAAGTAGCTAGGACTACAGGTGCATGCCACCATGCTTGGCTAAGTTTTTGTATTTTTAGTAGCAATGGAGTTTTGCTATATTGCCCAGGCTGGTCTCAAACTCCTGGACTCAAGCCATCTGCCAGACTCAGCCTCCCACAGTGATGGGATTAGACATGAACCACCACACCTGAGCAGACTTTGTTTCTCCTGCACAGCCCTGCTCTAGACTAGAAGTCAGGAAATGATAGCTCATGAAACAAACATGGCCAATGCCCATTGTCTTGTCAATAAAATGTTATTGGTACACAGTTACATCCATTTGTTGACATAGTGTCTATAGCTGTTTTTGAACTACGACAGCAGAATTCAGCAGTTCCAAGAGACTGCTCACAAAGTCCACAACGCTTACTACCTGGCCTTTTACAGAAAAAGTTGGCTAACCTCTGCTCCAGATCAAAGTTTGGGAGGCCCAGAATATTTACTGTCTCCGTGGGAAGACTATAGGTGATTTTACGTTTTCTTCTTTTTATATCTCTGTCTTTTGTAAAGTTTCTGAAACAGAAACATCACTTTTGATAATAAAGAAGAAAAATTATAAGGGCTTTTTAATTATAAGATAGTAAATTATGGGATAGGGAAACAGAAAAAGGGTGGCACTGGGCCTGACCCTGGAAATGAGCCATCCCTGTTTAGCTCCTGAGTGTGGGCCTCCTGAGAAGGCCTGGGAGTTGCCCAGGAAGCCTGTTGCATGGGAAGCAATCCAAAGGCCCCTTCGTTACTGAGGGACTGTTTACATGGGAGTGGGAGGGAGGAGCGCGGGGCTGAGGAAGCCAGTTAGCCACAGGCAGGCCCGGGGAGGCTGGGCCATACAGCGTGGGGGGTTCGGGAAGCGGGGCCCATCTGGTTTGCATTAGGTTTCTAAGGTTGATAGCAAATAAGGGTATTAGAGCTAATTTACTTATTTAGAGAAAGACGACTCAATCCCAGGAACTGATTGGGAAGGAGCAGCCCCCTTCTCCTCCGCTGCAGAAACGCCCCATGGGAGGGGGGGCCTGCTATGCCCAGGCCCCTGTGTGAAGATTGGTATCTTTTAAAAAATAGCCCTGCAATCATGTGTGGCCTCAGGCTAGACTGGGGCACTTCCAGCCCCCTAGTCCTGCCTCCTCGGGCTGGGGCTGGGTACACTCCCAGGGGTTCTTGACCCTGTCCTCCAGCTCCTTGGATTTGGGTTCCCACAATAGTCCCGGACCGCAGGTAACCTACAGGGTGAGGCCAGGAAGCAGCACACACAGGGCTCATCTCTCCCGGTGCAGAGTTCCACATCCAGCAGCCTCAGCACTCTGGATCCCAGGGGGGTCATCAAAACATCACAGGGAGGCCTGGGGTTGTGGCTAAGTCCGCATAGAGCCGACAGCAGGTTCCCATCCACGCTGCCCAAAGCTCAGGCCCCCGATCCATTTCCCCCAGGAGCCAGGAACAATGACGTCACGGCTGGGGCCCCCGATCCATTTCCCCCAGGAGCCAGGAACAATGACGTCACGACTGGGGCCCCCGACCCATTTCCCCCAGGAGCCAGGAACAATGACGTCACAGCTGGGGCCCCCGATCCATTTCCCCCAGGAGCCAGGGACAATGATATCACGGCTGGGGCCCTTGACACAGGTTCCATTCTCAGACCAAGGGCTTGGGTTTCCAGAATTCTGGCCCTGTGTGGAGGCAGCACTCCCTTTGTCTTGGGTTTTTGGAAAGAGCTTGGGCTTTGGCATCAAACCAGCACGCGTTCAAATCCTAGCTTTGCCAAGTTGCGCCTTGGGGAACTTCATTTTCCCCATCTGTGAGAGGCTGAAAGTGATACCCATGACATGACCTGGCGGCGAGGACTAGACAGGGAGAGATGGGAGTGGGGACATCGCAGGGCTGGGCACAGGGCTAGGGAAAGAGGCAGCTACACTGAGGAAGAGAAGGCAGGAGGATGAGTTCGTTTTGTCGAGATGGATGTTACAGAGGTGGGGAGGGCATTTCAGCTGGGGGATCAGCACATAGCTCTATGACATCAACTTTAAAGTTCAGCTGGAGATGCTCTTCCTTCCTCCCTCCCTCCCTCCCTCTCTTCCTCTTTTTCTTCCTTCCTTCCTCCCTCCCTCTCTCTTTTCCTCCTTCCTTCCTTCCTTCCTCTCCCTCTCCTTTTTTCCATCCTCCTTTTCTCTCTCCCCTTTCTTTTTCCTTTTACAACATATTAGGGGTCCTCTCCTTTCTTCCTTCCTTCCCCTTCCTTCCTTCCTTCCTTTCTTTCCTTCCTTCCTTCCTTGCTGCCTGCCTGCCTTTCTTCCTTCTTTCCTTCCTTCCTTCCTTCCCCTCTCCTCCCTTCCTTCCTTTATCTCTCTGCTTCCTTTTTCCTTTTACAACATATTAGAGGTTCAACATGGCTGAATTATCCACACTGTTCTTGCACCAAACAGCATGTTGCAGATTTACTCAACTATTTATTTATTTATTCCTTCTTCAAACTTTATGTTTAGTAGTCCCTATTAGATTCTGTAATTCCTGTTAAATCCATATTAGGACTCCTGTATCGTTCATCATGGAAATTGAGTCATTCAGCCAGTAATTACTAAATGCCCACGACCAAGCTCTGTCTTAGGAGCTGAAGTCATAGCCATGAACAATTATAACTAATTTATACCAAAAACAGAAGGAGCAAGGGGTAAGGGAAATAGAAATCTAATACTTTGCAATGGTCTATAGCAGTGGCTTTCAACTCTAGTTGCATATTTGAATTACTTGGGAAGATTTTTAAAAATATGTGACCCCACAACAAACCAACTAAAGTTGAATCTCAGGGTGGGTTGGTGGAGAGTCAGATCAGTTTATTTTGTAGATTCCCTGGGTGATATGAATGCACAGTTAATGATGAGAATCACTGGTCTCTAATTAACCTCAATCGCAAAGTCTTGTTACTAATTCTTGATCTTGTTACTCTAATCTATTGATTCTCAAAGTGAGGTCCCAGACCAGCAGGATCTACATCCCCTGGGAGCTTGTTGGAAGTGCAGATTCTCAGGCCCAATCCCAGGACTGCAAAATCAGTAACTTTGGTGTGGGCCCAGCAATCTGTGTACAAACTCTTAGGTAATTCGATGCAGGCTTGAACCCGAGACCGTCTGCACTGGTGCATGAAACACATCTACTTGCTCTGATGTTCTCACCTCACCTCAGCTGAGCACTTGCTGCTCAAGTCTGGTGCTCTCCCTGAGGCTTAGGGTCTCATCCTGCATGCGAACTCAGTGCTGACTCCATTGGTGGGAGTGGCTCCTTGAGAAACATCATGAAGATTTGCCTGGGCTCACTGGAAGGAATGCAGCAATCAATTAGTGATGTCTGCATGAGGATGGGTGTGGAGAGCTTTGTCTCTTCAGGCTCAGCATCTGTAATCTACATCAGCAGCCTCTATCATTTGAAAACTCTGATATTCTTAGTTCAGGCACCTTGTCTATTTCTGTTTTCCAAGCTGCACTGGGCTTTAGCAGCCTACTTTCTTTACAGACTTAGCCAAAACAAAACAAAACAAAACAACTCAAACCAAAAACCCACGTTCACCGCCATTTTAGATAAAGTTCAATGGACTGAAATTCCCAACAACAACAATAACACCAGCAAGTTAGTGTTCCTCCCCTGGAAAATCCCCTCCACCTTGCTTCTATTATGTCAGTGGCCAACTCATTCTCTCCTGCCAACTTTGAAGTCCAAGTTATTTCTGTTTTCAATTCATTCTTTCCTCTAAAATAAAATTAATTTTGATGTGATTAGAAAAGGAATGTATCATCATGATATGAAATTGATAAAATGCTAAACAAAAAGGATTAAAGTAATCTGAAATCCCACCATCCAGAAATAATTAATTCACCATTAACACTTTGGTTATATCCTTCCTGACTTCTCTCTCTGTCTTTCTTTCTTCTCTTGACATTGGGAGGGGAAGCTGGCCTATGTACAGTACATTGCCTAATTTCACTCATTTCAAAATATAATGACAAGCTAACGGCTTTATTGAAAAAGTGAGGGGCCCTATGGTTTTGAAGTATAAAGATAATTATTGAATCACTGTGGGGTTACTTCCTAGGGCCTAGCCCTCCTTCTTTTCACCTATTGCATGTTCAGGGCTGCAGGCGAACTCTGCAGGGCTCCCTGCAGCAGCCACTGAGTCCTCCAGTGACACTGTACGGTGCTTTTATTGCTGATATTTTTGGCCACCCTTAACAGGTGAGGAAACAGAGCCTGAGAGCGGGAAGTGCCCTTCTCAGGGGCACATCTCTCCAGACTCCTCCATTCTTTCTCTATCCCCCAGAAGTTCACACTCTATCAGAGGAGGTGACCCCCTGATAATACCTAAGTCTGAAGTGCCCAGTAAAGGTTTAGAGAAGCTCAGGGGCACTTGAAACGGCAGGGAGAGGCTTTACATCTACCTGAGAGAGGAGAAGATGGAGTCAGGGGACCTTCTTGGAGGAAGTGTCCCTACAGGAATAGCCCTATATGTGGTCCTGTCTGACTCCTCTGACGTCATACTAGTCAGGATTCATTCAGTTTTAAGTGACAGAATGACTTTACATCTATGGAAAAATATATAATACAAGGACCCCATCCTTGGAGTTCAGGCATGGTGGGATCCAGGTGCTCAGATCCTGTTGTAAAAATCTGCCCTCTCCCTTCCCTTGGTTCCATTTTGCTGTAGGTTGGTTTCATTTTCAGGGAGTTTTTCTCCAAGGGCTTGCCTCTGGCAACTCGACTTCCACACTATCCGTTTAGTAATGCCAGTGTGAAGAGCCTGTTCATTATCCGTTGTTCGAGGAATGTCCTGGGGTTGACTCTTACTGGCTTGGTCATGTGCCATCTCTGAGCCAATCAATGTGACTTTTTTTGTCTGGGCCTAGGTCCCGTGTTCACCCCTGAAACTGGGAGGTGTTGTCATCAGCCACCTGAATCTTGTGGACTGAGAATGGTATAGGGATAGTTTCCAAAAGGAAATTGAGAGTCTAACCCCAGAAACAGGAGGAATGAAGATTGGTGGTCAAGCAAAGGCTGTCCAGCACAGTGCCAGCAATGCCACCATTGGATACACCTCCTTCAAATGCTTCTTCAGAATAGAGCCTTTTATCCTCCTGCTCCCCTAACAAGATGATTTCATTCGCATATTAACAGGGCCTAGAGTTATCTGCTCAAGTTATTAGCACCCAGTGTGTCCTTTAGCACAGGCAGGGACTCGAGATTCTCAGGCAGAGGACAAGCAGGCTATGAGGGAGAGAACATTCTGGAGCTCAGGAAGCATGAGTGGGAGGCTCTGGCATTCAGAGGATAGCGTGATAGACCCCATTGTGGGTGCTGGAAGTTTCCAAATAGAGAGACTTTGTGAACAAGCTGCACAATTTCACAATTTTCCTCCTGGGTCAGCCATGTCACAGCAGAACTTTTTTTTTTTTTTTTTTGAGACGGAAATCTCGCTCTTTCGCCCAGGCTGGAGTGCAGTGGCGCGATCTTGGCTCACTGCAAGCTCCGCCTCCTGGGTTAATGCCATTCTCCTGCCTCAGCCTCCCCAGTAGCTGGGACTACAGGTGCCCGCCACCACGCCCGGCTAATTTTTTTGTATTTTGTATTTTGAAATTTTTTGTATTTTGAAATTTGTATTTTGTATTTTGAAACCCCATGTAGAGATGGGGTTTCACTGTGTTAGCCAGGATGGTCTCGATCTCTTGACCTCGTGATCCTCCCACCTTGGCCTCCCAAAGTGCAGGGATTACAGGCGTGAGCCACTGTGCCTGGCCCACAGCAGAACTTTTGAGCGGGTTCTCAGCTACTCCAGGCCAGGCTCTGGCTTCCACATGCAAGGACAGTTCATTCCAGGTGGAGACAATTCCACCGGCTAACAGATGTGTCTCTGTTTACTCCATGGCTCACCCACTCACCCTCCAAGCTTCCACTTTCCTGTCAGCCCCTCTTTCAGACTGGCACCGCCAGGAGCGTGAGGAGCCTGTGTGGTCTGCTCATTATTCTATCTCCATTGCCTGGCACACAGCTGGTGTTTAATAAGTGCTGTTTGGTGGATGGTGGATGGTTGGGTGAGCGGATGGTAGTTTGAATGGCTTGGCGGATGGGTGGATGGGTGGATGGGTGGATGGATGAGTGGATGAATGTGTAGGTAGAGGGCTGGCTGGCTGGAGGATGATTGAGTGGACCCACAGCTGGATCAGCAAGGTTAACTGGAGGCAGAATTCTGTGACTGTGAAGAGCAAGGTCTCTGTAGCCAGATTGCCTGGGTTCAAATCCCATCTTTGCTTCTTACCTGCTTGTTGACCTTGCGTAAGTTTTTAGCCTCTCTGGGACTCCATTTTCTGATCAATGAGATGTGGGTACCGCCAGGACTTACCTCAAAGGTTGTTGTGAAGATCATCTGAGACGTCACACATGAAAGTACTTTGCACAGTGCCTGCCACACACTAAGAGTTCACTAACTGTGACCTGCCTTGTCCATTTTCATTTGTGTTCTAACAAATGGTTCTTTTGCACGGGCTGCTCTGTTACTGGGTGCTTCCTAGATACTAGGGACACAGCAGAGAATGGCGAGGTGCCCCTGCCCACCTCGAGCAAGCACTTTTATGGGGTGCACGTTTTCCTTTTGTCTTGCATAGCACTTTTATCATTTATACGCATTTTTCATATCTGCACTAATGTTTTTAAAGAGTTCCCCCCATACTGGGCTGTACAGTCCACCCAGGGCCTTTACTGTTTTGTTACCAGCTGGATATCAAAGAAAGAATAACTGATTATTCTCCTTCCAGTTGCTCAGGCCAAACACCCTGAGGTCTACCTTGTATCTTTCCTTTGTCAGGCCACTTTCAGTCTGTTGCAGATCCTATCGGCTCTGCCTTCACAATATACCCAGAATCCAATTTCCTCTCCCAATTCCCTGGTGACCTCTTGTGGGGCACCAATTCCTCACTGGAATCCTGCTAACTGGGCTCCCTCTGTGTGTTTATCCCCACAGTCCCCCCGCCAACATCAGCCAGGGTGCTCACAACGCATCGATTCTACCCTCCCAGGGGTTCCCAGCTCATCTGAAGTAAAGCCGACAAGCTTACCACGGCTTCCAGGTCCTTGCGAAACTGTCTCCTGCCTGCCCTTGCCTGGGACGGCAGAGACCCTGTCTCTCCATCTCTCACTGCCTCCTCACCGCTCCAGCACGGGCCTGGCTGACCCACCCACGTGCCTGGCACACGTCTGCCGGGGCTGTGCATGCTGTGTTCCCTCTGCCTCAAATGCTGTGCTCAGCGATCTGAGCGCTCCTGCCTCCCTTCCTTCAGGGTTTCTGTCGGTGAGGTCTTCCCTGGCCACTGTCTCTAAACACTGTCAGCATCCCTCTTCTGACACGTCTTATCCTCCCTCCCTGATTTTTTTTTCTTCGTAACGCTTGTCTATCTAACATACAGTGAGTTTCATCGAGTGTCTGTTTTCCTCCAGCTGGAAAGTGAATTCCATGAAGGTGGAGACTTTTTGTCTACTAATGTGTCCCCAGTACTTGGTATAGTGCCTGGCACATAAAAAATGCTCAATAAATACTGGAGGAATTGTTACTACTACCGTTACTACTACTACTACTACTGTTACTGCTGCTACTCCCATTACTACTACTACCACCATTACTACTACTGCTACTACTACCATTACTACTACTACTACTACTGTTACTGCTGCTACTCCCATTACTACTACTACCACCATTACTACTACTGCTACTACTACCATTACTACTACTAGTACTGTTACTGCTGCTACTCCCATTACTACTACCACCACCATTACTACTACTGCTACTACTACCATTACTACGACTACTACCACCATTACTACTGCTGCTACTATTACCATTACTACTACTACTACCACTTTTGCTACTACCATTACTACTACTACTACCATTACTACTACTACTATGACTACTACTACCACCATTACTACTACTATGACTACTACTACTGTTACTGCTGCTACTCCCATTACTACTACTACCGCCATTACTACTACTGCTACTACTACCATTACTATTACTACTACCACCATTACTACTACTGTTACTACTACCATTACTACTACTACTGTTACCGCTACTACTACCATTACTACCACCATTACTACTGCTGCTACTATTACCATTACTACTATTGCTACTATTACCATTACTACTACTGCTACTATTACCATTACTACTACGACTACTACTACCACTGTTACTACTACTGCTACTACCATTACTACTACTACCACCACCATTACTACTACCACCATTACTACTACTACCACCATTACTACTACTGTTACTGCTACTACTACCATTACTACTATTACTACCACCATTACTACTGCTGCTACTATTATCATTACTACTACTACTATGACTACTACTACCACTATTACCACTACTGCTACGACTACCATTACTACTACTGCCACCATTACTACTACCATTACTACTACTGTTACTGCTACTACCACCATTACTACTACTACTACCACCATTACTACTACTACTGCCACCATTACTACTGCTGCTATTATTACCATTACTATTACTGCTACTATTACCATTACTACTACTACTACCACCACTGTTACTACTACTGCTACTACTACTACTACCACCATTACTACTACTACCATGACTACTACTACCACTGTTACTACTACTACTACCACCATTACTACTGCTACTACCACCATGACTACTACTGCTATGACTACTAGTACTGTTGGTGTTCTTGTTGGTCTCTTCCTCTCAGAGATGCTCTAATTCGGGTGCCTGTCCCAGCCCTCTATTTTATGTACATTCTGATTTTGTGTACCAGCTTATTTTAGAAATCACTGTTTTGCATTCCAGTTTCCAATTTGTAAATGGGAAGGACGTGGAGGAAGCCCTCTCTAAGGTCTTGCCCAGTTTTTTTTTAAAAAAAAACTCTAAGGCTGTGTAGTAGGGTTGAATGGTGCCACCTAAGCCCCCAAGGATATGACCACATCCTAAACTCTGGAGCCCATGCGTATTACCTTCCATGACAAAGGAGTGTCTACTACCTTACATGACAAAAGATATAATTAAGTTAATGATCTTAAGACCGGCGCTGATTCCATATTACCTAGGTGGGCCCTAAACCCAGTGACAAGTGTCCTTACAAGAGGCACAAAGAGGAAAAGACAGAGAAGAGGAGAAAGCCACATGATCACAAAGCAGATGCAGCCGTAAGTCAAGTAATGCTAATAGCCACCGAGAAGGAAGGGGCGAGGAAAGATCCTCCCCTACAGCCTCTGGAGGGAGTACTGTCCTGGCGACACCTGGATTCCAGGCTTTTGGCCTCCAGAAATGTAAAAGAACAAATTGCTCTTTTAAGCTACAATGTTCATGGTGCTCTGTTACAGCAGCTCTGGGAAGCAAATGCAGGCTGTGATTCCACAAAGCTGTCTGCAGGCTCGGACATCATGGTGGCTACTGCTGAGGACACAGCTCCCCTGGCTCCAGGCTGGGACCTGGTATCAGCTCTGAGCTCTGTAGCTGGCCTCAGGCTGACACCGAGCCTCAGAGAAGACTTGCTGGGGTGGCTGCGTGCAAGGAGTTCCAAACTGTTCTCACGGCTGGCTGCTGCCGCTGCCTGGGAACACCTGGGAGCTTCTAAGCTGTGCTTCCACAATGAGCCAGATTTCGCTTTCTAGGACCAAAATAGATGGGGACTTTGGCAGATCTGTGTCCAGAATCATCCGGGAAACAGTGTCCTTTGCGTGCTAGCTCCACTTCCATGGTTTATGTGGATAAACCACACCTACACATGTCCAATGAGTTCTTGATAACCACGTGATTCACCCGCTTGTGCAGGAGGCCTTCCCAGATGTTCCCCCATTGTTGGGTGGATGACACACTTCTGGTAGACCTTGGGCCTCGCTGGGGCTGCTGCACCATTTTTATGAGACAGGCCACTGGAAGTAGCCTTTGCCTCTTCACTTGGCTTCTCCTTCTTTTCTATTGCCTCCTCTCAAAACAGAAAAAAATTGGGATCACAGAGAAGGCTCATGGGAGTGCAGAAGAGGCTCATGGGAGGGCAGAGGAGGCTCATGGGAGTGCAGAGGAGGCTCATGGGAGAGCAGAGGAGGCTCATGGGAGTGCAGAGGAGGCTCATGGGAAAGCAGAGGAGGCTGATGGGAGTGCAGAGGAGGCTCATGGGATCACACAGGAGCTTCATAGAAGAGTAGAAGAGGAGGCTCATGACAGTGCCCATTAGGCTTATGAAAGTCTAAAGGCAGAAACTATAGGCCAGGCAGGCCTCATGGAGCTGGAACTGGGCTCATTACTCACCAGGAGCTGCTGGGGCCTCTGTGGGAGTGATGTCTCTTTCTTGGGGTCATGTGGCCCCTCTGGTCCTGGGACCTTGGCCCTGTCCTCTCCTCTTGGCTGAGTGATGTCTTTTGTTTGCTCATGATTTCTGCTTCATCCTGCAAATGGCCAACGCAACCACCCTGAACTAGTCAGGTGTTGGTGGCAGGGGTGCTGGAAGCTCTCCTGTGATTGAACTATCAAACTACAGGAGGCAAGGGAAGGGCAAAGAGTGCCTTGAGGAACAGCTGGAGCTGAGTACCAGCAGGCCACCGCCCCCATGTCTCTCACTTCTGGGTCTTTCCACATCAGTGTGCTGGCCCCGTGGACTGCCCTCCTTGTGGCAGGATAGTCAGCCGCCAGCTATTCCCAACCTGTGTGCAAAAGTTGTCTCTGGTAGAGAGGGATAGAGCCTCACCCTCATTTTTGGTTCAGAGAAAACCCAGGGGAAGGTTCCAATTGGCCCAGCATGGCTGGGGACCCGGCCTTGAACCCATCTGTTCTGGCCAGGGTGGCAGTGCTTCATGATTGGCTGGTGGAGGTCAGGTTTCCACCCTTGGTCCAGTCATCTCTGGCCAAAGGGTGGTGTCATGAGAGACCGAGTGGTGCCTGCTAGAAGCAGGTTCATACAGTCGAGGACAAGCTGTCCTTAGAACCCAGTAGGGTGAGGCTAACAGGCAAAGCATCACCCTATACATCCTGGGTCTTTCACCTGTCTCCAGGGATCTCGATTCCAGATTCATGTGATTGGTCCTGCACATCTCTTCTGGCCAGGCAGACTACGTTTCTGGCTACCCATGACTTAGAATTTTTGCCTGCTAGGTGAGGACAGGGCCCATCACATGGTATAACCTGGCCATCCACCTCAAAGAGCTCTGTAGATGAAGTGGGCAGCGGTGGGTATCTCCAGGCACCAATCTGTAGGAAGCCCAGGAGGGCTTAGGAAGGATGCTGGCCTAGTGGGTGGGTGTTAGGGTCTGGGCCCTGGGTACCATAGCTGGGGCAGTAGCTGTCCTGAGGCACTGGGAGGGAGAGGGGAGGGGCAGGAGCAGGTCACACTGAAGGACATGGACAGGGCTTCAGAGTCAACAAGTTCAAATCTCATCTCCTCTTCCAACTAGCAGTGTGACCACAGCCAAGTCACTTCACATTTACGAGTCACAGCTTTCTCATCAGCAACGTGAGGATAATAATAGGATTTATGTCACAGGTTTTGGTGAAAATTGAGATGCTATGGGTAGAATAATCCCTAGGGGATGGTGGTGGAATGGCTGTTGGTTTTGTCCTGTCCCTGAGGCCCAGCCCTGCCACCTCTTAGCTGGTGACCCTGGGCAAGTTACCTAACTTCCCCCTGCCTCAGTTTCCTCGTCTGCAAACGGGAGTTCAGAAGGCAGCTATAGGCCGGGCGTGGTGGCTCAGGCCTGTTATCCCAGCACTTTGGGAGGCCGAGGTGGGCGGATCATGAGGTCAAGAGATTGAGATCATCCTGGCCAACATGGTGAAACCCTGTCTCTACTAAAAATACAAACATTAGTCGGGTGTGATGGCACGCGCCTGTAATCCCAGCTACTCAGGAGGCTGAGGCAGAAGAATTGCGTGAACCCAGTGGGAGGCAGAGGTAGCAGTGAGCCGAGATACAGCCACTGCCACTCCAGCCTGGACGGCAGAGTGAGACTCCATCTTAAAAAAAAAAAAGAAAAAAAAAAGCAGCTGTAAAGATTAAAGGTACTGTCATATATAAAGCCCTGGGAAGAGTGCCTGGGACATCGTGAGCTCTCAGGCAGTGTGATGTTCTGCTCTCAGTGACACGCATGCCAGCAGCCACTGGGTTTTTGGTGGAGAGGAGTTGCAAGAAATGAAAGTTTCTAGACCAGAATGTTCCTGTTTAGAAGACACTTTATACAACTGTGTAAATAGTGGACAACCTGAAGTCCTTATTTGAAACATCCTGTCTTTCTAGATGTTTAAAAGTGCACAAAGTATGTTAAAAATAGAGGTAGTGAATAACACAATTTGTAGATGTCCTTTTGTTAAGATTCATATGAAACACTGTCTTTTGAAAATCGATCAAACCACTTCTCTGAGCAGTACACATGATTATCTTCACGCTGGTTCGGGGTGGGAGGAGGAGAAGAAAGTGCAAGGGCTTTGCCCCACTGCATTTATGGGAGGCATGAGTGAGTGTTGTCCTGCCTGTCTGTGCATCTTCTTTTACAGTGCTGGGTACGTGGTGCATGTAAAGGACAAGCGAGTCCTAATTTACAACAGCTGGTCCTTCTTGATGTTAAAGAGGTTGCCAGTGTGTGATAAACGTGGAGTTAGTAAACTCATACGCTGATCGCACTTTGTGTTGAAATTCACAGGAAAGACTGTTCTTAAAAACACTTATGGAAGTGAAATTGTTAAAATCTCCTCTAGGCCAGGCACAGTGGCTCACGCATGTAATCCCAGCACTTTGGTAGGCTGAGGTGGGCAGATCATGAGGTCAAGAGATCGAGACCGTGCTGGCCAACATGGTGAAACCCCGCCTCTACTAAAAATACAAAACTTAGCTGGGCATGGTGGTGCGTGCCTGTAGTTGCAGCTACTCGGGAGGCTGAGGCAGGAAAATTGCTCGAACACGGGAAGCGGACGTTGCAGTGAGCTGAGATTGCACCACTGCACTCCAGCCTGGCGACAGAGCAAGACTCCGTCTCAGAAAAAAACAAAACAAACAAGCAAAAGACAAAACTCTTCTAAGCATTATGGATGTTTCTACCTGTCCATTGTGTTTGATAGAGCTGGGAAGGGGAAGGGTTCTAGGCCAGAATGTTCCTGTTCAGAAGACACTTTCAAATCATAGCCTGTGTGGTGTATATGCACCATTTATTCAATGCTGCTGTGTAGATAGTAGAAAACTTAAGTCCTGTTTGAAACACCCACTCTTTCCAGATGTTTAAAGGTACACAATATATGTTAAAAGCAGAGGGCTAAAGTACACCCTTTATGCATTTTTTTTTAAATTTTCATAAGAGTGGTTGCATTTGGGAATGAAGTTGTTAAACTTGATGTTTAGGAGAGTATGCTGTTCCCTGGGTGGTGGCAGGTGCGGGGAGGAGGAAGCAGGCAGAGAGAAGGGTTCTGTGCTCATGAGTTAGACTAGTTCAGACGGTCTCACCATTGTTCTGTATGTGCATTTTAGTGAACATTGTTGTGTATTAAAAGATAAACAAGTCCTAATGCTCAAAGTGTGTTAAAATAATCCCTTTATAAATGTCTGTTTTTGTTTTTTTTTTGAGATGGAGTCTCGCTCTGTCACCCAGGCTGGAGTGCGGTGGCGTGATGTCAGCTCACTGTAGCCTCCGCCTCCTGGGTTCAAGCGATTCTCCTGCCTCAGCCTCCCAAGTAGCTGAGACTATAGGCAGGTGCCACCACGCCTGGCTAATTTTTGTATTTTTATCGAGACGGGGTTTCTCTGTGTTGGCCAGGATGGCCTCCAACTCCTGACCTCAAGCGATCCACCCACCTCAGCCTCCCAAAGTGTTGGGATTACATGAGCCACTGTGACCAACCTATAAACGTCCTTTTGTTAGTTTTTAGGAAGGCCTGTCTTCTGGGAGAGACCTTTGTTAATCCACCTCTTGGAACTGAATGTAGTCCTGCACTTAGCCACTGGGATGGTGGAAGAGGGAAAAGAGGAAGGGTGGAGGGAAGGGCTCCTTACTAGCCTCTCCATGGCTCTAAGGTGGTTTTAAATGAAAACTGCAAGTCTTTGTGTGCATTTTCAATAAAGTGCCTGTGTTTATTATGGACAAAGTTCATTATTTTACAACATCTAAGCATTATAGATGCCTCAAGGTGACAAGGTATGATAAAAAGTGGAGCTAGTGGGCCGGGCGTGGTGGCTCACGCCTGTAATCCCAGCACTTTGGGAGGCTGAGCTGGGCGGATCACGAGGTCAGGAGATCAAGACCATCCTGGCTAACACGGTGGAACCCGTCTCTACTAAAAATACAAAAAATTAGCCGGGCGTGGTGGCGGGCGCCTGTAGTCCCAGCTACTGGGGAGGTTGAGGCAGGAGAATGGCGTGAACCCAGGAGGCGGAGCTTGCAGTGAGCCAAGATAGCTCCACTGCACTCCAGCCTGGGCGACAGAGTGAGACTCCTTCTCAAAAAAAAAAAAAAAAAAAAAAAAAAAAAAAGGTGGAGCTAGTGAATTAGCCAACTTGTAAACATCTTTTTGTTATAATTGATAGAAAAGATGCATCTTAGACGTGGAACTGCTAAGCTGCCTCTGAGCAGTGTATATCAAGGCTTGTTCATTAGGTGAGCAGCAGAGAGGTGGAAGGATTATAAAGACAGAAGTATGCAAATGTGTTTATATTTACAATTCAACAATAGCCATTGATGTGTATGCATCTCTTTTGGCTGTACCATAGGCATACATTAGGTAATTCA
Organism: Homo sapiens; assembly: GCF_000001405.40. Classification (NCBI taxonomy): domain Eukaryota; kingdom Metazoa; phylum Chordata; class Mammalia; order Primates; family Hominidae; genus Homo; species Homo sapiens. The sequence goes on from NC_000016.10 coordinate 86,115,006, forward strand.
ATGTAAACATACCTTCTTGCTACAATTTTAGTGGCATGGATCTGAGAATGAATTCTCTTAGAAACATTATACTTAGTGTATTCTCTTGCTTTCTGTTTCATTTGAGCATTAAGGGAATGCAGCATTTTAATCGAAGCTCTGACAGTGCTTCTAGAGGTGTCTTGCCATTTTTTTCTGCAATGAAATTTTTGTCCCCAAAAAGGCAGGGTTACATTTGTTTTTCTAACAGATAAAAAAGAGTATATTTATTGTGATAAGTTAAAACTGATAATAAATATCAAGTGTGGGTGTCAAGATTAAGGGGAAAATAATAGAGACAAATTCAAGGGTCAGGAAGAAGGTGGACTTGGAAAAGAAGAGGTCCAAGGTGAGGAGGGGAGAGCAGGGCCTGGGACATGGAGGAGGATGGAGCTGAGGTGCCCGTGTCCTGTGTTGGAGGCCTAGGCAGCGGGTGGACAGGATCGGCCGGTGGAAAGGAGCAGTGTTAGGGTCAGCAGGCCCTGAAAGGCATTGGTGAGCCCCATTCCATGTCACAAAGAGCTGCTCAGGAGATGCACGGGCACGGGGACACCGCTCCTGCTCTGGCTGAGTTTTGAGAAACTCCACTGACTACCTCTATCTGAGAAAGTTTAAATCCATTTTATCTCACTCCAGAACTGCGTAAGATGCGGCATTTACCGCAGATGAGGGTATTCACCAGACAGCGTCCCATGATGTGGGGTTTAAAATATGGACGTGGTTATCCATGAAGCCATGTACCTACAAAGGCATACATATATACACATACATATGCATATGCATCTACCTATATACATAATTGCATACACGTGTGTGTACTTTGTAATCCAACTTTATTGAGGAATAATTTACCTCCAGTACAATGCCCCCACTTGAGGTGTACAGTTTGCTGAGCTTTGATGAATGTACACACCCATGTAACTGTCACCCAAGGGGGACCTGGGGCATCTCCATCCTCCCTCTGCTTTGCAGGCCACCCCCTCCCCACCCTGGCCTCAGGCACCCGCAATCTGCTTTCTGCCACTTGAGGGTGGTTTTGGAATGCCGTGTCATGGGATCACATGCATGTGCCCATTTGTTTCTGGTTTCTTTCACCCAGGGTGATGTTTCCGAGGTTTTTCCTTGCTGCCGCTGCTATCAGTCATTGATTTACCTTTTTTTGGTTGTTGTTGCCGAGTAGTGCTGCATTGTTCACATGCACCACCCTTTGTTTCTCCATTCATCTGTAGAGGACGTTTGGGTTGCCTCCAGCTGGAGGGCGGTTAGGAATAAGGCTGTTGTGAACATTCTGTGAACGTGTCTTTTGCAGCAATGTCTGCATTTCTTTTGGGTAAATCCCTCGGAGTGGAGTCCCCCTGCCACATTATGTTCAGTCTCAGAGGTGGTGGTGACTGGCTGGCCATTCACAAGCCTCTTTCCCCTCCTTGGGCCCAGCTGGAGCACATTTTCCAGCAGCCCCTGTACTCAGGTGAGGCCACAAGCCAGGGTGTGATGGAACATGAGTGGGAGTGATGCCGCTGCAAAGCCTCTCACTGCCTCCCTGCTGTTGACTCCTGGCCTGCCTGGTGCAGGTGCGTGCATTGCTCTGAAGTCCCTGGTTGGAGAGGCAGAGCCAGCAGCTGGAAGGATCATGGGTCCTCATCACCATTGGACGAGGGCCCCTGGATCACGAGGATCACTGTCTTGGACTCTGTGGGAATAAGAAGCGATCATCTCTGGGGCAGGGCCAGGTTACCTCCTGGGTTTCCCAGCCACAGCCTCAGGCCCCACTTCTGGGAAGAGCAGTCTCCAAGACCTGGGCAAGGTGAGACGAATGGAAGCTGCAGAGTCCAGTGGAGGCTGCAGGACTTGATGGAACAGCATAAATTTGGGATCAGACAGTCCCTAAATAAGAGTAACCCCAAGTGAATCTCTGGAGCTTTTATTTTGAGACAGAGTCTTGCTCTGCTGCCCAAGCTGGAGTGTAGGGGTGTGATCATAGCTCACTGCAGCCTCAGCCTCCTGGGCTCAAGTTATCCTCTTGCCTCAGCCTCCTAAAGTGCTGGGATTACAGGTGTGTGCCACTGCACCTGGCTTCTGGAGGTTTTTGGGCTTCAGTTTTCTCATCCGCAAAATGGGATGGATAAGGCCCACCCAAATGGTGGCAAGTCCTGGGGCATCATGGGAGCCCCTGACAGTTTGGTCCACCCCTGTCTGCAGTGCTGCTGTTCCCCTACTTAGAAGAGGAAATGGCTGCTGAGGCCCCCAAAGTCCACCCTGTATTCATTTCCTGGGAGGAGGGTGGAAGGCCTTAGAACGCTGAAGCCTCTGAGACGGTTCTCCTGGGCTGTCAAGCTTGAGACCTTGCACTCATCCAGAGCAGAGGTTCCCAGAGTGAGGCTGGACTGGCAGCATCAGTGTCACTGCGGAACTTGGTAGAAATGCAGATTCCGGGGCTCACCCCAGACCCCCTGCACCACAGACTCTGGGGGTGGAGCTTGGCAAGCTGAGTATGAATAAGCCCTCTCCTCTCATGGCCCATGAGCTTGACAACAACTGATCCAGGAGGCTGTAAGGAAAATACAGCCTCTTTCACTCCAGAAGGAGCCCCGGAGAAGGGAATGTGCCCCTGAGGTCCCAGCGCAGACCCACCCTGCCTGAGGGTTTCCAGAGAACTGAGCAGGGCCCCTGGGGACACGCCTTCTTGGGAGGCTTTAGAAGACACATTGAGTCAATGGGTTCCTCCATGGATGGGAGCGGGGACAGGGCATGACACGTGCCCCTCCCCAGCCGCAGGGTCCTGGGACTGCGTCAGGAAGGGCTCAGGTGCCGGCCAGGCCGGACAGCCCTCCTGCCGACGGACTAATTAAGCCACATCTGGATCTAATTAGCCATGGAGTCTCCAGCAGAGGCCAGGACTGCCTTTATCATCCACATGGCAGAGCCCAGACAGGAGAAAAATGGCTGTCGATACGCTCTGCTTCCTGGTGCGCTGTGAGTGCGTGTCGGGGCGAGGAGTGCGTGGGGGTGCGGAGGGGTGAGGAACAAGAGATAGCTCAGTGTAGGAGGGAGAAGCACCAGCTAGCCTGCAATGGAATGATGAACCTGGGGGCTCTGGGAAGCCCTGGGATCCTGCAGGAGCCTCACTGAGCAGCTGCTGTTCTTCAGGGTCCCTTACACAACGGTGAGGAAGTGTGGGGTTCTTGAGCATCAGGGGAATGCAGTAGTTCAACCAGAGCTCTGCCAGTGCTTCTAGAGGCCGGTTGCCAGAATTTCCTTTAGGGAAAAACATATTATAGGGTCATGATCTCTTGGGGGTTCATATTTTTCTTTGCTAACACCTTGCCGTGTTTCATAGCACACATGTGACAAAGATTTATAGCTAAACATAGAATGAAAAGGCATATGTTTTGCTCTGCTTCTTAGAACTTTCTAGATCAATTCTTCTCAAACTCTGGCACTGTGACAATTACACAGAGTGCTTGTTAAAACACAGACTGCCAGGCCCTGACCCCAGAGCTTCTGATTCAGTGGGTCTGGCCTGGGGCCCTAGAATCTGTGTTTCCGAGTTCCCAAGTGAGGCGGCTCATCCTGGGATCTCCCTCTGAGAACCTCTGTTCCAGATTAACCGCTGTTCCAAACCTGTTCCCACACAGAAGCCACCTGAGACCTCTGCTGTCTCTGCCGCCTGGGTCCCAGCCCCGGGGATTGTGGTTAATTGGTACCTACCTGCCAGCCCCAGGGATTGTGGTTAATTAGTACCTGCCAGCCCCGGGGACTGTGGTTAATTAGTACCTGTTCCGCTGGGGCATCAGGAGTTTTAAAACTCCCCAAGTGACTCTAAGCTGCAGCCAAGTGTGAGGCCCATGATTTGTTCATTGCACAGAGATGTTGGAGGCGCCAGGCCCTGTGTTGTGTTATCAGCTGTGGGGACTCTGGACTGCCAGTGGTGCCCGATGCACAAGTCTCCCAAACTAAATAATAAGAGTGACTCACAATCGCTGAGCCCTGCTGTATCCCAGGCACTGTTGTAAGTGGATGAACTCATCCAATTTTCTCACAATCCTATGAAGTGAAGGCTGCTATTATCCCCGCTTTAGAGACAGGAACTCTGAGGTAGACAGAGAGGGTAGGTAGCCTGCCCAGGGTCACACAGCAGCTGCCATCTGGGGCCCAGATTGGCCTCCCTGCCCAACTGCTGTTTCAGGCGTGGAGTGAGGGGTTCCCCCCAGAGCCCTAGAGAGCAAAAGTCAGTGCCTTGGGGTTGTAGCAGGTGGGGGCAGTCCTTTATTCTGTACACAGGAGGTGCTCAGGGCCGGTTGTCACAGTGCCATCCTGCTGTAGCTGGCTGTCTGAGGGGGAGCAGGACAGACTCTCAGAGCACAGGTTATTTTCATCATGAGAGCATCCCTGCATCACCACGGTTGACACGGTTTTTAGGGTCCCAAGTTGATCTAGCAAAACCCAGCTAAATCAGAATGTAGCAGAAATAGAACCACCCCTTGACCGCCAGAACCTCTTTACTTAGTCAAATATCTAAAAGTAAATTGTAAAATCTGTCAAGGAATCCCAATGAATTAAAAACTCAACATCCCCTTTTTTAATACTGACCTTGTATTCCCCTTGTATTCCTTTTACTTTTCTGCTTCTAGTATGTGCTGACATCAAAGACCAAATAACCAAATGTACTAACATTGTGGACGAAGTACAATACCAATAGCAGGGACCTGTGGGTAAGCTCTAAGGGCTTCAGGGGCTTCAGGGGACTGGACTTTGCCCATCTCTTTTGGTGCTCAGAAATTTCTAGTCAAGGATGACAATGAAGAATAGACAGGAAAAAGCTATTAAAAAATAGTTGGTATAGGCTGGGCACGGTGGCTCATGCCTGTAATCTCAGCAATTCGGGAGGCTGAGGCAGGAGGACCACTTAAGCCCAGGAGTTTGACACCAGCCTGGGAAGCATGGCAGAACCTTTTCTCTACTAAAAATACAAAAATTATCCAGGTGTGGCAGCATGTACCTACTTGGAAGTCCCAGCTACTTGGGAGTCCCAGCTACTTGGGAGTCCCAGCTACTTGGGAGGCTAAGGTGGGAGGATTGCTTGAGCCCATGAGGTAGAGGCTGCAGTGAGCCAAGATCGTGCCACTGCCCTCCAGCCTAGGCATCAGAGCAAGACACCTTGATCTCAGTGTCTTTTTGCACCTGCTCCCTGCTTTCTTGTCGGCATAGCACAGCCCCATCTAGCCCTGTATGATGTGTGTTTCTGTGTTACTTTCTCTATGAGAATGTCAGTGTCCTGTGGGCAGGCATCTTGTCTGTTTTATTCTCTGAAGAATCTCCAGTGCCCACGAGAGCTGTGGCACATAATAGGTGCGAATGATGAAATGAACAAATGTACCTCCAGAGAACATGGCTGTGGGAGCTGCCCATTGATTCATACTCATCTCCATGAGTAGAAAGCCTCCAGATAATTCAGAATAGCTTTTCAACTCTGTGAGAAATGTGAAGCTTATTTTGGAAAAAAAAAACTTACATAAAATGATTGAAATGTTTAAAAGTTTTGTTGATCAAAGCAGCACAAATGATGCCCGCACATGCTTAGGTGGGCAGCTTAGCTACAGTGTGGCTGCGTTTCTTTCTGTTGCTTAGGAAATGAGCTACAAGGCGTGGTGGTCTGAGTCACAGCTTGTTAGTAAGTTAGACCTTAACCTAGCACTTGTTTTTTGATAGCAAAAAAGCATAACTAGCTTGTTTTAAGTGCAGGAAGTTGCTGCCATGCATAGCACCACATCCCTTTTTCCTCCTCCTCCTCTTCCTCCTCCTCCTCCTCTTCCTCCTCCTCCTCCTCTTCCTCCTCCTCCTCCCCCCTTTCCTCCTCCTCCTCCTCCCCCTTCTCCTCCTCCTCTTCCTCCCCTTCTCCTCCTCCTCCTCTAGCTCTTCTTCCTCTCCTCCCTCTCTCTTTCTCCCCACCAGCCTCCAAGCTGGCTCCGCAGTTCTTATCCAAACAGGAGGTGCATCTGTGGGATTTGCCCTGATTTATGGCCAGCAGGAGTGCCAGTTCACACCCCCATATCTCATCCTGAACAACCAGTTCTGGCCTTAGACCCTGTTTAAATGTTAAAAGCAAAGTGTCAAGGTAGCGTTGCTTTTTGGCTTAAGGTTATGAGCCAGATTTTAGTGAGGGGGAAGAACAAAAACATGGCCTATCTAGCAGCATCAAATTGGGAATTTCCCCTGTACTGAAAAACGTATTCTAGGGTCATGATCTCTTGGGGGTTCATATTTTTCTTTGCCAGCCCCATATGTGTAATTAAAGCCCATATTTAAAATGAGGACAAGATCCCAGGGCTACTTTCTCACAATAATCAAACCAACTCCTGTTTCCTTTCCCTCTCCTCCTCCTTCTCCCTGTCCCTCTCCCCTTCCCTCCTCCTTCTCCCTGCAATCCTCCCTCCTTCTCCTCCTCCCTCCTCCTCCTCCTCCCTGTCCTTTCCAACCTCCCTCCCATCCTCTCTTCCACCCTCCTCCCCCTCATCATCATCCCCCCACCTCCTTGTTGCTCCTCCTCCCTGCCCCTCCTCACCTCCCTCCCATCCTCCCTTCCACCCTCCTCCTCCCTCCTCCTCCTTCTTCTTCCTTGTTGCTCCTCCTCCTGCCTGTCCCTCCCCATCTCCCTCCTATACTCCATTCCTCTGCCCTCATCCTTCCTCCTCATCCTTGTCCCTCCTCACCTCCCTCCCATCTTCCCTTCCTCCCTCCTCCTCCTCCTCCTGCCTCCTTCACCTCCTCCTAGTCCTTCCTCCTCCTGCTTGTCCCTCCCCACCTCTCTCCCTTCCTCCCTCCTCCTGCTTGTCCCGCCGCACCTTCCTCCCTTCCTCCCTCCTACTCCTGCCTCCTCCTCCTCCTTGTCCATCCTCCTCCTCCCTGTCCCTCCCCACCTCTCTCCCGTCCTCCCTTCCTCCCTCCTCCTTGTCCCTCCTCCTTCTCCTTGTCCCTCCCCACCTCCCTTCCATCCTCCTCTCTCTCCTGCCCCTTCTCCACTTTGATCTGGAGCTGCTGCCCGGGCTGATGCTGAGGGTGACTCTTGGTGACCAGACACTGCAGATCAAGGCCAGCACAACTGAGCCCACAGTGCTGAGCGTGCATCCCCCACGTGCAGCCCCCACAACTGCAAGAGGTGAATGCTCTTCATTTTGCAAAGGAGGAGGATGAGACTCACGAGGTCAGGAAGTCTGGGACCAAGGTGTGACTTCAGATTCCAGAACTGGTGCTCATGGGGTAAAAGGGGAGGAGAAACGATTCCTGCTCTGGGGCAGTGTCTTTCAGAGCTGGCTTAGAGCCTCCATCCAACAATCTCCTGGGCCAGGTGAAGAGACTGGGTGTGGAGAGGCCTTGCTTGGGCTGCAGCAGCGAGTGGGGCTGTGTCACCCTCCTTACTCTGTCCGAATCCCCGCTCAGTGGTCTCTCCTCCTCCTTAGCCTCCTCGTTAGCCTCTCAGCCTTCTTCTCTGTGCTTGGTCTTCAGCTCTCTCCTCCTCTCTCCCAGTCTCCCAAGGTGATGATCAGAGCCTCCAGAGTGGATAAGCCTGTGGGCCCTGGAAGCTGACCTCTTCCAACTGCACCGACAGCACCCTTGATTCTGCCAATGGGGGTCCAGCAGGAAGTCGGGGGAGCGGAGGAGTGAGGCCAGGGGCTCTGTGGGGTCTCCCCAGACTGGCTGCTGCCCTGGCTGCTCTGGGACTGTGGGCGAGTTGCCAAGGCTTTCTGGCCAGAGGTGGGAATCCTCCAGCTTCTCTCCCAGGCTGGCCCCGCCTCCACGACCCTCCTTTCAGGCCCCCACGGCCCCCACTAAGGCCTGGGGCACCAGCCCTCAGCCCTCAATGCTTTGGACTACTTCCTGTCCTGTTCTGCAGGTGCACTCACCTCCGCAGCAGAACACACACTGAGGGCCGAAGCTCCTCCTCCTGCGGCACGGAGTCCCCACCTGTGTGCCGGTTTCCTGGAGACTCTGCCCTGCTACTTGGACCCAGAGGAAGGCAGATGTTTGGACCAGGAGCTCTCGACCTTGCACATTGCAGTCAGCGGGGGCTCCGCAGAGTCTGATGCCCAGGCTGTACCCCAGGGTTTCTGCCTCCAGTGGTCTGAGGCGGGGACAGCTGCTAGGCATTTAAATGCTACCCTGGAAACTCCAAGGTGCACCCAGGACAGAGAACCATGTGCTGAAAATGCTGAGTGTCAGTGCGGAGGTGGGATGTGCGAGGGCCATGATTTACCTCCACAGCCACAACATGCCAGTAGCATTTTTTCTATAAATGCAAATGTTTTAGATAGTAGTATTCAAATTATTTGAAACAGGACTATCTTTTTAAAAAATAGTATCCCTTTAAAAATCTTTTTTTTTTTTCTTTCTGTGGCAGGGCCTCACTCTGTTGCCCAGGCTGGAGTGCAGCCACACCATCTCGGCTCACTGCAGTCTCTACCTCTTGGGCTCAAGTGATCTTCCCGCCTCAGCCTCCTAAGTAGTCACCACACTCAGCCAATTTTTAATTTTTTTTTTTCTGGAGATGAAGTCTCACTCTGTTGCCCAGGCCAAAGTGCTGAGATTACAGGAGTGAGCTACCGCACCTGGCCAAAAATCCAAACTAATATTTAATAATAACAGAATGGTTACTTCATACCAGGCACTGTTCTCAGCATTTTGCCTATTTTGGCATTTAAACTTTGCAGCAGTAGGCTGAGGTAAAAACTATAGTTGTCCCATTTTACATAGGGGAATAGAGGCAGGGAGAGGGCAGGTTGCCAGAGGCCAGGTCACTGGCTAGGACATGGCTGGACTTTGGCTGGGATTGGGGGGCAGGTGGGCTCCACACCTGTGCACATAACCAGCCACACCCAGCCCTGCAGTGCCTTGTTACCATCGCCTAAGCAGTGTGATGCTTGACAGGATATGCTTGAGTACTGTTTTATGATCTCCAGTTCACATAAAAATCAATATGGAGGCCAGGCGCGGTGGCTCACACCTGTAATCCTAGCACTTTGGGAGGCTGAGGTGGGTGGGTTGCCTGAGCTCAGGAGTTTGAGACCAGCCTGGGCCACCCGGTGAAACCCCGTCTCTACTAAAACACAAAAAATTAGCCAGGCGTGGTGGCATGCACCCGTAGTCCCAGCTACTTGGGAGGCTGAGGCAGAAGAATTACTTGAAGTCGGGAGGCAGAGGTTGCAGTGAGCTGAGATTGCACCACTGCACTCCAGCCTGGGCAACAGAGTGAGACTCCATCTCAAAAAAAAAAAAAAAAACCAATATGGAATATTGAAACAAAAAGCTATTCTGTACATACTACTTAAAGTCATTTGGCCACCAGAAACAGAGATCTTGCTCTTTGGGAAATAACGGGATAGAAAGAGTGCTTGCATGGGAATTTGTTTCACATTTGAATACTAGATCCGCCCCATAGGCACGGGGCCTGTCACCTTCCTGAGTGCCAGGGTCCAAGCAGCTGTAAGATGGAGATAATGACACAGACTTCAGAGGGATCCTGAGATGGGAGGTGAAATGCTAACCAAAGCACTGAACAGGCTGGTTTCCTAGCAGAGGCTGCAGTTCTCAGCTATTGGCGGCCAATGGGGGTAGTAAAGGGGATACCACTTTGTGAACCTTTTAACCTGGGCCTCTGTCAAGATGGGAGGATCATTGACTGGTTAGTCTATAAATAGGGCCAAAGAGACCTAAGAGAATTTCATGGAATTGTAACCTTCTGTCCTCCAAATAATCTCAAAGGCAATAAACCTTGCTTGCAGATCAAGGGTTTTCAATGTTTTTATGACCCAGCTCCCCTCTAATGACTTTTCCGGCATTTCCCAAACATCACTGAGCCCCAAGCCCCCTGGTAGTGAGTCTCTGTGTGTCTGACAGCTACGCTGACCAAACCATAATCAGTTAGTGACCCCTCAAAGTAATGGTAGAAGTTTGCCTAATAAAATAAAATTAGCTGTCTATAGAAACAGAATTTGATATACATCGAAATGTGGAAGGGGAAATGTTAAAACTCTAAAGGGGGAATATAGGAGAATATCTTCATGACGTTGGAGCCAAGGCAGCTTTGTTAACATGAAAATATCATGATCTACAAAGGAATTTGATAAATTTGACTATATTAAATGAAAAGACACAATTCTCTTGTTCTTAACAAATACACCCTTAACAAAATAAGGTGGAAAGCCACAGACTGGAAGAAGATATTTTCAACATAAGCCACTGCCTCTGGCCTGGTGTTATGTCCCAGGAGCAGGTGTACAGATGCACGTCATGGTAGCAGCCTTCCCCATTTCCTCATCTATCAGCTGCCCTGTGGATTATATTGGATGACATCTGCAATGGGTTTAGAGAGCATTTAGTACATTATAGGCAGTAGGGGTTGTCAGTATTGTAATTATCCAAGTTCAAAATATATTTTTATACAAATCAATAATAAAAGACAACCAAATGAAAGTATGCAGGACATGTCCAGGCAATTCCCAGAAGATAGAAACAAATAATACATTGCTGCAAAGGTGCGTATCCTCACCAATAGCCAGGGAAGTGATAATTTAAAAAACGGATGAGGTAACTTTTCAGGCTCATCATACTGAAAAAACTCAGAAATGTGAGAACACTTCATAGGTACACCAAGTGACCTGTGTCTACTGCGGTGGAAATGTACCTCAGAGCACTCTCTCTCTACAGTAATTTGGCAATAGCTAGTAAAATTGATCCACTAAGTCAATTTTCTGGAGAATGCTTACAAATGCATATGTTATCGGCATGGATGTGTATGTGACAGAATGTTCCCTGCAATAATGTAACAGTGAAACCTGCCATCAACCTAATAGTATGGAACAGGAGACTGGATGGGAGTGAACGCTGTTCTCAGAGATGGCAACACAGTAACAAAATAACACAGTTTATTTAATGGATTAGAACCTCAAGGTAGTTACAAAGTTTAATAGAATAAGGATGTGAAACGATAACAGAGGTCATTTAATAGAATACTTGATATTTATCTCCACAAACTCTGAAAAGATATTTTGGGGTAGAAAAAGTTTCAAAAGGAAATGTTTATATGATATTTTAGAAACGCTTTTTAAGGCCAGGGGCAGTGGCTCATCCTTGTAATCCCAGTGCTTTGGGAGGCCGAGGCAGGTGGATCCCTTGAGCCCAGTTTAAGACCAGCCTGAGCAACATGGCGAAACCCCATCTCTACAAAAAATATGAAAAAAAAATTTAGCCTAGGGTGGTGGTGTATGTCTGTAGTCCCAGCTACTCTGAAGGCTGAGGTGGGAGGATCCCTTGAGCCCAGGAAGTCAAGGCTGCAGTGAACCGCGATCGCACCACTGCACTCCAGCCTGGGCAGAGAATGAGATCCTGTCTTTGAAAACAAGAAATTTTTTTAAAAAATGAGAAGTAGGCTGGCCATGGTGGCTCACGCCTGTAATCCCAGCACTTTGGAAGGCCGAGGCAGGCTGATCATCTGAGGTCAGGAGTTCGAGACCAGCCTGGCCAACATGGCGAAACTCTGTCTCTACTAAAAACATAAAAATTAGCTGGGTGTGGTGGCAGACACCTGTGATCCCAGCTACTTGGGAGGCTGAGGCAGGAGAATTGCTTGAACCTGGGAGGTGGAGTTTGCAGTGAGCTGAAATTGTGCCACTGCCCTCCAGCCTGGGCAACAGTGAAACTGTCTCCAAAAAAAAAAAAAAAGAAAAAGAAAAAGAAAAGTAATGCCGTGGGTTGTTTTGGATACGTACAAGAGTAACAGTAAAACACGAAAACAAAAACACTCCTGGGAATGCCACGAGAGGGTGACTTTTGGGGAGGAAGAGCACCTGGGAGGGGGATAGGGAGTCTTCAAAACCATTGTAGTGATTGAACTCCTGAAGGAAGAGAAACCTGAAGCTACCGTGGCCGGATTCCAGACCTCCACAGTGCAGTGCACACAGTTCCTCCGAGGTGGATCATCCTGACTTGTTCTGTGCTCACATTTACAAAGAGTGTCTTTCCACATCTTCAGTCCAGCGCCCATTCTGCAGGATGTATTTATGGGTTTGACACGCTGGGAAACTGAGCTCCATGCTCGCCAAGGCTTTGTTCCCAAGCTGGAAGAGCAGGGAAGTGCTGGCGGACAAGGCGGGTGCGGGTGGCCAGGGTGGGCGGCCACCAACCTGGAAAGGGGCCGTGTTCTCCCAGAAATGGTCTCCAATGGAGCGTAAATGGCCAAATATTAGCCTGCCACATAACAGGGGTGAGAAAATGTCGGTCTGTTTCTTGTATTTGATGCAGAAAGACTATTTAAATCTATGAAATTTCGAAAAAAAAAAAAAAAAAAAAAGCCGTGTGTGTTGGCGGAGAGGGAAGGGGGTGGTGGATGTTCAAGGCGGACGCATGTGTTTGATGGGGAGACTTCTGTGCGTGGTCTTGTTGTGGTTGCTTGAATTCCTTCCAAACGGGCCTTTCTTTCCTTTTTTCTCTATTTCCTCACCCTACAAAGGGCCCCCTTTTCATATTTTACATGTTGTGATTTCACTGAGCCCTTCCAGTTGGTCGTCAACAGTTCATTTGTGCCAGGGCCTTCTGTAAACTCTGCGCTCGGGTCTCCCGACCTGACCACCCACCGAAACAGGCTGTCTAAACAGCGTGTGTCTGGGCCTCAGACACAGTAAGCGAGTTCAAGATGGACCCTGTCCAAGGATTTTTTTTTTCTCCTCCAAGCAGAGGTGGGGGCTGGGTGGGAGAGCTGGGGGCAGACCCTGGTAGCCCTGGGCCCCGCTTGGATGCGGCCCTTTGAAGTTGGAGAGAAATGGCCCCTGCCTTTTGTCGTTTTTCTCCACGGTTGTCCCTGAGCCTTAAAAGGGTTTCTCTTACCCTCTCTGACTTGATTCAGTGGCGTCAATCTCTGTGACCAGAGCAAACACGTTGATAGGAACTGGAGCTTCTTTCAGCCTCATCCCAAATGTCTGTAGCCAGAGTTTGATCCCCCTCTGCCTCAACTCCCTATACTTGAGGCTAGAACCCCTGGGGTACAGCTCTCAAGGGGTCCTGAGTGGTCCTCGGCCTGGGCTGATGACATTGCTGGCATTTTGGTTTTTGTTTGTTTGAGGCGGAGTGTCGCTCTGCCACCCAGGCTGGAGTTCAGTGGCATGATCTGGGCTCCCTGCAACCTCTCTCCCGAGTTCAAGTGACTCTCCTACCTTAGCCTCCCGAGTAGCTGGGATTACAGGCACATGCCACCAGGTCCAGTTAATTTTTTTTTTTTTTTTTTTTTTTTTGGTATTTTTAGTAGAGACGAGGTTTTGCCATGTTAGCCAGGCTTGTCTCGAACTCCTGACCTTGGGCGATCCACCCTCCTTGGCCTCCTAGAGTGCTGGGATTACAGGCGTGAGCCACCGTGCCCGGCCCATTGCTGGCATTTTGTGTGTGTCATTGGGACACACTTGGGAAGACCAGAAGCAGGTGCTGGTTACCCCGTGAACCACTCAGATTTCTTGCTTGCCCTCTGCTAGACACTGGCTAGGAGCTCTGCTTAGATTCTCCCACTTAACCTTTGCAGTGACCCCCCGAGGCTGGTACTGTTGTCACTGAGCCCATTTTACAGGCGAAGGAACTGAGGCATGGACATTCAGATTAGTGCCCCTGAACAGCAGCTGGTACGTGGCAGAGCAAGGATTCAAACCCAGTACTCCCTGCTCCAGAGGTCACATTCTAGTATGGTGTTACAGTCTTCCAGGTGCTATCTCCAATGAGAGTTCCCCAGGACATCACAGAATCAGTAATGAAAGCAGCTGCCCGATGGTGAACACTCAGGAAACACTTACTGGGTTTTATCTTACACCCTTTACACAGGCAGACCTCAGAGATATGTGGGTTCTGTTCCAGACCACTGCAATAAAGTGAGTATCACAATAAAGCAAGTCACAGAAATTTTTTTTATTTCCAAGTGGATATAAAAGTTATGCTCAGCCTGGCCAATGTGGTGACACTCTGTCTCTACTAAAAATACAAAAATTAGCCAGGCGTGGTGGTGGGCGCCTGTAGTCCTAGCTACTTGGGAGGCTGAGGCAGGAGAATTGCTTGAATCTGGGAGGCAGAGGTTGCAGTGAGCCAAGATCACGCCACTGCACTCCAGCCTGGGCTACCGAGTGAGACTCGTTCTCAAAAAAAAAAAAAAAAAAAAAGTTATGCTTATGCTGTACGTAGTCTATTAAATGTGCAATAGCATTGTGTCTAAAGAAACCAATGCGTGTAACTTACCGAAAAATATTGCTAAAAACTGCTAACAATCATCTGAGCCTTCAGAGAGCTGTGATCTTTTTGCTGGAGGGCATTGCCTCGATGTTGATGGCTGCTGGACTGATCAGGGTGGTGCTTGCTGAAGGCTGAGGGGGCTGTGGCAATTTATTAAAACAAGACAACAATAAAGTTTACTGCATCCATGGACTCTTTCTTTTACAAAGGATTTCTCTGTAGCATGCAATGCAGTTTGATAGCATTTTACCCGCAGTAAAACTTCTTTCAAAATTGGAGTCAATTCTCTCAAACTCTGTTGCTGTTTTATCAACTAAGTTTACATAATTGCCTAAGTCGTTTGTTGTCGTTTCAACAATGTTCAAAGCATCTTCTCCAGGAGTAGATTCCATCTCAAGAAACTGCTTTCTTTTCTCATTCATAAACAGCAGCTCCTCATCTGTTGAAATTTGATCATGAGCTTGCAGCCATTCAGCCCCATCGTCAGGCTGTACTTCTCATTCCAGTTCTCTTGCTATTTGCTTCACATCTGCAGTGACTTCCTCCACTAAAGTCTTAAATCCCTCAGAGTCATCCAGGAGGGATGGAATCCACTTCTTCCAAACTTCTGTTAATGTGGATATTTTGACCTCTTACCATGAATCACAAATGTTCTTAATGGGACCTAGAATGGTGAGTCCTTTCCAGAAGGTTTCCAATTTTCTTGGCCCAGATCCATCAGAGGAATTACTTTTTATGGCAGCTATAGTCTTACAAAATGTATTTCTTAAATAGTAAGAGTAACAGTAATAGTAATAGTAAGAGTCTTGAGTAAGACTCAAAAGTCAAAATTAGTCCTTGATCCATGGGCTGCAGAATGATTGTGTCAGCAGACAGGAAAACAACATTAATCTCCTTGTACATCTCCATCAGAGCTCTTGGGCAACCAGATGCATTGTCAATGTGCAGGAATAGTTTGAAAGGAATAGGTCTCAACCGTGGGCTTAAAATATTTAGTTAACCAGCTGGGCATGGTGGCTCATGCCTGTAATCCCAGCACTTTGGGAGGCTGAGGCAGGTGGATCATGAGGTCATAGCCAGGAGATTGAGATCATCCTGGCTAACATGGAGAAATCCCATCTCTACTAAAAATACAAAAAATTAGCCAGGCGTGGTGGTAGGCGCCTGTAGTCCCAGCTATTTGGGAGGCTGCGGCAGGAGAATGGCGTGAACCCAGGAGGTGGAGCTTACAGTGAGCCGAGATTGCGCCACTGCACTCCAGCCTGGGCGAGGGAGCAAGACTCTGTCTCAAAAAAAAAAAAAAAAAAATTTAGTAAACCATGCTGTAAACAGATGTGCTGGCATTCTGCAGGCAGAGTAGATCTAGCACCATTTGCATCATTCTTAAGGGCCCTAGGATTTCAAGAATGGTAAATGAGTATTGGCTTCAACTCAAAGTGACCAGCTGCATTAGCCCCAAACAAGAGTCAGCCTGTCCTTTGAAGCTCTGAAACCAGCCATTGACTTCTCTCTAGCTATGAAAATCCTATATGGTGTAATTTTTTCCAATATAAAGCTGTTTTGTCTTCATGGAAAATCTGTGGTTTAGTGTAGCCACCGTTATCAATGACCTTAGCTAGATCTTTTGGAGAACTTGCAATTTCTCTGTCAACACCTCCTGCTTGCCTTGCACTTTTATGTTATGGAGATGGCGTTTTTTTTTTCATTAAACCTTAGGAGCCAACCTCTTGTTAGCTTCAAACTTTTCTTCTGCAGCTTCCTCACCTCTCTCAGCCTTCACAGGATTGAAGAGCGTTAGGGCTTTGCTCTCGATCAGGCTTGGGCTTAAGGGAATGTTGTAGCTGGTTTGATCTTCCATCTAGACCCTAAAACTTTCTCCATATCAGGAATAAGGCTGTTTCACTTTCCTATTGTTGGTGTGTTCCCTGGAGTAGCAGGTTTAATTCCCTTCAAGAACTTTTCCTTTGCATTCAAACTTGGCTAATAACTGTTTGGCACAAGAGGCCTAGCTTTTGGCCCATCTCAGCTTACAACATACCTTTCTCACTAAATTTAATAATTTCTACCTTTCAATTTAAACTGAGATACGTGTGACTCTCCCCTTCATTTAAAGGCTCGGAGGCCACTTTAGACCCCCCAGTATTGAAATGCGCTGAATTTCAATATTGTTGTGTGGGTCTCAGAGAATAAGGAGGCCCGAGCAGAGGGAGAGAGACGGGGGAACAGCCAGTGACTGGGACAGTCAGAACACACGCAGCATTTATCAACTAAGTTTGTCGTCTTCTGTGAGTGTGGCTTGTGCCACCCCAAGATAATTATTTACAACAGTAACACCAAAGATCACTGATTACAGATCACCGGAGCAGATATAATAATAACAAAAAGTTTGCAGTATTGTGAGAATTACCAAAATGTGACACAGGAACAGGAAATGAGGAGGTGATGTTGGAAAAATGGTGCCAACAGAATTGCTTGACACAAACCTTCAATTTGTTTTTTAAAAAAGCGTTACCTGCAAAATGCAACAAGGCAAGGCGTGCCTGTGCTTCGCGACTTTTCAGTCTTCACAACAACCCTGTGAAGTCAGTATTATTAATACTTCCATGTGCCAGATAAGGAAACTGAGGCCAGAAAAAATTCGAGATAATAAGTGGCAGGGTCTGTGTTCCTGTGTCTGTGTTGGTGTAGACATCACTAAAAATGTCACCTGGTGACATTGAGGCAGCTCCACCATGTGCCAAGGCCCCGTGGCCAATGTCCCTGCAGGGGATGCCAACAGGAGGATGGAGAAATGAGATGGTTCTTGTAAACGATGGGATACTGCACAGCAGCGACGTCGCATGAGGAGAGCTACATGCACCCACATGGGAGGGTCTCACAGATAAAACACTGGATGAGAAACGTTGCAGCAGAGCAAAGATGAAAAACATGGGCTGGGTGGTGTGTCTCACACCTGTAATCGTAGTACGACTCACATCTGTAATCGTAGTACTTTGGGAGTCTGAGGCAGGAGGATCACTGGAGTCCAGGAGTTCCAGGCTGCAGTGAGCTATGATTGCACCAGTGCACTCCAGCCTGGGAAACAGAGGGAGACCCTGTCTCAACACACACACACACACACACACACACACACACACACACACACACACACACACAGAGAGAGAGAAAACAATACTACATGGCATTCATAAAAAGAATTCAATAGAATATCGGTATTGAAATTCATGGGAATGATGGACACTAAATTCAGGAAAATATTTCCTTGGCAGGAGAAGGGGGAGATACGGGAATGAGCGGGGCTCACGGGGGATTCAACCATAAAGCATTGCTCCTGAATCGGGATGGTGAGTGTACAGGGCCTTATTATTCTTTATACCTCGTTTAACGTCTGGAATATGTAATAAGTTTTTCAAAGGTGGCCAACCACAGGGAGTATCTTATGTGCAGAAAATTTGGGGCCCGGGAGAAATTGGGGGAAGTTTGATCCAAAAAAAGGGGAACATATTAAAAGATAAAGAGTATCAGTGGGGATGAGGTGGGTCTGAGAGAGCCGGCGGGGGTGGAGTGGGGTAGACGAGACCACCTCCACCTGGGACCCTGATGGTCGTAGGGAATCTTTCCTGTCCTCAGCCTGCCACCCAGCAAGACTGGCTGATTCTGAAAACTTGACCGTTAGGAATTCTTTTCTTTGGCCTAAGAACTCTCCTACTCCATTTAAAATTCAACCCCTCAGGGACTGGAGGTCATTAAAACCTCCTCAGTCATTTCCGTGTCACGGTGAATGAGGCTGCCAGGATATTTCGTGAGTGCAGCGTTATGACAGAAGAGAACACAAGGGCATGTTCGTGTGAGTGGAAAGAAGGCATTTCTGGGCTGGGAGTGAGAACAGGTGGAGAAAAGAGTGTGATGTACACACCTGGACAGAACCCTCCAGCCTTCACAATTTTCTATCAGGCTGGGGGTTGTCGATCTTTTGGAATAGATGACTGAGGATCACATCCCATCATCCCACGCTTTCCATGAACAAACGTGCAGATGAGAGAGTGGAGCCCACCTCTCACTGGCCACGGTTACACCCGGCATCAGGCAGGCCTGCCCCAGTCTCTCATGTGTGAACCTGGGCGAATCTTGGTAACCTCCGAGCCTCAGGTTTCTCCTCTGTTATGATGGGGACACTAATGCTGTCTCACAAGCCTGTCTGTCTTCCAGGAGATGATGTCAATGGGCTCGTCCAGCACAATCAGTGAGCCCCCTGCAGTAGCCTCTTCCCTGAAAGGACCAAGGCCTCACTGTATGAGTCAGATGGCACCACACCCCAGCCTGCAGCACAGCAGCGGCCCCGCTGTCCTGAGATACAATCCTTCATTCTGGCCTAAAGGCCCTGCGTGATGAGCCCGGTCCCCCTTGTATCCCTCCTGGTGCCCTGGCCTCCTGCCAGTTGTCCAGGCAGGCTCTTTCTACCTCAGGGCCTTTGCACCACCTGCCTCTCCTCCTGGAACACCCTTCCCCAGATAGTCTCAGGCCTGGATCTCCTCCTCTGCAGGTCCCAGCTCCACTGTCACTCCTCAGCGAGGCCCTCCCTGACTGAAGGGATCAGTGCCCTTGTAAAAGAGGCCTGAGAAAGACCCCTAACACCTTCCACCAAGTGATGGCACAGCAAGAAGGCACCATCTATGAACCAGAAAGTTTGTCCTTACTAGACACCAGCCAAGTCTGTCGCTGCCTTGGTCTTGGACTTCCAGCCTCCAGAACTGTGAGAAATGCATTCGTTGTTTATAAACCACTCAGTTCATGATGTTCGTTACAGCAGCCTGAGCAGCCCAAGACAATAACAAACCAGCCACAAGTCAGTAGCTACAAACAGCAAGCATCTACTCTGGAGGGACCTGGGTGGGGCTGGGCGGGGCTGAGCGGGGCAGTGCCACTGGGTTGGCTTAGCTCTTGTGACTCCCGCTCACTCCTGGGACCAAGGGGTGGCCCAGGCACATCCTGCTGATACAGTGACTGGGACAAGGGAGCCAGTACAGCTGCACACATGCCTGCTCCAGCCCTGCTTGTGCCACATCTGCTGGCAGACACGGGCTGAACTCTGAACGGAGTAAGGAGATACAGGCCACCTCTGCATGGGAACAGCCATGAAGACCTGTGGCACAGGGTGTGGACACAGGAAGGGGCAGACACAGAGCCATCCCTCAACCCCTCAACCTAGTGACATACTGGAGCTCGAAGTGCCCAGCACAAGGCCTGGCCCAGAGGCGGTGGTTGACGCGGGCTGCAGAGGGAAGACAGCGAGATTCTGCCGTGGCGGACACCCATGCATTTGGCTGGCAGAGAAGTGGAGGAGGGGCTGTAGGATCTCAGGGGAGGGACAGGCCTCTCTCAGTGGGCACTCTTATGGGCGTGGCTTCCTTGGGGAGCGGGCATTTAAGCTGGGTCTTGAGGGCTGAAGAGACAGACAGGGAGGGCTGGAGGGCATGCAGATGGGAAGGAGCTGGAGAGCTTGGGTCTGAGCTGTCTGGGCATTAGCAGGGGCAGAGGAGCTGCAGGACCAGATGCAGGAGAAATTGGTTCTAGGAGCACCAATTTCTGATCAGCTTCACGGTCCTTGAAGGAACCATCAGCCGGTCTTGCCTGCTGGTTGCACTGGGGGGAAGCGCTGCAGTGAGCCTCAGGAAGGTCCAAGTCTCCCCGCCCAGAGCCTGGCAGGTTGGACAGTGCCAAGTCATACCCGGGAGGCTGGGTCTCCCCCCACCTGCCTCCTCCCTGCACCCGGGTGTCCCAGGCTCGCTGTGAGGCCAGTGCAGATGGAACAGGCTATCATTCTGGACTATTAAAGAGGAATGATCAAATGTGCTCTTTCTACTTAATCATGATTGCTCAAGAATTTGCTGACATGCTGTGGAGTGATAACATGATAGTGATAACATGATAGTGAAACTGGCCAGATCCCTGGACCGTGTGCTCAGAACAAACTTCTGCTTTGGGCCCACTGGACGCCACACCTCTCCCTCCCACTCTGCTCTTCCTGGGCGGTGTGGTTTTTCTGCAAGTCGCCTCAGAGGCCTCAGAGGAATGCAAAAAATGGGAGGGATTTCAGGCCTTGTTTCACCATTGGAGGAACAAATCTGTGCAGGCCTGGTGGAGCAATTCCATGTTTCGTGTCTGTTCCTTTTCCTGGGCACGGGGAAAATTCTATTTCCCAGATTCCCTTGCAGTTGGGTTGAGCCGTGTACCTGACTCCAGCCCACAGGCTGGGAGTGGAAGTGAAGTGGCCCCTCTATGCCGAGAGCTTAGCAGCAGTCAGAGCTCTCCATGCTCAGCAGTCTGACTCCCTGCTGTGGACACAGGAAAAGCCACATGGTGATGGGGTGGACGCCACAAGATGGAAACAGCCTGGATCTCTGAGTCACCGGCTGGAGCAAGATTTCCATCAACCTGCTGTAGCATAGAGTAGCCTCTTCCCTACTGTTGAAGGCATGAGCCTTGTTTAGCTCTGTTGGTTAGAATATTTATACCCGTGACCTGGACTCCTCCACTTCATCCTCACAGCAGCCCGTGAGGAAGGGCCATCACTCCGCCCACTTTGCACACAGGAAAATGAGGCCTGTAGATGAAGCTCTTACCCTGGCTGCCCTCTGCCTCTGTCCTTCGCTTGGTCTAGGATCTTGGGAAGTTGGTTTCCCTCGTTGGGCCAAAACGTCTTCCTCTGAAAAAGGAGGTCGCTAGGTGGGGTGGTTGGACAAGGTCATACAATCTAAGACAGAGGACCAGGTTCTTGTAGCTCAGAAGTTCCCAAAGATTTGGATTCTCTGAGAAATAAATATAGATAACTTGGGGAATGCTATTCAGTTGCCACCTTTAATCTTTCCAATGAAAAGATCACGAAAGGCTCAAGCATGTATTATTTCCATCATGTCGGAAGAGAAGAAATGCAGGCTCTTTCTGCAGGTCCCCTCTCCTACCCCATGTCCCTGCAGTGGGTTCTGAGCTAGGACTTACGTCGGGGGCACACTGACAGCCACACCCCATGCCACGCCCTGAGGCCACCCCCTCCTGAGGCTTTGGCTTCCTCATCTGTAAAATTGGAGGGCTGGAGTTAGGCGGCCTTTGATGCCTCTTTGGCTCAAATGTTCACTCAATTTAGGATGACCCCATGTCTCACAGCTTTTCAGTTTCCATGAGACTGTGAGTAGCTGATAGCTGTGGGGTTTTAGAGATGTTTCCGTAGGGAGCTTCAAGGGTCTGGAGGAGAGAACCAGCCACAGGAGGGTTGTGTGAATGACCTGGGAGTGTAGGCAGCCTGTCTTCCTGCTGGGAGGGTACCTGGTGCCCTTTGCTCTGGGCACAGCTGCTGTCCCTGCTGGAGGGATCAAGGAAGAGCTTTGCCTGCCCAGCTTCATAGAAAGGTGCAGCGATCAGAGGAGAAGGCACTGCCCAAGAAGGAAGGAATGGGATGAAGCTGAACTTAGACACCTGGAGGACAAGATGTAGAACATCCCTGGGGACCCATCCAGGCAACCATGTCCAGAAATTCTCAGCAGGGAGAGCAGGAAGGAGGCTTGAGAATAATATCTATCTATCTAAAATACCTATCTATTTATCTAAAATATCTATCTTCTATCTATCTAAAATTATCTATCATATCTATCATCTATCTAATCTATCTAATAATTTATCTGCCTATCTATGCATCTGCCTATCCTATTATCTGTCTATCATCAATCTAATAATGTATCTGCCTGTCTATCCTATTATCTACCTATCTATCTGTCTATCTTTAGGAATACAGAAGGAAGGGTCATTAAAATAATCTAGTTTAGAGATCCACAAACACAAACCTATTAGTTATTTGCATTATTAAGCCTCTAACCATATGAAATTGGCATTTTAAGTTAAAAAATGTTCAATAAGGGTGATTTTAATGTAATTTAACCTAAAAGAGTCGCTGGGGGGTATTTGTTAAGCCTGTCGTTTCCTGACCCTTCCCAGGCCCACCAAGCCAGTGTTGACAGAGAACATGTCCCTGGAATCTGAATCTCCACCAGTGTCCCAGGCAATTCTGATGCTCTCCCTTGTTTGGGAATTGCCAGCTGTCCCCTCCCTGAAGCCTCTTCTTATCTTCCAGTGGATACTGGTTCTGTTTGTACTCAGTTACCAACCCTTTAGGTCCCAGGACCTCCTGATTCCACCCAAAGCTCCCTAATATGCAGACTGTGACAAGCATTAGAGAGATTGACATTCATTGTACTGGGTGTTTCTCCAGGGGCTTTTTAAACATCGAGGTGATATTTATAGCAGCAGAACACGCTCACACGCCATCTAGTTTATATCCTCTCACGCTGTGTTGGTGAGGGTAAACTCCAAGCAGCTTTAACCAGAAACACTCCAGAATACAGGGCTTTAAGAACAGAGCGTATGATTTATCTCCCGTGTTGTGGTCCTAAAGACAGTGGCCCAGGGGCCTGGATGTGTCATGCAGCTCTTTGGGACCCAGGTCCCCTCCATCCCATTGCTCTGCCATCTCCCATAGGGTCGGGCTCATCTACAAGGTGGAAGCTGGCATCCACCTCCGTGCTCCACCTCCTGGGGAGGCGACAATAATGGAGGGGCACCTGCACAGAAGGCCCAGGCTGAGAAGCATCTCAGATCACCTACACTCACATTGAGGTTTAGGCACATGGTCCCTGACCTGCAAAGGATGGAGGGTGATGTGTTCTCCAGCACGGGCAGCTGTGTGCTCACCCACTGTTCTGTTTCTGCAGAAGAAGAGGAGGATGTATTTGATGGCTAAGGGGTGGTCTATGCAGAGATGCACCTAGGTGTTTGGGTTTGAAACTGACAGCACTCTCCAAACGGCAGGGCTGAGCTGCCCTCAGAGGGCTTTGGGTGTGCGGGGCCAGTGGAAGCCCAAGGAGTAGGGGAAGCCTGGAATGGACCCCACACGGGGATTCTCACCAATGGGTTCCACATGCAAGGCCTCCCTGGATGGGGTGGGGTGTCCCAGAAATAATTACGAGATGCTTTGGCAGGGGCTGAGTTCACACTGACACAGGAGTCGGGGAGGGTGGCCTTGTCCGTGTTTTGTGCCTTACGTGACCTTGTTCACAGAGCAGTGGGACCTGATGCACTGATTATGTTTGCATTGTGGGTGGTCTTGTAGAGTCCTGTGCCATCATTCCATCTTTAATTACTTAATAATGCAGGCATGCAAAAAGTGGCCCTGGGTGAGGGATTGGGCCCCTCTGTCTTAGTCTACTCAGGTGGTTGTAGCAAATACCACAGATGGGGTAGCTTAAAAGGCAGACTTTTATGTCTCACAGTTCTGAAGACTGGAAGACCGAGATCAAGGTATCAGCTGATTGTGTTCCTGGTGAGAGCCTGCTTCCTGGTATGCAGGCAGCCACCTTCCCACCGTGTCCTCACACGGCAGAGAGGGAGGGAGCTCTGGCCTCTTGTCCTCTTCTTATAAGGACACTAATCCCAGCATGGGGGCCCTCCTCCCCTGTGACCTCATCTGTCTTAACAGTTCAGGCAGCTATGACAAGATACCATAGACAGGGTGACTGGTAAACAATAGAAATTTGTTTCTCATAGTTCTGGAGGCTGGGAGTCCAAGATCAAGGCGCTGGCCGACCACTGGCAGATTTTGGTGTCTGGTGAGGGCTCATTTCCTGGTCCGTCCACGTCCAGCTTTTTGCTGTGTCCTCGGAAGGGGCAAGAGATCTCTCTGGGGCCTCTTTTATAAGGATGTGAATTCCAATCATAGGGGCAGAGCCCTCACGACCTAGTCACCTCTCAAAGGCCCCGCCTTCTAATACACCATCGCATTGAGAGTTAGGGATTCAACATATAAACTTGGAGGGACACAACATTTAGTCCAGGACACACTCTGTGCCTCAGTGTCCTTGTCCTTGGAGTGAGGTTAATGGCTATGCCTACCACAAGGGTGGGAGATGGGCACTGAAGATTCAGTGAGATGGTGTCTGCCAAGTGCCCAGCAGTGCCTGGCCCATGGACAACACCCTAGAGATGGCAGCTCTTGGTTGTGAAATGAGCATGGGAATGTAGCTATTGCAAGGTGGACCCATTAATGGGAGCTCACATTTATAGATTCGGTGCATTTTCTCTGTAAATACTGCAGAAATTAACACAATTGTAGGTGACTTCGTGGTGTTAGCAGGCATTTACCTTTGTTGATAGGCTCCTACCCTTCTTACACTTAATACCATGTGCCATTTCTGCATGAATGTGATGGTCATTAAAACATTTTTCCACCTTTATTGAGATATGATTAAAAAATAAACACTGCATATATTCAAAGTGTACGACATGATGATCTAGTCTATATGGAGATTCATCACTTTGCATAGTTATCACCGTCTATGGGGGTGGTGGTGACGGTGAGGATGTTTAAGTGCTACTCTCTTAGCAAATTTCAAGTAAACAATACTGTTTTATTCATTAGAGTCACCATGCTTACTTAGCATGAACCTTTGTTCATAATTGAACCTTTGTTCCCTTTGATCAACATCTCCCCATTTCTCCCGCCCACAGTCCCTGGCAACCTCCATTCTTCTCTCTGCTGCTATGAGGTCATCTTTTCTCCGTGAGATTATGCCATCTTTGTCTTCCTGTGATTAGCTTATTTCACTTGGCGTGAAATTGCACAGGTTCATCCATGTTGTGGTAAATGTCAGGATTTCTTTCTTCATGGCTGAAAAATATTCGCTGTATATAAACCCCACATTTTCTTTATCCATTTATTCATTAAAATGTTTTTAAAAGCTAGAATAACAATTAATAAAGCCCAAAGCTCTTCCTGAATAGGTAAAGAAAGTCCTATCCCCTCTACCCTGCCTGATCTGTTAGACCTAGCTAGTAGGATTAGGAAATAAGTTCTAAACATCCTATTTTAGAGGGACTCTTAGCAATGGGCATGACGGGACAGCAGTGAGCAGGGGGTAGGGTACTGAAAGCACAGTCATAAAATACGAGCTGTCTTAGTCCATTTTGCCTTGCTATATGTTTCCCTGAGGCTGGGCAATGTTTAGAGAAAAGATATCTCTTTGGCTTACGGTTATGTAGATGGTATAATACAACCATGCCAGCCTCTGCTCAGCTTCTGGTGAAGCCTCAGGAAGCTTTTACTCATGGAAGAAGGTGAAGGGGGAGCAGGCAGTCACATGCTAAGAGAGGGAGCAAGAGAGAGAGGAAGAGGTGCCAGGCTCTTTTTATTTTTATATTTATATATATATATATAATACATATATATATATATATATAATATAATATATGTATATATATTTGAGACAGAGTCTCACTCTGTCACCCAGGCTGGAGTGTAGTGGTGCAATCTCCACTCACTGCAATTTCCGCCTCCTGGGTTCAAGCCATTCTCCTGTCTCAGCCTCCCAAGTAGCTGGGACTACAGGCTCATGCCACCTCGCCTGGCTAATTTTTGTATTTTTAGTAGAGATGGGGTTTCACCATGTTGGCCAGGCTGGTTTTGAACTCCTGACCTCAGGTGATCCACCTGCCTTGGTTGCCCAAAGTTCTGGGATTACAGGTGTGAGCCACATCGCCCAGCCTAGGCTCTTTTTAAACGACTCACTCTTGGGTGAACTCTCAGAGCAAGAGCTCACTCATTACTGTAGAGAAGGCAATATGCCATTCATGAGGGATCCACCCCCATGACCCAAACACCTTCCCACAGGCCCCACCTCCAATATTGGGGATTAAATTTCAACATTAGATTTGGAGGGGACAAACCTTCAAACTATGTCATGGGCTGGTTTCTAAGCATCAGATACTTTGCGAAGCCCTTTGCCCATCATCGCATGGAATCTCCATGACAGCCCGGGGAAGGTGGGTTTGGTCCCAGACCTCGATGAAGAATGAGGAGTAGAGCCATCAGCTGACTTACTCAGTGCCACTCAGCTAGTCCTGCACAGCTCGGGGTCAGGGCTGTCTTCTGGCCCTGTGATTGTGAGCGCCACATTGCAGCTTGCCAAGTTGTCACCTTCAGAGGCTCCATTTGCTGCCACCGTCCATGAGGTAGGGGTTCAGCCATAGCCAGCACCTGAACGGGTGTTAAGTGAGTATAGATACTTTTGGCATGCCTGCATTATTAACTAATTAAAGATGGAATGATGGCACAGGAAGCAGTGGCTTCCTCCTTGAAGAGCAGCTTAATTTTCATTTATCAATGGGACACTCTTCAATGTCAAATTAGGCCATACAATCTATTATAAAATCCAGTCGCAGCCCAGTTTTGTAGATGTTCTAACCTGTTTCTGAAACTAAAGTTTCTCAACTGTGGAGTTTCTGGAAAGGATGGAATGATCTTCCACAGGAAAGATGGGACCAGCATGCATAGCAGTAGGGACTGCGGCTGGTCCGGGAGGTGAAGATTCGGCTACCAGGGAGGGAACTCGGCAGGAAGATGATGGATTGGCTCTTGGAGGGGCAGATGCTGTCTGTGTGCTTCTGTGTGTGTGTGCACGCGTGTGTGTGTGCGTGTGTATGTGTGTGCTTGTGTGACACAGAGCTCCATGTTAATCCATTCCATGAACTCATCTCATTGACCAGAAAACAGCAGTCCAGATTCTGCCAACCAAACCCACCAGGTGGGCTGTGGGCATAAGAGGCAGGTCCTTAGATGTGGGTAGCTGGGCTGTGGGTCCATCCAGGATGAATTGAAGTAACAAAATCTAATCCTTCACCAAATAGTTAAGAACATTGGGTGGCATGGCCATGACATATTGTTGTAAATGTTTCTAAGCAGACCAGCAGCGGTCCTTCCTCTGAACACACTTTGAGAAGGAATTGTCTGGAGAGGTTAAGGGACCTCTGCAAAGTCACTGTTCTGGGTTGAATCGAGTCCTCCCGACAGATATGTCCATGTATTAACCTTTAGTAACTGGATTTGGAAACAGGGTCTTTGCACATGTAATCAAGTTCTATGAGGCCATACTGGACTGGAATTAGCTCTAATACAATGACTGATGTACTTGGAAGAAAAGATTTGGACACAGAGACACACACAGAGGGAAGACAGCCATGTGAAAACGGAGGCAAGAATTGCAAAGACGCAGCTGCAGCCCAAGAACACCAAGGGTTGTAGGCTGAACCAGGAGCTGGAAGAGGCAAGGAAGCCTTCTTGAGCCTTCAGAAGGAGTGAGGCACTGCTGGCACCTTGATTTTGAATTTCGGGACTGCAGAACTGTGTTAGAATTAATTTCTATCCTTTCAGGCCACACAATTTATGGTATTTTGTAATGGTAACCTTAGGGAACTGATACCATCACCAACTGGTAAATGACAGGACGGGGATTTGAACCTGGGTCTCACTGACTCCTGGGTCCTCCCTTCTCCTGCAGTCTCACTCAGCCATGAGGCACCGGGTGGTGAGGAGAGAGGGCCTGTGGGATGGGGTGGGTGGGCTTTGCTACAGCCTTCTGATCATTTTTTGAAGGTTCCACAGGGGCCTGGCTCTTAGATCATCTCCTTTAGCCTCGAGCTCTGTGGGTTCAGAGCCAAAACCATAAGAAGTTTAATCATCTGCTGTCCTGGAATTACCCTAACCAACCAGGCCGGGATCATGCTGGTTTCTAGTCCACCAGCTCTTTGTTCTTTCTGAAATTCTCCTCTTCAGTGCGGTCAGAGGAGGGTTTATTGCTGTCCCAGGAGTCATTAGGGTTGACTTCTCTGCCCCCGGGCACCGGTCACATGAGGCTGGCATTCCCTGACAAAGCCCTGTGGCATCTTTTGCACAATTGTTTCTTATATGGGTCCTCCTCTTCTCCCTAGTTGCACATGAGGGCAAGGGCCCTGTGAGCACAGCAGGCCTGCAGCATCCTCAGAGATGGGCCCAGCATGGGTGGCCTCTTGGAAGTCTTCACAGCTCTGGGGTTAAGGTGGTGAGCATCCCTTCGTGAACAAAGAGTGTCAAACATGGACAGAGGGACTGGGAGGAGGGCAGGATATGCTTTAATGAAGCTGGGATGTGCCAGAGGTCAGAGGTCAGAAGTCAGAAACTGGTAGACCTCCCAGAGTCACGGCAGAAGGAAGAGAGAAGTAACCTTTTTTTATGAGGCTGGAGTCAGGCTTAGATTCAAATCCTGGCTTTGTCAGTCATAAGTTATACAACTTTGGAAATTAGCCGGGTGTGGTGGTGGGTGCCTGTAGTCCCAGCTACTCGGGAGGCTGAGGCAGGAGAATGGCATGAACCTGGGAGGCAGAGCTTGCAGTGAGCCAAGATTGCACCACTGCACTCTAGCCTGGGCGACAGAGGAAGACTCCATCTCAAAAAAAAAAAAAGTTATACAACTTTGGGCACGATCCTTAACCTCCCAAAGCCTCACCTTCTTCATCTATTAAATGGGGAGATGGATCATACTGCTCGTGTGGAATCCGTGTGAAGGTAGATAAAACAGTGCATATGAAGTGTCCACAGTGTCTGCCATATGTGGATCCCTGCTACCTGGTAGTGATGATATCTCTGCAGCAGGTGTGGGTGCTGCCCCTCCCACAGCCCCATTGTTTCTCTTGGAGTCCACCAGCTACGGT
Source organism: Homo sapiens (assembly GCF_000001405.40). Classification (NCBI taxonomy): domain Eukaryota; kingdom Metazoa; phylum Chordata; class Mammalia; order Primates; family Hominidae; genus Homo; species Homo sapiens. The sequence goes on from NC_000016.10 coordinate 86,143,848, forward strand.
GTTGAGCAGTCCCCGTGCACCCTGACTACTGCCCACCTCAAGCCTCTGCATCTCTCTTCACCTCTCCCTGACAGCTTTCTCCAGCACTGGGACATTTATCAGCCCTCACATAGGGCAGCCTGGAAATTCCCAGATTTAATGCCCCCCTAGAGTAACCCTCAACCATTGAGGAGTGGGAGTTGGCAGGAAAATGCTCCAGGTTCCCCACCTCTCAATGGGACAACTTCCAAGTGCTTTCCACAGGGTTCACTGGAGGATGTCTGGGGGACTGAACCTCAGTTACGTACAGAGGTAACCCTCTCATTAATGCACTCTTTACCAGCTTGTCTCTCTTTCCTGATTCATGTCATCACTCCTTCATTTGTGCTTCCAGGGGTCACCTCCCAAAGGAATTATGTGAGCTCAAGTCCTTGGCTCAGCCTCTGCCTCCAGGGGAACCCACCCTGAGACACCCACTAGAGAGAGGCAGCAGATCAAATACTGGACAAAGACGGGAGAATCAGAAGAGTTCAGAGATTTACTTTTTATTGTATTGTATTGTATTATATTGTATTGTATTATATTTAGTATTGTCTTATTTCTTTTGCAGACAGGGAAGATCTGGTAGCCAAAACATTTTAAAACAAACTGATGACAGCCAAGAAAGCACAGATTCAATGGCTACAAAGTTGGCCTCGGAGCTAAAGGGCCAGAATGTGGAAAACATTCCCCAAGCCAGGGGAGTGAGTGCAACCTGAAACACAGATGAAAATCTATCTATCTATCTATATATATTCTATAATATATATATTCTATACATTATAGAATATATTATATATGATATATATATTCTACATATAATAGAATATGTATTATATATAATATGTATAATTTATATATAATATATAATTTATATATAATATATAATATATAATTTTTATATTATATATAATATAAAAATTATATATTATATATAATTTATATATTATATATAATATATAATTTTTATATTATATATTATATATAATTTTATATTATATAATATAATTTTTATATTATATATAATATATAATTTTTATATTATATATATTATATATAATTTTTATATTATATATTATATATAATTTTTATATTATATATTATATACAATTTTTATATTATATATTATATATAATTTTTATATATTATATATAATTTTTATATTATATATAATATATAATTTTTATATTATATATAATATATAATTTTTATATTATATATTATATATAATTTTTTATATTATATAATTTATGTAATTTTTTATATTATATAATTTATGTAATTTTTTATATTATATAATTTATGTAATTTTTTATATTATATATTATATATAATTGTTTATATGATATATAATTTTTTATATTAGATATATATAATTTTTATATTACATACAATATATAATTTTTATATTATATACAATATATAATTTTTTATATTGTATATAATATATATAATTTTTTGTATTGTATATAATATATAATTTTTATATTATATATAATTATATATAATATATATAATTTTTATATTATATATAATTATATATAATATATAATTTTTATATTATATGTAATTTTATATAATTTTTTATATTATATATAATTTTATATAATATATATAATTTTTATATTAATTATATATAATATATAATTTTTATATAATACCTAATATATAATTATATATATAAAATATTTTATATATAATATATAAATATATATAATACATAATATATGATATATAATATATAGAATATATATATTCTATATATAATAGAATTAATGTATATTATAATATATATAAAATATATATATAATTTTTTTTAGGAAGACCCCAGAGATAAACTGCCTCATTATTTCAAGGGTGCATCAACTATCTACATGACTTGCCCTGTTGGTATTAATCTTGATCACCTGGCTGGCCAAGATGGTGTTTGCCAGGTTTCTCCACTGTAGAATTACTCTGTTTTTTCCCCTTTCATCCTTTACTTCCTGAAAGTGAGTGACTATACACAGCCTACACTTAAAGAGTGGGCAGTGACGTTCCTCCTCCTTCAGGTGTAGTGTCTGTGTGAACTATATTCTTCTGCATAGGAGATTTGTCTTTTCTCCCTCATTTACTTATTCAATCATTTATTTATATCTCTATAAACCCATGGATATTTGTTTTACACTTTGGGTTATAATCCAATACTTTGTTTATTTTGTTGCTAAGATAGTTCTGTCTTTGACCATTGAGAGCTCTTTCATTTGGCTCCTGTGTTCCTTTGACACACTTCCATCTTTTTGGGTGTATGTGTGTGTAGGGGGGGGTGCGGGGGGAGAGAGAGAGGCACTTCCTTACTTCCTGGCACCATAAGGTACTCCAAGCTCATTTGATATATTTCCTGTCCTGGTCCTGGAATCATCCATTTTCTCAAGAAGCCCTAGTTTCTGTTATTGGAGAATGGTGGGCATGAGGTGTGCTCATGACTAACAGGTGCTGTTACTTCCAGACTCCAAGGGTGTGGGCCAGGAGCCTGAGGACCTAGGGAAAAAGAGTAAGGCACTCTTAAAAGAGCACTAAAGAGGATATCAAATTAGCTGACCAGACAGTCTCATGCAGTTATCCTTGTATGTATGTTTTATACTTAAGTTATAACTGAAATTAGTTGCCAAACATACATTTATTTGTTCTGTCTGTTCTTTTTTCCTTCCTTATTTTGGATTGACTTTTTTTGTATTTTATTTTATCTCCATTCTTGACTTACTAGTTATTTTTCTGTGCTTTACACTTGTAGTGGTTGCTCTGGGGTTTACTATGTGAATATTTAACTCAAGATAGTTTGCATTCAAATGATATTATGTCACTTCACATATAGTGTAAGGACATTACAACAGCATATTTCCATTCACTGCCCTGTGTTTTTTTTACTATTACACCTGCATGTTTTAAAATCCTCTTGTTGTTTTTGTTTTATTTTGTTTTTTAGAGACAGGGTGTTATTCCGTCACCCAGGCTGGAGTGTAGTGGCACAATCATAGCTCAATGTAATCTTGAACTCCTGGACTCAAGTGATCTTCCTGCCTCAGTGTCCTGAGTAGCTAGGACTACAGGCTTATTGTTATGTTTTTAACTAGTCAACTGTCTTTTAACTTTTTCAAAAGCAAGATAAAATATCTCATATTTACTCATGTGTTTACCATTTCTGGTACCCTTGTTTTTGTTCCCACACTTCCACATACTATAATTTTTCTTCTACCTGAAGAATTTCCTTGGACATTTCTTGTACAGTAGTTCAAGTCCATTGGTGATAAATTCTCTCAACTTTCATTTGTTTGAAAAAAAAATCTTCATTTTGCCTTCCTTAAGGAAGAGATTTACGCTAGACATAGAATTCTAGACTGATAATTTTTTTTCTTTCAACAGTTTATATATTGGTGTGTTGCCTTCTGGCTTGTATTTTTTTCTGATAGGAAATGTGTGGGGATTCTTATTTTTGTTCTTCTAGATTCAATGTGTTCTTTTTCCTCCAGCTTTAAAATTTTACTTTTGGTCACTGTTTTTGAGCAATTTAATTATAATGTGCCTACCACATTGTATGCTTGGATTTTATTGAGCTCCTTGGATCAGTAGGTTTATAGCTTTAATAAAATTTGGAAAAATTTTGCCTATCATTTCTTCAAGCATTTTTTTATCCTTTTCTCTCTGTCTGTCTTCTTCTGGAACTCCAATTACGAGCGTATTAGACTTTTTGATGTTGCCCCATGAAGCTGTTTCAGTTTATATTGTTTTCATAGCTCTGCTTACAAGTTCACTGATTTGTTATTTTGCAATGATTAATCTTCTGTAAAAGCCACCTGGTGAATTTTTTATTTTAGATATAGTATTTTCAGCTCTGAACATCTCATTTGGTTCTTTTTTAAATATCTTCCAATTGTTTCTTCATTATGCTCATATTTTCATCTAAATCCTTGGCATATCTATCAAAGCTGCTTAAAGTATTCCCATGCTGATTCCATCATTTGTCACTTTGAACTCTGTTTCTTTTGACTGATTTTTTTTCCTGGTATGGGTCATGTTTTCTGCTTTTCAAATGTCTAGTAATTTTTTATTGGATGCCAGGCATTACAAATGCTTGTTTTTGAATTTTTGGACTCAGTAGTTTTCCTTGAAAGAGAATTGATGTTTATCATGGCAGGCAGTCAAGTTACTTGATCCTTTTGAGGCTTAAGTGTTTGTTAAAGGGAAGGTCCTTTACTCTAGGGCCAATTAAGCCCTACTGTTAAGGTGTGACCCTTCTGGGAGCTCTACTGAATACCCTGCGTTATCCATGGCTCTAGAGGGTAGCACAAAGTTAAGAGAGTTGAATCCTAGTTTGGGTTTGCCTGCAGACTTTCTCTGCAGTGTTACTCAAATGACTTACCATCACTTGGCCTTGCTTTTCCCATATGTCAGGTATAGAACTTAGCCTTAATTTCTGATTTTTATTCTCTTTTATTCAGTCCTTGTGGTTGCATGGAGGTGTCTGAGCAAATACCTTGGGGGTGTGTGAAAATATAGTTTTTTTTTTTTTTTTGAGACGGAGTCTTGCTCTGTCGCCCAGGCTGGAGTGCAGTGGCACAATCTCGGCTCACTGCAAGCTCCGCCTCCCAGGTTCATACCATTCTCCTGCCTCAGCCTCCTGAGTAGGTGGGACTACAGGCACCTGCCACCAAGCCCGGCTAATTTTTTGTATTTTTAGTGAAGACAGGGTTTCACCGTGTTAGCTAGGATGATTTCGATCTCCTGACCTCATGATCTGCCCGCCTCGGCCTCCCAAAGTGCTGGGATTACAGGCGTGAGCCACCATACCTGGCCAAAAATATAGATTTCAACCAGAACTCCTTACCCTATTTATATCAAAACCACTTCATGTATATTTACTTCACATATGGATGTTCCATATAAGACTTCATATGAAGAATTGCTGTTAAATAAAAAAATTGAGAAATAACTATACAAAAATATCTGGGCGACATGACAGGTCTATGTCACATTCATTCAGCAGAATCAGTATCTTGGTTCATATGAGCATTGTCAACAAATGATCCTGGGAATGCAGCCATCCTTACAGAGCTTTTAGAACATCAAACAGTGTGAGGATAATAATTAACATTATGAGCTAAATTGATCCTCAGATTAAGAAGAATTTTATGTCTTTTGAAAAATTTTAAGTAATTTTACACTGTTAAAAACAAATAGTAGAGGCTGGGCGTGGTGGCTCATGCCTGTAATCCCAGCACTTTGGGAGGCCGAGGGAGGCGGATCGTGAGGTCAAGAGATTGAGACCATCCTGGCTAACACAGTGAAACCCCATCTCTACTAAAAATACAAAAAAATTAGCTGGGCGTGGTGGAGGGTGCCTTTAGTCCCAGCTACTCGGGAGGCTGAGGCAGGAGAATGGTGTGAACCCGGGAGGCGGAGCCTGCAGTGAGCCGAGATCACGTCACTACACTCCAGCCTCGGTGACAGGGCGAGACTCTGTCTCAAACAAACAAACAAACAAAACAAAAGAAAATAAAACAAAACAAATAGTAGAGTAACACCATCCTATTCATTTGGATAAATGAGTTTGAACAATTTTCATATCCGTCCCTATAGAAGTACCCTCACCCCCAGATTTTTAATATCATTATTGGTGGCATTACTAGATTTTATCCCTATTCTAGGTTAGGTTGTCTTTCCTTGGAGAAAAAAACTGCATTCGGCCATCTGTATTCTAGGAGACCAGGAGTTACTCCACACACATCTCCATGACAAAAGGCTCAGCCCAACCCAATGTCCATGTAGTCATTGAGTAAAAATCAATCTCCACAGCTCTGCTATAAATTAGTCTTAATTTATTAGAGGATAAGTTTTGGCATAAACTTCTGTTGGATCTGGTTATAGCATGGATGTTCCTAACAGAATTTGGTTAGGAAGACTTTAAGAGTAGCATTAGCCTTTGAAGCTGGAGTATTTGCAACATGGTGCATGAGAAATCTATCCAAATAAAATATGCTTCTCTTATAAGAAACTGGGGCATTTATTTGAATTAATAAGGCATGAACAGAAACCAAAGCCTGGTTTGGGGAGAGGGCACTCTGCCAAACAAGCCAGGTTTCACGCTTGATGGATAAGGCAGCGGTGTGATGGGTAAGGATGTAAGACCACCTAGGCTTGGGTTCTGTCTCCATTCCTTTCTAGTTGAGTGATCTCAGGCTGTGTGCGCCTGACCCGTATCCCTCATCTTTAACTTTTAGCAAATGCCAAACTGGCTTCCAACTGCCTGCACCTGTGTTCCTTTGCCTGAGCTCCATCTGGCTACAGGAACTAGCTCTAGCCCTGCCCATGGCAGGATGGCAGTGTCGGCGAAATAATGCTGCAGGGAGGGTCCCTCAGCCAGTGGTAATGGAATGAGTGGGTCACATCCCCAGCTCCTGTCCCCTTAGGTGAACGATCCCAGGAGGATGCCCTACGCTGTTCCATGGGGCGTCCCAAGACAGTGCTCTAGGGACCCCCCAGGGGTAACTTGCTCACTGCGACCCCCTGTATTGCCTTCTTCCTTCCCTGTGTCACTTGCACGAGCTTCCTGACTTGCGTTTTCCAGGACTGCCTTCCAGATAATCTATTTGTGCTAGAATCCTTGTCTCAGGCTCTGCCTGGGAAAAACCCCACCTGGGACAGGAAGAAGTGAACGAGCATGTACCTCTGGCATGTGGCACATGATCCTAACTGACAATCAGTTTTCTCCTTCTGTCTTGGGTAGTCCTGGAGCCTGGGAAGTGCCCAGTTTTAGGGGACAGAAAGGTAACCCCAGCTCCAGGGCAAGAAAAAGTGTGAAGATAAAAAGTCAGGAAGTGCCTTGGGAAGCTGTGCCTCGGTCTCATTCGTGTCTGTCTCCATCAGCCAGCTGGTCCTTGCCTCCCTGAAGGTGACCATGTCAGGGAGAGTTCAGACCACCCTCGGCGTGAGCCGTGACGGGAAGGCGGTGGAGAGGAGGCGGGAGCAGGGTGGGAGCAGAGCATCAGAAGGTGTGGAAGAGAGAGGCTGGGCCTCGGGGAGGCCGCCGGTATGTGATAAGAGGTTGCAACGGCAGCGGGAAGGCTGGGGGCCAAATTCCAGCGTTTTTGCCCAGGTGGAGGAGGCTGGGGGATGCTCTGTAAATGAACCATCTCTGACTATCCCCTTTATCTGTGGCCTGAAACGGTGTGATTTCCTCCCTTGAAAACATCTTCAAGCAGCGTAGATAAAACCTGAGTGTGACTTATGATTCTGCATTCCTGCCATCGTGCCAGCTTGGGCTCCGGAGATTCCTTATCAATTAATGCTTTCTTGCCCAGCCTCCACCTCCTCCTGCTGGGCCCCCTCCTATGGACCAGAGCCCTGAGATTCTGCCAGAGATCAGGCCGGGCTGGCCCAGAGGGAGCCATATTGTACACATTTGTACACAGACACTTAAATAAAACCGCCGGCCTGGCTACAGAGCGCCTCTTTGGCTGACGGGAGAAGCGGCTGGGTTGGGTGCTGGCTGGGGCCTCACTACTGGGTCCCCAGCCCTGAAAGCCTCCCCTGTCACGCTGGGAGGTTCAACTGGAGACCTGAGGAACGCCAGGAAAGTGGTGAGGCTTCTCAGAGGCGGCCCCGTCCGGCTCCGGGCCTGGCGGATTAGAGGAATACGTGGAATTTCCAAATTTAGCATTCAGGAATAGCTTCGTATAAACAAGGGCTGCTTTCGCTGCAGAGATGCGAAGTAGATAATGCCAAAAAAGTCCCCCTTTGTGACTGGATCCTGGGATTCTGCGGCCAACCTCTAAGCTGACTGGGTGCAGACGAAGGGCCGCTTCCTGCCTGGCCCTCTGCATGGGTGGTCGGGCTTAAAAATGAAATATCCAGGCTGACAAATGCTTTTACAAAGGCCAGATTATAAACTGTAAACCTACTGTCAGCTGGGCAGAAGAGAAATCTAAATGCCTCGCTACCATTTAAAGATGTCGTTTGGCCGCAGGACTAACGCACTTCTTGAGCGAGGAAAGCGGCCTTGTATTTATAAATTGGTGTCCGAGCCACAGTGAGCTCGGGATAAGGGAATCTATCAACCAGGAAACAAACAGCCTCCCCAACATCTCAGGGAATCTGAGTATTGTCACAGAAACAAAGTGCTCTGGAGCAGAAGAAAAGCAAAACAGAATTTCTAGAGGGGACACAGTCTAGGGGTGCAGCTACAGTTCGGGGGCATTCAGGTCCACGGAGAGTTTCTAAGGGTGAATTTTCCAGGAGAAAAATAGACCAATCCCCTGCCCAGGAAACACACGACTGGGGGTGGTCCAGGAGGGAAATGAGTTCTCATTTCCCTGGTGTGTGCGGGTGTTTCTGGGAATTCAAACTTATGGCCCCACTAAAGAGCCAGCCTTCTCTCGCAGACCTGGAGCCGTGAGGACTGAAGTGGGTCGGAAGGTCCCGCACAGCACATGCGCCATCCCAGCCTCTCCACTCAAGGCAGAAGGGCAGCAGTGTTCAGGAAACATAGATGCTGGGGGGCTGGGGAAGGGGAAGAGGTCTGCAGGGCTCAGCCACCCAAGGGGGACCTTGCCTGTCCAGACAGAGCCCCTTCTCCCGACAGCCTGTTAGAGCCAGGTCAACAGTGTGAGTGGAGCCGGGACACCTGGGGGTGGGCCACTTGCCATTTCAGTCCCAAGATTCCCATGTCCTTGGACCTGACAGAATTAGGGGATCTGGGATCCTGGGAGGCAGAAAGAGCAAAAGAATGTTTGATGTGGCAAGTTCAATGATCAGACAGTCCTTCTCCACCAGCAAAACCATACGAGAAGTCTGTTCAAATTTTTTATTCAACAAATGTTTGTGGAGCCCCTGCCATGTCCAAGCACTGTTCTAGGAGCTCAGGAAGCACCACTGCACGAAGCAGGCAGCAGCCCATTTTCTTCACGGAGCTTGGGTTCTGGAGGCAGGAGACAGAGAGTGGTTCCCGGACAGCTGGCCAGTGAACCCGGTGAGCTGTGCTGGGACACAGGACACAGAACGGGGAAGGGAGTGGCTTCAGACAGGGGCCAAAGTAGGCCTCAGGGAGAAGGTGACGCTGGGCAAAGACCTGAAGGATGGGAGTGAGCAAGCCAGGTGTGTGCCTAGGAAAGGGTGCTTCAGGCCAAGGGGACAGCTGATGCCAAGGCCCTGGGGCAGGACTGTGCCTGGGGCCGAAAAAAGCAGCAGTAGGGGTAGATAGTGGGAGAGGAGGTTGAAGTAGTGGTGGAGTGCGGTGGGAAGGGGCAGGTGGTCTGGGGCTGCGCTGGGCGATTCGGTAGCCAGGAGCCTCCTGCGGCTCCTTACGTTTCAGTTTAATCAAAAGAAAGTCAAGCTAAAAATCGGCTCCTCCATCAACCAGCTGGATTGCAGGTGCTCGAGAGTCACCAGTGGCTGGTGGCTGCTAGCCCAGGTCTAGAACACTTCATCATCACAGAAAGCTGTAGTCCAGAGCCTTGTAAGGATTGGTAAAGATCATCGTAAGCGCTTCGGCTTCTACGCAGACAGAGGGAAGCCATTGTAGGGTTTTGGACCAGAGGGCTGATGTTTTCAAAAGGTTACCCTGGCTGCCGCGCTGAGAAATGATTCTAGAGAGAAAGGGAGAGCTTCACAGACGTGGTCCAGAGAGGGAAGAGGGCCCTGCCCACTCATCAGGTCCCCTGCCTGGCAACCTGGGACTCTTCCATTAGAAAGGGCCTTTCTTCTTTATAACCTCAATTGCATACCCATATATGTATGTATATATTTGTCTATATAGATATGACATGCATATGTGTGTACGTGTATGTGTCCAGACACACATATATATTTGTATATATGTATATATAATTTTTCCAAAGAGCATGTTTTATTTTTTAACAGCTTTGTTGAGCTATAATTTATAGGCTATAAAACCCAGCCAGGCTAAATGTGCCATTCATCGACTTTTAGTAAATTGAGCGGGTTGTACAACCATCACTACCACCCAGCCTCACTTGGCGCCCACATGGCACTGTGAGCAGGGGCGCACCACAAAGGTGCCCGCTGTGCGTTTTCTGAGCTCTGTGAAGGGCACTCCCAGCGGGCTCAGGTGGGTCTGAGCACTGGCGACAGCTGGAAACTGTCCTCCCCTCGGGTCGGGTCGCAGAGGTGCAAGTGGCTTGTCATGGAGAATTGCTCACACATAAGACGAGCAAACCCTCAGACACAGCCCTTCCAGGGGAGATGGGTCCCATCTGTTCTTGCCCTCCTGACACCCCTCTTCCTGCCTCTGGCCGGCCTTTGCTCCCCATCTTTTCTCAGAATCTCTAAGCACCGTGCTTTAGTCCTGGTTTTTCCAGCCTTCTGGCCAAAAGTATACACAGAGAAAAATATACAGAGAGGTTAGACTCCTTTTCCCACTGAGCTAATATTTAGGGGAAAGAAGATTAAACAGATAGTTCAGGGTTGGCTTGTATTACCACACTATCCTTTAAAAAGTAAAGGGTTTTAGAAAAAAAATCCAACTAAGAGGGGAAAAGTTCAAAGCTCTTGAAGAGAAATGATCATGGTGTTATTGTCAAGTTATGAACTAGAACCAGTGGAGCACCTACTGTGTGCAAGGCCTTGGGGTCAGAGAGATGACAGCCTAGTCTCTACCCTCCAGGTGTTTCCACATTCATTCATTGTTGTGTTCATTCAGCATGTTCCAATTGATGTACCAGGTCTGCTCTACAGAGATGAGGAAAGCTTGGTTCTTGCCTTCCTGATACCCATAGTAAAGTTGAGGACTGGATATGTTTTGCCCAGAATTTTCCTTAGTGTTCTTGAGTTCCTAGGTGTTCCTTGGATAACAAATAGCACAGGAGTTCAAAGAGAAAAAGGGGAGCTAAGGCTTAGCAAGCTCTTCTTCCATTTGGCCCTGGCACACGATTTTGCTCTTTCAATTCTCCTAACGTTCCCCAACTGCAGTTACAATCACTGCTGAACAAACCAATGATTGCATTGGGCTCATGTTTATCCCCCTCCTTCCTTCATGCAGATTGGCAGCTACAGCATGGGGCAGGTCCAGTGGAGAGAAAGACCTCTAAATGTCCAATTTTTAGTTAAAAATATTTTCTCTACAAGCTGAATTATTTCCCCATCTGGTCCCTTGAGTTGCCTGGACTAAAAACAGCAGGAAGCTAAGAAGTGAACTTCTGTCCCCAAAACCTCATAAAGAGGGGAGGGCTGGGAGGGTCCCAGATGGGCTTCGGTCCCCACAAGCAGAGAAAGGATCTGGGAAACAGTCGTGCAATGTTTCCAGAGGCTGAGAGCAGCTGGGCAGTCACATCACATTTCATTGCTGCTTTTATGGTAGCTGTTAAAATTTTGAAATTAGGCTCACACCTGTAATCCCAGCACTTTGGGAGGCTGAGGCAGGAGGATTAGTTGAGGCCATATGTTTGAAGCCAGCCTGGGCAACAGAGTGGGACTCTGTCTCTGCAAAAAACACAAAAATTAGACAGGCATGGTGGTATGCACCTGTAGTCCCAGCTACTTGGGAGGCGGAGGTGGGGGGAAACCTTGAGCCCGAGACTCGAGGCTGCAGTGAGCAGAGATCATACCACTGCACTCCAGCTTGGGTAACAGTGTGAAACTCTGTCTCAAATTAAAAAATTTTTAAATAAAAAAATGGAATATTTAATTTAAGGGAATATTGTGCAGTGATAAAAAGGAATGAAGTTCTGACACATGTATGAACTTTGAAAACATGATGCTTCTTGAAGGAAGCCAGACACAGAGACCACACATTGCTTGACTCCAGTGATATGAAATGTCCAGAACAGGCAAATGCCTAGACACTGAAAGTAGATTTGTGGTTGCCTAGAATTTGGGGGAAATTGATGGTGATTGCTAGAGACACAGGGTTTCTTTTGAGCTGATGAAATGTTTTAAAATCAATGATGGTGATGGTTGCACATTATCTCTGAATATACTAAAAATCATTGAATTGTACTCTTTAAATAAATCAGTTATAAGGTATTACATTGTATCTCAACAAAGCAGTTAAAAAACAAACTTCTTTGTTTTTTTGGTTCACTTCAGAAAAATTAAAAACTACACATAGTCAGAGAAAAGGAGAAAACAGACAATACTATCCTACCAGTTGAAACCAAGTCACATGAGCACCTTGGTGCCTATAATTCCAAATACACACATTTTGCTGCTTTACTTTTGATGTTTTTGTGTCTCTTGGTTTGTTTTTGTTGTTGACGTTGTTTTTTTGCAAGTGTAGAATCCCACTGTCTAGGGTGGCTTTTGTCCTGGGAAGTCTTTGAAATATCTGCTTTGTGGACAGAACAGATCTAATTAGACTGTGGAGACCCAGTAAACACTGCAATTAAAACCGTGTAGCAGTAGAGCGCCTGCTGGGAAACTAACTGGCCAAAAGATCTGGGATGTTTCTGCTGGGTGGCTGCTGAATTCAGGTTTCGTAAACAGGAGAATCCCTGAGATGATTTCCAGAGCTGAGTGTCAGTCCTGGTGAAGGTCTGGCCAGGCTGTGGGCAAGCTCTGGTGGAGACCAGTGGGTGACAGTATAAGTCCACCCACCAGTGAGCTTTCACCCACAGGAATCTTTAAAGCCTACTTACTTACCTATTTATTTATTTGTCTGGTTTTTAAAATTAAAATTAGTAAAGGATGCACATGGGTATTCAAATCGACATACACAAAGAGTAGATGGTGGAAGGAGTTCTCTCCCACTCCCAGTCTCTGTGTCTCCACCTGGAGCCCAGCAGTAGTTGTCAGTTTGTTGTGTGACCTTATAAACAGCCCACAAGGGTGCAAACAAGCTTATCCCCCTCTGCTTACCCATGGATGCATGGAAATATACTATGTCATCTCCTGTTTATCTGGCTTCTTAATTAAAAAAATGTATATATATATTGATGATTGCTCTACATCAGCATTCACTGATGTGATTTATTCTTTTTGATGGGTATATAGTATTCCACTCTATGAATATACCAGAATTTATTAAACAGTTCCCTATTGGTGGACACTTTATTTCTAGAATTTTGCTATTACAAATAATGCTACATTGAGCATTTTTAAAGATATATCTTTGCCTCTTGTGGGAATATAATTATAGAATAAATTCTTCAAAATCTAATTGTTAGATTAAATCATTTCTACATTTAAAATTTTTGATACCTCTTTCCAAATTGAATAGTTCATTGCAAACTGTAACCCTCCAACAGTGCATAAGGTCACCTGCTCTGACCTAATTTTGAACATTTCTTTGGTAGCTCCTACAAGGGAACTGGACACAGATGTTCTCCTCCCCTTCCAAGAGCCAGACAGAGGCAGGAGTTCAAGATTGCAGTGGGTGCTTCCTGTCCTCACTCAGTGAGCATGTGTCCAGTCTTCACAAAAGCCCACTGCTAGGCAGGCAGGTCTGCTGTAGACCAGAGCTAGCTGCCTCCTAGTACCTTTCTCTCCCTCTTTATTTGTTTAATAAAGTCCCCCCAAGTTCTAATCAGGTCTCTGGTCATCCACCTACAGCCTCCCTTGAAGCCAGGTATGGCCATGTGAGCAAATTCACACCTTTAGGACGTGAACGGAAACAGCTACACAGCTGCTGTGTCTCTTGCTTCTAAGGAAATTGCCTCCCTGCCACTTCCTCTCTTTCCCCAGAAACCACCTTCATCCAGGAGGTGGGACCACATGCTGGGGACTAACAAGATGGACAGAGCCCGGAATGCTGGAGGACACATGAGGCCAGAGGAAGAAGAATCTTCTTGTTTTTGTCCAAGGGCTTCTTAGCTTGCCGGGAGACAGGCTTTGGGCAGGAAATTGGCATCAGTGAGGTGACCGGAGTCACCGGTAAACACAAGAGGCCTGGCTGGCGACCCCGGATTAACATCCTGCAGGCTCCCAGGAAAAACCCAGAGACCTTGAGAGTATGTGCAAGCTGGATTCCCTAGGAACACAGGTGGGGTATTCCTACTAATGGGACTGGGTTTTACAGGGATTACCCAATTTGTAGGCCACATAATTTCTTGGTAATTTCAAAGCAGGTTGGAATTCTGAGGCCTTTGCTGCCTGCTTCCAGCTGCTCCAGGAACCAAATCACCAACCAACAGCTGGAACAAACACTCATAAAAAGTCCCCCAGCTTCTCCCCTCCTGGAAAATGTTCACAGCAGGCTTTCTCCACCCACACAGAAAAGCACAGATTTGGTCATTTCCTATCATACTGCTCAGTGGCAGAGGCTTGAAGTTCCCAGGACTTGCTAAATCACCCTGGCTGTTGGCTTTTCGAGTTTCTGGGACCCAACTAAAGTAAAACAAACAGAAGAGCCACTAAGCAACTTGGTGTTCTCTTTTTGCTTTTGTACACTCCCAGACACTTTAGGATGAGAGAACTGGTCAAGGTATTTAAGTCAATGGACTTGCCATTGAGTCAAAACAAGTCACACTTAGAAGGGCTTAAGGGATGGCACCAACAAAGAAGAGTGCATTCTGATCACTCATTCATTCACTTATTTACTAGACGTTTGCTTGGAGCTTCCTGTCTGCGGAGGACTGAGCTAGTCACTGGGGACACAGCATGAGGATGGCACAGTCCTGCTCTCAGGGAGGCCACTCACTGTCACCTGAAACAGATGGACAATAATCACAAATGGAAATTGCGATGAAAGAGGTTTGTACTGGGCTGAAGAGTGTCTCCCCAAATTCATATCCACCAGAAGCTCAAGATGAAACCTTACGTGGAAATAGATCTTTGCAGATGTCATGCGTTAAGGATCAACGTGAGATCATACTTTGTTAGAGTGAATTCTAAATTCACTGAGGGTGGCCTAATAAAGAGACAGGACATACAGGGACCACACAGCTGAGAAGCCCATGTGAAGATGGAAGGGAGACTGGGAAGATGTCTGCAAGTCAAGGAATGCTAAGGAACACCAAGGAATACTCCAATACCGGGAGCTGAATACGGGAAGCTGAATACCGGAAGCTGAATGAATACCGGAAGCTGAATGAATACCGGAAGCTGAATACCGGAAGAGAATGACGTGGGTTTCTCCTCTGTTGCCTCCAGAGGGAGCAGGCTACTGCTGACTTCTTGATTTTGAACTTCTGGCCTCCTGAACTGTGAGAGAATAAACTTCTCTTGCTTTAAGCCACCACTCTTGTTTTGTGGTAATTTGTTATGGCTACCCCAGAAAACTAATACAGCAAATACAGGTGTGTGAAGACCTGTGGGCGCACATGGGAGGAGTGACTTCTCCTCCCTGGAAGATCAGGGGGGGCTTCAAGGAGGAGGTGACCGTCAAACTGAGCCCTGAGGATGCCAGAGAATTCCCAGGGCAGAAAAGAGAAGGGAGATTAACTCCAGGCAGAAGGACGAGCATGTGAAGACACACAGACACAATGGGCACAGCTTGTCTGGGATGTTGAGGAGTTTGGTATTTACAGAATGAGAATGTTGAGGATGGCAGAGGACTGGAAGTCATGAACAAGAGCCTTTGTGCCACACTAAAGAACATGGCCTTTCTCCTGAAGGTGACGGGAGCCACTAAAGGCAGTGGAACAGGGAAGAAGCACCTTTTTTTTTTTTTTTTTTTTTTTTGAGACGGACTCTCGCTCTGTCCCCAGGCTGGAGTGCAGTGGCCCAATCTCGGCTCACTGCAACCTACGCCTCCCGTATTCAAGCGATTCTCCTGCCTCAGCTTCCCGAGTAGCTGGGACTACAGGCACGCACCACCAGGCTCGGCTAATTTTTGTATTTTTAGTAGAAACGGGGTTTCACCATCTTGGCCAGGATGGTCTCAATCTCTTGACCTTGTGATCCGCGCACCTTGGCCTCCCAAAGGGTTGGGATTACAGGCATGAGCCACTGCGCCTGGCCAAGAAGCATCTTTTATTATTTTTAGTTGAAGAATTACCTACTTGTAATGAAGTGACCAAATCTGAAACATACAGGTCAATGAACTGGATATCTGCCTATACCCATATAGCCACCTAGCTCAAGCTATGGATATTTCTAGCACCCAAAAGAGGCTCTCTGGGGTTCCTCTCCAGTCAAGGCTCAACTTCTCAGAGATAACCACTATTCTGTACTTCACATAAATGGAAACATGCAGGATATATTCTCATGTTCCTGGTTTCTTCCACTCAACATTCAGCCAGGTATTACTAGTTTATTCTTTTTGTGTGCAGTATAGTATTTCATTGTGTGAACATAGCACAGTTTATTTATCTATTCACCTGTTGAATGAGGGACCCCTTGGCCCAACACAGGCCTCTGTGGCTTTCCCTGTCATTACTGCACCTTCTATCTTCAGGTCTCTGGATGAACAGAGTTGGGGGTGTGCACAGCTGTGCTGTGCTTTGCAGCTTTACTTAAACCTATTGAGCAGAAACTTGAGTCAGACAATCATCCTCTTTTAGCAACATTCAGCAAGGGGGTTAACTACTTGATCTGCCCACCAGAATCGAGGATGTGACGGTCAAGACAAATTTGTAAAGATGGCCCCTTAAGTTACAAAAGACTGGCTGGGTGCAGTGGCTCACGCCTGTAATCCCAGCACTATGGGAGGCTGAGGCGGGCGGATCACGAGGTCAAGAGATTGAGACCATCCTGGCTAACATGGTGAAATGCTGTCTCTACCAAAAATACAAAATATTAGCCGGGCGTGGTGGCGGGCACCTGTAGTCCCAGCCTCTCGGGAGGCTGAGGCAGGAGAATGGCGTGAACCCAGGAGGCGGAGTTTGCAGTGAGCCAAGATCGCACCACTGCACTCCAGCCTGGGCGACAGAGCAAGACTCTGTCTCAAAAAAAAAAAAAAAAAAAAATTTACAAAAGACTGAGAGCAAAACTGAAAGATTCCTCTCCCCTCAGCCTTGGGGCAATTACTTCCTTTCTTGGGAAAAGCACAGGTTGTTACCTAGCTGCAACTTAAGAAGTAGGTGATTCTGGAATTAGGTCCTTCTGTTTTACAGCAGAACAAACTGACTTGCAAAGCTGAAATGACTTGACTAAGTGCATAATATAGTGTAACATTGTATCCTCTTTTCTGTAAAGCTAACAATCCCAATTACCCCTGGCCATGATTGAGACTATGCAGTGGGCCTCAGTATTAAAGTCCAGTTACTCCTGGCTGAGGAGGCAGGGAGAACCTTGGCCAGGATGCCTCTGTTCTTGTCTGGCTTAGAGCCTTCCTCCCTTGCTGGGCTCTGCAGATGGTTTTCTTGGGGGCCCACATTTTCTTCTTTCACCTGGATAAAGGATTTGTCTTGAGGCCTCAGTTTCTTCATCAGTAAAATGATAATAAACTTATACCTCTCAGAATGGCTGTGAAAATTAAATGCAGATAATGCTTGTATAATTCCTGGCCCTTGGTGTGTCCTCAGTCATCATAACAAATAGGATGATGATGGGCTGCTGATGACATGATGACATAGTTTTGTTTACTGTCAGTGGAACTGTCATTTGTAGGAGACTCAATGAAGCTTTCTTTGCTTTTCTCCAAAGGACCCTGTTAGTACCAAGCTGAGCTATGCTGGAGGCTGTGGCAATATTAAAAATCAGGAATATGGATCCTTTATTTAAAATTTTCATATGTTGTTGATGCTGTTTATCATGAAATTGTTTGTATTAATTTAGACTTTTCAAAAATATTGCGTTAGAATATTTTTTATGTTGATCACTGAGTTTTTTTGGTGGTTACTTAAAGGTTATGTTAACAAAGAGTCAAACTGTATAAAATATTTGAAGAGATTTATTCTGAGTCAAGTATGAGTGACCAATGGCCTATGAGCCAGCCCTCAGGAGGTCCTGAGAATGTGTGCCCGAGGTGTTAGGGGCACAGCTTGGTTTTATACATTTTAGGGAGACATGAGACATCAATCATGTACCCTGGTTCAGCCTGCAAAGGTGGAACAACTGGAAGTGGGGGTTTCCAAGTCATAGGTGAATTCAAAGTTTTTCTGATTGGCAATTGGCTGAAAGAATTATTATCAATGAGAAGGAACGTCTGGGTTATTCTAAGGGGTTGTGGAGACCAAGGTTTTATCACATAGATGAAATCTCCAGGTAGCAGGGAGAATAGATTGTCAGTGTTTCTTATCAGACTTCAAGAGTCTGTTCTATCAGTAATTGCAAAAGGGAAGCAGGTATAATGAGGCATGTCTGACTCCCCCTTCCTATGATGGCCTCAACTGGTTTTTCATTTTAACTTTGGAATGCCCTTGTAGAGAAGAGGGGCCCATTCAGTTGGTTGGGGGCTTAGACATTTATTTTTTGGCTTACAGTTAGACGTGAGGTGAATGCCTCGATCACCTCACCTGGTTGGGATCCTGGTTGCTGGCACTGAGGCTGACTTTTCTTATTATCTGATGAAGGGCTCTGTGCGGTCCTTCTTTTTCCTCTGCCTGCCACTTGGCACTCTTCTGAGGACTCTGGCCCCGTGCTCTCCAGGCCACATTTGGCACATTTCTGTTTTGTTTTTATTTGTTTTTGATACAGAGTCTCACTCTGTCGTCCAGGCTGGAGTGCAGTGGTGTGATCTTGGCTTACTGCAACCTCCATCTCCCAGGTTCAAGGGATTCTCCTGCCTCAGCCTCCTGAGTAGCTGGAACTACCAGCATCCACTCACCACGCCTGCCTAATTTTTGTATTTTTTTGTAGAGACGGGGTTTTGCTACGTTGGACAGGCTGAGCTCAAACTCCTGACCTCAGGTGATCCATTCACCTCAGTCTCCCAAAGTGCTGGGATTACTGGCATGAGCTACCGCGCCCAGCCACGTTTATGTTTTCTGACTGCGTTAGTCAAAGTTCTCCAGAGAAGCAGAACCAGCAGAATATAATTGGCTCTTGTGATTGCAGGGGCTGAGAACTCACACATTTAGCCATCTGCAAGCCGGAGCTCCAGGAAAGCGGGGGTGGGGGGTGGTTCCAGCTGCAGTCCAAAGGCCTGAGAACCAGGGGAGCCAATGGTGTACACGCCAGTCCAAGGCGAAAGAAGACCAGAGTCCCAGCTCTAGCAGGCGGGAAGAAAGAAAAGGGGGAATTCAACCTCCTTCCACCTTTTTGTTCTACTCAGGCCCTCAACTTACTGGATGGTGCCCGCCCACATTGAGGAAGCCAGTCTTCAGAGTCTAGTGATTCGAATACTGATCTCATCTGGAAACAACCTCATAGACACACCCAGAAACAGCATCTAATCTGGGCACCCCATGGCTCAGTGAAGATGACATGTAGAATTACCCGTTGCCCTGAGCTTGTACAGCATAGGGAAGTTCCTTTTAAATACTTCAGGGCTAGAACTGGGACCTCCTGATTGGTTCTGTTTTTTGACAACAATGCCCCCTTCACTGCATGTGAAAATTGATTCCCTGCACTTCCTGTGTAACACAAATAATCTTCCCTCTGCATCATTAGCTGCAGTGTTCTGGAGGTATTTCTGATGAAACCATTCCTTGCCCACTGCCACACAAATGGAAGCACTGTGGACTCTTTTCTCTTAGTCTCTGGAAGAAGTGGACCCTGGGAAGCCCCATGACTGGTGAGGGCACCTATGAAAATCAGTAGCTGGCTGAGTTTTCTGACTGTAGCCAAGTTTGCCCCATGGTTCCATCACCAGACACAATATAGGGTGGAAACTGGTTTCCTCAAGAAGGTAGATTTGTGGGGATATTTATGATCCAGATGACACTCCAAATGTTGACTATTATCATATGATTTTAGTCATTTAGTTCTTTTTTTTTTTTTTTTTTTGACAGAGCCTTGCTCTGTCGCCCAGGCCCCCCAGGCTGGAGTACAGTGGCACAATCTTGGCTCACTGCAACCTCCACCTCCTAGGTTTCACCGATTCTCCCGCCTCAGCCTTTCGAGTAGCTGGGATTACAGGCACGCGACACCAATGCTGGCTAATTTTTGTATTTTTAGTAGAGATGGGGTTTCACCATGTTGGCCAGGCTGGTCTCGAACTCCTGACCTCAAGTGATCCCTCTGCCTCGGCCTCCCAAAGGGCTAGGATTATAGGCATGAGCCACTGCGCCCGACCAGTCATTTATTTCTTTAAATGATCTTGGAAATTGTCTACTCTCTGACGGTTTTAAATGATCTCGGAAGCTGTCTACTCTCTGACCCCTGGAAGGGGTCTCCTGGGCCCTTCCAGGGTTGGGTGTGGCTGCATGGACAGAACTTTGGACCCCTCTCCTGCTCAAACACAATAACTGCATGGGCGTTTGCTCCACACACAGGGCCTCTAAATGTAACTTTTATTTTAAAAAAATGAATCTTGATTAAAAAATAGTTTTAAAACTATGAACCCAATTCAGGGGTTTTTACTCCTGGCTGCACACTGAAATCACTTAAGGAATTTTTTAAAATTCCAAGTCCACTCAGGACTTACACCCAGAAATTCTGACTTACTGAGTCTGCAGTGGTGATGTCTAGGGACTGAAATTTTAAACAAATCTCCTCATATGACTCTAATGTGCCATCAAGGTTGAAAACTGCTAATCTGGTCCAGTATTGTTTTTACACATGGAAAATTGAGGCTAAGAAGGCTAAATGACTTGTGTAAAGCCGCATATTAACCTCCAGGCTGGATTAGAACCCCAGTCTTCTCCTATGTGTCAGTGCTTTGTGGACTCCACCACACATCCACACAGAAGAAGATAATACAGTTGTCTTATATTCATATGACTTCCTGTGGTTTCATTTTCACATTCAAGCAAGTATTTTTAGTCCAACATTTTAGTTTCTGGAGGACGAAATCCTGAAGCAGGAAAGGACATTGATATTTATACTTCTGTTGGGAAACAGAGGCACCAGGGTCACAAATGAATGGCCCTCAAGACCACACAGATCCACAGAGCCGAGAAGAGGCCTCGGAGTGCTGGCTCCCAGGCTCATGGTTTAGTTTCACCACTCCATACACTCCATTTCACACTCCCTTGGGGATGTCATTCCAATGCTAAACTGGTTGATGGAGACAAATCGTCAATACTGGTGAAGGGTTTTGTGTTTTCAAGGTCAATCTCAGAGTTTTTCCCCCCCAAGAATTATAGAGAGGAAAAAGAGATAAATAAGTGTATAGGAATCAGTAGAAAGAAGAGCCTATCAGGGGACTAAGTCTAAGTAAGTAATGCACAGTTTTAAGAGACACTGCGACAGTGGTGGGGGCAGGGGGTAAGAGGTCGACTGAATGCAAAAAAGAGAGGGCAGAAACTCACAGTCATGGGAGGGAATTTGCTAAACAAGAGCAGGTGCAGCAGGGTATAGGTGGTGAAATCTATGGTACAGGCTTTCAGAGTTGAAAAGGCTTGGGGTCCTGTGGGGAAATAGTGCTAGAGCCGATGCAATAATGAGTGATTCTTTAGTCTGGTGCTTCCCATGAAAATCTCTAATGCAGAGAGAGAAAGGACTCAAGCTGGTGGACAGGGTCATTCCTGGCAGTGGTAGTGGCTTTGGAGGGTTCTGTATGAGCATTGTGGTGGAGAGACCCAAATTCTATGCTGTTTCTCTCATTAGAAGGTGGTTTCTTGAACTTGGGATCATTCTGAGACTTCCTTTGACCCATGGGATGTGGTGGAAGCATTACTGCATAATTTCTGAGGCTGGGTCTTAAAACATCTGAATATGCTTAGAACACTCCCTCTTGAAAGCCCCTGCCATTCAGTGAGAAGCCAGGCCACTTTCTAAGAGGAAAACCAAGCTACTCCGCTTGTTGCTGTTTTAAGCCACTGTGTTTTAAAATGGTTTGTAATGCAGTGGTAGATAATGAAACAGAAATTGTTACCAGAAGTGGGGTGCAACTGTAACAAAAATTTTAAACCCGTGGTATTGGCTCTGAGATTAGAAGATAGGTGAAGACCTATAGGTCAATGAGGAGACTATTAGCAGAGGCTATGAAGGCAGTGAAGAAGTCACTACTGGGGACTAGGGAAAAGAGGACCTACCAGTACAATGAATAAAACCTTTGCCAGTGGTAATGTGGAGAACAGGAAAGGTACCCCATGAACTTGTGGATTTGGCCAAGGCTATTTCTTCATTGTTCGAGTTCCTAACTCACTTCTTTTAGATGCATATGAAGAGAGAAAGACATAGAAGAATTGGAGAAACAGCTGTTCAATTTTCACACCGAATTTAAAGGACCTAGAAGAGCTCAGGACAGTCTCCCCAGGCAGCAAAGTATCCTGAAAATAAATTAAATCCTGGAGAGAATATCAAATCCAGGTGCTGTCAGTAATATGTGGATTTGAGATCAAGATCAGTCCAAGGGCACAGCTGGAATACTCTTTGTAAGAACTGGGAAAGATTTTAAGTGGTGCCCCTAGACTCTCTAAGCTAGACTGATGGGCTTTCAAGGATCTTAAATGCATTGTCTTATAACATCCAACTCAGATTCACATAAATCCAAAGTAGGGAAATGTCTGTGTCAAGAGGACTTATGAGTATATCTTGTATCTTATGGAGTAGATTAAAATGTCATATATAAAACATCTCTTCCCTCATTTGAAAGAACTCTTTCAGCTTCAACCAAAAGAAAGCCCAAAATAAAAGGGATCTCTTAGGAGGAAGCAGGCTGAGGAAACTACTCAGCTACAAACATGGGCCACTTCTTATGGAAAAGGAAGGATGACTCCAAGGGGAGAGTCAATAGCTGCAGAGCCCCACACCCAGAGGGAAGAACTGGGCTGAAATCAAGACACATTTCCTTCTCCAAGAGCAGGGAGAATTGGTAAAACAGGCCCAGCTAGATTTCAGAATTGCTTTGGACCAGTGACAACCATGAGCTTCCATCCCATCCTTTGAATGACAGTATCCACTGTGGACATCCTGGTTCCATCTTCCATTGTATACTG
Source organism: Homo sapiens (assembly GCF_000001405.40). Taxonomy (NCBI): domain Eukaryota; kingdom Metazoa; phylum Chordata; class Mammalia; order Primates; family Hominidae; genus Homo; species Homo sapiens. Next base: position 86,166,722 of record NC_000016.10, read on the forward strand.
GGTGTGTGTAGGCAGATGATTTGTATTTTCAGTTTATGAGTCTCAAGGAATCACAGTGTGGAAGCTACACTCAAGCAATGAAACCCAAAGTGCCTCCTATGCACCTGGACCTGGTTTAGATGACAAGATCCTGACCTCTAGCTTGGGTCTGCTATCCTAATGGAATAGGACTTATGAGGGCCTCAGGGAGTGGGGGTGAGTGTAATTTGGACATGGAAGAATTGTAAATAGTCATACCCAGAGTGTAGCAGGCAGTGATGGGTTAAATATGGCTAGACATTTTCGTCACGTCTCCCATTGAGTGGCAGAGTTCATTTCCGCTCCCATTGAATCTAGAATAGCCTGAGCCTTGCTTTGCCCAACGGGACATAGTAGAAGTGATGCTGTATAATGTCTGAGGCTGGGGCTTAGGAGAGCTCGGCTTCAGGTTGCAGCTCCACAGACTCCCTCTCTTGGAGCTCAGATGCAGTGTCGTGAGAACCCCAGTACTTGCGGTGAGGCAATGGAAAGGAACTGAAGTGCTTCTATTGATGTCTCCAGCCGAGCTCCCAGCCAACAGCCAGCACCGAGTGCCAGTGTGTGAGCAAGTCACCAGGGATGTCCAGTCAAGATGAACCTTCAGATGACCACAGAACCCAGCTGACATCTCAGGGAGTAAAACTGTCCAGCTGAACCTCATCACCCCACTCAATCATGAGAACTAGTTATTTTTTACTTAAGCCACTTTTTTTGGGGGGCGGTTTGTCCTGAAGCAATAGATAATTAAAACAAGCACCTTTCTTCCACTTTAACATTTTTGATCTGGTTAAAACTCTCTTTCAAGTTAAAAATGACCCTGATCTTGCATGTTCCTCGTAAAAAAACAAGACCTCATGTACCTTTTAGGGGAGGGGCTAGACTTGACATTGCCATGGTAGGGAGGGATTGGGGCCGTTTATGAGACAAGTGAGAGTTTATGAGCCAAGAGTTTTTCTTAGCTTCTCCAAGAGTTTGTTCTCCGTGACTGATTCACTGTCTAGTCTGTAGGTTCTCTCCCAAGGGTGAATCTGAAAAAACTGCCCTAGTTTACTCATCCTGGGGACTCAGTGGCTTTTGCCTAGAAGGGTGGGCCTTAAACTGTGCTAACATTAAATAATGACATCGTGTTCTCAATCCGCAAGAGGAAAATGCACCATAAGTGTGCCTGGGTGGCCCAGGGGCTGTTGGCACCCACGCTGTGTCCTTGGAGCCCAGCTCTGAGCAGTGGTATTCGGTTCCCATCCGTTCTCTGCCTGAGGGCTGACAGCCTGCTCCACAGAGCAAGGTGTGACCTGAAAGTGCTGAGGAACAAATGCTCCCGGGGCCACCTCTCACCTGGCAGGAGCAGGTGTCTGGACAAGAGCCTCAGTCCCCCATCCTCTGGAAGGACGAAGCAGGTTCTGTGTGGTTTCTCAGAGGTTCTCCAGAGTTATTGAGGCTTTGGTGCTCACAGCATCCCCCATTCATTCACATGCCTTTTATTGGCTTTAATTTGTCTTCTTTCCCTCCCACACTGGGGTTCCTGGGATCACCTCCAAAATAAACTACCTGGACCCAATTCTTGTCTCAGCGCCTGCTTCCAAAGCACCCTAAGTGAAGACAGATGGGCGTCGATGGAAGTTAGAGTCCAAATTTCATTAGTCCTTTCTCTGCTAAAGGAGCACTTCTAAGCTGGACAAAGACTTCCCCATCCCCTCACTAATATCTGGGAAGCCCAGAGGGTTTCGTCTGTCAGATGCTGCCACGAGTCCACTGCCAGTGACCCCCAAATCCACCATCACTGTCCTGGTGTCTCCCATAAGCCTTATCTGCCCTGGCTGTCTGTGCATGATCTGGGGAGAGGCCTTTGCTCACTTCGTGTCCTGCACAATTTGGGAGACAGCACAATAGCACTGTTTGGGCTCCAAAGTGTTAGAACGTTTAAGAAAACACTGCTTTCAATTTTCACCTCTAGATCTCTTTCTCTCCCTCCCTAGTACTCACCCATGGGGCCAGGCTTGGGGTGAATTCTAGGGACAGACAGCTTGCTGTCCTCAGAACTGCCCTCTGCTTCAACCACCAAATATTGCCAGAAGCATCCTGCTTTCTCATCCCTCAGGATGAGTCTCCTCCCAGAGGGTCACAGTCCCCTGAATGGAGACATATTCAGCTCTCTCATGAGTATGCCTGTACTCCAGCAGTGTCCAGAGCCCAGTGTCAGATGGCAGTCACGTTACAAGCGAAGCAAGAGAAAGGCCTGTCCTTGGTGGAGGAGTCAGGGCAGGCTGGGGTGTGCTGCAGTAATGGGAGGCTCACAAATCTCAGCGGCTTTGCACAGTCTAGGTTTGTGTCTTGCTCACACAGAGACTTCGAGGCTCCTCTCTCTCCTAGGGGGAGTCTCTGTACTTCTGTGGCTGCACCAACCCAGCACGGAGGCCCCCTCAGTCACTAAGGCAGGGGAAGGGATGTCTTCACTCGCCCCAGAGCTCCTAGTCCCTTGCATCTGCCTTGCTGAAAGGGGATGAGAAGTGAGGAGGGAAGATGGCGTGTTTGGTGAGCACCACTGTCTCTTTTTCTGCCAGGGGCTTTTTTTCTCTGTTTTAAAAAACTTTTTATTTTGAGATAATTGTGCATTCACATGCAACTAGTTATAGAAAATACCACAGAGAAACCCCATACGCACTTCACCCAGTTTTTTTTCCAATGGGAACTTAAAGTAGAGTACTGTATGATCCTATACTATGGTACAATATCAGAAAAATACCACATCCAGGATACTGATTATCACACAGACAAGACAAAGGGCGTGTCCACCACCACACGGACCACTTCCTTTGGCATTTTATAGCCTCATCCACTTCCTTCCCATCCTCACTTCTCCTTAGCCTCTGGCAACCACTCATCTACTCTCAATTTCTATAATTTTGTCATTTCAAGAATGTTCTAGAGACCGGGTGCCATGGCTCAGACCTGTAATCCCAACACTTTGGGAGGCCAAGATGGGCAGATCACTTGAGCCGAGGAGTTCGAGACCAGCCTGGGCTACATAGTGAGACCCCATCTCTACAAAAAAAAAAAAACAAAAGCATTAGCCAGGCCTGGTTGTGTGTACCTGTAGTCCTAGCTATTCAGGAGGCTGAGGTGGGAGGATCACTTGAGCCTGGGAGGTCGAGGCTGCAGTGAGTTGTGATAGCATCACTTCACTCCAGCCTGGGTGACAAGCCTAAGAATGCTCTGTAAATGGAATCATAGAGTTTGCAGCCTTTTGAGGTAGGCTTTCTCCTCCCAGCGCAATGCTCTGGAGTGACATCCAGGCTGCTGCGTGCATCAGTAGTTTTGTTCCCTGTTGCTGTTGAGCAGTGTTCCATGGCGTACATGTCCCAGAAGTTGCCTATTCACTCCCTGAAGGACATCTGGGTGTGCCCAGTTGTTGGCGATTAGGAATAAAGCTCTTCTAAGCATTCTTGTACAGGTTCTTGGGTGAACGTAAGCTTTCCCGTCTCTGGACAAAATGCTCAGGAGTGTAACTGCAGGGTCGAATGGAGTTGCATGTTTAATATTTCCAGAGTGTTTTTAGAGTGGCTGTGCCCTATCACCTTCTTACCAGCAATGTGTGACCAGACGCATTTCTCAAATGTCGGCGAGTCTGAGTATTTGTTTGCTAGCAAAGGCAAGCAATGGACAGATGACCCTTGATGGCAAACCCCAAAATGACTGACTGTGTCTGGTGGGATGGCCGAGTGTGTGTGTTCATAATTTCATATTACACACAGATACTAGAGTATTTTCTCTTGGCAAAATTATCTGCATTGTACGGGGAGTTCCAGATGCAACCCCAAGATTTCTGGACAGTCAACCATGAGAACCCGTTTGAGACATCTCCCTGGGGAGGAAAGAGATGGATTAGGTGGAGGCCTATTTAAAATGAAACACAGCCCTCAAGTTATTTTCTAAGTGGCCTTCCTAAATTATGGACTTATTTCTCTGGGACAGGAAGTTGAGATTTCTCCCATGGTCCCCCACCACAGTGAGGGAACTACTTCTTTCTAATCTCATTTGAGAAACCCTAGGCACAGACCAGAAGCCACACAGAGGTGTCATTCATGTGCCCACTTAAATCAGCTGATGATTGCCTGTCATGGTGTGCTGAGAAGTAGACTTGGCCAGAAACAGTGCCGTAATTGATTAGTAATGTCTACATGGAGAGAGTAAGGGGAGAGCAGTTGCATACTTAGAAATTTATCTAGCCTAAGATACACATTTTCCGACATTTTAACATCTCTGAAATCAGGGTGCATTGTACAATCGATGGCTTCTTATAAATTATTACAGTGTATTTCTTGTGGTTCACAAAATAATAGTGCATTGGACAAACGGTGAAGTAGATAACGTGGTATTTGGCATTGCTGGATTGTTTAGAGGGCTGTTGTTAGGAATGAATGGGCTCGTCTTCAGGATTCCTGGACTTGGGGAGGCTCAGTGTGCTTAGCGTCATCCATCTGTCTGCCTCTCTCTTTCTCTGTCTCTCTGTCTCCATTTTCTGTCTCTTTCTCTCCTCTCCTTCTCCCTGTCTCTCCCTTCCCCCAAGGGTTCCTGTGTGTCTGTGAGGTTTGACTCTTGCACCTTCTGCACAGCCCCACTGTTCTTCCTGCCCTGCCAGCCTGCCTCACAGCACTGGTGGGAGGCACAGGCCTCAGCCCCCAGACCGTTCCATCATCGCCTCCCAGAACCCCCTACACGCCACCTCTCTCCGCTCCAGCTCCACCCTCACTTGTAGATTCTTTCCATGTTCTCAAGTCCAAACTCTCTGGACCTTGAGTGAATCAGATGACCTTTTGAGGTTAGAGATTGCTGCACAGACTGGGAATGTTTCTTGTCTGGGTTCACTGCTAATCCCTGATGTAGTCAGCTGTGACCAGGGTAAGGTGGTGAGTGAGTGGGTGGGAACATGGGTCCTGAGGCACAGCACACCCTCCTAGGAAGCAAAGTCACAGGCCATGCGAGAGATCAATATACATATATATTATATTATATGCAATATGTTATATATACACTTATATAATTATGAATAATATATGAAGATATTATATAATATATTAAATTATTATATATTAAAAATATATAAATGTATATTATATATAATTTTATAATATATGTATATATCATATGAATACATAATTATATATTCATATATAACATATGTATAAATATATATGAAATATTTCACAGAATAATATATATTACATATATTATTACATATTATAATATATAACATAGTTATATAATACAGATTTAATTATATATGATATAATATAATATAATATAATATATGTATATGCCTATGTATGAACGTTATGGACTGAATGTTCGTGTCCCCCAGAATGTTCTTGAAATCCTAACCCTCAATGTGATGGTGTTGGATGGTGGGGTCTTTGGAAGGTGGTTAAGTCGTGGGGCAGACCTCCTGAATGGGGTTATGCCTTTATAAGAGACACGGAGAGATGATGTTTCTCTCTGCCATGTGAGGACACAGTGAGAAGGCAGCCCTCTGTGAATAAGGATGGGGGTCTTCACCAAGAACCTGACCATGCTGGCACCCCAATCTTTGAATTCCCTTCAGGATTCTAAGAAATAAATGTTTATTATTTAAGCCACCCAGTCTATGATATTTGTTATAGCAGCCTGAACTAAGACTGTAAGACCATCCACACTTGCACACACACGCACGCACATCTATACCTATATCTTCATGTATGTCTTTCTCCCTTCCTTTTCTCCCTCCCTCCATTTCTTTCTTCTCCCTTCTTTCCTCCCCTCCTTGGGCCTCCTATGCAGAGCTGCCTTGCCATGCTGTGCAAAAACCCCGTCTCGTTGGTGAGCTTGTTTATTCCTTTTATCCTCCATCTCCCCTCCCACTCTTCACTGACAATCATTCTAATATATTCAATGTAAACCTTTTTATTTGTAGCATTCAGCTAAAAGGCCTGGGGTCTGGGATTCCTGGATTTGAATCTCAGATCTGTTATTGATTAGCTGTGGGACTTGGAGCCTCAGTTTATGTCATAACGAACCTTACCTTAGAGGGTGGCTGTGGTAAGTAAATAGATGCATTTGGAACACTTTCCTGCAAACAGTAAGCACTCAAGAAGTGTCCGCTACAGAGTGTATTCTTGCAAAAGATGTATTTGGTTCTGCATACCTGAATATTTAGATTACATAAGTGGTATCCAGTTACATATCTCATTCTAGTCCTTGTTTCATATTTGATTATATGAATGGTTATGAATGTTTCTTGGCATTGACTATTCTTTTCTCTTTTTTTGAGAGTGAGTTTCATTCTTGTTGCCCAGGCTGGAGTGCAATGGCACAATCTCGGCTCACTGCAACCTCTGCTTCCCGGGTTCAAGCCATTCTCCTGTCTCAGCCTCCCGAGTAGCTGGGATTACAGGCACCCACCATCATGCCTGGCTAATGATTGTATTTTTAGTAGAGACGGGGTTTCACCATGTTGGCCAGGCTGATCTCGAACTCCTGACCTCAGGTGATCCACCCGCCTCAGCCTCCCAAAGTGCTGGGATTACAGGCGTGAGCCACCATGCCCAGCCGGCATTAAATATTCTTTACAGAAGTGTTTCTTAATGACTGCATTCTTGCTTTTCATCAATTTCTAATTTATCAATTTAATGATTCCAGATTTTTTGAACATCTAGGTTGTTCCCAATGCTTCGTTAAAAAAACACTGATTCGTTTTGTACACACATTTGTGTGTAATCTCCATTTTTTTCCCCTTAGATGATGTTACCAGAAGTGAACTTACACACTTTAAGGGATCTGGCTATGTACCCCTACTTGCCCTCCAGTCAAGGTGCACTAATCTATACTCCTTGAAGCCAAATATAGGTTGCTTGTTTCTTCTTTCCTCTGTGCTATGCCCAATCTATGTGCATTTTCATTTTAAAATATGAAATTGCTGTCTCTGAGATTTGACTCTATCACAGTCCCATTGAAGGGAGTGTGGGTCTCATCTAAAAAAGCAAATGCTAGCATCGAATAAGAAGAAAAGGGGATGGAAAGAGCTGGGGGTGGAAAGGAGGCTTGTGGGGCAGGGTCGGGGATGAGGAGGGCTCTGCCTGGTGTTCCTGGAAACAAGTGGCCTCCTGGTTACACATGAAGTTCATTTTGATTGTAAGTAGGGGTTTGCCTTGCCTAATGGTAGGGTTGGGTAGCTATGTGGTGATGGGAGTCATGCCTTACTTGGGAGGATCTGGGCTACGGATTCCGGATTCAGATGGAATGCTTGGCTGTTTCATCTTCATCTCCCATCATTCAGTTCTATTTATTGAGCTGGGAATGTGGGGAAACTAACTCTGAGTTTTAAAAGAATTTGAGAGTGTGGCTAGAGAACAGACAGTGTCTATTACTCCCACTGGTAAGGATCCCTTGACCCTTGACAGTATATTAGTTGGAATTTGCTGCAGGGTTTTGCAAGGGAGAGGCAAAGTATACCGGGTGGCTTGCCTGAGATGAACTAGGAAGTTCAAAAACTTAGGAAGGGGCCAAGTGATGAGGGGTCCTGAATGTAAGCTAAAGATTTAGATCTCTCTTTTGGACAGCCATCGAAGGGATTGGGTGTGTTTAAAAGTGGTTTCTGGCTGAAATTGTGTATCAGTTAAGAATACTGTCAGCTGCAAGTAACTCACTTATGGCTAACAGAAGGTAGACATGGGGAGCTGCTTTTCTCGTGGGACAAGAATGCTGGATGTGGCAGTAGGCTAAGCCACATCAATGCTCTGCCGTGGCATCTTGGTGATTTTCTTAACCTCCATCCCAAGATGTTGCAGCAGATCTAAATATCTCATTTTCACACCCTCTCCCTCCCCACCAATCCCTTTATAGAAAAGATCCTCTTGATTTATTCAAAAAATGCCATCATCCCTGTTGCAGACAATCTCAGGGTAGAGTCTGTGGGTTCAAGTTGAAGGTCACTGGGCTTGCTGTGAAGAGATGAGGTCTGCTGTAGAGCTCATTCCTGCCTTACCTACAGGTATCAGGAAGGCAAGGAGGTGGCTGAGCAGCTGGCCACTTGGCTCTGAGTCCATCTTCTGACTCTTCACCTTTCCTCCTGCCACAGAATATTACTGGATAAGCAACCTGGAGTAGTAGACGGGCTCAGCCTCAGAGGCTCAGATCTGGGTTCAAATCTCAGACTCACCACTTTAGCTGCAGAAGTTGGGCAAGTCTGAGCATGGCTGTAAGCCTGTTTCCTTACCTATCAAATGACAATGAGAATGTACAGTAAAGAATTATTGTGAGAATTAGAGAGAATGAATGAAATGTCCTCAGCACTGTTCCTGGCTCAGTGGGGCTCAATGAATGGTCATCTCTTAATGTGATTCCCACCAGAAGGGGAAGAGCAGATGAGCTGGTGACTCTTCCCTGAGGAAATGGATGAAAAAGAAAATGAAAAAGTGATGGAACAGTTCAACCATTGTGGAAGACAGTGTGGTGATTCCTCAAGGATCTAGAACTAGAAATACCATTTGACCCAGCCATCCCATTACTGGGTATATACCCAAAGGATTATAAATCATGCTGCTATAAAGACACATGCACACGTATGTTTATTGCGGCACTATTCACAATAGCAAAGACTTGGAACCAACCCAAATGTCCATCAGTGATAGACTGGATTAAGAAAATGTGGCACATATACACCATGGAATACTATGCAGCCATAAAAAAGGATGAGTTCATGTCCTTTGTAGGGACATGGATGAAGCTGGAAACCATCATTCTCAGCAGACTATCGCAAGGACAAAACACCAAACACCTCATATTCTCACTCATAGGTGGGAATTGAACAATGAGAACACTTAGACACAGGAAGGGGAACATCACACACCGGGGCCTGTTGTGGGGTGGGGGGAGGGGGGAGGGATAGCCTTAGGAAATATACCTAATGTAAATGATGAGTTAATGGGTGCAGCACACCAACATGGCACATGTATGCATATGTAACAAACCTGCACGTTGTGCACATGTACCCTAGAACGTAAAATGTAAAAAAAATAGTGATGGAACTTGTCTTAGCCTTTGTTTCCACTATGAATTATGATAAGAGGATTTCATACAGAAGTGTCTATACTGTGAGTTTCTAGGACTGGTTTCCATATGAAGACAGATGTTCAGGATTAAGCCACTGCAGCACCCACTATGCAGACGTAAAAGCCACATTATGGGCATTGCAGGCAATTGCACTCATTGCAATCTTTAATCTGAAAAAAGGACTTTGCTTCTTATCTGCCGTCTGCTTGATGATGAACAGATGTGTTGGAAATCAGGCTAATAAAGATGCCGCCTCCTCTGATGATTACTGACAACCCACCACAAATTCTGCCTTCTTAATGTGGGAGAAGGGACTAGGGACTTGGCATTGTGGAGAAATCAGCAGATGCTGAAACTATCCCAAGCCTGGAAACCACTGCACCCTGCATCTTGGAGTAGTCAAGGCGACCGGCTTCAGCTGTCCTCCATGGGATGCTTTTATGGAATGAGTTTCTGGGACAACTGCAGGGTCATCAGCAGTGGAGGGAAATAAATGAATACATGGGGGAAGGGCCAATTTTAAAAGCAAAACTACATTCAAACATCTGGGTTCCGTTTGATAAACAGTTGGCAATGGAAGGACTCTTACATTCCACCTAGTTCAAGCGAAGATATGACAGATGAGAAAACTACAGCCCACAAAGCGGAAATAAATTGCCTAAGTATGCAGCAAGTTGGTGACAGTGCCATTGAAATCTTTCACCCATCCATCCATCTACCTACACATCCATCCACCTATCCACCCATCCATCTACCTATTCAAGCCTCCATCCACCCATCCACCTATCCATCCATCCATCTGTCCATCCATCCGCCCATCCATCCATCCACCCATCCACACATCCATCCATCCATCCACCCACCCACCCATCCATCCATCCACCCATCCACCCATCCACGCATCCATTCATCCACCCACCCACCCATCCACCCATCCATCCCAGATATGTGCATAACATCTCTGATGTTCCAGGCACTGCAGTATGTGCTGAGCATGGGGCTACAACAAAAAGGTCTGATCCCCATCCTCAGAGACATGTTCCAGTGGAGGAGATTATTACAGCAAATCACACACCTAATTTCAATTGAGATTACTGCTATGAGAAAAAATTCAGAATGGTAAGAGAGAATCTGGGGGGTCTGGGGGGGTCACCCCTGAGGAGGTAAGCTTTAAACTGAGATCTGAAGGATGAGTAGGACAAGCCAGACAAAGAAAAGAGTCTAGGTAAAGGGGAGTGTTTCAGGCTGACAGAAGACTATAGAAAGGCGCATGAAACCTTGAGAAAATGAAGGAAGCCTAGAGATGCTGGGGAGGTAGGCAGTGTGAGAACCCAGGCTTGTAATCCCCAGGCTTTCCACTTTATTCCTTAGATCCCATCCCATGACTTTGTGGCTTATGGAATCAGTCTGTCTCATTTTCATGTTTGAAAAGGATTGGTGATGAAAATACTTACCTTTTTTGCTTGAGAGAAGGTCCATTCTATACTGGACTAGGATTTTGGGGTGTGAGGGTGGGTAGAGGAGAAGACTGTATGATTTATAAATAATAAAATACTAACTAATGCAGCACACATAATAAAGACAACTTATTATTTTTCACAATGAAAAGTCTGAAGTTCAGTATCCCATGATAGAATTAATTCCAAGTGATGTCAGGATCCTGGGAAGCATGTCTGCAGTTCTCCTGATCATTCCAGCATAGTTGCAATGTGACAGGTGTTTCTTTAGGCATCACATCCTCCTATGACTACCTCTAAAGGGAGGTAGATAGAAAAGTGACCTCTGTCCTTTTACTAGGAAGAAAAACTCTCTTTTAGGAGATCTATAGTATGCTTTCCCTTATGGATCATTGGCTCAAACTGGGTCACATGCTGACCACTGGCTGCAAGAGAGGTTGGGAAAGTGGTAATCTGGGAGGCAAGGAAGGAGGATTTGCAAATGGCTACTGGGCCACCAACTGACACTGTCTATGGCAAACCTCCAGCTGTCAAGGCAGTAAACCCATCAAAAGGAATGAGACCTGTTTCCATTCCCAACAATGTAGTCCTGGTGACTATTTGCACAGTTCATGTTTGTCAGTATTTTAATGTGTGATGTGGCACAGAAAAAGCATTTGACAAAATACAATACTTGGTCATTAAGAACTAGAAGGAAACTTCCTCAACTTGGTTAAGAGCAACTGAATAGTCATATAGAAAAAAAATGATATCTTACCCCTACCTCACACCATGTACATAAATTAATTTAAAATTTATCAAAGAGCTAAATGTAAGAAATAAAACTGAAATTTCTAGAAGAAAAACATAAGGAATGTATTTCCACAAATTCGGGGCAGGCAAAGATTTCTTAGACCTAACAGAGCACTGAACAGAAAAAATTTTGATGAATTGATATTTATCAAAATTTAAAACTTTTCTCTTTAAAATTATTATTAAAAGTCTTTAAAAAGGCTGAGTGCAGTGGCTCATGCCTATAATCCCAGCACTTTGGGAGGCTGAGATGGGCGGTTCACAAGGTCAAGAGATCGAGACCATCCTGGCCAACATGGTGAAACTCTGTTTCTACTAAAAATACAAAATTAGCCGGGCGTGGTGGTGGGCACCTGTAGTTCCAGCTACTTGGGAGGCTGAGGCAGGAGAATCACTTGAACCCGGGAGGCAGAGTTTGCAGTGAGCTGAGATAGCACCACTGCACTCCAGCCTGGCGACAGAGTGAGACTCTGTCAAAAAAAAAAAAAAAAAAAAAACAACTTCAAAAATACTACTAAAAGTTAAAAAGCAAGCCTCTCAGGCTGCAAGGAGTATGTCCGGAGAGAGGATTGTATCCAAAATACATGAAGAACTGTTAAAACTCAATATTAGGAAGATAACCAATCCAACTTTACAAATGGTCAATTCTTCTGGACAGAAGTATCTTCACAAAGAAGATACATCAATGTCTATTAGGCATACAATAAGATGTTCAACATCACCTGTAATCCCAGCACTTAGGGAGGCTGAGGCAGGTGGATCACTTGAGATCAGGAGTTTGAGACCAGCCTGGCCAACATGGTGAAACCATGTCTCTCCTAAAAATAAAAAAATTAGCCAGGCATGGTGGTGGGAGCCTGTAATCCCAGATACTCAGGAGGCTGAGGCAGGAGAATCGCTTGAACCCAGGAGGTGGGGGTTTCAGTATGCCAAGATCACACCATTGCACCTCAGCCTGGGTGACAGAGTGAGACCCTGTCTCAAAAAAAAAAAAAAAAAAAAAAATGCTCGACATCACTAGTCATCAGGAAATGCCCATTAAAATGATAGTATAGTAATACTATGCACCTGCCAGATGGCTAAAATTAAAAAAACTAAAACTACCAAGTGTTGGAGAGGATGAAGAGCAACTGCAACCTTCATACAGAGTCTGCGGGAGTGTAAAATGGCACAGCCCCTTTGAATAGCAGTTTAGCAATTTCTTATAAAGTTAAATGTACAATTACTTAATGACCTAGCAATTTTGCTCTTAGGTATTTTTCCCGAGATAAATTAAAACATTTCTTCACAAAAAGATGTATATGCAAATGGTCAGAGCAGTTTCATTTACAGTAGCCAAAAGCTGGATACGACCCAAAGGCCCACCAACAGGTTAATCGATGTGCAAATTGCGGTAGATCTTTACCATGGGACACTACTCAACAATAAAAAGGAGCACATTCCTGATATATGAAACACTGTCTATGAAGTTTAAAACATTATTATTTGTGAAGGAAGTCAGATGCAATAGGGTACATGCTGCGTGATTCCATTTCTATGACGTTCTAGGACAGGTTGAGCTAATCTGTAGCTATAGAAATTGATCTGTGGTTGCCTGGAGAGGAAGATTGATTGGGAAGGGGCATAAAGGAATTTTCATGGTGATACAAATGAACTAAGTAAAAGACATCTTTGTTGGAGTTATGGTCACATGACACATATATTTTTCAAAATTTAAAATGAGCACATTTCATCGTAAATCAATTTTACCTCAATAAGATTGATTTTTTAAAAATCTGTCCAATGGCAGAAAAGGGTGTACATGTTATCTCTGGCTAATGCAAATGCCTGCTTCTACTGCTTAAAAGGGGGCAGTATTTTCATCTTGCGGAAGGTGTAGAGAGAGTTGAGATCTTTCCAGGGACAACTCCAGTATCACAGTTGCGTGTTAGGCAAGAGCTTTGAATTGGTTTTTTATTGGGAAATTGTCTGCATCATGCAATCGGGGTTTACTTCAGCCTCAGGCTCACTCTGGGCTTCATCAAGGCAAGATTCGGGAACTCTTCTGGTTACACACACATATTCACCCTCACACCACAAACACACACACATATGCAGCCACCCCACACACATATTCACAACCTGCACACACATATATGTACATTCATTCCCGACACACATAAACACATTCACACCGACACCACAGACACACAGACACACACCACACACACCACCCCCTGCATACACACATTCACACACACACACCTACTGGAAGATAAACTTGGGCACATCAACATTCTAACGAATGTAATTGAGCAAACAGCGATTCACGGATCAGGCAGCTCCAGATCGCAGGCTGCTCAGGGCTCCACCGGGGGACGCAGGGGAGGCTTTTATAAGATGCTCCCCAAGCGGGACAAGGACAGACTGGATTCGTTTACTGGAAAGTCCCTGAGAGAGGTGAGTTGGCAGTTTCTGATTAGGAAGCTTAAGCTGTTTTCCCTGGGCTAGTACCATTCACTCTACGTTGGCGTTCGGTTTGCCAAGCACACACATTCACACCGCATGCACACACACCACACACATATGCATACACATCACACTCACACCACATGCACCACACACACCCACATGCATGTATATACACATCACAATACAGTCACATGCATATGTATACACATCACACACATTACACACACATCCACACGCACCACACTCACACCCCACATGCATTTATATACACACATCACACATATTACACACACATCCACACGCACCATGCACTCACACACCACATGCATGTGTACACACACACACCTACGTGATGCACCAACACTCACACACCACCTGCATATATATACACTTTGCACACAGGTACACACATCACACATTCAAACCACACACACATACCACATGCATATGTGTACACATCACACACATGCACACCCAGATGTATACACATCACACACACACATCCACACATCACATACACATCCACACACACCCACACCACATGCATATGTATACACATCGTACACACACATCACACGTTCACATGCACCACACACACCACACACACATATATATAATCACACACATGCACATATATATATATACACATCACATACACACATCACACGTGTATACACACACACACACACACACACATATATACACACACCACACACACATTCTCACACATACCAGAAACACCCCCATACACAGAACATGGAGACTGGTGTCTCCTCTAGAGAAATGCAGCATGGGCAGAGTTGGGCCTGGTGGGACAAAGAGCCACCTATTTCCCAGGCACCTGCACTGGGGTGAGCATCAGGCACTTACTGGGGTGTGCGCCTTGCTGAATCTGTCCATGGGGTGCGCACCAGAGCACCTGCTGATGCTGCAGTATTGCCTAACCAGAACTCCTCCCTGCCTGAGACGCAGAGCTGCTTTCCCATGGCAGTCAACAGGCTGAACCACGGAGGTGAAGCCATTGTCCATGTACACAGGTGTAGGGTGAACTGTGCCCTTGGTTCCAGCTCCCCAACCCTCAGCCTGCTGTTGCTGAACTGAGGGAGCCCACGTGGGTGGGATGACAGGCTCCGCCCCTTCATGTGGCCTCAGCCACGTGGCTCACTTGGCCAATGGGATGTCAGCAACCACAGGGGGCGGGGCTCACGGTTTCTTTGCCAGGCCATGAGCACGTGCTGGGCTAAGGCTGCAGTGAGAGACGGCCGCCCAGGTCAGTGAGGCCAAGAGCAGTGGAGCTGCCCAGCAAACTCGAACTCACCCTGGGCACGTGCACCCTCTGCGCATATTGTTCTTCTGTTCCCAAGGTGTCGTGCTGGTTGTTACGCGGTACTGTTCCTTCAAGCATAACCAGTAATACCTGACAAGTGTTTAGGTCACAGCCTGTGCCCACGTCTGACTCCAGCATCCCTGTGCCTCCCACTCAGTTTGTACTGTGGTTCTCATAATTATTAGCATTCTCATTGAAGCCTAGGGTTTAAATTCTTGGAGAATATAGAAGCTATTGTTGGGTGAGTGGGCTTTAGCTATTGAGGCTGGCAGGGCGAGTGGGACGGATGTGATCTCAACAGTTTGTGGAAGTCAGAATATAGCCCATGCCATGTCGTGGAAGCCTGCCCACATGTCCTGGTCTGCTTCTCATCTTGTTAGATGGAGGCCCCCAGTCAGCCCCTTTCCTTCCTGCTCAACCATGGCCACGTGCCTGGCAAAAGCCCTCTCTTATTTTCCTCTACCCCGCTAGGAAATAATGCGATTACGGATCCTAACACCAATACCAACAGCGAAGTGCACTGAGAACACTCTCTCTGACAGTGGCCACTCTAAGTCTTACACGTATATATTGTCCCATTTAATCCTTCCCACATATGGTGGGGTCTTATCATGGCCATTTTACACATGGGAAAACCAAGGGCCGGTTCTTAGAACCCTGATCAAAGTGACCTCACCATTGGTTTCTGGAAGAACTGCAGACTAGGGAAGTGCTGTTTCCACGACCGAGCATCTGAAAATGTTATTGCGAGGATTGCTGACAACGTGGACATTCATGGCATTTCTGTCACTCATTCAACAATCTGATTTGATGGTAATCATTATTCATGAGGTCATATAACAAAGTGTTTCGGCTTCAAAATGCATGAAACAAAAACTGATAGAGCTAACAGGAGAAAGAGTAAAATCCATAACTACAGTTGGAGATTCCAATACTCCTATCCCAATAATTGATGGAACAAATAGACAAAAATGATCATGACATACAGAAAACTTGAACAACATTATACACCAGCCGGATTTAACTGACAGTTACAGAACGCGCTGCCCATGTGCACATGAAAAGAACGTGCACATGGCGTGCTGAGCAAGGTAGACCATGTTCTAGGCCACTATGGCCCATGGCCTGTTTTTTATTGTACAGACCATGACCTAAAAGTGATCTCTGTATTTTTAAAGGGTTGCACAAAATACAACAAAACTAAAGAAAGAAGAACATGCAGCAGTGACAACTCTGTGGCTGGTAAAGCCTAAAATATTTGCTCTCTGGCCCTTTCCAGAAAAACCTTCTCTGCCCCTGTTCTAGGTCAGAAAATAAGCCTCAATAAATTAAAAATAATTTTTTAAAATTTTTTAAAAATTTAGAATTTAAATGTAAACTTGACCACATTTAAACTTAAATTTAAATTTAAATCTGACCACAGTGAAATTAAACTAGAAACTATCAACATTAAGGTATATGAAAAAAAATCCCCAAATATCTGGAAATAGACCAATGAAATAGACCAGAGTCCATCAACAGGTGCTTTTTGAGGGATTTATTACACAGTGAAGAAGGCACTCCAATACATCATGAAGAGTATCTAGCATTCAGTAGTGTTGGGACAACTGGAAAAAGCATGAAAGTAAAAAACTGAAGTCTAAAAATGTTAGGAATAAATGTAGAAGAACGTGTTTGCAACTTTGAAGATAGAAAAACTTTCCTTACAACATAAATGCAAAAGTAAAAAAGGAAATAAATGACAAATTGAACTGTGTAAAAAATAATATGATAACACCATAAAATGAAAATTGAGGTAACCAACTGGGAAAAAATACTTGCAAAATATGAAACAGGGAAATGAATAATATCCAAGATAGAGCCCTCTTAAAAATCAGGCATAAAAAGATAGACACACACATAGATGTATAAATAGAAAAATGATCAAAGGATAAGCTTTGGGAGGCTGAGGCAGGAGGATGGCTGAGGCAGGAGAGTTGCTTGAAGCCAGGAGTTAGAGACCAGCCTGGGCAACAAAGTGAGACCTCCGTCTCTACCCCACCCCAAAAAAAAAAAAAATTGGCATGGTGCTGCACACCTGTAGTTCCAGCTACTTGGGAGGCTGAGGTGAGAGGATCCCTTGAGCCCAGGATTTTGAGGCTTCAGTGAGCTATGATGGCACTACTGTACTCCAGTCTCTGAGGCAGAGCAAGACCCAGTCTTTAAAACAAACAAACAAACAAACAAACAAACAAAACAACCCCAAGATATTGTTTTTCTTTTATCAGTAATAATGAAAGAATTGATCATAGCCAGCATTGGGGATAGGATGGAGAGCAGGGTGACTCTCTTGGTGGCCCATAAATTGGCATGTTGTTTTTGGAATCAATTAGACAATACCTATTCTAGTTGAAAACTACTAAACTCTTCACCACAGACATCAATTTTGGTATCCATTTTGGAAAATAAATACCCACATGTGAACAAAGAGGCAGGTCTGAGATATTCACTGGAAACATTTTTATGATAGTATCATGAGTAATGCATGAACATGTGACCACTCCCTGCAGCTCATTTGGATCTCTAGGCATCTTTGCAAACCCCACCGAGCTTGGGTGCTTAAATGCGAATTTGTGACAACTGGAAGTACCGAAATGACTATCAATATAAAAACGGTAAAACAAACGATGATGTTTCTACACTGAGTATTGTGCATTGGTTTAAAAAACGAGGTTGTGAAGTACTGTAGACATGGAAAGGTCTCTAAGACATATTGCTGGGAGAAAAAGTGAGCTTCTGAATAATGTGTTCAATATTATGCCATTTATGTGTAAGAACACAAGGTGGTAAATATTGTATGGATACACACTTATATGTGTGTGGATTCATAGAACACTGTCTTGAGGGATACATAGCAAATTGGCCAGCAGTTTTCTCTTGGTGTAGAGCTTATAGGTGGTTTTCATCATTTCTCTGTGCTTTTGTCTATTTTTCCAGATAGAGATTACTTTTGAAATTTAAAAAAAGTTAAAAATCAGCACGTGAGTGATAATGAGTTTTACAGCGTATTTATCTACTCTATAAGGGAAAGCAGTCTTCCTGCTGTTAAGTCCAGGCAAGTTCAATATGCTTTTCGGTTTTCAAAGCTATGTCCATTTATAATTTTATTTTATCCTTGTAAATCCATCCTGAGCTGAGGGAGCTAATCGGCCTTCGTGTGAGGGTGCCTGAAGATGTTTTAGGCATTTTTATTTTATTCTCAACTCTAATTCGAGCAGGGAAGAGTTGGCCTTTTCACCTAACATCTGATATGTCCCTCTCACACTCCTTAATACTCTGTCTCCCAGGGGTGGCCTCGTGCCAGACCCTCCAGAATCCAAGGCCCCTTGGTGACGCATTCACTCAGGGTGAGAGAAGACCCTCACCAAGGTGACAGGTAAGGGAGCCACATCGCCAGGCCAGCACCCGCCCCACCCCCTGCCATCCTGATCTCTAGGAGTCTTTGTATACCCCACCAAGCTTGGAAGCTTAAATCTTAATTTGTGACAAAGCTTACAGAGACCACACTAAATAGGAAGTCTTCATTTTTCTGAGCATATTGGGGACCTAAGAGGCCGAGGAGAGGAGCATTGGAGGAATTTCTGAAGAGAAGGCAGAGGAGGAAGCAGCGGGCCAGGGAAGGGGGAACAAGTGTCCGGGATGTCACCTTCCTTGTTCAAAGTCTGAGAGAGTGCCTAAGGGAAAACTGCCTTCGAAGGGCAGCATTGTAGGCAAATGCTGCTTTCTTTTCTCAACGCAGCCACCCCAGAGCCCTCGGAATCCTGGTTCTAGTGTTCTGCGGTAGGTTTGTCCAATCCTGGGTCATGAAGCACTGCTGAGTAGGGACATCGATTTAGCCAGGTGTAGCCAAATTATGAAAAGTAAATACACTTAGAAAAATGAAATAGACCAGCACTCTCAAACTGTAATATGCATCATCATGCTGCCAGGAGAGCTTGTTAAAATGCAGGTTGACACCGTGCAGGTCTGCATTGGGGCCCTGGATTCTGCATTTCCAACTCAGGTGACTCTGAAGCCACTGGTCCAGGGACCACACTTTGAGTAGGGAAGGACAAGGGGTTAAGCTGGACCAGACTGGGACAAAATGTTTCAGCATGTAATGCACATCAGATCACATCTAGTTTTTCGAGCATTTACTTCAAATGGGTGTGTGCACATGTGTGCGTACTGTGTTGACATGCGTACTCTTGTAACAGAATGTGGTTCAAAACACTGAACTAGAAGTAGGACTCGAGTCCAAGGAAGACACACTCAGGTGGCTTCTGACTATGCATCATTTTGACTAGATTTTAAACATGAAGACGTCCATCAGGAACATACTTCTTATCTAGTCCCACGTTGCTTCCAATACGAACATTTGAACTTGTGCCATTTCCTGTGGTGAGGGCTTACACAGAGGGGTGAGAAGGGCATATCTATTTTGGATTCTCATTTCAAAACCTCCCAATATCATCGAAATCAACTGGCACAAACAGAGCGCCTGGGAGTTTCTTTCATAGAAATGGCCAAGTTTGTCTATCAATGGAGCACACGCGAGCCGGGCGGAAGAGCACGCCAATGGCCGCTCCATCAACTCTGGCAGTTGTGTACATTACGCCTTTTGATCTCAGAGGATGCTGTATTTAGATGACATAATATGCTTTTGGTTATCTTTCTTGAAGGTAGAAGGGGACGTAAGCAGATATCCACTTTTGCAAGATAAAATTAGCACCTCTTTGCTGGAAGATAAACATTTCGGCAGGAAAGCCCTGATTAAAGTACAAAGCAGCCAGGGGGTATTAGGCTGCGCCCCTTTGAGCGAAATTCCTATTTATAATAAAAGGAAATAACATTGGTATGACATAGGGCAACAAAGAGAAGCCACCTACCACAGCCTCAAAGAAATAGCGTCGTTATTGCAGGCTTTCTGGAAAGTTCCACTGTGATTTGGTTCCACAAAGGCCAACACTGGGGTTTAGGGGAGGAAAGGGGAGAGGGAGGCATTCCGTTGGTCTAGACCCTTTCTGCTCCCACGCTCCAGGGCTGCAGGAACAGTTGTGTGGTTTGCTGACTACGGCAGGGCAGCCTGGCCAGGGCGGGGAGTGGGGGCAGCTCCGAAGTTATTCACCCCAATGGAGAGCCCAGTCTGCCTGCAGAGGGACACTGTTTTGATCATTCTGGCAAAGGCACCTGGTGGGTTCACCAAGGCAGTCCTTCTATTCCTCTAACATACCTCTGCCCACTCCCATTTTTGTGCTGTGTCCACAGAGACCCGTGTTCCCCAGAATGATGTTCCCTCTCAGTAGCCACTCATGGAACGGTGGATAGGAAAATCCCTGGTCTCACTTGCAGCTGGGAAGACAGTCTAGCAGTGCACGTTGTTCCAGACTCTTCATCTTTCTCCACTGGATGGCCGTCTTTCAAAATGAGAGCACGCTAGCACCAGGAAGCTGCCTAAACTGTGTTTGCTGAAACTTGCAGAAATTCCCAGCAGCTTTGTAGCTCCTCACTTCTTCCTTTCTGCAGGAGGCATGTAAGGAAGTCCAGTTATTCATTCAACAGATATTTATGGCTGTTTGTTATGTACCAGCCACTGCCAATGCTGAAGGTCCATGGTGGTGAGGCAGTGGGGAGCCCTGTCCTCACCGCCTGGCAGATGGCAGGCCAGGTGTGGTGAGGGCCATGGGAAGGGGATTTCACAACACAACAATCCTCGAGACTCTGGGGTTCGGCCTCTGCATACATCCAAGGGATGAATCAGAGGCATCCAGATAATGAGGGGAGACCGATGGAGAGGAACCTGCATGTGCAGTGTCTCAGAGGCAGGTGGATTGAGGGTAGATCTGCTTGGCTGGGCTCCACAGATGGGAGAAGGCTGGCGTGGGAGCCAGGACCCAGCGTTCAGAGCCCTGTAAAACACACGGGTATCACACATCCCAGTTTGCCTGTTGCACGTCCCAAGTTTGTGACTGTTGTTCCACTGTGATTATTGGCAACATCCCCCTTGACTCTCAAAAGTGTCCAGGTTGGAGCAACGAACCATACAGACACTCTAGAAGGATTTAATAAGCAAGAAGATGACATATTTGTGCTTGCTGATGAAAGAGCACTCAGGCTGCCCTGCAAGAATGGCTCAGAGTCAGGGAGGGCGGATGGGGAAAAAATGGCCATTGACCAGGGTAATGGCTTTGAGGGAAAAGAAATAATCAGAGCTTTGGGAGGTTCCTAGACACTGGCTCTGAACTGATACTAATTCTAGGAGACCTAAAAAGTCACTGGGATTACCAATATGACCAGGGGCTTATGGAAGCCAACTGAACTGTGGAGTTCTAGCTTAGGTCTCTCCTAACGTGGGCCCGGCGGGTCCCTGAACCTGTCCTCTGGTTATTTCCCCAGTGCTAGGGTGCGTCACTGGAATAGACATATCCATTTCGCTGGCAGATGATGGGGAGAGAAAAGCGGTTTGTCGGGCAATTTCTGGTTACAGTTGATTACAGCGATTCTGATTCCAGGCTGCTCTTCATTTATGCACAGTCCTGGGTTACCTGAGAGTAAGGACTGTCCAGAAGGGGCTGCCTCCCATTTTCAGAATCCCCTTCAGGTCTGGGCTCACTGGTGGACCTGCACAGGCTTTGTGTTAACCATTTGTTTCTCCTATTTGGGAGCTCCCGCAGCACCCAGCTAGAAGGGGCTCCAAAATTATAAAGATGCATGGGTTATAAAGATGCGTGGATTATAAAGATGCATGGGTTATAAAGATGCGTGGATTATAAAGATGCATGGGTTGTAAAGATGCATGGATTATAAAGATGCATGGGTTATAAAGATGCATGGATTATAAAGATGCATGAGTTGTAAAGATGCATGGATTATAATGAAGCCTGAACTCGTTGACATCTTCCATAACAGTGAAGGCCGACATGGCCTAGAGCTCATGCTGCTATTTTGTGGTTTGCACCTCTGAAGAGGGCAAGGACTTGGCCTGAGCCCACACTTCCTGCTTTAGAGGGCCCTCCCCACCCTGCGTTCAGGTCCCCAAAGCTCCTCATCCATCCTGGTTTTGCAGCCGTTTATACCTTGATGTGAATATCTGTTCTAGCATTTTCATTCCTCTTGGGGGAAGATGCATTTTTAGGGATCACATTTTGTGGTGAAACGTTTCAGTGAGACAGGCAGAGACAAGAGACACTTTTGGAGTGTGCCTGTGATAACGTGGATTTCCCTTGCTGTCCTTCTCTGAGGATCACTGAGCCCTTGGCCGTCAGTTCTCCAGGCTGCCCGGGGCTGCGGTGGCTGCACCTGCTCTTCTAGGGAGGATCCCAGGGACTTACCTCCCTATATCTGACATCCCCTCCTTGACTCTGAGTCTCTTTTGATGACAGACAAGTTCAGTGAAACCAATTCCCTGTTCAGCCTTCCTGTTATCACCTGTGTGGCTCTTCCAACTGCAGCCTCTATTTAGCTAATCTGGAAAAACAGTCCCTCCATCCCCACCCCATGTTCCCTCTTCCAAATGAAAATATTTTTTTTTCATTTTTGAGAAATAGATTTGATATTTGATACATCAAAGAGAGGAGGAAAAGTTTCCATGTAATTTCTACTTTACAGTCAGGAGAGATTTTATTTTTAATCACATCTTTGTAAGCCTTATGTAGGGGCTTGGCATAATCCATCTGGGGCTACTTCAAGGATTCTTTTTGCTTAAAACCTCCAAGATCTTCCCTCCTTAGAGCGAATATTCCCTGCAGGATTTTAAGTGTCACCTGATCCACTTCAGCACTTAATCCAGCCCATAGCAGATTCAGACAAGCACTGAAAAGATAGTAGTGTGCCCCCATGCTCTGAGAAATTCAACAGAAATGCAATACTAAACCTCCAAAAATGTAAGAAAAGCCAGCAAAGAGCAGAGGATCATAATTGCATTTTGCAGTCATCGTATTTCATGTGTTGATTTGCTTTATTGGTTCATCTTCTGTTACTTACTCCTTCTTTTAATTGTTTTCTGTTTTGATGCCTTTTCAGTCATCTTCTTTGTAAGATACAGTAGTCCCCCTTTGTCCTCGAGGGAGATGTTCTAGACCCCCAGTGGATGGTTGCAACTGTGGATGGTATGGAACCCTGTGTATACTAGGGTTTTCCTGTACGGACCCATGATAAAGTTTAATTTATAACTGAGGCACAATACGAGAGTAAGAACAGTGAATAATAATAAAATAGAACAGTAACAATATACTGCAATAAAAGTTAAGTGACTGAATTCCTCTCTCTCCCTCTCTCTCCCTCTCTCTCCCTCTCTCTCCCTCTCCCTCTCTCTCCCTCTCTCTCCCTCTCTCTCCCTCTCTCTCCCTCTCTCTCCCTCTCTCTCCCTCTCTC
Source organism: Homo sapiens (assembly GCF_000001405.40). Lineage (NCBI taxonomy): Eukaryota > Metazoa > Chordata > Mammalia > Primates > Hominidae > Homo > Homo sapiens. The sequence continues at coordinate 86,190,242 of NC_000016.10, forward strand.
TCCCTCTCTCTCTCTCTAAATGTCTTATTGTACTGTGCTCACCTATTTTCAGACCCCCATTGACCGAGGGTAACTGAAACCTCGGAAAGCAAAACTGCAGATAGGCGGGGACTACTGTAGATTTATCTTTCTTGGCTTTTAATTTTTTTCTTTCTTTTAATTTTTACTTAATTATAAGTTGCAATTAAAATGCATCTTACATACAGGAATAGGGTACAGAGTACACAAACCTTAAATGTATAGCTTGAAGACTGTCACATATGTGGACACCCAGAGGGTCCTCCCTGCAAATCCTGCACCCACCTCAGAATACTATCCCAGAGATGGCCACACTTCCAATTTCGACTCTCAGTGTATTTGGAAAAACACCAGATTCCTAAATCGTGTTCTTGACGTGGATGCCCTGACCTGCTGGTATCAGTTAACTCTGTCCTCTGGACAATCTGCCACGGTCTGAAGCCTTCCTGTGACCTTCCAGGATCCCAGACAGCGGGGCTCCCTTGAACGCACCCCATTTTCCAGCCTTCCCAGACCGGCTTCTGTCTTTTGGGATAAATTCAAGGTGTCACTTAGTCCTCTCTCAGTCTCTTCTTCAGCAGCCTTGGCGCTCACCACTGCTGAGGCAGAACTTCAATGCCAGGCCCCTGCTTAACTGTTATTGGCCAAACAGTACAATATGATTGATAGGGACCTCAGTATGGTAGGGACCTCAAGATTGGGACCTCTACCCGTCCATGTCAATCTTGAATTATAACTGGAGTCCGGCTGGGCATGGTGGCTCACACCTGTAATCCCAGCACTTTGGGAAGCTGAGGTGGGAGGATTGCTTGAGGCCAGGAGGAAAGAGCCAGGTGTGGTGGGACATGCCTGTGGTCCCAGCTACTTGGGAGGCTGAGGTGGGAGGATTGCTTGAGCTCAGGAGTTCAAGGCTGCAATGAGCTATGATCATCACGCCACTGGGTGGAGAGTCTGGATGACAGAGTGAGACTCTGTTTGAAAAGGAAAAAAGAAAAAACAAAAAAAAGAGAAGCCTGAAGGTGAGAATCTGAAGATGGACTTCCTAACTCCCTAACTCCACTACAGTCGAGACTTTGGATAAGTCTCTTACTCCCTGCAAACTTCACATCAGTGATGGCAAATTCACAGTGTTTGCCACCGCCTTCCTCCTGGCAGACATCACTAGTCCCTCCTTCAGCTCCCTCCTGCCCAGGCTCGACAAAACATCTAAATCACCGGTTTTCAGCCTCAGCTGCACATTAGGATCACATGGGAGCTTTGAAGAAATCCCGGTACCGGGGTCCCACTCCCACATATTCTGATTCAGTTAGCTGGGGGTGCAACCCACCTAGGAGGTTTTTAAACACCACCCCCCACCCCCTACTCGGTGATTCTAAAGTATAGTAAAAGTTAAGATCTGTTGCTCCAAATCCTTCTCAAACAAGGCTTCAGGAAGCCACTACCACAAACAGACGAAATCCGTGTCCTTTCTGTTCTAAGCCCCGGCTACCCTGTGTGGTTCCAGGACCAGTGACTCTGGCCTCCCTTGTGCTAGTCACTGATGAGACCCTCAGCCCCATCCAGACTCGCTGAATCTGAACCTGCCCTTTAGTCAGATCCGCAGGGGTTCCGAGCACGCCGCTGGGCTGGAGGCATTCCGAGGCCCCTCGCAGCCCTCAGTCTGTGATTTCGGCTCCACGAGCTCCCTCCACTGCGAATGCATAGGGGTTTTAAGAGATGATGCGGATCAGGGACTGGCTGTTTTTATATTAATATGGCCATTTGTGTGTTTCCCTTTATTTTTTTAAAGTTTGCTGTTAATTAATTAGCAGACATGTTTTCTCTGTATTATCTGTAAACAATTCTCTTAATTCTAATCTTATCCATAAAGCTATTCTCCCCAAAGAACTTGTGACAATTAAAAAAAATCTTCATGAACTCCACTTCCCAGTAAAAGTTCATGCAGATTCAAGTCAGAGGCAAAGACCCATCCGTGGGGTCATTTCCACTGAACTGCGACCTATAGGGGGCTGCCTGAGTGTAGGTTCTTTATGTCCGCGAGGGGAGGCTCCGTAATAAGTGACACTGAGCTCTATCAAGGATCATCCGATGTGGATAGCCTTCGACTCTCATCACTACTGGGAATCTGTCCCAATGAAATAACCCAAAATATGGTAAAAAGCTCTACAGGGGAAATATTTCTGTAACAGAGATCAATTTAACAACGCGAATGCCCAAAAATAGGAAGGAAGATGGTTTTGTGTTAGAATATTGTTCAGCACTTTAAAATACTCATGTAAAACTGCATCGAGGTTCCAACTACGTGTATATGGAAAGAAATTCACAGAAAAAGTTGAGGAAGAAAAAACATAAGACATTAATAAAAGATGTATCACAGAAAAGAACTCAACCACAATCCTGCCACTCTATTTTTCAAGTTTTTTATATTTGCAAAACGTTAATATTTTAATTATGAATGTATAGATACTTTAAATGTAAGAATAGCCTAATGCCACTGGGAACGGCATGTTTGTTTATATTACAGTGATTTTTCAGTGATTGAAGATTTTATTTAGTAATTAAAGGAAGAAAGTAGGAAGAAAACCTATGGACAATACTGTTTCCTGATGGCAGAATTTCCTCCGTATATCACCCTGCCAAATCACTGCGTCTGTGGTTTATTTTTTTCTAGCTTTTCTTATTATGGGGCGGCCACCCCATTTTTAAGAGTTATTGCTCTCCACACAATCAAGTATTTTCCTTTTGTTGCCTGAGTTAAATAGCGATCTGATAATCTGTAATTTATTGAGAATTGCAAGCCAGCACTTTGCCCATGTCTGCCCATGCTTTTGAGGACAGGGAAACTAGATCCAGAGAGGGCAAGCTACTTGCCTGAGCAAACATAGCTCGCAGGGGGCAGACACAGGATTTGAACCAGCTCTCAAGCCCCCAGCTGTGCTGCCCAGCCTCCGTGGCAGGGCAGGCGGCCGGCTGTCGGGAGGGCCTCGAGACCTTGAGTGGAGTGGCTTCCGGGCTGTTTATTGTTCCTGTGGCTCATGGTACAACCATCAACTTGATGTTTGAAGGGTGAGGGTGGGGGCACTTTGAAAGAGTGGAGGAAAGCATCCAGAGGGGTCTGCCTTTTAACAGACGCGATAGAAACCAGAGGGCAGCCAGGGTGGCTGAAAGGGTGGTGGGTGGCCAGCAAGCCAGCCAGGTGTTCGGTGCCACCCTCAGATGACATTGTATATAGGACACAGACTCAGCAGTGAGGCCTGGAGCTGTCTGTGGGAGAGCTGGTGGACCTGGCAATGCGTCCCCTTCCTGCGGGCATCTGCGGATCCTCTTCTGCTGGCTGGGGACAGGTCAGCTGGGCTGAGTCCTGGCTGCTGGGGACCGCACGATACTGCCCTCAGCCACCTCGCCATCCAGGCATTTGAGAACATGGACAGAGTTCTCAGATGGATTCCTGGAGCAAACGTTGCAGTCATGACCTGGTCAGTGAGAGGAATGAGCTTTGGGCAGGTGGGCAGCCAGCCCAGACCGCATGCACAGCACTCATGTTTGCCGGGCACGTCCAGCACTTTTCAGGGCCTATTTTATGCAATCCCAATAAAAAACCCATGAGGTAGGGACCATTGCTCTCCCCGGTTTATAGAAGAGCAAACTAAGGCTCAGAATGGTTCATTCACCCAGTTGGCAGTCTGGGGTGTGATCCCGGGCAGTGTGACCTGGGCTCTCGCTGCTGATGTTTATCTCCTGTTTTTCCAGCTCTGCCAGTGGACAGCCTGGCTTGAGCTCCTGACTCTGACACTTTGTCACTCTCCAGCAGCCTGGTCTTCAGCGATGGGCTGGCCTCTGTCTGCCTCAGTTTCCTCATCTACAAAGTGAAGCTAATAATAGTCCCTCCTCCTGGGTTGTTGTGGGGGTCAAATGAGTCTTTCCACGTATGATGGTATAACAGGAGTAGAAAACTCCTGGCATCTGGTAATAACTCCGTAAAGGTGGTTATTCATACAATTATTATTATTTACCTTCGAGCCTCATCTGTTATGTTCTCCCCTTGTGAAACTGAATCTTCCTTTCCTTCCATCTCCTCTGATGTGAAATGTAGATAATGACAGTCAGCATCAATGTCACTGAGTGGATGGGACACAGCACACAGAAAGCCATTGTTTCAAATCTAAGTCTCTGCAGAAACCTCTGGAGCAGCGCATTTTTATTCTAAATATTCATGCTGTCTCTAGATGCACTTCCTGGTCCTTATCTGGAGCATGATTCTCTCTGACAATAATCATGTAGCCAACATATTTAAAATTCAGCGTATTAGACAGCCTGGCAGTTGACACAACGAGGGATCTTTTTGTAAGTGCTGGTATTTAGTGGTGACACTGGGTGGAAATACTAAGAGAAGCTTAGCGGTTCTCTTGTTATAAAAGAAAAGGAAATTGCCTTCCGTTTAGGCTGAAGCAATTTTCGGACCGTGGGAAGGGGGCAGCTCAGTAGTGAGTTCTTTTTCAGATCATATTGGCTTAGGAGCTGTTACATCCAAGTTGTGACTTCAGAACAAAAGAAATTGAACTTGCGTTTTGCCAAGTTTAAGTTGGTGTCGCCTGGTTCCAACAGGTCCCAAGGAGAAGTGGTATTTGCATTTGGCCCCCGTGACCTCTGTGTTCCCCAACGGGGGCTGTGGTCCACAGTGGGAGGCTCAGGGGCTGGGGCAGGAGCAGAGAACATCCAGATGACCGTGCGTGCCGCCGTCCACTGGGCTTTCTCATTAACCCGTGGTCACACCGTCCAATTCGTCAAAGAAACCTGAAGCAAGGGGACGGACGGAACCGGCACATGCATGGGTGCAGGCGAATCCCTGGCTTTGCTAATTGGGGTTCTCTTCCCATCTCAGTTAGGTTCTGCCGTCTGAGCAGAAAAGCTAAGAGGGAAGCTGGGATTTTCCAGCCAAGCCTGCCTCACAGGCCCACGTGTGGTCACTCCTAAGCGTCTGGTGTAAACAAGAGTCATTGTCTATTTGGTGGTGGGATTCCTTCTCAGAAAGCTTGCTGTGGTGTCACTAGGGAAGCTGGAGGGAATTTAAGCCCCTCCAAAATCGAGCTGCAGATGTTGTCTTGAACTGGGCGCTGCTGTTCCTTTGCTGGGAAAGGTTTTCTTCCTTGAGCGGCTGATCTCTTCCTTCATCAGAATTACCAAGGTTCTGGTCAGCCAGGTCCTCTCCAAAACCACAGCCATTTTCAGGAGACAAAAGCAGCCTCGGTTTATAAGGCACCACTGAATGGCTTCATGGCATGCTTGGGAATTACAAATGTCAAATCAAACAACATGAAATTGTGCCCTTCTTTTGTGTGCGTTCATTAGAAGGACTTGGAAAACCAAATCATGATGTATCGGTATTTGTTTTTTATACAGAAACAATATTGAAAAAAAGGCCCCTCGATGAATTCGTAAATTAAGGCAAGGAGATGCTTACTTGAAATGTTGAAAGCCCCCACAGATCTAATACTCCAAACCAAAAATTATATGCAGCACTGATAGCAGATGTTTTCGTCCTATCTAAATATGAAAAAGTATTATATGTTATGTTGACATTTAGGCTAAATCTTTCCCTTATAAGGTGTTTGACATAAATAGCTTTTGTTATGTAACTCTTCAATAGAAGGCATACACACACATTTCTTAAAGGTCCCAGCTGCTATTGTTATCACTGGAGGCATAAAATTGGAATCCTAACTTCCAATATCAAATTTGAGCACAAACCCTATAAAATGTATCTTGTCAGAATGTGCCAGAACCGCTAAGCTCTTTTCGGCGGAACAAATTGCAGCTGGTGTCCTTAAAGGTCGAGAATCAAACTTGCTGTATCCTCAGGGTTTAGGCAGCAAATTGGTCCCAGTTTTCACCCTGCCGCAGGGCTGGCTGGGGAGGGCAGCGGTTTAGATTAGCCGTGGCCTAGGCCGTTTGACGGGGTGACACGAGCCTGCAGGGCCGAGTCCAAGGCCCGGAGATAGGACCAACCGTCAGGAATGCGAGGAATGTTTTTCTTCGGACTCTATCGAGGCACACAGACAGACCATGGGGATTCTGTCTACAGTGACAGCCTTAACATTTGCCAGAGCCCTGGACGGCTGCAGAAATGGCATTGCCCACCCTGCAAGTGAGAAGGTAACGTTTATTTTTGTATTTTTTTCTCTGTCTCCCATATACAGACTGTAGAAAGACCACCAAGAGCGGACCATTTTTTTTTTTTCCCACCATGATGTACAATTCACATTTGTTAATAAAAAAAAAGTGCCCGAGGTCATCCACCTAGACTTTTTTTTTCTTAAACAGGAAACGGGTTTCAGATGTTTATATGTTGAAAAGTAAGGCTACTAATCCGTTTAGCCATTTCACAGGCCCTGGCTCACTCTCTCGTACCTTTTCATGTTCAGACCCCATAGAACGACATTAATTTTTATCCCTCTTGTTATTTAGAATTAAAAAAAAAAGACAAAAACAGAAAAACACTTTCAATAGCCACCTGCTTTTTTGGGACAGCTCCAGTGGAGGTTAAAATAAATGAATCCGCTGGTTTCATTCAATTGTGCTCTTAGCTGCGAGGGTGCTGTGCGGTGGGTTTGAGTGTTCAACACTCTTCAGCAATTCCTTAAAATAGAGCGTGGTCTCGTGTATTTTCGTGTGTCTGTATCCACAAGCGGATCTCCGTTGAAGCAACATATTTAGATGAACACTTAAGGTTCACAAACGCACATACTTATTCCGTCTATAGCAAGGGTGGGAATTGGTCTCTTCCGTACTTTTCTTTCATTTTTCTGGGGGGTCAGTGTGATGTTTTCCACGTTTCTTCTTGATGTTCGGCTGTGCCAGGTAACAGAGAAAAGGCATTTCCCAGGGAGCCGATGATCGCTTGAAAGGGCTTCAACTTGATGCTTGGAAATAAAAAATTTTGTTTTATTTCTGCCATTTTTTTCCTCATCCCAGGACCAGTAATTTTAAACAGTTGTCACTGGTGCAAACGTTTCCCTGTTTAGTGTGGCAAATCAATGCATTTTTACCCTGTTGGGGAGGTTTACATATTCATAGTCCAGGGAGAAAAGAGCACAACAAACGGGAATTGTGGATGCTTTTTAAGTGAATTTGTTAGTATTCAAATCATTGGCGTAAAAGACTATTTTAAACATAGAGTTCAAAGCAGAAGGAATAATATTATTTCCTAAAACTGGATCAAATGGTTCCCCCTTTTTAACCCACCTCTGCTTGACCAAACGCTTTATGTTTACCGATCTTGCAAGGGTGCAAAAGAACTATTCTTGAAGAATTTCGTCAGGGAGAGAAAACCAGCTAAGTTGAAAGGAGCTCTTAAAATTTCAGCATCAGTATTTTCAGGATCAGTAAAAAAGTTACTTTCAGGATCATTAAAAAGTTATTTGCGAAAATTAAACATAGACAAAGAATCATCTTTTACTTCACTATAAGAATCCTCCCCTCACCCTCGTGTGTGTGTGTGTGTGTGTGTGTGTGTGTAGAGAGAGAGTTCTATGAGGCACAAGATACATTTTCTTGCTTTTTCATCAGAGTACCAGAAGCGGCTGGAGAAAAGATTAGTACAAGTGTAAAAATGGATATGTTAATAAATGTCCAAACTCCTTTAAATGGAGGTGAGATGGATATGATAAAACAAATTTTAAAATATATGTTTTTGTTTTGTTTTTTTAATCAAACAAAAAGGCCATTTTTAGTGTATAGGGGCATGTTTTAATTCGGCATTCAAATTATGCCAGGCATAGGTGTCAGGGACTCCCCGTGGAAACCCAGTGACAAAACAATAACACCATCACCTGCGTTGAAATGTGAGCAAAAATAATAGAGTGGTTATCTCGAGAAAGCGGCTCCTGAAAAATGTCTCCCTTAACATGGAAGCACCCGGCAGAGGCTGATCTGTGGGGCTGGGGAGAAATGGAGCAATCGCCAACACTCCAGGCTCGTCTGTGAACCCCAAATTCCATTAAGAAAAGAAACTGCTTAGCAAGACCCTTTTGAAAGCCCCGGGGTGCTAAAGGAGCAGAAGGAAAGCCCGGCTTAGCATCCACACGGCCACCAAAGCTCGGAGGGCAGAGACTGCCGGGAGGAACTGATCTGATGAGAGGATCCATGAGAGAGCAGGGCAACTGCACTAAGTGCCCATTTCTCCAACACGGACAGGGCACCGGGGAGCTTGGCTAACATGGTCACTCAGCCTTCCTTTGTGGAATCACAGGACAGGAGCCTGCTTTGGGCCAGCATTTACAAAAACTGTCTTTTTTGGCCCCTGGACCCTGATGAATAGAAAAACGCTGCAGTCTGCAAACCCACTGCAATCGCCGCGTCAGCTCAGAGCCGAGATGCTTCCCAAATGAACACCTGGATGGTGTAAATCACCCTGACAGTAAACACTTCAGGCCAGGACGCAGGCTGCAGGCGGGGTGGGGTGGCATCCTCCCACCCAGCTGGGGTCCATAAACCAGGCACTGGCCCTGCGCTAATAAATGCTCCTTTCACAGCAAAAGACCCCTCCTCCCGGGCTGGGATCACGGTCCCGGTAGAGAGGGTGCTCAGATAACCGACAGCGTTTCTCCCACCCTCATCACTGTCCGACTTACCCCGGGCTGGCATCAGGGAGTGTTGTCAGGCGTTTATGCCGTTATGAATGGCTTTATGATACCTCGAGAGGGGGACCAGGGCCACCGGCTTCATGGTGGCTATTTTCTGAAGGTGGCAGGAGAAGATAAAACCAAAATTCAGGGTTTGCTTTTTAAATACCATGCTAGTAAAATCAGAACAGTAATGACGGGAACCAAAAGATCTATCTGAAATGTTCCTAAGGTTAGTGGAATCTACAGTGGCATTCCCTCTTGTAAAACACATTGAACTCAAATGTTAAAATAACTCTCCCTCTTCTTGCTGCTGTCTCAAAATCCTTGACTGCTAATGGATGACCACCCATTTGGTGTATACAATTCTTATAAAAATCCCCAAATAGGGGAAAAGCAGAGGGTAGATAGCAGAATAGATCTAGAAAAAGAACACCTCCTTGGGAATTTCTTTGCATTCAGATGCTCTACTTTAAAAAATAAAATGTCTCCGTATAATTATCCAGTTAGGAGGAGTCTTTTAAATGATATCTTTTGTCTTCAGCCAGACAGATGTGAGGACGCACAATGTAAACGTTATGCAGCAGCTTTGGGAGAGGCTTTTTATGGCTCTGTTTCTTTCCACTCACAGCACAGACTCGAGAAATGTAGGGAACTCGAGAGCAGCCACTCGGCCCCAGGATCAACCCAGCACCGAAGAAAAACAACCAGAAGAAATTATTCTTCAGCCTGAAATGAAGCCGGGATCAAATGGTTGCTGATCAGAGCCCATATTTAAATTGGAAAAGTCAAATTGAGCATTATTAAATAAAGCTTGTTTAATATGTCTCAAACAGAAAATGTCTTTTGAAGAGCATTTTAAACCTGATATTAAAATCTGGCCGAGCGCATGTCCCGGGGCGTAATTGGTGGGCACAGGAATTTGGGTCCTTTGCAAGAAGTGTGGTATTCTCCCTTCACAAGGTATTTCTTCCCCAATGTATAAAATGAAAGCAGAAAGGTTTTTAGGTAGCTATTTAAAACTGTTCATGCAACATAATAAATATAAGACAATTGACCCGTGTTTTAATGTTTATCCGTAAGACGAAGTGCAGCCCGGCTGGTGCAGTGACGCAGGCGGCTTGCTGGAGCCGAGAACACCCACGTGTGGGGTGATGTTTTCCCACCACGGTGCAGCGGGTTAGCAGCTGACCCGCGCTCCCACCAAACCTAAAACCACTCTCTAATGGGCTTTACGGTATTTACATTTTGAATTTTATTTATAGGACACCAGATGTCTGTGTTCACAAGAAAAAAAAAAATCATTTGGAATATAAAATCCCTCCCCTTCCCCGCATTCGTTAGCTGAGGAGATATTTGCCTTCCCCCCTGCAATGCGGCAGTGGCTCGCAAGCCAGTTCTGAGCTGGGGTTTATGGTCTCTTTGGAGGTTCGGGAGGTGGGAGACTGCGCATTTGTTCCCATTTTCTGTGTGACCACGGGCGTGCCTTTATTTCTGGGCCACGTTTTCTCCTGAGACTCTTTGCGTCTCTCAGCGACCACCCTCTTACTCATTAAACTCTTCTGACACAGAGGAATGGAGCTGGGCAGAAGCTCAAAGCCAGACCTTAAGAAAACTGCTTAAGATCTTACCCAAAAGCCGCAGCGTCCGGCTGTGAGCTGGGGCAAGCAGATGACTACGTCTTTCCTCCTTCATCCCTGGAAGTGGTCTTAGAATAAAAGTGCTTCAAAAACATAAGTGGATATTTTTATTCACTTCTTTATTGTTTTCATTGTCAAATAACTTCAGAACATGCAAACCCAACAAGGCACACAGCCCAGCAGCCCTCCTCTGACTGATCTGCCTGAAACTGCCAGTCATGTCTCGTCTCCAAATCACACAGAAGATTCACACAGCACCAGGGCTTCTCCCCTCTCCCCAGGTCTCTAGCCCAGATTCACTCCTAACACTGAACCTCTCCCAGGGCCCGCCCGCCCAGGAAATTGCCTCCCCTCCCCACAACACAGATAGATGAGCAGCTTATTTTTCAGTGCATACCCACTCCAGAGGTTCGGCCTGATTCCTTCCTGTAAGTCCTACCGGCCAGCGGTGAGGGCAGCACATGAGATCACCCTGCAGGCGGATTTTAAAGCGCCACAGAGAATGGTGGCTAGGGAGCAGAGGCCACTGTGGAGCACTCTCTAGGGCCAGGTGTGTTCCAGGTGCATTCTGCATGTCACGTCCATTAACCTCCAGAGGTGTCACAGCCCCTCTTCTTAGTGAGGCTCCTAACCACTGTGCATACTGCCTGGAGGGACAGTGGCCCCGAAGAAGGACACTGAAAACCTAGGGGTTGAGCAGCCACACCTGGCACCTGGCCGCTCTGGCTCCGAGGGCTCTGGAGAGAATCACCAGTCCCCAGGCTAAGTTCTGGGTCCCCCAACTTCTAGCTGAATTTCCATATCCACATCCAAAGAAAACAGGCTAAGGATTCCTTCCGTGATTTACTTTGAAGGTCCTTATGAGGCCAGAGGGGAAGGTGTAGTGGCAAGTGTGTGACGACAGAAGCTGTGAGAGTCTGAAGCCAGGGTGGGTGGGCCGTGTGTTTAATGCCCCTCCCAGGGCCTGGAGGCCAGAGCTGGAGGCCAGGCTTGAGAAGGGCCTCCTCAGTTCATCAATAAGAGCACAGAGAAGCCTGTTTTTCTTCCCTGCTGTGGCTGTGACAATCTTACACCTCTTGAGCATCAAAAGAGAGAAGCTGAGAGCCAGAGGAAGGTCATAGCTGCAGGACTCAGTATGTTGCAGGCCGGGGACACCAGGAAGGGAAACCAGAAAGAGGGAGATGAAGGAGGTGAAGATGGGGTTCCAGGCAGGCAGATAAGAAAGCAGTAGAGTTGAAAAAGCTTTGGGGCTAGATACCTGGGGAGAGCGGAGAAGCCCTGGTGCTGTTAACAGCCAGGCAGAGCTGAGTGAGGCGGGGTCAGGGGAGAAGGAGGCAGGCGGTGCTCTCTGGAAAGTACCCGGGTGAGGAGAGGCTGGGTGGGTGGCTGGGGGAGGTGGCAGGGATCTGCCCCACTCTCCTGTCGCTGGCGCTCACTTCTGCTGCAGAGACCTTCGTCTCCTGCTGTTCCTAGCCCAAGGCTCCCCTCCCAGGCCCAGCGGTTCTCATTCCCTGGAGAGTTTTACAGCACAGATGCCCCCCAGGGATTTAGAAGAACCTGCGGGCATGCGGCTGCTTTATTGATTGATTGATTTTTACCAGCTCCCAGGTAATCCTGTGTGCAGCCAGGGCTTGAGAACAGCTCTAAGCCTAAACATCTAGATTCAAACTTAGGAAATACGCTTCCATTTAATGAACTGGAGACTTCTGAGGTTTTGTTTCTTTAATTCCTGCTCCCTAAGGGTGCCCTGCCAGGGTGGGGGCTCACCCTGGTCCAAGGGTCACAGCAGCCTGCGAGTAGAGCACCACTGCGGACTACTCGACACCCGGGATGTGGCGTGAGCTGAGTAGGGGCGCTGGGGACTGGTTCTTCGTGAAGCAGAAACGCTCTCAGCGTGGGAGAGTTTTCCAGGATGCCCGCCTCTGTTCTGTCCCCTTGTTTGTGGGTCGGGTCTGAAGGAAAGTGACGCGGCCCCTGGTTATCTTGTGCTGGGCCCTACCCTAGCCCCAGGGCCTTGCTGTCCAAACCAAGAGCATGCACAGGACTGGCCCAAAAGCAACCTCGGGAACGCTCCTTCTCATCAGCGTGGGGCTCTCTTTCTTAGTAAACACAGCAAGACAAAACAAAAGAGAAAACTTAAAAGCCTTCTGGGAAAAATTCAAACCTTGTTGAATTAAGATGAATTCCAGTTATTTGTTACAAGTATTTACAATGCTACATTGGCCCACTTACTTTTCCGTAAATCACAAACCTCTTCAATGACAGCTAACACACATATATATTTGGAGAGAGAGAGGAGAGAGAGAGAGAGAGAGAGAGAAGATCTAGTGAGTCAGGCACCATTTCAGGAGCCTCACATCGGTTAATCTATTTCACCGTGTCCACCACCCTATGGGGCAGGTATTTTTTGTGCCCATTTTACAGATGGGGTAAGTGAGGCCCAGAAGACTTGCCCCAAGGCACACAGCTAGTAAGTACCAGAGCTCAGATTCGGCCCCTGACCTCTGCAGGGCAGTGGTGCTGAGAAGAGAGAAGGGCACTATTATTAAATTGGAAAACGTGATGATTATTTAAGAGAGTTTCTTAAGTGGTGTCCTCAGAGCCACAGCCCCAGCCAGTTCTGCTGCTCTGGGAGTCACTTTTCCTTTCTGAGGTCTGAGTTTCCTCTTCCATAGCTGGGATTAGCAGCGCCTGCTGTGGGGTGGCCCCGCGATGTGGCACCCGCTGCACCTCTCTCCCCTGTGCACCCGCCCAGGCCTCCAACACCGATTTCCTCCTCTATTCTTTCTGGTTCCTGAGCCCTGAGGGTTTGAATTGTGCGGAGCTAGGGTCTGTTTGTTCTCAGGGAAGAGGAGAAACCTTTCTGGAAATATCAAACCAATTTTTGCTGGGACAACACATGAGGCTTGAGACAAAAACACGGCAACAAAACAAAAATTGGAGCAGGCTTAGAAAAGAAGTAGGACCCCAGCTGGCGAGGGAGGCCCTCTGTCTTTTGGATGATGGGAATGAGGTGAACTTTCAGCTCCAGCTTCTCCCTAAGATGGCGGGAGGACACACAGGCCCCTCGCTCTGCAAAGCTTTGGGGAGTCTCTGAATCCCAGACACTCCAGAGGACACCGGTGGCTGACTGCTTTTCCTTGGGGGAGATGATGGTTTGCACAGAGCCCGGCCCCAAAGCCAGCATCCCTGCAGCCTGTGTGGCCAGGGCAGGGTCCTGCCTCTCCAGGGGTGGGCAGGACTGGGCTATAGCAACCCCTGTCCAGGACGTGTCCTTCAGTCCCCTCCCTTCCGCCAGCAACCTCCAGGTCCGAGACCCACCGCTCAACCTCAGCTCTAGGTGCTCCTCTCTTGTCAACTGTGAAGTGGGCTTCATCCTGCCTCTGAAGTGTGGTTATGGGGATTACCTGAGATAATGCTCGATGCTTGTAAAAGGTCAGTACAGAGCCTCCCAGAACCCTCCACAAAGTCATAACAATAAAAAACAAACAGCACGTGGGGCCCTTGCTCATTAACATCTCCTTCTCACACCAACCGGAGGAGGCGGTCACCACCACAAACCCATTTGTCAGATGTCAGCACTGAGGCCCAGGGCAGTGATAGCGTTCGACCGAGGCCACGGGTGGAGCTGAGATCTGAACCCAGGTGGTCTGGCTCCAGGGCTGTTTGTTCACCATCGGCCTCTCCAGGCGCTTGACAGATGGGAGCCATTGTTACTATTTTGGCTTCGGTTAAAGATTTTTTTTTTTTAATTTTTAAAAAACGTTTTATGCTGAGATAATGGTAGATTCCTAGGCAGGTGTGAGGAGTAACACGGAGAGATCTCTGTACTCTTCACCCAGTTTCTCCCACTGGTAACATCTTTCATACCACAGTGCAGTGTTACCACCAGGATGCTGACCTGGATGCAACCCACTCGCGGGTTTAATATGTGTTTAGCATATTCAGGAAAAATGTTGACAAAGAACCCAGAGCTAGGTGAAGTGCAGACGATGCTGTTCGGACCCACCCCTTCCAACCTATACCTCGTATTTGCAGGCATTTCCTGCACCACCTGACACCACTCTGAATCTCTGATATATACCTTCCCCCATGAGAATGCAGGTTCCATTAAGCAGGTAGTTTTTGCCTGTTAGGTCTGTTAATGGTGGAGAATCCGTATCCAGAAGGTCTGTGGCAACTTCGATTCTTGCCTCCTCAGAAGGAAGAATTCGACTGAGGGGCATAAAGCACAAGGAGAGACCAAGGCCAGTTTTAAAGCAGGAGTAAAAGTGTATTAGAAAGCTTCAGAGCAAGAAGGAAAGGAAGGAGAGTATCCTTGGAAGGGGGCCAAGTGGGTGACTTGAGAGATCAAGTGCATAGCTTGACCTTTTGACCTGGGGCTTTCTATGTTGGTGTACTTCCGGGTATTGCGTTACCTTTTTTTCTTTTTCTTCTTTTTTTTTTTTTTGGAGATGGAGTCTCGCTCTGTCGCCCAGGCTGGAGTGCAGTGGCGCCATCTTGGCTCAAGGCAAGCTCCGTCTCCTGGGTTCACGCCATTCTCCTGTCTCAGCCTCCCGAGTAGCTGGGACTACAGGCGCCCACCACCACGCCCGGCTAATTTTTTGTATTTTTAGTAGAGACGGGGGTTTCACCGTGTTAGCCAGGATGGTCTCGATCTCCTGACCTCATGATCCACCGGCCTCGGCCTCCCAAAGTGCTGGGATTACAGGTGTGAGCCACTGCGCCCCGGCCAGTCTTGTGTTACTTCTGACTCCTGGGATCTTATTGGGAAGTAGCTGATCACCAGTTTCAGGTGTCTTCTATCTGCCAGGAGAAGGCCGGTCCCTGGCACCAGCTGTGACCAATTAGTACTTTAGCGAGACAGTAACAACCACCTGACCATCAGCTGATGGCTGTCTGACACTCCTGGTGTGTGTGGGGGAGCCCTCTTTTGCCCCGCTCATACCTGACTAACTACCCGCTGTAACAGCTTCACTGTCATATCTCCACTGCCCAGAACCATGTCTAACATAGGAGGCTTTAGTAAATATTTTTGAATGGATGAATGAATGAAGTTTTCTTACAGAATGACTCCACCTTTCTGAGCTCCACTGAAAAATCTGTACAACAGGCCTAATACTCCCCACGGGCAGGGTGGTGGTGAGGACGAGGCCATGTGAGGTGTCCAGTGTCCAGGACACGGCGTCTGGTGGGGGCTGCACAATCGGCGAGCTGCACATTCACCCCGAGTGCCCAGGAAAACCCCCTCGGTGTCTCCAGCCTTCTGTCGCGGCTCTCAGGGGCCTCTGTGGTTTCTCAAACCTCTTAATGGCCTGTAATCTTTCAACAGTTAAGAGTATTGCTAATAAGAGATTTGAGAACAATTTGCATCTCTTGAAAGAGGCTGGATTTCTAGAGGGTGGCATAGGTTTAAGTACCATGCACGAAGTCTTCGCTAATTCTGCTGACTTGAAATAATAAACAGCTTAACACCCTCCATTGTTCTGGGGCCTAATGAAAACCAAGTAGGCCTTCAGCCTGGGAAGCCCGCTAGGGTTCAGGAGAACAGCTGGGAGCCGAGGCCTCAAAGCTGATGACGCTTCCTGCTCATCTCCACAGGACAGGGAGTCAGTACATCTCATCAGAAGTGAGTACGTTATTTCTCCCAGTCTTTCCAGCTTTCTGATTACATCAAGGAGAAAGTGTTCCTTCAATGTTATTCTGTCTTACACCTTCCTAGCAGGGGCTGCCTTTTCCTTTTAAGAAAAAGCAGGCCAGCTGAGGTGGTTCACGCCTATAATCCCAGTACTTTGGGAGGCTGAGGTAGGAGGACTGGCAGGATCACTTGAGCCCAGGAGTTCAAGACCAGTCTGGGCAACATAGTGAGACCCCCATCTCTCTAAAACAAAACAAAAAATAAAAGCCAAGGCCTTTGGAGTGGAAATTCATCAGGCTACAGTATCGCTCGAATTCAATAACGTTACTTTGTTTTCACTGAATATAATTTGTATGGTTATGTTGATGGGTGTTCCTTTCCCATTTACAATTGCCATAGAAAGTTTCCTTTTAAAAAGAAATACATGGGGTACTCATGAACAGAAAGATGGCAGCAATAGAAACTGAGTGCTACCTGAGGGGAGGGAAAGAGGGGGCCAAGGGCTGAGAAAATAACTGTTGAGTATTATGCTCAGTACCTGGGTGATAGGATCATCAAACCCCAAACCTCAGCATCATGCAATATTCCCAGGAAGCAAACTTGCACATAAACCTGCTGAGTCTAAAATAAAAGTTTTTAAAAAAGATATTTATTAAATGAATTTTTTTAAGAAAGCAAATGATGCTGGGTGTGGTGGCTCACGCCTGTAATCCCAACACCTTGGGAAGCTGAGATGGGAGGATTGCTTGAGCCCGGGAGTTCGAGACCAACCTGGGCAACATAGAAAGACCTCGTCTCTACAAAAAAGTAAAAAAAATTAGCCAAGCATGGTGGCATGCATCTGTAGTCCTGGTTACTCAGGAGGTTGAGGGAGGAGGATTGCTTGAGCCTGGGAGGTGGAGGCTGCAGTGAGCCATGATCACACCCCTGCACTCCAGACTGGGCAGCAGAGCAAGACCTTGCCTCAAAAAAATTCAAAGGATAATATCATTTATGTTTATAAATAAATTTTAAAAGTTTAAAAATTAAAGTGAATTTATTTAAAGAAAATTAAGCAGATAAGCACAGGATAGCAAAGAGCTGCAGCAAAAATGTTGACAGTTTAGCAGAACTTGAATGATGAGGTTTCAGAAACACTGACCTAGAGATCTTCTGTCTTTACAGTGGGAAAAGCCAAGGCCCAGAGAGAGGGCAAGTGACTTGGTGGAGGCCACCAGGAGGTCAGTGCCAGAGCACTCACCAGGCCCTCAGTCAGCTGAAGGTGGCCATGAGGTGGCCCAGGCATGGCTGTAATTGGCCAGGTGAGGGAAGGGTAGGACCCAGAGCCCAGGGCTCTTCTCCTTCCAGGTGGACCAACGAGTGAACCTGTGCCACCCAGGATGGGCGGGGGCTGCTGTCCATTCTCTGCTGTGCCCAAGCGCATGGCTCCTCCTTGGAGCTTGGGCAATGTCCGCAGCCATTACCCCAGTGACATCACAGCCTCAAGGGAGATATTTCATCTCCACTTCCCAGGTGAGACCTGAAGCAGTTCTAGTAAAAGCAAGGCTGCTTGGCCCCTAGAACCCGGTCTCCTGACCCACAGAATTAGACCAAGACCACTTTCCACAACCCACTCATGCCTCCTGGAAAGATGCGTCTCCACGTGCGATGTTTCAACCTAAAACGTGCGAGGTGCGATTATCCAACGTGTACCTGTCCTTCCTGCATTTTCCTTTATAACTGTTTTAGTTTACAATGGGCAGAGGTTTAAAAGTTTTCCTTTATAACTGTTTTAGTTTACAATGGGCAGGGGTTAAAAGTTTTTTTAAAAAATAAAAATGTTTAAGGAGTAATTTATTAATCAATATAACCCTGCCATCCTGGGATTAACTGCTTTTGCATTTTGCTATATTTTATTTCTCTTTGTCTCTTTCTCCCTATGTACATTTTAAACCCAGTTTGAATTATTTTATATATAACTTTAGAACGTTTTTTATGCAATGTTTACTTTTCTTTATTTTTTAAGATAGATATATATATATATAAAATATATATATAAAATATATATATATATATATATATAGCCCCAAGCAGTTCTTGAAAAACCAAGGTCACTTAGCCCCTAGAACCTGGGAAGATATATATATATATATATATACACACACACACACACACACACACATACATACACACACGTATATATATATATATATATACGTGTGTATAGTGCATATATATGTATATATGTGTGTGTGTGTATATATATATATATTCCTGTTGTAAAAAATGAGGAAGATAAAGTCCAGAGAAGGAAGGTGATTCTGCCCATGAGCAGAAAAGCCAGGACAAAAGCACAGTGAGGACATCAGTTTGGTGTCTCCCTAGTAGCTCATTTCCTGCTTATTTAAACCATCTCCTATTGTTGGGCACATAGGTTGTTGCCGAATATTCACCTTTATAACTAACGATGCAAATGTAAATTCTTACACATAAATCTGTGTGAACCTGCCTGTTGATTTCTTTCTGTAAGTTCCAAATACAGGCATTAACACGAAAGGAGTGACGCATGGAAGTTTCACATCAAGGTTCCAAGCTCCTGGCGGGAACTTCCACATCACCCTTAGAAAGGTTGTAAGGTCATGTCCACATAACCAAGGCGAGCAGCCACTCATCTCTCTACGCCTTTGGCAACGCCAAGGATTATGACTTTAACAACTTTGTGTGTGTGTGTGTGTGTGTGTGTGTGTGTGTTGGGGACGAGGGGGATTTAAAAAGCAGGGTTTCCACGGGCGCCTGTAGCTACTCGGGAGGCTGAGGCAGGAGAATGGCGTGGACCCGGGAGGCAGAGCTTGCAGTGAGCCGAGATTGCGCCACTGCACTCCAGCCTGGGTGACGGAGCGAGACTCCGTCTCAAAAACAAACAAACAAACAAACAAACAAACAAAAAGCAGGGCTTTCCAGTCACCCAGCTTCACTTTATAACATCTTCGTCTTGAACCCGATCCACAAAGGGAGCCTTAAATTCATTAACGAGGCAGTGGGAGAGAAACTACTGGGCTTTAAAAAACCCAGGAGAAACTGGTGATCTTTCTATAAAAGCATGTAATTCCCTTTGGAGAGTTCAGGCATGGGGGCTGGGACCACCTCTCTGGACAGTTATCAGTCTTTGCTGCCTGTTGAGAATTTGCTGCAGGGGCCTAATGGGGGCACTGGGAGGCAGCAGAAGAGGCATGAGAGATGCCCTCTGCTGAGACTTGCAGGTGAGGAAATGGCTTGCAAACTCTCCTGCTGTGGTTGAAAGAAACTTAAGATAAGGGGAGCTCCTCTCTGTTGCAGTGGAGAACCTTCTGGGGCCTGGGGAGTTGTCTGTAGTGCCCACGTGGTCTCAGGAAGGGCTGAGGAGCTCATGGCTTCCGTGGGTTGGATGTTTGTGAAGTTGGTCCCCTGTGGAAGACACAGAGGCTCAGTGTCTGACCACTGCGCTGATTTGTCTGAAGTGTCCCTTGGCCACAATGGGAGGAAGAGACAAGGGCCCTACCCTGTGAAAAAATGAAGACAACACAAGAGTGGCTGGTAGGTGGTGCTGCGCCCTCTTGCCCCATATCACCTAGAGAATCTGCAGTCTCGGGTTCAGGGACTTAACCCACAGCCCTGGGCCTCTGGCTTTCTGCAGCCCCAGGCTCATTTCTAATATTTTATTTATTGAAGTGAAATTAACGTACCATAATATGAACCATTTTAAAGTGAACACTTCAGTGGCGTTTAGTACCTTCACACTGTGTGCAACCACCACCTCTGTCGAGTTCCAGGACATTTCCATTACCCCAGAAGGAAGCCCTGAGCTCATGAGACGTCATCCCTCATTCTCCCACCTCTCCCCAGCCCCCAGCTCTCCTACTTTCTGTCTCCACAGATTCGTCTATTCTGGACATTTCGTATGAATGGAATCAAAAAATATGGAATCTTTTTGTGTCTGGCTTAGTTTACTTCACATAATCTCTTCAAGGTTCATTCATGTTACAGTATATATCAGAATTACTTTCCTTTTATTGCTGAATAATATTCCATCATGTGGATAGACCACATTTTGTTTATCCACTCACTGCTGATGGACACTTGAGTTATTTCTACTTTTTGGTTGTCATGGCTAGGCTGCTAAGAATATTTGTGTACAGTTTCGCATTAGTACCTGTTTTCAGTGGTCACTCTAGGCTTCACTTTTTGAGAAACAGCCAGGTGTTTTCCACAGCGGCTGCACCATCTTGCATTCCCCCCAGCAGTGCTGGAGCGTTCCAGTTCCTCCAGCCTAGGCTTATTTCAATAGCATCTCTCGAGAGGTGACGCCCTGACTGATCGACGTAAAAATCAATGTGTGGGCCTGCAGGAAATGGTGATGCCTCCTACTAGTTATGTAGTCAGCACCCTACACGGGGTCGTGGGACTGCAGCCCCCCTCCAAGTTCTGATGCTGCCATTCCTGGCGGTCTCTCCGCCTCTCCTCACCTCAGTTTCCAAATGGGGCTACTAAATCCTAGTTGAAGGGCTTTCCTTAGCACAGAGCCGGGAACATAGCGGGCACTCTGCAGAGAATGGCTTTCAGGTCTCACCCAGAAAGTGCGAGGGTGCAAGGGGGCTGTGAGTGGTTCCCTGATTTGGGAGCTTACAGATCTTCCATGGTGTTCTCTTTAGCACACCACGCAGCTGTAACTAAGTCGGAATGTCCCACTGAAGTTATATCTAATGAAGACTGAAAAGAATAACAAAATGGGCTTCTAATGCTTAAGGAAATGCCAAAAGGTGGGGGATTTGAGCCAAGTTGGCTCTGACGTTGCCTCTGGTAGAGAGTGTAGTGTGTCCAGGGACAGCCCCACCCAGAATCAACAGCCGTCCAGGAGTAAGTGGCTGCGGCCACCTCCTGAGCCAGGCAGAGTCTGTATACAACCCTTCAAGGACTAAACAAACGCACTAATTTACTGAAAAAAGGCCTTTCAGGGCCACCTCTGGCACTGAGGTCTTAGGACTCATGGGACAAAACGAGCATCCATCTTCTGTGACACGTTCCTGTCAACAGTCACCCTAATGGAAACAGCACTCAACCTAATTGACATGGCAGACTCTTTACTTCCAGGGAGTCCTGCTCTCCTTGGGCAGTGAGGAGGAGCAGAGGGCTCAGGACATGGGGCCTGCACGGTGAGGGGCTTGGAGGGATAGGGGACCACAGGGCAGCAGGAGGTGGGGCAGGGAAGGCTCAGGGCAGGAGGGCTGTGGGGTAGGGAAGGCAGTCTGCTTCCGCTTTCCCAGTTGTCCTGCAGCTCCCTCAGGCTTATGGGATCACAGCCAGCTGTCCCCCTAGAAGTCCAGATACTCGGAGGATGCAAAAGCTGGGTGCGCTTTAAGGCCTTGGCAACCCCAGTTTTAAAATGCAAGGAGCCCCGGAGAGGAGTCCAGGCAGATGGACTCTCTGAGGATGACAGTGAAACCACCTACAGAGGCCAGGTTCTGGACTATGCAGTTCTCAACAAGCTGTGGCCGGGGGCCCTTCTCCCATCTCACCAAGAAAATGCTGCAGGATTATTGTGAGATCAAAAAGAAACAGAAGTTAACTTTTTAAATATTTTAAGCAAATATATCCAAAATATATCACCTGAACCTATAATGAACATAAAAATTATTAATATATTTAAATTCTTTTTTAAATTGTGATTTGATAATTGTTCAAAATTGGTTAGGTATTTTACATTTACAGCACACCTCACAGTTCAAATCAGGCACATCTCAAGCCCTCAGCAGCCACGTGGGGAGAGGAGCTGCCATATTGGACCGCATAGGCCTACCAGGGAAAGGCCCACCTCTAGCAGCAGGATTTCCTGTGCCAGGACTTCCTGGGGTGGAACTTCCTGGGACGGGACTTCCTGTTTTGTTTGGCAGCCACTACGTTTTGCCTGGGCTGGGTGAGGAGGGTTTGGGTTCAGCCTAAAGTCCTGGGTATGGTTTCTGCATAGTATGGCTCCTTAGCTGGCCCCAGACAGTGACTTCCTGAGATGAGACAGTGTCCAACGGCGGAGATTAGTTAGGTCCTTGATGTTATCTTTGCTATTTCCATATCTTTAAAATTTTATACATTTGGGGGAGGGATTAACTTAAGAATCTATTTGCGTATACATAAGATATGTGACAGCTTTCGGCAATAAGAATACTCATTGCTTTTATTTAGAAGAGCAGACAAATACATAACCAAGTAAATGTCCCATGATAATGGCCTGGACAGAGGAGTGAACTGTTGGGTGACTGAGAAATCAGCTTTGTGCCAGGCACTTTTATAGCGTGTAACTAACACAAATGTGAACTATGCTTATACTCCTAGTGAATGATGGTGCCCAGGTTTTCAGTCCAGATAGTGCAGCCCTAGATCATTTGATCCTACTTTACTACCATGTAGGCCATGGTCTCCTTTCTCTACAGTACATAGACCACCACCATATAGACCATAGCTCCTTCCTCCACACCACATAGATCATGGTCCCTTCCTCTAGAGCACACAGACCGTGGTCCCTTCCTCCACACCACAGAGACTGTGGCCCTTTCCTCCACACCGCACAGACCATGGCCCCTTCCTCACACCACACAGACTGTGGTCCCTTCCTCCACACCACACAGACCGTGGCTCCTTCCCACACACCACAGAGACTGTGTCCCCTTCCCCGACACCACACAGACCATGGCCCCTCACCGTACACCACACAGACCATGGCTTCTTCCTCCACACCACACAGACCGTGGCCACTTCCTCCACAGCACACAGACCATGGCCCTTCCCCTACACCACACAGACCATGGCTCCTTCCTCCACACCACACAGACCATGGCTCCTTCCTCCACACCAAACAGACCGTGGCCCCTTCCTCACACCACACAGACCGTGGCTCATTCCCCAACACCACACAGACTGTGGTCCCTTTCTCCACACCACACAGACCGTGGCCCCTTCCCTTACACCACACAGACCGTGGCCCCTTCCCTTACACCACACAGACCATGGTTCCTTCCCCTACACCACACAGACCATGTTTCCTTCCCCCATACCACACAGACCGTGGCCCCTCCCCCTACACCACACAGACCATGGATCCTTCCTATATACTACACAGACCATGGTCCCTTCCCCTACACCACACAGACTGTGGCCCCTCCCCATACACCACACAGACCGTGGCTCCTTCCTCTTTACCACATTGCTGTCTCCTTGCAGAGTGAGCTTTATACACACCTTTTCCTTTTTTGTGCCTCCCCATGGCTCCCAGCATGGTGGACACTCAGGAAATATCCCCTAGGGTGCTCAGTGTTGGACAGCCTCTCCATTTCACTCACTGACCTACCGCAGGAAGACCAGGTGTGTGTCTTCAGTGCTATGCTTTGAGCTCTGTACAAAATCAGACAAGCCTTTAGGATCAGAGTGGAAGGGACCGTAAAAGGAGAAGTGTGAACGGCAAAGAAAATAAACACACATGTGTGCTGGGGCTGTGGGAGTGAGTGTGTATTTGCGTGAGGGTGGGGCCCAGGAGAGGGGGCTATTTAATTTAGGCAAAGGCTCAAGCTGATCCCTGCTGTTAGGGAGATGCCCAAATGGGGAACCAGGAAGGAGCCCAGGGATGCACCCTGCCTCAGATGTCTGCCCTTCATTCGTGAATCCATTCATTCATTGCTTCTTGAACCCAGGCCTCATTCATTCACAAGCATTTGCAGATTCTTATGGAGTGCCGGGGCTGTGTTAGCAGGGCGGTGCCCAGTTAATACCCAATGGCTAGAGCAGCTGACACTGACAGGCTTGCCACTAGCCAGGTGTCCTTTGAAGAATTTCGCTTAGATTAACTCCTCACTCCTCCCAATGGTCCTATTAGCTCCCTGCCTTGTTCGCCCCATTTCATAGGCAAGGACAGAGGCGCATGGCCTGAGCTCCACTGCAGGCATGCATGGTGTGGCCTGCAAATGCTTCCTGGACATGCCAGCTCAACTGGCTCCTTGCTAAGGAGAGGCGGCTCTCTGTGGGAGTGAATGCTTCCACGTGGAGGAAAAGACCTGGACTCGTTGACCTGGGATGGCGATTCTTCCCAGGGTGCAGGTTAGAATCACCTGGGTAGCTTTAAAACGTGCTTGTCTGCTCCCCACCCCAGACACTGACTGCATTGGTCTGGCAGGGTCCTGGCCATCAGAGCTGTTGTTCTGTTTGTGCTTTTGTATTATCCCTGGGGATTCTAAAGAGCAGCCTGGGTGGAAAAGCTCTGCCCTAACCTGTTGCCCTGGAAGTAAGGTCCCCACACCAGCAGCATAGGTGTCCCCTGGGAGCCTGTTGGAAATGCAGAGTCTCAGGCCCCACCCCAGACCTGCTGAGTCACAATCTGCACTTTGACAAGTGCTCTGGGGAACTCGGTGTGCCTGGCAGTTGGAGGACCCCGGTCCAGGGTTTCTGGCTGTGTCATCTCGGGCGAGTCTTTTAATCAATGTGTGTGTGACGTCAGTTTCCTCATCTGTAAAATGGGATAATGAGGAAGCCACTGTGCAGTTCACGTAAAGTTCTTAGAGTTGTCCTGGCCAGAGCAGGTGTCCTGTAGTCGTCATCTATTATCCCTATTTTGTTTGTGACGCTGGCACACCCCTCCAAGCCTCTCCCAGTTGTCCACCCCAGGGAGGGGTTGTGGAGAAGAGCCAGCCATGGCCTTCCTGAAGCTCTGCCTGCTCCAGGGCCGGCCCCAGGCCCTGACCCCACTGGAGACAGATAGCCTGGTCCTAATTACACTCTGCCGTGTGGAGATCTCAGCGAACTTCCTCACTTCTAATTTGGGAACAGAATTTGGACCTTTCCAAGTTTCAGTTCTGTCCGGAGCTGGCAGGATCAGCTTCCTGGTTCAAAGGAAAAATAGCTCATTAGGCTTTTTGGGTTTCAGACGACTCCAACTGAAGAACGTTTTGATGAATTATGTGTAAATGAGTCAGAAACAGACAGATTGGATTTCCTTTCCATGTGGGTTTGAAAAGGAAGGAAAGCCATGGTTGGCCTGGCATGTTGGGGTGCTTTGCTCAATGGGTCCTGTCTGATCCCCTGAAACGGAAGGAGCTTGGTAAAGTGGAAAGAGCATAGACTTGGGGGCCACATGGTCCTGGATTCGAATTTCTCCCTTGTCTCTCACAGCTGGGTGGCCTCAGGCAGGCTGCGTGGCCTCTCAAAGGCTGTTTGCTCAGCTGCACATGCTGATTATAGCACCCATGTCCTGGGGTAGTTGGGGCAACGGAATGAGCAATGGAATGAGATAACGTCTGTAAGGCCCAGTGCAGACTGACCCTGGTAGGTGATCGATAATCAGCAGTTAATTATGGTTAAGCAAGTTTGGGAAACCTTTTTCCTCTTTATGACTTCATTAGTTTCCTAGGCTGCCATGACAAATGACCACAAGCTTAGTGCCTTAAAACCACACAAACTTATTCTCTTACAGCTATGGAGGTAAAAAGTCTGACATACGCCTCACTGGCCTAAAATCAAGGTGTCTGGAGGGCTGGTTCCTTCTGGAGGCTCCAGGGGAGAATCTGTTCCTTGCCTTCTCCGGCTTCCAAAGGCCACCCGCATTCCTCAGCTATTGGCCCCTCCTCCATCTTCAGAGCCGATCGCACGGTGTCTCTGAACAGCTCCCATTGCCACAGCTCCCTCTGCCCCCAGTGAGCACCCTGAGATTACCCTGGACACACCCGGATCATCTGTGATAACTCTCCCCTCTCAAAGTCCCTAACTGAATCCCATCTGCAAAGTCCCTTTGGCCACATCAGGCAACATATTCATGGGTTCTGTGGATCAGGACATGGATGTCTGGCAGAAGGGGCATCATTCAGCCAACTGCAAGGAGGTTGCTGAATGGACAGGAGCCTTAAAGGCCCCACGTCACCTTCCATATGTCTCAACTTCTCAATAAGAAAGACCAGTGGGTATCCCAGATGCGGCTCTGAGTGCCGGAAGTGCAGTGGCACTCACAGCATCCCTGGTGGGGCCACATCCCCATTTTGCAACTGGGGAACTTGAGGCTCAGGGAAAGTAGAGAACTCACTGCAGACCAGCACCCCATGATCAGCAAGAGGTGGTGCTGGGATTTGAATCCAGGCAGTCCTGCTCCCACCAGCATGTGCTTGCTTAGCTGCTGTGCTCAGCTTCCTCCCACAGAGAGGGAAGGAGGCTAAGCAGAGGGGACTAGCGAGCTGGCTGGCAGCCACGCTGAGAGTTGGCACAGATAGCCTCCCTGTCATGGTCACCCTGATCCCACTCACAGGAAGCTGAGCAGGGCCACCCCAGATACCATCACGGCTTTTGTCCTATTGTGGACAGGGATTCGAGGCCTTTGCTCCCCACCTTGGATATCAACAGTGATTTTGAGTTGACCTGCAGTGTATATGAGCTACGCGCCTGACTTTGGGATGCCTGGAAAAGGATGCTGACCTCGGACGGAGGTCAGCAGAGGACATTTCTGGGAGGAGAGACCCTGAAGCCAAGGTCAGATATCTGAACCCTGCTCAATGCCATCCCCGTCAACGAGCAGGGCTGGCTGGGCTCTGACGCCCATCATTTGGAGAGAACACTTGTGTTCTGTGCCTGCAGGGGTGGCCATGCCTGCTCATGGACCTCTCTGCAACCACACCCTGTCCTGGGGTGGCACAGAAGCACCTTGGGTAAGAATGAGGGGCTCCAAAACCAGGATGCCCAGGTCTGAGTCCAGCGCCATCAGCACCGGCTGTGTGACCTTGGGCAAGTAACTTGCCCTCTTGGAGCCTCTGCCTTCTCAGCAATCCACAGGAGCTGATGACGGTGCCCCTCGTGGAGTTGTCATGAGGCTAGAGTAAGAAAATGCACGGACAGCACTTCACACATGTCTGCACTCAAGAGACCCCCACCACGAGGGTCATGCTGTGGCCTTTCCAGGCACCGGGCCCCTCCTTCGGGACCATCCCATGCCGAGCACCAGCCCAGCCCAGCAGCCCACAGGATGCTCAGACCCCAGGCACCGGCTCTGCTAGGCACATGTAGTGGCTGTGCTGCAGGACGGCCGCTCTCAGAGGCTCTGGCTGGAAAACAGGGTGCAGGCCAAGGGTGAGGACTCTGCCCTGGGGGGGCGTGTGCTGGGTTCCGACCCTACAGCCTGTGGGGGCAGGGAGGAGCCTCGGAGCAGGGTTAGCAGGAGGGCTGAGCCTCGGCTTGCAGGATCTAAGGACACCCAGGGCTCCTCCTGGCTACAGCAGAGGGACTGGCCACCACCGGCCTATCCCATCTGAGGGGTCTCCCGCTGCCCGTTCTTCCCTTCCTGAAGTGTGCCGAGAGCTGGATGTGCACTCATTTTCATCTGGGGATCGGAAGTCAGCCTGCAGCTTGAGCTAAGGCTTCCCCTGCAAAGACACATTCGCCATCTGATTTCTGCCAACCCCATAATCCTCATCAAAAATGAACGTCATTTGACTGAGACCCCCCCGTGTCGCCTGGACTCAGCGGCCCCATGTGTGTGGCTTGGGTCTGCCTGCCTCGCTGTAACCTGGGAGTGAGGCCAGCTCCGCAGACAAGTGGCCTACACAGGCACTCAGGGGCTCGCACTCAGAAAGGCCTGTGCTGGGTTTAATGCCCTGCGGACACCATCCTAAGATGGGTAACTGTTGAGCACAGCGCCTTGCATTTTCAGCTAGCCCTGGACCCCCAGATTATGTCATGGGTCCTGCCTGGGAGAGCTCTTCCTCCCACAGGCCCGGGCTGCTGACTCTGATACCTGAAGCTGACAGTGGCTTTCCGGATGTTGCAAATTACAGATTGCTGCTTGTAGCCACTCAGGTTATATAACATGAGGTAATCAATCAAAAGGAGCAAATACTGGGCAGAGAATCAAAGCCGGCCACAGTGGGAAACCAAGCAGGTTGCCCAAATGTCTCATTCCCTCTCAGGGAATGAGAGTCAAGGGATGCGGCTGGCCTCTGCCAGAGCCCAGGTGTTTCATCTTGGGCTGTAATCATAATCGTCATCATCACTATTTTCCTGGGACTGACTGTGCCAGTGCTGTCTTCCGGGCCCCCCGGTGCCTCTCTTTGCCCCCCAGACCTATACCCTAGGCTCTCCTTCCCTGTCAGGCTCTGGACCACCTGGAACCATCTGTGGGGGCGTTGAAAGGTACTCCTGCAAAAGACACATCCATGTCTCAGCCTGGGACCTGTGAATACGACTTTATTTGGGGAAAAGGGCCTGCATAGATGTAATTAAAGATCTTGCGATGCGATCATCCTGGATTAGCATGGGCCCTAAGTCCAATGACAAGTGCCCTCAAGAGAGTCAGAAGAGGAGAAAACATGGACACAGAGAGACACAGAGAAGGCAGCCATGTGGAGACAGAGGCAGAGGTTGGAGGGATGAAGGCACAAGCCAGGGAACACCTGGAACCTTGGGAAGCTGGAAGAGGCAGGAAGGGTTCTCCCCTGGTGCCTTCACAGGGAGCACAGCCCTGCCCACACCTTGATTTCAGACCCCCGCCTCCAGGCCTGTGGCAGAATACATTTCTGTTTCATAAGATACCTGGCCTATGGTAATTGTCGCCTCTCTGCTGGGTGGCCTCTTCAGCCCCACCCCACCCCACCTACCCGTGGGGCTTCCTTCCCTGCACAGCTACCCCTCCTGCCATTCCCTCAACCTGGGCCACACCTTTGGGAAGATTGCCTTCTCATGCCAGCTTCAATTTAAAGCCCAGTTTAAACGGCCATTTACTTCCAGTTGAGCAGGCCCCTGACTGACACGAAGTAGCTAATAATGGCCATTACTGATCTCCCACTGTCCCCTGACAGGTGATGTGAAGCGGGGCGGGGGGGAGGCCCAAGCTTGCTGTCTCATTGGAGTCTACCTTGGAAATTCCCCAACGGAACGTGGGCTCCAGGATGGCAGGGGTTTTGATGTATTTATCTGTTAATTGAAATTTGTATTGAGGTCATTGTAGATTCCCAGGTGGTTCTAAGACATAATACAGAGAGATACAATGCAGACTTCATTTAGTTTCCTCCAACTGCAACATTTTGCAGAACTACAGAATGTTACAACCAGGATAATGACACTGACTCAATCCACCCGTTTTACTCGGTTTCTTATTTTTAACCTGCAGGGGTGTGTGTGTGTGCGTGCGTGTGTGTGTGTGTTTCTATGCAATTTATTACATGTGTAGGTTCCTGTATCATCCCCACTATCATGATACGGAACATTTCCATCACCACAAGGATTTTTAAAAATCTGATTTCTTTAGGAATTTAAAAATTCTATTTCCTCACCCCTTTATTCCCAGTGCCCAAAACTATGCCTGGTACCCAGCAGAGGCTGAAAGCATATTCACTGGGTGAACGCTGGGCGAGTCTCATCCTTTCCGCAGGTGAGGAAGCCAGGGATCTGGGGCCTCCCACCCTGTGCTGCCCAGGGGACGCGCAGGTATGGATTCCTTCCCGGATCTGCCTGACTTCAGTCCGGGCTCTCTCTGCTCTTTTCATGGGTTGGAATTTTTGGAATCTAAATGGAGGAGGGTTGTTCATCCCTGTGAAATTTCCTCCTGTGCCTCCCATTTATCAGCCACAGCCTGAGCATCCTTTCTGTTCAGACTCTGCAGTCCAGCACGTCTGTTCCTCGCAGCTGTGCTCAGCGAGCGTCCTCTGGGCTCCTCCAAAGTCCAAACGGCTGATAAAAGCACTGAGCAGGACGCGAAGGAGCCTGGAGCCTGGACGGCCTGATAACTGGCTTCACTTTGATGTTCTCCAAGTTCAGAGCGGGCCAGGCCTCCTCTGCTGGCGTTACACGCTTGTTTATTTTTGTCACTGTGTAGGTTTTTGTGATTTCTCCCTCCCAAGGGGGACAGCTATCATGATTGCTGTCATTACCCTATTGGAAATGTTGCTAAATGTGCTCTCCTGCTCCATCCGACCCCTCCTTCCGAAGGGCCCGAGGAAGACCACCCACGACGGGCAGAGCTTTCCTCCATTTAATTTTAGTCTCAGGATGTAAGTTTGCAATTTCATCACAATAAAAAAAAAAAAATGAGGCTGGCCTTTTCTACCCCAGGCCTGTGTGCCCTCCCTCCCTGATGAGGCAGATTAAAGAGTTGCCCAAATGTCTCCAAGAACTGCACGACTTCCTAGGGGAGGACTATGGAACAGTTTCGCAAGAAGATGCGCAGGACTGTCCTTCTAAGTTACGTTCCAAATGGGTTAGATCAGAAGAGACGCAACTAAGCCATGTTCTTTTCATAAATACCAGTAAATTCCTCGGCGGGCACCAGAAGAACCACATGATTTCTTCAGAGACTAGAACACAGATGTAGACCGATGCGGTGTTCTAGGGGGCACACCTGCAAAGACCCCAAATTCTTCTAAGACACCATTTCATTGTCCCTTCATATGTGACCTCTATGTATGGAATGTTTAAGTGTTGTATTTTTTCTTTCTTTTCTTTCTTACTCTTTTTTCTCTAAATTTTGTAGTCCAAGTCTAAGATACACACACACTCACACACACACACACACATGCTCACACACTCAGGCACAGGCTGTCAGTACTTTCCCTTCCCCAGCTTCCAGAGTTTTCCCCTTCTTGGTCTTTTGGGAAATGTTGCAACAGGGTTTGACCATAATGAGATTCAAGTGCACAATGTGGCCCCAGGATCTCTTCTGGTTTCCATGACCTAACTTCAGTTTTGTCTTCCTTCTTCATGCTCTCTCTCCTTTTTAGCTTGCTTTCTTTCATTCTTCAGAGTGGTGGTACATTTCTTCCTAGAGAAGATAATTTTCCACTCTACCTTCAGTTAGAACATTGGGAGAGAGGAATAAACCTGCTTGTCTAGCCCTTAAACCCACAATTTGTAAGAAAATGGTCTAGTTGAAGGAACAGCAGTTGAAATGAATTCAGACATATAAAAAGATGCTCTGTCCCATTTATGGAAGAAAACATGAATCCCAACCACAATGAGACAGTTTCCTCAATACCTCAGAGCTGAGTGCGCACTTTGCCCACTGCATCACCCGAGGGGGCCCAGCTGCCTGTGCTGGTATTGGACTAGCCGACGTCAATATGTGTGCTGCAGTGGGCGGTGGGATTGGTGCTCTCACACATTGCTAGCTGGAGTGGGATCCAGCACAACCCCTTTGGAAAGACATTTGGCGATACTATCAAAATGAAAAATGCATTTACTCTTGGACTCAGCCACTCCACTTCTGGGAATTCATCTCACATTACAGCATGCACGCACGCTTAGAAGCAGGCATCAGCTTATTTATTCATTGCAGCATTGTTTTTGGTAGCAAAAGTTTGCAGATAAACTAGATGCTTGTGCACAGGAGATGAGTCAAATAAATGATGGTATAACCATCCAATGCAAAATGGTGCAGCCATTAGAAGTCAAGAAGCAGACGCAAAATCTGCACCTGGAACCATCAGAGTGACACGTGGCAAAGTGGAGACCTTTGTGTTGTGGAAGGGCATGTGTACCGTCGACTCACCGTAGATGAGTTGAGTGAAGCTGGGGAAGTGATTTAACTGTTCTCTCTGGGCCTCACTTTACTCCTTTGTAAAATGGGGTAGTAACAGCATCCACGCCATAGGGCTGTTGAAGAGATTTCATAAATCAATGTATGTTAAACAGGACAGTGCTTGGCATGTAGCAAGTGCGGCATAATTATTAGTTATCATTATCATCACTGAAAATAAATCATCTATGTGTTAAAACAGGCATAGAATATCCCTGGAATGATACCCCAGAGCCACAGGTACTAGGGATTGCCATTGCCATTGTTAGGGAACCCGAAAGACTGACAGACAGGATGAGGTGGAGGAAGACTTACTTACATTTAACTTGTGTCTTTGGAGTTTCTACCTAGTGTCTGTATTCAGAATTTTTGAACATGTTAATGAAAATTAGCAACATGAAGAATTGTACAGTGAGCATCGATGTACTTATCATCTAGTTTCTGTAATTGCCATGTTGGTCTGTTTAGTTTAACACACGTCTATCCCTCCATCCATCCAGACGTCCGTCAATACACTTTGATGCCTTTCAAAGTAAGCTGTAGATCTCAGAGCCCATCCTCCCAAACACTTCTGTATGTGGATCATTAGCCAGACTTTCGTATTTGTTTATGGGCTTTCCTTGTTAGGTAAAATGTATATAGAGTCAAATGCAGACATGTAGTATACTGTTTGATGGTTTTGACAATGAATTGTCTATTCAAAATTTAATTATCAACAAATGACATGTGACATGTGGATACCTTTATACGAGAGAGAGAGAGAGAGAGAGAGAGAGAGAGGAAGAAACTGAGACAAACCAAAATAGTATTTTGAACTCACTGAGAATGAAAAAAAACATCATGAGCCAATGTGATAACTTATCAGGTGGAGAAGGATTTACAAGTGATCAAGATTTTTGCAGACAGGTCGCAGTCATGCGCTGTTTCTGTTCCCGGAGGGCAGTCTCCTTCTGGAACCTTCGCAGCTAGCTTCTCAGGCAGGAGGCATGGCGGCTGAAGTCGGGGCTGCTGGTCTCCCCCTGCAGGGATTTGAATCCCAGTCCCTCCTCTCACGAGCTGCGTCAGCTTGGAGAAGTTACTTAGCTTTTCCGAGCCTTCGCTTCTTCATCTGGGAGGGTTGCTGCTTCCTGCTTCTCGGCTTTGTGGGGAGGATTCTGTGAGCTAAAATACATGGCACGTTTAGAACACCTGGCACCTGGCGGTCCTTAAATGCTGTCTTTTGCTATTAATCACATACCTCCCTATCTCTGCTTTTAAAAAAATTGAATAGAAGAAGCCAAACGTGCAAGGTTAAGAGCTTTTCATCCTCAAGGAAAAAACTTCATCTCTCCCTGCAGCTTCTCTGTCCTCCCCACCCTGCAAAAAGCCGGGGAAATGAATCAGCCTCCAGCCTCTTGCTTTTTCTAATTCTTTGATTACTGCATGATTGCAGCATCCACTCAGTCTGGGGCTAAAAAATCGAAAGAAAACAAAAATTCTTGAGCCATTTCCAGATACCGAATCTGACTCAGTGTTGGCAAAACCTACAAAATGAGTGACCAAGAAGGATAAACAAGTTTAGGTAAACACTCTATAGACTGATTCATGATTTAAGTACATCAGTTAGCATTTAGCTTCATTTACCATCGTGTTTTAATGTCATTAAGAATGTAACTTCTTAGAAAAACTAAGAGAGTCTGTTTTTAGCCCAGACATGCAATTAAGGGAATTAGTAACGTGATACATCATCCTCAGGAACTCTGATATAGTAAGAAATCTCGTGCAACCCTTTATAAAGACGTTCTTACAACCGACGCCAGAGTTCACGGAGTTTCAATGTGAGGGCAGCAGGGAGCAGGAAAAAAAAAGGAAAAAGAAAAAGAATGAAATTACTGTCTTGCTCTGAACAGCAGTAAGAAAGGGTCTGGAATCGTGTGCAGATATTAAATAGCATAAAATAGGGGTCCATTCTGGAGAATTAAGTCATTTTCTGTCTGGAACACAACTGTGTTCAAGCCTCCCTGGCTCCATCTTTGCAGAGGTTCATGTGTGTGAGACTGGGCTGGAGTTGGGAAAGCAGAGAAAGGATTTTTTTTTCTTTCCTTTTAGGGATTTTGACAGAGAATTCGTTTTCTGACAAGCTTTGGGAGTTTAGTTACAATTTCTGGGAGCTTGGGATCATCGAGGTCAGGGCTTCTCCACCTGGGCACTGCTGATGGAGAATCTGGGCTGTCCTGTGCGCTGCAGGATGTTGGGCAGCATCCCTGGCCTCCACTCACCAGGTGCCAGTAGCACCCCCCTCATGGTGATGACACCACTGAATGTCCCTGGGGGCAAAATCACCCTTTAGTGAGAACCACAGCTCTTGATGAATCTGTGTGTTTCGCAGATGAGGAAACTGAGTTTCAGAGAGGGTAAGCTCGAGTGAGACCCAGGAGCAAAGTACAGGGGAGGAGGTGGCACGGAGCAGTGGCAAATCAGGGTGTCAGGACCAAAGCCCAGACCCTCCACTCCATTCCTGGGCAATCAGGTTGCAATTCTCAGTCTCCCTAAGGAGCCTGTCCTTTTGGACCCAACCAGGAGAGTCACAGGCCCTGCCCTGGGGGAAGGAAAAGGATGCAATGACTTTCTGCATGTGGGACACCTTCAGGACACCCTGCACACTGCACATTGTGGGCACACAACAAATGTGACCCATTTCTCTGAACAGAAAGCCATGGGGCGGGGATGTTGAAGGCACTGATTTCAGAGTCCAACGTCTGTGTTCAAGGCCTTTCTCGGGTCTAGCCCGGAAAGATTAACAGGAGTGTTCTACAACTCAGTTCCTCATCTCCAAAATGGGGGTGTCTGTCACAGCAGTACCCCTCTCACGGTTCTCCTTCGGGAGACTCAAACAAAATAATGCACTTAAAACTCTCAGCTCAGTGCTCTACACATGGTCAGGGTCAAATGTATTTAGCTCTTATGACTGTTATTGTTGCTGTTACCATTGGTGTTGCTGTTGTTGGTGATGGTGATGGTGTTGGTGTGTTAGTGTTGTTGGTACTGTTGGTGTGTTGGTAGTGATGGTGATGGTGTTGGTGTTGCTGTTGTTTTTGGTAGTGACGGTGTTGCTGTTGGTGATGATAGTGTTGTTGTGCTGGTGTTGGTGCTGGTGATGTTATTGGTAGTGATGGTGTTGTTGGTGTTGAGGGTGATGGTGTTATTGGTGTTGGTGATGGTGTTGTATTGGTGTTGATGATGGCAATGTTGGTGATGATGATGTTGATATTAATGATGTTGATATTATTGTAGTTAGTAGTGATAAAGTTGTTGGTGTTGGTGGTGATGGTGTTGTTATTGGTGTTGTTGATGATGATGATGTTGGTGGTGGTGGTAATGGTGGTAAGGATAAAGGGCAGGGGAGGGGAATGCAGACCTGATGCTAGGGCCAATCGCATTTGAAGGTGGCTCAGCCTCTGGTCTGACCAAGGGTCACTCCCTTTCATCCTCTCTGACCTTTAGAGCTTACAGCACCCCACCTCATTCCCACTACCTGCCTCTCTCTTTCTCCTTAAAGCCTTCCCTGGACCTTCCAGCCCTCACCTTCCTTCAGCCTCTGAATCCCTGAGTGGTAAGAACTCCTCACACAATTGCACATCACCTCTTTTTCCTCTTACTCCACTCTTGTCAGCAGTGGGACCTCAGAGTGCCAGCCAGAGCAGACACAGGGGCTTTGGGGCAGCTGATGGAGTGGCCTTAACTCAGTCTCTTAACTTTTTTGATCTCGATTTCCTCCCCTGTGCAGAAAGGTGATAAGGAGACTTTCTCCATGGGGCTGAGAGCCAAGAATCCCTACTTGGAGCAAAGTCTGTCATCTTAGTTGTTTGTAACTCCAACTCCCAGGACCCAGCACCATATGGAGCACATGGTAAGGGCCCAATAAATGTTGGACATAAGGAATATAAGAGAATGAAAGGCTGGGTCTGTATTTCTGGGTGGTCTCTTCATTTCTTTCCAGAGAGAGAGAAAAAGAGAGAGAGATTGTTGTGTGGATTTTATGTGAACACAGCAAAGATTACTTTCTGTGAGGAGGTGAGGGTCATCCACCCACCCACCACCACCCATTCACCCATTTATTCATCCACCCTTCCACCCATTTGTCCATCCATCCATCCATTCATCCACCCACCTGTTCGTTGAAATCATATTCCCATCAGGTGCCAGGCACTGGCTAGTCTGGCTTTGAGGATTCAGCAGTATTTCAGCACCTGCTATCTCAGAACCAAGGTTGGCCCAGAGGAGACCCTGTGGAATGTTTGTTGAATGAATGAGTAATTTTTCTTCTGAAACCAAAATGGAATGCTTTTATATTTTGAATGAGTAATTCTTTGAGTAAATGAATGGATTGGTGAAACAATAAGTGGTGTTGGGATAGACTAGTTCCAGGAATCCAACTCCATTATCATCTCAGGCCTCTGATATCTTGGCTCTTTGGCTCTGTCTGTGATTGCTTGGCAGCTTCAGCACTTGTCAGTCTCTCCCAGGAGGAGGGCAAGCCCTGGGGCTGGCGGGTTGAGAGGTGTCTTCCCAGGGCACATGGTGCTGCTCAGTGACTGGGGACTGTGCTCTTTCTACACCTTGTGGGCCCTTCTCCAAAGGACCCACCCCCCAAGGGGACCCTTGTCCATGAGTTGCTTCCTCTTCTCCAGCCGAACCAGTTGGTTTCTAGCCCACCTCCGGCCATCAGTGCAGAGCAGGGCTTTAGGGAGTTGGGGCACCCACCCTCAGTATTCCACTCTCTTCTGCATGAGGTAAATCTCCAGTCATCAGAAGAAACAATAAGATGAAAAGCTGACCACATTGTAATGCTCATTAGCACAAAAACCCACAGCTGCACTTGATATTGGGGGTGGTAGGGGGGAAGGCCAGGAGGGGAGGCAAGGGGGTCCTGTGGATTGCCCACCTGTAGCCTGTGAACTCACCAAGTGCATTGAAAGGGGAGCCTCGTTTGTTAAGTAGATGATGATCAATGCCACATCTGATGCCCGATTGGAATGGGACAGGCCTGGAAAGGGCCTGATTGGGATGAGCAGTGTCTAGGGTTCCGTCTCCACCTGCACCTGCAATGGGGTAGGGATGGAAAGGGGTGGGCACACTCTAGGCATGTTTGGCTCTATCTGTAGTGGGTGACCCAGCCTTCCCATCATGCCACCCTTTCTCACCACTCCTGTAGGAGCCCAGACTCCCTGCTTTCGAATCTCAGCTCCTTTACTGCTTAGCTGCAGGCAGGTGAGGCCCAGATCCCAGGAGAGGGATTAGACCCAAGCTGTTTGCTGTGTCCACCTGATAATTATGGTAACATATTTTGAGCGCTCACCTTGGTCCAATGCCAGGTGAAGCACTTTGAATGGTTGACTTCCCAAAACCTCGCGGGGTGGGCGTCATCGCCATTGTCATTTTGTACCTTGAGCTCCCAAGGCTCAGCAAGATCCAAGCAACTTGACCTCTCACACGGCAGGGCCAGGACTCCACCCTGGTCTGACCCTGAGCATCTCTGAGCACTTGGAAGGGGTCCACAGCACCCGGGAGTGGCCGGTGCTGTGGAGCTGAAGTTGATGAGCTTGTGAAATGCTGAAGCCTCCCTGGGCCTGGGGTGGGTGGCCCAGCCACCTATCCTGCAGATGGAGAGCTGGGTCGTGCCTGTGGGCAGGGGGACCTCAGCCAGATGACCTATGTGCTATGTCCTAGTAGGCTGCTGCTGCTGCTGCCTGGATAACTATTTTCCAGCGACCAACCCAGAGGCTGACTGAGAAAATATTCCTCCAACAGGCAAGAGGAGGGCAAGGAAGGTGGTTCATGGGATCCTGAAATCCGGTTCTGCTGTCTTAAGGGAATTCTCCACTGTGTCCCAGGCATTCTGAATTGGGATCCCCACTTGGGTGTGCCTTAGCCATTGGCCTTTTGAGAGCACACCCCAGCATCTGTGTCGCAGAGTCTAGACCTTCCCTGGCAGGCAGGAAGCCCATCCTGACTCTGTGGGAGGAAGCCTGGTTCCCCGTGTCGGAGGATGGAGTGAGGTGGAAGGACTTCAGTCCAATATACTATTCTCTCTTTTCTTCTGCTTTTGTTTTTTCTCTTCATTTCCCCAATATCAACCCCAGAATGGAAGATCACTTCAAATCCCATTTTGTTGCATGGACTTTTTTTCTTGTTGTTTCTTAGCAGAGACCAATTTTGGATGAATAACTTGTGACCGCAGAAACATGACACCAAAGCAACAGCGCTGGGTGGCAAATTTCTCCGTTACCACAAATATCCTTTCTCCTCGAGGACCAGACTGGAAGCATTTGGGGTTGTTTGTGCGTCCCGTCCTCAATCAGCCAGAGGAGGGGCCTTGGGAGCGGCAGCATGCCCGTCCCGCCCCCGCGCCCTCCTCCTGCCACCAGATGTGTGTTTTTCTCTTTGCAGGACTTTTGCTGAATCTCGACAGGTTCTTTGGTCCTGGGGTGTGAGGTTCTTCCCCTTCTGTGGCCCAGGGGGTGCTGAGTGCAAAGCTCGTGCCTGTAACGTGTGCTGATGCCCTGACTGGCACTGACTGTGGCTTATGAGGAGGGAAGGATGAGTTACACATCCCCTGGGTCTGTTCTTTAGCCCTGTTTCCTTGGCATTCAGAGACTTGGATGCTGGCCCTGTCAAGATTTGGATCTACTTGGGAAGAAAAAGGGATCCTGGTGTCAGCGGCCACATCATACACTGCAGAGATGCCGTGTCCTGCCGTTGTGTGCTGGTGATGAAGCTTTCATGATTAGTGAGTAGTGCTTTTCCTCCTCCAGGGAGGATGCACCCACACACAAAGGAATAAGGAAACTTGGTTTGGGTGAGACTTGAATACTGCCCTTAGCCTCTGATACCTTTTTATCTTCCCAACATTGTATTATAAAATATTTCAAACATACAGAAAAATTACACAAATAGTACACATGTATCCACACCAAGATTCTGCAACTGTCACGATCCTGTGATTCTTGTATAATCCCTCCCTCCCTCCCTCCCTACCTACCTTCCTTCCTTCCTTCCTTCCCTCCTTCCCTCCCTCTCTCCCTCCCTCCCTCCCTCCCATATTAGTTCATTCTCACATTGTTATAAAGAGGCTGAGGAGGCCTCAGGAAACTGACAATCATAGCGGAAGGGGAAGCAAGCATGTCTTACATGCTGGCAGGTGAGAGAGAGAAAGTGAAGGAGGAACTGTCAAACACTTATAAAACCATCAGTCCTCGTGAGAACTCACTATCATGAGAACAGCATGGGGGAAACTGCTGCCATGATCCAATCACCTCCCACCAGGTCCTTCCCTCAACACGTAGAGATGAAGGGGATTACAATTTGAGATGAGATTTGGGTGGGGACACAGAGCCAAACCATATCACTTCCTCTCGCTATCCATCTTTCCTGCCATCTTATTCTTTTTAACTGATTTTACTTTTTTAAGAACACACTAAATTGAGAAAATAGTACAGAGAGTCCCCATATACCTCACACCCACTCTGGTTATTGCTAACTTCTTACATTAGTCTAGTACATTTAAGAAACCAATTATATTGATTACAGTTAATGAACCCATATTAATATGTTATTATTTCATTATTAATTAAAGTCCATACTTTATTCAGATTTCCTTTGTTTTTACATAATGTCCTCTTTCTGCCCCAGGATCCTGTCCAGGAGCCCACATGGCATTAACCATCAGGTTTCCTTCAGCTCCTTTGTGCTGGGAGCCTGTTGGCCTCCCCTTGTTTCTGACGACCTTGACAGTGTGAAGGAGGCCACTCAGGTGTTTTCAGAATGTTCCTCAGCTGGGATTGGGCTGCTGTGTGCTCATGGTTAGACAGGGCTCCGTGTTATTTTCTGATGAATTTCCTAGTCACCCTATGCACCCTTTTTGTCCAGTAGAAAATGGAGAAAATGAGACCATACCCACACCACAGAGGGGTTGTGACACAATGGGGAGGGGCATGGGTTCTGGGTCACCTGCCTGGACTTGAATCCCAGCTCCAGCATTCACTAGTGGTGACTGTGGTCAACACACTTGGTTTCCTTATGCCTCAGTTTCCTCCTCTGCAAAATGGGCATAAAACTGTTTTATTAGAAGGTGCTGTGGGGATTAATGCAACTCTGTGGATAGTGAGCCCTCAGCAAAGACTGCCTGTTGCTCTTGATGTTAGGAATGCCAAGCACAGACAATCTTCACCATGAAGGCTTGGGAGGGCTTTTGTGCCCTTTGACGGTGGGAAGCTTGGAGTAGATGTGGCTTTTTCTTGGAAACAGCACACCCCCAGATGGTGGGGCTCAAAGCACAGGTGTTAGCGGAGTGACAGTGACACCCCGTGATGATGGCATGGGGCCTGGCTCTGACACGTGGAGCAGTGCCCTCAAACGTGGGCCTGTGGATGGGCAGCCTCCCCGGGCTTCCTTCTCCCTCCTTCTCAGCCACATGTCTCCTGCTGGGAGCTTCCTCATCCCAGGCCACTGCCCCGTCAGGCAAACAGTTTTTCTAATAACGAAGAGAGCAGCATATTTAATCTGGGGACCTATTTCATTATTGCTGCAAACATTTCTGTTTTATTGGCATGCCAGGAGATAAGCTAGGACCGTGGAAGAGCCACGGCTGCCACCGGGAACCGCTTCCTTCCCAGCCCCCCGGAGACTCTGGGCATGTGCCATGGCGCCGCCCAACGGCATGAAGGAGACTCTGGCCAAGGCCCCAAGCAGTCTTCTGGATGACAGTTGATTACTAATAAAACCAGAGTCATGCAGCCCAAGACCACGAAGGGCTATCCAGTGGTTTCTGGGCCGGAGCGGATGTCCTTCTGGAAACTTCTTTGCACACAAAAGGCCCAAGACGCCATCACTGGACACATGTGACATCTCATTTGCAAGCTAACTTTGGTTTCCAGAGAGTCCAAGTGCCAAAACCACGTCTCTCTGAGGAAATTTGACGTTGACACGAAGGACACACGCAGCCTCGTGTTACTCAATTCTAATTTCGGGGTGGGTTTTTTCATTCATAATAGATCCTGGAACGTCAGGGCTGGAAGGAGGCTTGGAGGCCACCTCAGAACAGTTGCTGACATTTCCAGCATGCTTACTGTGTGACAGGCTCTGTGCCAAGTGCTGGCCATGCCTGATCTCTACAAAGCTCCCCTCCACTCCCTGGACCTTATTTTCCCCATTCTACAGATGAGGAATCTGAGGCCTGAACATCAACCTGCTTGCCCAAGAAAGACCCCATGATTAGAAAGTGTTGAGCCAGGACTCAGCCCCAGGGCTGTCAGGCTGTAGAACCTGCTTCTTAAGGTGCACACCCCACACCCACCCCCTCCAGAGCTCCATCACCTGGGATCTGATTGGGCATCCCTGGGTGTGAACTTTAGGGAGGCCTGTGAGCCCCCACCTGGAATTTGCACACAAAATGTCATGCATGTGTACATTTTTCTGGGTGGGAATGCAGAGTGTTTCAAAGGAGTTCACATCCTCACAAAAGGGGTACCTTCTGTGGCCCTCATTTTGTGGAGG
The DNA here is from genome assembly GCF_000001405.40 of Homo sapiens. Taxonomy (NCBI): domain Eukaryota; kingdom Metazoa; phylum Chordata; class Mammalia; order Primates; family Hominidae; genus Homo; species Homo sapiens. The sequence continues at coordinate 86,231,231 of NC_000016.10, forward strand.
AGGAAGGGCAGAGGCCGATGCATTGCTATGGTTACCCAGCAGGCTAGATGGAGATTTGACCTTGTACCCCCAGATCCAGTCCACCCCTTTCGCTACTCTTGTCCAGTGCATGAATATATTTTCAGATCATTTTCACTAAATCTTTTTATTCTGTGTAAAGCACAGACAGAAAACTGCTCAGATCCAAAGTGTGCAGCTCAATGCATGACTACAAAGTGAAGACTCCTGGGTAACTCTCCACCCACAACCAGAGGGAAAATGGTACCAGCACCCTAGAAACCCTCTGCCTGTCACAATCCCAATTCCCCAAGAGCAATTGCTTTCCTGGCTTCTGAGAGCCTGGTTGGCACGTGATGTGCTGGGATCAGGCAGGGCATCTCTCCCATGTCCGCAGCATGGGAGAGCTGTGGTATTTTTGGCATTGGTTCATCTTCACTGCTTTATAGTATCCTGCTGCGTCAACAAACTGATCCTCATATGTCTATCCTCTTGCTGGGGCAGCGGGGAGGCCCAGCTGGGGGCTGTGTGACAAAAGCATGCTTGCACATGCCTGGTGCACATGTGCTGGCCTTCCTGTTGTGTGTGTCACTGGGAGCGGAATTGCCGGGTCATCCAGCAGGCATGATGTCCGGCATGAGAAGATGCCGCCAAATCTTTTTCCAGAAGGGAAATTCACACTCCCACAAGCAGCTGCTCACATCCTTGCCAGCGTTTAATTTTAGCTGTGCTGGTGGGCGAAGGCATTATGCATATTTTTAAAAAATCAAACAACCTTCCAGCTCTTGCGTTTTCTCCTACCTTGAAGGCATTTTTCTCAGTCACTCTCATCCTGCAGCCCCATGACACACACACGCAGGCAGGGGTTGCTGGTGAAGGGCTCTGGTGAAGGGCTGACCCAGGAACCATGGTCCTCATGGGAGCGTCAGAGGAGGAGGGGCTGGGTGAACCCAGAAGGAGTCCAGGAATCTTCCCCCGTCCCACTCCCTTCTTCTGAGGCTATGCCGGGTAGACCCTGACGGGTGATCCTGTGCCGATTTTGATCCCATAAACTTTTGTGTGGGAGGCCGTTGGTTTAACTGAGCCTGCCAGGCCTCCTTGGCAATTTGATTTCGTTGAGGCCCTGGGTGGTGGTCCCTAACGGTTCTAAGGCAACTTATGGGGTTTAGCTTTTACCCCATGTACTTCCCGGCTGTAATAACTGGGTTATCAGGGTTGAGTGAATCCCATGTTGCTGGGCACGGGCTGCCCTCGCCCAGAGCTCCCAGGAGCCAGTGGAAGCGTAATGGAGACCGTGGTGGTCCATACCTGTCCCCGCTTGGGAATTTCATCGGAACTCGACCTTACAAATGATCCCTGCCAGCCTTGTGTCCATTAAGAACAGAAAATGGCTCACACAGGAGGAGCAGCCCTCTCCTTGGGTGGCCTGGTGTGAAGATTCCCCCCCAGGCCACCCACATCTGGGGGGAGGTGGGGCAAGAGGGAAGCAGCAGGCCCAGCCGCCTGAAGATTGGGTACCTGGCCACAGCTGCTCTGAGACAGCGGGAGGGCCCCAGTCCGTGAGCTCCAGCCCCTCACCGCTCCCTCTTGGCTCCCAGGCATTGGGACTGTCTCTTCCCCAACCCCAACCAGATGATAGAAAAAATATTCCTGGTTCAAACCAGAGGGTCTCTGTCATGCCCAACCCCTAAACAAGACCCTTATTCTGCACTTTAGGACCTAATACAGTTACTGTCCCTCTCTGTTGCGCCTACCTGGAGCTTAACTCCAAGAATACACTGCTCTTCCCTATTCAGAGACGTATGTGGACTCAAAACTGTATGTGGACCCGAGGAGCTGTCTAAGAAGTGGAACTCACAGAAGCAGAGAGTAGAATGGCAGTTGCCGGAGGCTGGGGATGGGGAATGGGAGGATGTTACAGTTTCAGTTATGCAAGAGGAATAATTTCTGGAGATCTAATGTCCAGCAATGTGACTCTAGGTAACAATTGTATTGTATTCTTGAAATTTGCTAAGAGGACAGATCTCAAGTGTTTTCACCACAAAGAAAAGAAAAGAAAACAAAACAAGGAAGGAGCCAAGATGGCCGAATAGGAACAGCTCCGGTCTACAGCTCCCAGCCTGAGCGACGCAGAAGACGGGTGATTTCTGCATTTCCATCTGAGGTACCGGGTTCATCTCACTAGGGAGTGCCAGACAGTGGGCGCAGGTCAGTGGGTGCGCGCACCATGCACGAGCCGAAGCATGGAGAGGCATTGCCTCGCTTGGGAAGCGCAAGGGGTCAGGGAGTTCCCTTTCTTAATCAAAGAAAGGGGAGACGGACGGCACCTGGAAAATCGGGTCACTCCCACCCGAATACTGCGCTTTTCCGACGGGCTTAAAAAACGGTGCACCACTAGATTATATCCCGAACCTGGCTCGGAGGGTCCTACCCCACGGAGTCTCGCTGATTGCTAGCACAGCAGTCTGAGATCAAACTGCAAGGCAGCAGCCAGGCTGGGGGAGGGGCGCCCCCCATTGCCCAGGCTTGCTTAGGTAAACAAAGCAGCCGGGAAGCTCGAACTGGGTGGAGCCCACCACAGCTCAAGGAGGCCTGCCTGCCTCTGTAGGCTCCACCTCTGGGGGCAGGGCACAGACAAACAAAAAGACAGCAGTAACCTCTGCAGACTTAAATGTCCCTGTCTGACAGCTTTGAACAGAGCAGTGGTTCTCCCAGTACACAGCTGGAGATCTGAGAACTGGCAGACTGCCTCCTCAAGTGGGTCCCTGACCCCTGACCCCCGAGCAGCCTAACTGGGAGGCACCCTCCAGCAGGGGCACACTGACACCTCACACGGCAGGGTACTCCAACAGACCTGCAGCTGAGGGTCCTGTCTGTTAGAAGGAAAACTAACAAACAGAAAGGACATCCACACCAAAAACCCATCTGTACATCACCATCATCAAAGACCAAAAGTAGATAAAACCACAAAGATGGGGAAAAAACAGAACAGAAAAACTGCAAACTCTAAAAATCAGAGCACCTCTCCTCCTCCAAAGGAAGGCAGCTCCTCACCAGCAATGGAACAAAGCTGGATGGGGAATGACTTTGACGAGCTGAGAGAAGAAGGCTTCAGACGATCAAATTACTCTGAGCTACGGGAGGACATTCAAACCAAAGGCAAAGAAGTTGAAAACTTTGAAAAAAATTTAGAAGAATGTATAACTAGAATAACCAATACAGAGAAGTGCTTAAAGGAGCTGATGGAGCTGAAAACCAAGGCTCCAGAACTACGTGAAGAATGCAGAAGCCTCAGGAGCCGATGCGATCAACTGGAAGAAAGGGTATCAGCAATGGAAGATGAAATGAATGAAATGAAGCGAGAAGGGAAGTCTAGAGAAAAAACAATCAAAAGAAATGAGCAAAGCCTCCAAGAAATATGGGACTATGTGAAAAGACCAAATCTACGTCTGATTGCTGTACCTGAAAGTGATGGGGAGAATGGAACCAAGTTGGAAAACACTCTGCAGGATATTATCCAGGAGAACTTCCCCAATCTAGCAAGGCAGGCCAACGTTCAGATTCAGGAAATACAGAGAACGCCACAAAGATACTCCTCGAGAAGAGCAACTCCAAGACACGTAATTGTCAGATTCAGCAAAGTTGAAATGAAGGAAAAAATGTTAAGGGCAGCCAGAGAGAAAGGTCGGGTTACCCTCAAAGGGAAGCCCATCAGACTAACAGCGGATCTCTCGGCAGAAACCCTACAAGCCAGAAGAGAGTGGGGGCCAATATTCAACATTCTTAAAGAAAAGAATTTTCAACCCAGAATTTCATATCCAGCCAAACTAAGCTTCATAAGTGAAGGAGAAATAAAATACTTTACAGACAAGCAAATGCTGAGAGATTTTGTCACCACCAGGCCTGCCCTAAAAGAGCTCCTGAAGAAAGCGCTAAACATGGAAAGGAACAACCAGTACCAGCCGCTGCAAAATCATGCCAAAATGTAAAGACCATCGAGACTAGGAAGAAACTGCAACTAACGAGCAAAATCACCAGCTAACATCATAATGACAGGATCAAATTCACACATAACACTATTAACTTTAAATGTAAATGGACTAAATGCTCCAATTAAAAGACACAGACTGGCAAATTGGATAAAGAGTCAAGACCCATCAGTGTGCTGTATTCAAGAAACCCATCTCACGTGCAGAGACACACATAGGCTCAAAATAAAAGGATGGAGGAAGATCTACCAAGTAAATGGAAAACAAAAAAAGGGGTTGCAATCCTAGTCTCTGATAAAACAGACTTTAAACCAACAAAGATCAAAAGAGACAAAGAAGGCCATTACATAATGGTAAAGGGATCAATTCAACAAGAAGAGCTAACTATCCTAAATATATATGCACCCAACACAGGAGCACCCAGATTCCTAAAGCAAGTCCTGAGTGACCTACAAAGAGACTTAGACTCCCACACAGTAATAATGGGAGACTTTAACACCCCACTGTCAACATTAGACAGATCAATGAGACAGAAAGTCAACAAGGATACCCAGGAATTGAACTCAGCTCTGCACCAAGCGGACCTAATAGACATCTACAGAACTCTCCACCCCAAATCAACAGAATATACATTTTTTTCAGCACCACACCACACCTATTCCAAAATTGACCACATACTTGGAAGTAAAGCTCTCCTCAGCAAATGTAAAAAACAGAAATTATAACAAACTATCTCTCAGACCACAGTGCAATCAAACTAGAACTCAGGATTAAGAATCTCACTCAAAACCACTCAACTACATGGAAACTCAACAACCTGCTCCTGAATGACTACTGGGTACATAACGAAATGAAGGCAGAAATAAAGATGTTCTTTGAAACCAACGAGAACAAAGACACAACATACCAGAATCTCTGGGACACATTCAAAGCAGTGTGTAGAGGGAAATTTATAGCACTAAATGCCCACAAGAGAAAGCAGGAAAGATCCAAAATTGACACCCTAACATCACAATTAAAAGAACTAGAAAAGCAAGAGCAAACACATTCAAAAGCTAGCAGAAGGCAAGAAATAACTAAAATCAGAGCAGAACTGAAGGAAATAGAGACACAAAAAACCCTTCAAAAAATTAATGAATCCAGGAGCTGGTTTTTTGAAAGGATCAACAAAATTGATAGACCGCTAGCAAGACTAATAAAGAAAAAAAGAGAGAAGAATCTAATAAAGGCAATAAAAAATGATAAAGGGGATATCACCACCGATCCCACAGAAATACAAACTACCATCAGGGAATACTACAAACACCTCTACGCAAATAAACTAGAAAATCTAGAAGAAACGGATAAATTCCTTGACACATACACTCTCCCAAGACTAAACCAGGAAGAAGTTGAATCTCTGAATAGACCAATAACAGGATCTCAAATTGTGGCAATAATCAATAGCTTACCAACCAAAAAGAGTCCACGACCAGATGGATTCACAGCCGAATTCTACCAGAGGTACAAGGAGGAACTGGTACCATTCCTTCTGAAACTATTCCAATCAATAGAAAAAGAGGGAATCCTCCCTAACTCATGTTATGAGGCCAGCATCATTCTGATACCAAAGCCGGGCAGAGACACAACCAAAAAAAGAGAATTTTAGACCAATATCCTTGATGAACATTGATACAAAAATCCTCAATAAAATCCTGGCAAAACGAATCCGGCAGCACATCAAAAAGCTTATCCACCATGATCAAGTGGGCTTCATCCCTGGGATGCAAGGCTGGTTCAATATACGCAAATCAATAAATGTAATCCAGCATATAAACAGAGCCAAAGACAAAAACCACATGATTATCTCAATAGATGCAGAAAAGGCCTTTGACAAAATTCAACAACCCTTCATGCTAAAAACTCTCAATAAATCAGGTATTGATGGGACATATTTCAAAATAATAAGAGCTATCTATGACAAACCCACAGCCAATATCATACTGAATGGGCAAAACCTGGAAGCATTCCCTTTGAAAACTGGCACAAGACAGGGATGCCCTCTCTCACCACTCCTATTCAACATAGTGTTGGAAGTTCTGGCCAGGGCAATTAGGCAGGAGAAGGAAATAAAGGGTATTCAATTAGGAAAAGAGGAAGTCAAATTGTCCCTGTTTGCAGATGACATGATTGTATATCTAGAAAACCCCACTGTCTCAGCCCAAAATCTCCTTAAGCTGATAAGCAACTTCAGCAAAGTCTCAGGATACAAAATCAATGTGCAAAAATCACAAGCACTCTTATACACCAACAACAGACAAACAGAGAGCCAAATCATGAGTGAACTCCCATTCACAATTGCTTCAAAGAGAATAAAATACCTAGGAATCCAACTTACAAGGGATGTGAAGGACCTCTTCAAGAAGAACTACAAACCACTGCTCAAGGAAATAAAAGAGGATACAGACAAATGGAAGAACATTCCATGCTCACGGGTAGGAAGAATCAATATCGTGAAAATGGCCATACTGCCCAAGGTAATTTACAGATTCAATGCCATCCCCATCAAGCTACCAATGCCTTTCTTCACAGAACTGGAAAAAACTACTTTAAAGTTCATATGGAACCAAAAAAGAGCCCGCATCGCCAAGTCAATCCTAAGCCAAAAGAACAAAGCTGGAGGCATCACACTACCTGACTTCAAACTATACTACAAGGCTACAGTAACCAAAACAGCATGGTACTGGTACCAAAACAGAGATAATGGAACAGAACAGAGCCCTCAGAAATAACGCCACATATCTACAACTATCTGATCTTTGACAAACCTGAGAAAAACAAGAAATGGGGAAAGGATTCCCTATTTAATAAATGGTGCTGGGAAAACTGGCTAGCCATATGTAGAAAGCTGAAACTGGATCCCTTCCTTCCACCTTATACAAAAATCAATTCAAGATGGATTAAAGACTTAAATGTTAGACCTAAAACCATAAAAACCCTAGAAGAAAACCTAGGCATTACCATTCAGGACATAGGCATGGGCAAGGACTTCATGTCTAAAACACCAAAAGCAATGGCAACAAAAGCCAGAATTGACAAATGGGATCTAATTAAACTAAAGAGCTTCTGCACAGCAAAAGAAACTACCATCAGAGTGAACAGGCAACCTACAAAATGGGAGAAAATTTTCGCAACTTACTCATCTGACAAAGGGCTAATATCCAGAATCTACAATGAACTCCAACAAATTTACAAGAAAAAAGCAAACAACCCCATCAAAAATTGGGCAAAGGACATGAACAGACACTTCTCAAAAGAAGACATTTATGCAGCCAAAAAACACATGAAAAAATGCTCACCATCACTGGCCATCAGAGAAATGCAAATCAAAACCACAATGAGATACCATCTCACACCAGTTAGAATGGCAATCATTAAAAAGTCAGGAAACAACAGGTGCTGGAGAGGATGTGGAGAAATAGGAACACTTTTACACTGTTGGTGGGACTGTAAACTAGTTCAACCATTGTGGAAGTCAGTGTGGCGATTCCTCAGGGATCTAGAACTAGAAATACCATTTGACCCAGCCATCCCATTACTGGGTATATACCCAAAGGACTATAAATCATGCTGCTATAAAGACACATGCACACGTATGTTTATTGCGGCACTATTTACAATAGCAAAGACTTGGAACCAACCCAAGTGTCCAACAATGATAGACTGGATTAAGAAAATGTGGCACATATACACCATGGAATACTATGCAGCCATAAAAAATGATGAGTTCATGTCCTTTGTAGGGACATGGATGAAATTGGAAATCATCATTCTCAGTAAACTATCACAAGAACAAAAAACCAAACACCGCATATTCTCACTCATAGGTGGGAAGTGAACAATGAGATCACATGGACACAGGAAGGGGAACATCACACTCTGGGGACTGTTGTGGGGTGGGGGGAGGGGGGAGGGATAGCATTGGGAGATATACCTAATGCTAGATGACAAGTTAGTGGGTGCAGCACACCAGCATGGCACATGTATACATATGTAACTAACCTGCACAATGTGCACATGTACCCTAAAACTTAAAGTATAAAAAAAAAAAAGAACAAACAAAAATAAATAATAATAAAAAAATAAAAACTAAAAGTATTTCTTGACAAAATGCAGACAGATTTCGGATTGCATCTATGACACCTGAAGTCTAGATTTAAGGCATAAAAAATAAGCCACCTGCGAGATACATTTTCTGCCTTAGGTGGATTTTAAAAATTCTGACATTGAAACAACCAGAGTCCACTGAATTTCCCCCTTGCCATTGAAAGTGCTGGCCTCACCGGACGTGGAGGGAAGCAGCGTTTCCCCTGTGAAAGCAGCCGAGTCACTGGGCAGAGACGAATCCAGCTCTCTCTTCCCTTCTCTCAGGAAGGTGCTGGAAGGAGATTTTCCTTTCCAGCAGTTAAGTGGATGCGGCTTGGGATGGTCAATCCGTCCCCAGGCCTGGGGACAGCTGTCCTCACCGGAAGACAGCCTGCTGTAATTTATCCTGGGGGTTGTTTGAAATGTTTGCTGCTGTTGGGGAGTGAACGTGTTCTTTGTGATCAATTAATGCCCCTCTCACGTTTTGTCAACGCGAAGGGAGCTGCATATTTTGTAGTTTTTATTTAATGAACCAATTACTTCATTGCCAAAATAAAGGATGTTTTATTCCTAAGACCCTGAATGAGGATCTATAAACCCTATTAAAATTAGTTATTAGATTTTAGCTATTATAAAAATTCTTTTAATTTAGTTTGGTTTATATTGTGTCTAAGTTTGAGCTCCTATGGAAACTACTGTAACACAGTTTGTGTTCTGTCTGAATTCACAGTAAACCTAGCAATGCATATTACTGTCAGTGTGATCTACTGCAAAAACTGGGTACCTAAGATGACTTCGTACATTTTATACACATAAATATGTAAATATTTCTTGAGTGACATTTGCATGAAAATAATTGAAATAATTGAAGGCAAAGTTCATGCAGAAGGAATATTTAAGAGAGGTTTGAAAGAAACAAGATGGGCTTTTCTACATGACTCCTAGGTACCTTCAGAATTTGCAACAAAGTAGGCAAAGAGAGTAAATTATTTTGTGCAATATTAGAATGCTTGCTTGTAATACACACACACACGCACACACCCCCAAATGTCTGCTGGAGAGAAATTGATGATTGCATATTATTCATGTCAAAAAGACATCTTTGATTTCTTTCTAAATCTTTTAAGAGAAATTGAACTGAGGCAAAAATATTTGTTTTAAAATTTACATTCTTTATGAAAGAAACAAGGCATGCCTTTATAAGACATATGTGCCATTCTGTAGAAATACAAATATTTGCTTCTTACCTTGGCAAGCACAGTTTAATTGTGTCTAAGTATGAGAACTATGAATTCTTTGGAAACTTTGTGGCAATGACTTTTATTTTCCCCTGAAGCTTTTTTTAAAAAAATCTCATTTAGCTATTTCATCTGTGTGTGTGTGACACACAGAAAGAGAGACAGAGATTTAAAAATTTGTAACTAAGGATTGAAAAAAAGTACCAGATGAATTGTCCCGAATCTTTGTAGCCTCTATGTCCTTGAAAATGCCCCAGAGAATGTTTTCTTCCCTTTTATAGGATGCAGGCTTCTCTTTAGCTTCTCCACCAATCCTGAAATTCCTTTGTTTAAAACAAAACGAAACAAAACAAAACTTGTGGCTTTTCTCAAAATGACAAACTAAACATGCAGAATCTAAAAATCCCCAAACACATCCCAGACTATAAACCTTTCTGACTCAACAAGCAGATTTTATGGAGACCCCAGTAAAACCCCAAGGATGGCAATAAATAAATCGCCAGCCGGTTCTCCCATACAGCTGCCTCTTCCACAAGACCTCAAGCCTCTGAAGGCAGAGGGAAGACCCCATGCGTCTTGGTTTTGGGGACCCACAGATGGGCCATCCAAATGGCCGAGCTGCCTAGATTTCTCCCAAATAGTCGCGATGGAAGGTAGCTGAGAGGCGGGGGGGAATATTCATCACAAAGCATTTTCCCAAACTTCCACCTCAAACAAGGATGCAAATATTTGGAATAAACAAGGACAGAACTAATACAATGAAGCAACAAGTAAAAGTGGCAACGACACTGGTCACATGGAAAGGATGTGAAAAGAGTTAAGAAGCAGAAGGAGATAATTATTTTCCAGAGCTGCATGACCCATTGATATGCACCTCATACTTTTAATAGGAAATTCCGTCTCATTCCCGTTGCTGTGCCTCAGGGGAGATACTAGGTAGAATAGCAAACCCCTGGGATCTTACCCAACTCTGTCATTTCCACTGACTGTGGCATGGACAAGTCATTTTAAATTCTGCATCAAAATATGAGGATAATTTCCCCCGTCTAGCCCACTCCCTGGAACTCATTGTGACAATGAGAAGAGAAAAAAATAGGAAACAGAAAAGATATTTATGATATTTAAGGAGTTGTATGATCTCTCTGAATGTAAAAGGAGAACTGATATTGTCCTCATCACAGGTCACCGGCGGCACAGCCCTATTTTTCTTGTGGAGTGACTGGGAACCGCTGTGCTCCGGGAGCCAGGGTGAGGCACAGAATTGTATTTCTGCAGCCAGATCCCCTCCCAGTTGCGGGGCTGTTTTCTTCCCTCTGACAGGAAGGAGCTTCCTTCTGGAAGTGTCCTGACATTGTTCTTGGTATTCCAGAAATTCCCTGGCTGATGGCATGTCCAGAAGGGAGCGGTCCCAGGGCACGGGAGTGCATTGGGCAAATCTGTATTTAACCTCTTTTATCACACACACACACTCACACACACTTGTGCACACTCACCCATACTTTCACACAAGTTCATGCTCTTGCACGCACACTCAGACACCCTCACGTGCTCCCACACTCACCCCTGCTCACCCCTACACTTACATAGACACACTCAAACACCCTCACAGGCTCTCACACTCACCCATGCTCTGACACACACACACCTCATGCTCACTCACCGATGTTCTGACATCCACACACACACTCACACTCACACTCAGACACCCTCAGACGGTCTCACACTCACCCATGCTCACACAGACACACACAAACATCCTCACAGGCTCTCACACCCATGCTCTGACACACACACACATTCAGAAACCCCCCCATGCTCAGACTCACTCACACTCTGACACACACTCCCACACACTCTCACATGCTCTCACACTCACCCACACTCTGACACACTCACACATTCAGACACCCTCACACGCTCTCACACTCACCCATGCTCTCACACACTTTCCTGTACCTTGCACTGTCAGCAAACCACCCTTGGCGCTCCCATGTGATGAGGGGGTGAGTCCGACCACCCTTGCCCCCAACCCCTGAACAGAAGGAGGTCTGCTGTTGCTGAGCCTTAGCTGCCTACACACGTGTGTGCAGGAGAGAGACGTGCTGGCAGGAGACCAGTAGGGTGCCTGGCCGCACCAGCGTGGAGGTGGCCTCCAGGCACACTCTCCCCTCTTCGTCGTGGGAACTGCTTCCATCTCGGCCCAAGCAATAGACCTGACACGGGTTTCAAATGCTGCTTCACTTCTCCAGTGCTTTCCTGGATGATGCCTCTCTTTACAACCCCAGTCTCCAGGCCCCTGCGGCCCAGAGCCCCATCACATCCCACAAGCCTGCCTGGCACAGTGTTGGGGATATGCCATCCTCACCGAGCACCTACCACATGGGCAGCGGGAGTCCCTTGGGATAATCACATGGGGAAGAGAAGTCCTTCCAATCCATGTGCGGTTTCAATCCCAATGACAGTGTGGAACTCAGCAGCTCACTGTCCTTCCAACCACCCTTCACTGAGCCCTTTGTGGGACCCATCCTGAGAACAAGTGTTGGGAATCCATTCAGGAATCCCTGGATTTGGCATCCACACGTCCCCCCTTGTCTGCTCTCCCCGCCCAGGATCATTTGCCTGGGCCTCAGACCCCTCATCCACAAAATGAGCTTGAAAGTCACATGCCAGGGGCAGGACTTTCCCTCCCAGTGCTTGCCTTACGGTGAGGCCTGATATTTGTGCAATTGTTCGGCCCATGCCCCTCTCTCTCTCTAATTTCCAAGCTCAGCTCCTCAAGGGGAGGAGTGGGCCACTGATTCTCATGCAGGCACCGAGGGCACTGCCTTGGCAGGTGGACTGTGGGCACCTGCGTGCATCTGAATAGGGCAGGCTGTGGGGGTTAAGATGTAAAATGCACAAATATCAGTGTTTGTATTATTATTATTATTCTATTGTTATTACTAGATGTAGCCTCTGCTTCTAGGGGCGCAAACTTATCCCCAGGCCCAGTGAGGAGCGCAGAGAACACACTGAAGCACGGGCAAGGCCCTGACAGCTGCATCTCTCGTGTAAAGTTCCTCACAGTGAGTTTTGTGCTCAGCTTTTGTGAGGCACATGCAGACCATCCCCTGCTGAACAGTGAGCTGAGTCAGCGGCTTCCCCACTTTCCCAGGCCCTGGGGAGCCCCAGGTTCCTGAGGAGGCACGGGCTCAGAGGGCACCTGGCTGAGAGTGTGAGCCCCACAGAACCAGCTTTCCGCAGCCACTGCCTGCTGGGCTGGGGATGGCAGGCGAGTGCCTGGTGTTTCAGGATTCTCATCTTTCTCGAAAACTGTAAGGGCACCATCGCCCATCTGGACCTGACGCACATTGCCGAATAACTAGGCTGCTGCCCTGCCCACTGTCCTTGAAAGCCACTTAACATATGTTCTGATTCTGCTGCCTGGCAGGCAGCTTTCCGTCCAGTGGCTGGCACCAGCCCTGAGAGATGTGCCTCTCTCCATCACCCAGAGGCTCCGGGCAGCCAGGCTGGAAGAAAACAGGAGGAGCCAGAACCACGAGCTTGGAGACCATTATCTTGTCACTGTCGGAGCCACAGACTTATGAATGGCCCCTGTCCTGGAGTGGAGCTGGCCACCCTGGAGCTTCAGAGGTACTCTCTGGTGAGAGGTTTACAGACCAGCCGCAAAATAAATCGCTCCCTTACCCGGCCTCTGGAGAGCCAAAACTCCCCACAGAGACAGTCATTGCATTGGTTTCTTTGTTAAAATAAAAATGCCCCAAGCATCCGCCCATGGAATTGTGTTCCCCACTGGGGAAGGAAGGCGGCTGTGAGGAAGGCAGCTGGCACGGGAGCAGAGACGTCATGGGGGTGACGGGCAATAACTTTATCCACCACTGGCTCACTGGGGACTTCAGAACAGTCCGCAAATACTAGCTGAGCTCCTACCACATGCCAAGGAGTGTCCTAATCCTCAGGGCTGCAGGTACAAATAGCACAGAGTTCCTAACTCAGGAAGCACACAGTATAACTGGGGTGGGGGCCAGAAAATAAACAAAAAAAGCCAGGCATGCCAGGTCGTGGTGGGAGCTGAGATGAAAATGAAAGGAGATGGGGAGGGGAGTACGTGGGGAGGGGTGGGCTACAGGGGCCATCCCAGCCAAGTAGGAGCCGGCCATGTGGAGATTTGGGGGAAGAACATTCCAGAAAGAGGGAATGGCTAGTGCCAAGTACAAGTGAGCTTGATGAGCTTGGGGAATAGACAGAAGGCCCACATGGCTGGAGTTGTCATTATTGGGAGGGATGGGGAGAAGCAGGAGACATGGCCAGAGGGGCAGGTGGAGGTAGACGGTGAACCATGAGCTTGATGACAATTATCTTGTCACTGCCAGAGCCACAGACTGACCTACATTTTTACAGGGTCACCACAATGAAGGGTTGAGAAAAGGCTGAGGGGGCTGCAGGTGGGTGGAGGACAGGAGGCTAGAGAGGAGACCTGTACAGCTGCTGGACATGGCATGGTGACGATGTGGATTAAGGTGGTCTCTGCTGCATGACACATTTCAATACACATAGCAGCTGGCAAAAACAGTCAGGCATCTGGGCCCAGCTCAGTTGCGGCCTCTGCAGGGCTTTGATTAACATATTGGCTGGGGCTGGTCTCATCTGAACGCCTGAGTGGGGAAACATCCAGTTTCTTGCTTGCTCAGGCTTTTGCAAGACTTCAGGTCTGTAGGGCTGTTGGACTGAAAGCTACAGTTTTGGAGTGCTTCATTTCATTTTGTTTCATTTGTTAGCCATCAGCTGGAGGCTGCCTTCCACAACTAGAGGTCAACTACAGTTCCCCACCATACAGGGCTCAGCAGTGTGCCCAGCTTCTTCACAGCCAGCATGGTGGGTGGATTCCAGCCGACTGAGGGCCACAGCCTTAGGCAGCGCCACCCCATAACCACGTGTATGGAACCAGACACGTCTGTCACCTTTGCCAGACCCTATGGATCAGAAGCAGTCACAGGCCCTGGCTGCTCTCAGGGAAGGGGTTCCCACAGGGTGTGCACACCAGGGTGTGGGGTCCTGGGTCCGCCTACGGGTCTGTCTACCATGGTGGTGTCCATGGGTATGCTGAACAGTGGACGCTTCTGCTGTGTAAGTTTAATTTCCTCCCAGAAGCAGCACATTATCATCCCCCATTTAATACACGAGGGTTAAAGTTTTGTCCTATATGTGGCAAATGATGATTAACTTTTCTTCGTTAAATCCATAAAGTACCAGGAGGAGGACAGACAGATAGAAGCCAGGCAGAGAGGGTTTGAAGGGAAGTTGAAGGGAGCCCCAGGAGGAACCTGGAACTCACACATCACAAGGGGTGATATCATCACTCCTAGGTTCCACCCCTGCACAGCAAAGAAGCCCAAAGCTTGCTGGCTTACAACACTGATGTTTCCTTTACTTGTTCCTCCACTGATGGCATCTACTGGGCAGGCTCAAAGGCTGGGGCTGGGTCCCCCATACAGCTGTGCACTGACACACAAGCGTGGCCGGGACCACAGCAGGGGCTGTGGCCAGAGGACGTGTGGCCTCTTGTGTGGCCTGGTTCCTGTACATGGTGACTGGGCTCTAACGGTGGGCACCTAAGACAGACAGGGCGAGGCAGGAGCTGCATCACATTTATACTCCATCCTGGAAACCACACTGGCTCATTTCTACCTCATTGTATGCACCGGAGCAAGTCAATGTCCACAGGGAAGGAGACCAGCAACCACCTTTAGAAGGGAGAAGAGTCACAGGGTAAGCAGCCATGTTTCAGGTAAAACCGCCACACCGTCTGGAAACATGCTGATTCCAAGCAGGCCACAGGTGAGGGCTTTCGTGACATCTGGGTGACTATTTGTAACCTTGATGATTGATCAAAGGAGAAAAGGCAGGCTCCTCTTCTTGGCTCCCAGGGGTATCTCGCCCTGAGATTGCCTGGGGACCACAGTTAGTTCATCTGTGAAATGGGGCAATAACCTCTCTTTCTACTTATTTTGGAAGACATCTTAGAAAAATATCAAGTGTCGTGGCAGATGTAAGCCACATGACTGTTGCCTGAGATGGGGAAAGCAGGTAGGGGGCAGCTGGCTCAAAGCCCTGGGAGTTCCCAGAACACACGAGATGGACCCAGTTCCCATCAGCCCCCCATAGTGCCACAGAGACCCAATGCCTCCATGGCTGACAATCCCCCACAGGCTCCTGTCCTGCCACAGAGCCCCTTGGGAGGGAGCGGGCACCCTTCACACCTAACCACGGCTGTTCCAACACAGCCACTCCAATTTTAAGATATTCCCGACAACAAATCTCACTCGTATGCACTGTACACCTACATGTGCCAAGCACCGTTGCAGATCTTGGCAGCACCGCGCCACATTCCCTTCCTCACGGAGCTCAAGCTCAAGACCCGGAAGCTTCCAGGAACCCATGAGCCACTTGGGAGGTAACTCCTTTAGGAAACTTGACAGTATCGCTTCATTTTTCACCTGGATATTCTCACACTCTGTGGGGAGGCTAAATGGTAGAAACATGTCTATTTGGGGTGAGGTAAAAGCTTTAGGGATAGATGGTGGTGATGGTTGCATAATATTGTGAAGGCAATTAACACCACCATTTAGGTACACCTAAAATGGTTACCATATTAAGTTTTACGTTATACATATTTTACCACAGTTCTTAGAAAGTGAATAATGTGACACACCGCAGATCATTAAATGTCATGCTTTAAATGAGTGACTTGCACGGTATCTGAATTTATATCTCAATAAAGCTGCTTAAAAATAAATCAATAAAATTTTAAAAAGCTACTTTGAAAACATTTTAAAAAATTATAGCCCAGAATGGTAAGATTAAACTCTATCAACCATCAGGGACGTTTCCGAAATGCATGGTGTGCTCTTAATGACTAATTATTGTTCTGTTAACCAAGGCTTTGCTCAACAGAAAATCAAAGGTACACCAGGGAATGAGCCAAGCTCAGAATCTCACAGGAGAAACTTCTGGCCAATTGATTCACAATCAATTTTATCTCCACAGACATGCAGGAAGCTCAGACAGGCTGTAGAAATCAACTGGCCTCGAAAGTAACCCAATATCCCACGGTCTGTGTCCCTCCATCCTCCCTCCTCCCTTTGTCCTGGTTAATATAACTTGATACTTCATAATCCTGGAACTTACACGTGCCTCTGCAAAGGTGAAAATCCCCACAGTAGAGACACTTCGTCCAGCAGATATATGATCCCATTTGCCTATTAAATGCAAATATCCAAGTGGGCTGTTGGTTCAACCAACTACTCAAACAAATTGAGCCTAGATCCCAACAAAGGTGAATTGTGCAAAAATCAAAATGAGCCCTGGGTGGGATCAGCTTCAACACCACGAGAGGGAAATGGAGATGGGAAAGGAGCCGGGGTCAGTTCCCCCAAAAGGAGCCATGTGGTCTTGGTTTGGTTTTAATTAACTTTAGGAACACATTTTTTTCTTTGGCTGGCCTGTGCGAAGGTAGAATTGCGTGGCAACTGGCATTTCATGTAATTGGCACTGATGGTCACTGAACCCACAGGGCTGAGATCGACACCCCGAGTGCTGCTGATTTCGGTGAAATTGAACAACGTGCATGTGACCGCAAACCCAGCTGAAATGTGAATGCCCCGGAATGGGCTGGTTTGCAGCCTGAGAAGAATAGACTTCACTGTGCTCCAAATCAGGACGCAGTCCAAACCCGATCTGGATGTCCCACTGCCCGTGTAGGGGTCTGGGATACAGATCCTGAGGCTGAGGACACTCAATAGCCTCCCCTCCCCCATCTCCAGCCACCATCCAGCTGATGGGGGCCCCTGGCAGCCACCCAGGTCACTGTGTGTCCCAGGGTTAAGGGCTCTGGGGTTGGGCAGAGGGGGACCCAGCTGAAGGACAATGCATTTACTGACACCATCTAGGTAACTGATTAAACAGTCCTTGTGAGTAGACCTGGGCCTGGCCAATGCCCCCTGCAAGGTGCCCACCTGGGCCCCCAAGTGAGTCAGTGTGCACCAGGCCTGTCTCCTAGTAGACACGAGGCATGTTTATTATCAGTGATAATAACCCTAATGACACATTCGAAGGACCTGGGACTGCAGATGTGATGAATTTGACCGGGTTTCATTTCTCTCTGGCATTTAGAAAAGAGGAACCTCCCTTTATGCCCCTACTGTGAATGTCCACGTCCAAACCAACACACAAGCCAATACACGGCCACTACACTGCACAAACTTCATTTATGTGAGATCATCGGCCATGAGACCCTGTGGGCGCTCAGAGGAAGGGGGCTGATGCAGATGAAGAGGTCAAGAGACACTTCTGGAGGAGGTGATACCGGGGCAGAATCCTCAAGGAAGCATAGGAACCCTTCAAGACCAGGGATGGGGGTCCAGCCAGAAGGATCATGTGTGCAAAGGTGGGAAACCGCCAGGAGTCTCATGGAAATTCCATTTCCCAGGGTGATGTCCACACAGTTGGCAGGAGGCTGAAAGGGCCAGTCGGGAGTTGAGGGGAGCCCCGGAGGGCTTTTGAAGGTTGGTGCCTGATATGGTTTGGCTGTGTCCCCACCCAAATCTCATCTTAAATTGTAGCTCCCGTAATTCCCAAGTGTTACACGAGGGACCTGGTGGGAGATAATTGAATCAGGAGGGCGGTTTCCCCCCCATACTGTTCTCATGGTAGTAAATAAATCTCACGAGATCTGATGACTTTACAAGGGGTTTCCCCTTCCGCTTGGCTCTCATTCTCTCTTGCCTGCTGCTATGTAAGACGTGCCTTTCACCTTCCACCATGATTGTGAGGCCTCCCCAGCCACATGGAACGGTGAGTCCATTAAACCTCTTTTTCTTTATGAATGACCCAGTCTCTGGTATGTCGTTATCAGCAGCATGAAAAGGGACGGTGCCATGCCTGGGTGTGGGTGTTAGAAATCTTGGTCTCTTGGCCTCTGGAAGGTGAACTGGAAAGGGAGTGAGGCTGTGGCAGGAGACCAGGCTAGAAGTTATGACAATAAATCAGACACAAAGCAATGAAGCGTTGAGACCAATGGTGGCAATGGTGATGAGGGCGATGGTAGCAGTGGCGATGAGCATCACAGGGTAGATGCAATGTGGACTTAGGAAGACATACAGGATGTGACCTTCCATGACCCTCCCGGGCCATCCCTCCATTTTCCACCCTCTCTCTGCCCTGGGGTCAGGGAGCAATCCTCTGGGTCCTCTCCCCTCTGCTTCCAGTTGAGCTCAGCCACTGGGGAGCACAGACGATCTATGGGAGGTGGGACAGGGAGGCTGCCATTGGGAATATTTACTCTTCTCCCTCCTGGGAGGTCCTCCTTGGGAGATCATCTCAGGCTGCCATGTTCCTCAACCAAAGTCCACCACTTCTCTCATGGTGGCCACTTCTCCACGATTTTCTCTCCTTCTGAGTCCTGCTCCCCTCTCTTCCCTTGACCCCAGGACCTAGGAGTGGTAACAGCTACAATGCTACTGGCCCCGGTTTCTTGCTTCACCCCTCAGGCCTCCCTTATACCCATCTCCACCTGTATGGTAAGTCTCTCGGCAAACTCATCCTCCCAGAATTCTCCTAATTGAGTGGTTCATCTCCTTCCTATTGGGAGCCCAACTGAGAACAAACTTCACATTCACTTCTCAGAAGTCTTGAGTCATTTTACAGATATGTACTGTGTTTCTAGAAGTGTGTTCCAGGTACTGTGCAGGGAGCAATCCTGGTAGTGTCTCTGTTCCCATGAGGTCCTGCCCTGTCTCTATGGTCCAGGGCAGCATCTGGGGCCTTGGTAAATGTGGAGATTCATGAGCCCTGCCCTAGCCCCAGAGAATCGCAAACTCTGGGGAAAGGACCCCAGAGTCTGCAATTTTTAACAGAATTCTCAGGGGTTCTCAATAGGCCAAGCTCAAAGCTGCCAGTGCAGTGGCTCATGATGCTTTGTAACACCTTACACTAAGCAGAAGAGGGACCTGCCTGGCAAGCACAGCACTGGCATCATGGACACAGTCTGCCCAACTGGTCAGCAACCAGTAGAGTGCCCAGTGTCCAAGCCATCCGCATCAGAGGTTAAGGATTTAGAAGATCACTCCTGAATTCTTTTTTTTTTTTTTTTTGAGACGGAGTCTCGCTCTGTCGCCCAGGCTGGAGTGCAGTGGCGTGATCTCGGCTCACTGCAAGCTCCGCCTCCCGGGTTCACGCCATTCTCCTGCCTCAGCCTCCCGAGTAGCTGGGACTACAGGCGCCCGCTACCACGCCCGGCTAATTTTTTGTATTTTTAGTAGAGACGGGGTTTCACCGTGTTAGCCAGAATGGTCTCGATCTCCTGACCTCGTGATCCGCCCGCCTCGGCCTCCCAAAGTGCTGGGATTACAGGCGTGAGCCACCGCGCCCGGCCTCCTGAATTCTTAAGAACTAGCTGATGTGTTCATTTTTCTCCACTTATAATTTTCTGCTCTTTGCAATGTATCGCCAATCCCTCCATATTGTAACAACACAATAATAATTTCAAAACCAGTAATCTGTTATGCATATGCTTACAGTGTGACTGCTCCCTCCCTCCCCTGCTCTCTCTCCCTCCTCTATCTTCCTCCCTCTCCTTTTCTCTCTCTCCCTATATTAGCTGTAGCAAGTCCCGCTTTATAAAAAATCTATATATTTCTTAAAAAACATAAGTTGGTAGCAATTACTTATTTCATTTGAAAATTGCATTGCTTTTCCTTAACAAGGTCCCTGGCATAGTGACAGCATGATTTAGTGGACAAGAAAAGCAGGAGGCACAACTAGAAAGGATTCATCCGTGTTTTGAAATGAAGCAGAGCTGTGTTTCTCATCTGGAGACCTGCTCATCTGGGTGCCCCTTACTCTGACTCCAATGAAGGTTCCTGACTCTGTCGCTGGGGTTTCCCATCCATCCAAGATTTACTGAGCCCTGTGCTGTCTTCGTGGGGCCGTGATGGTAAAGAGAACCCCATTCCCCCACCTGTGGGGGACGTTTAGTCTCATACCTCTTTACTCTTCATGAATACATGCATTTTTTTTCTCCCTGAGTTTTGAGATGTTTAAAAATTCCTTTATCTTACTTCTTGAATGCAGCATTCAATACATTGCAATAGGTAAAATGTTACCGCCGTCGATCGTGAATTCCATTGCACAATATAAAAGCCCTCATTTGCTTTCCTTTTGGATTGGATTTCGAAATGGGTCAAATGTTTACAGAAATGGCCCAAACTGTACAAATAAACTGTAGCTCTAGTGAGGGAGGCAGTTTACATTACTCTCAGTCAGATGAATATGGAAGCTGCAGCCTGTCCTTTGAAAACCACTTCAAGCACTGTGCGTGTGAGTTCTGTGCCCCGTCTGGGATCCCTCAATTCCATCAAAAAGCTTCGGGAAAGGCATGGCGATCCTATAAATCCACACATCCATCCACACCCAGCTGGGTGGCTCTTGTCCTCCACTAGGTCAAACAAACAGGGGTTTTCACCCAGGCATCCTGCAATGCCCACATGGCGTGGACCTTCCCCAAGCTCCCTTCCCTTGAGGTCACCTGCACTGCTCACTCGGAGCTGCCATTGTTCACCCGAAGCACCTGGAGAGCAGGAACTGGGCCTTGCTCTCTCATATTTGGCACATGTGGCCTGGAGCCTTTGCACATAGTTGATCTTCACTTGTTTGCTAATCCAATCCCCTATTTTACAGACGGGGAAACAGAGGCACTGAAAGTCCTGCGTGCCTTGTGTAAGTAGATGTGGGCCCTATCACCTGAGTTTCAGAACAATGCCTGTGCTGGTTATAAAGCTCTTGTCTCTCAGCTCCAGAACCATCTGCAGTGGGAATTAGAATGGGCCCCAATTCAGTATTGGGGAATACTGGAGTCCTTAAAAGAAGAAGAGATGCACAGGGAGGGGACAGGCCACAAGAGGATGGAGACAGAGATTGGAGCACTGCAGCCGCAAGACAAGGACAGCCTGGAGCCACCAGGAGCTGGAAGAGGCAGGAAGGATTCTCCCCTAGAGCACTCAGAGGGAGCTGACACATTGACTTTGGACTTCTGGCCTCTAGAATGTGGGGGAATACGTTTCTGTTGCTGTGAGTCACCCAGGTCATGGTATTTTGTTACGGCAGTCCCCGGGCCCTCATACACTGTCCTTCTGTTCTTTGCATAGTGATGCTCCAGTGGGGCTGGGCAACCCCACTTCACCATTGCCAGCTGCTCCCTGTTTGGTTACACAAATAGGGGGCGCTAGAGGGCAACGCAGGAGAAGGCAGGAGAGCCGAGCTCCTTCCCCTCCCATCAGCATCCCAGCATCAATGGGTTTCACCTTGTCAGAAGCAGCTGGTTCCACTTTCCAGAATCTCTTCCCCCATCCATGCTGCACCCCTCCACCCCCACCCTTCAGAGACGCCAGCCTCAGCTGCTTAGCTTTGTTTCCTCGAGGGTCTGGGTCTTACCTCCATAGGACCCCTCCTCCAAGCTCCCAAATTCTCCTAACCTCAACCTCTTCCCTTTGTCGTCCTAGCCCTGGAGGTGTTAGCTGAGTCCATCTGTAATTCTTGCCTCTGCAGTATCTTAAAGTTCCCTTTTGCCTCTTTTCAGTGTTCCAATAACTAGATTTTAAAACATATTTATATTAAATTCTCTGTGTTAAAATAACTGATATGTTTAATGAGTATCGAGCTTCAGTTTGGGAAGATGAAAAAGCTATAGCGATGAATAATGGTGATGGGTGCACAATAATGTGAATGTACTTAATGCCACCAAATTGTAGTTAAAAATGGTGAAAATAGTAAATTTTTTTTTTTTTTCTTTTTTTTTTTTTTTGAGATGGAGTCTCACTCTGTCGCCCAGGCTGGAGTGCAATGGAGCAATCTCTGGTCATGTCAACCTCCGCCTCCCGGGTTCAAGCGATTCTCCTGCCTCAGCCTCCCAAGTAGCTGGGATTACAGGCATGTGCCACCACGCCTGGCTAATTTTTTTATCTTTAGTCGAGACTGGGTTTCACCACATTGGCCAGACTGGTCTCAAACTCCTGACCTCAGGTGATCTGCCCATCTTGGCCTCCCAAGGAGCTTGGATTACAGGCATGAGCCACCACGCCCAGCCAGAAAATAGCAAATTTTATGTGATGACGACTTTTACCCCTCAGCCCCGTCCCCCAACACAAGGCTGGTGTTGTTTCTATTTTCCTGACTGATGTACATTATTTAAATAGTGAGGATGAAATAAACACTCCTTATGATGATAATGACAGCTATCACTTTGAACCTTTCCCATGTGCTAACCTGTACTAAGTATTTAATCATCATAATATTTTACTAACTATTCTATGGTGTCTATTTTAGTGATGGAGAAGCTGAGCCTCAAAGTGGTTATGTTGCTTGGTATTAAAGATAGCAAAGGGTAGAAATCAAATTTATTGGACTGATTTTTAACAAAATTTATTTTTTATTTTTAGACAGGGTCTAGCTCTGTCGAGTGCAGTCGCACGATCATGATTCACTGCAGTCTCAACCTCCTGAGCTCAAAAGATCCTTCCACCTCAGCCACCCAAGTAGCTGGGACTATAGGCATGTGCCACCATGCCTGGCTAATTTTTTTTTTTTTTTTTTTTTTTTTTAGAAACGGGGTTTTGCCATGTTGCCTACCCTGGTAAAGCATTCCTCCCTCCTCAGCCTCCCGGTGCTGGGATTACAGGCATGAGCCACCACACCCAGCCTGGACTGATCTTCTTATCGTTATGTGATATACATATTTGTCTTTAGTAATTTCCTTTGTTCTAAAGTTGACTTTACCTGATATTAATATAGCCTCTTCTTTTTAAAATTAATATTTGCATGATATATCTTTTCCCATCTTTTTATTGTTAACCTCTGTCGTTATGTTGCAAGTGATTTCTTTCTTTTTTTTTTTTTTTTTGAGACAGAGTCTTGCTCTGTTGCCCAGGCTGGAGTGCAATGGCACAATCTTGGCTCACTGTAACCTCCACCTCCCGAGTTCAAGCGATTCTCCTGCCTCAGCCTCCCGAGTAGCTGGGATTACAGGCACCTGCTACCACACCCAGTTAATTTTTGTATTTTTAGTAGGGATGGGGTTTCACCATGTTGGTCAGGCTGGTGCAAGTGAGTTTCTTATAAAAAGCATATCGTTAGGTGGTGAGGTTTTTAAAAATCCTTCTGCCAATCTTTGTTTTTTCATTATTTTACTTCAAATATTTAAAGTAATTATTGATATAGCTTAAGTCTGCCATTTTCTTGTTTTCTGTTTGTTATATCTGTTTCTAATTCCTGTTTCTTTCTTTTTGCCATAAACATTTTTTGAGTTCCATTTTTATTTACTTAAAAATGTTTTTTAGCTTATGACTTTTTTATTTTTATTAGTGGCTGCTTCAGATACTATATCAACTAACTTATTAAAGTCTATTAGTATTGAGGTTTTACCGCTTTGAGTGAAGTTTAGAAAACTTACTTCCATTTGGGTCCCCTTATGCTCCCCACTTTTAAGATAAAATTGTCTTAGCTACTTCCTGTATATACATTGAATACCACCTCAGATAGTGCTATGATTTTTGCTTTAACTATCAAATAAGATTTAAGAAAGTCAAGAAGAGAAGTAATATCTGTTATATTTACTCCTACGTTTATCCATTCTTCTTTCCCTTCTTAAGTTCCTTAGACAACTTCCCAAAGTCATTTTTTAAGAGTGAGCCTGTTGAGAGATGGATTCTCTCAGTTTTTCTTCACCTGAGAATCTATTTCCCCTTCAATTTGGAAGGATATTTTTACTGGATATAAAATTTGTGGTTGACACTTCTTTTCTCTCAATCACTTGAAAAATATTGTGCTACTCTTTTCTGTCCTCTCTGGTTTCAGATAAAAAATCCACAGGCAATTGAATTGATGTTCTCCAACAGGTAAAATGTTATTTCTCTTTAGCTTCTTTCAAGATTTTTTACTTGTCTTTACTTTTCAGAAGTTTGCTTACAATGTGTCTTAGTGCAGATTTATCTGGGTTTACTCTGAGTTTTAGTCAGCTTCTTGAATCTCTTAGGGTTATGCCTTTCACCATATTTGGGAAATTTTCAGCCACTACTTTCTTATACATTTTTTCAGACCAACACGCTTTTTCTTCATTTTCTGACATTCTGACAATGTAAATATTAGATTTCTAAAATATTATACCACAGGTCCCTGGAGCTCTGTTTGTTGTTTTTTAAAATCTATTTTCTTTCTGTTGTTTAAATTGAATAATTTCTTTTGTTCTATCTTCAAGCAAACTCATTATTTCATCTGTCATATTTATTCTGCTGTTACACTCAACCAGTGTTTTTATTTTGGTTATTGTATTTTTCAGTTCTATAATTTCCTTTTGATTCTTTTTCATATCTTGCCCTTCTTTGTTGAGACTTTCTTTTTTTCAAGTATAGTCATGATTACTTGCTGAAGGATTTTTGTGATTGCTGTTTATAATCCTTGTCATATCATTCCAAATCATCTCATTTTTTGTGTTGGTGGTGGTCTTTTCTCTTTCAAGTTGTTATTGTCATGGTGCTTGTGATGATTAGCAGATTTTGTTTGGATCCTGGATCTTTGGGGGATTGTGTCATAAGACTAAGGACCCTGTTTAATTTTCTTTTTTATCAGGCAGTCACCATGTTCAGATGCATCCTGTAGATCCAGGGTAGGGGTGGTTGTTCACTGCTCCACTGGGCTCCATTGACCTATGCACTCTAAGTGGAGTGGTGATGACTCACACTAACTCACTGCATATGGGTGGGCTAGAAATTCACCCCCAACTCAGTACCACTGACACCAACTCACACTGCTTCATTGCTTCCAAATTGAGTAGTAAGCTCAGTTCCCTGCTGTACCCTCACTGATACTAGGGAGTGGGGGAAACAGAGTGCTGGCTAGCTCTGCCTCATTTGTCCTCATTCAGCCTTGTTGATGGGGTAGAGGCTCAGCTACCCATTGGGCCTCATTGTCAGCAGGGGGAGGGCAGGAGAAACTAGAGTGTGGACTAGCCCTTCCTCATTTTCATACCACTTCATTCAGCCTCATTGATGCTGGGCAGGATTCAAGGCTCAGCTCCTACTGTGCTTTGCTGATATATAGGGTGAAGTGAGGAGTGAGGAATGCCCACTAGCTCCACCTTACACTGTTGAATTCAGTCTATTTCCTTCCAGATGGGAATGGAGGTTTAGCTCGCCACTCAGCCCACCAATACCACCCCAACAGAGGAATCAGAGCATGCCTGCTTCTGCTGGATAGGAAATGAAAGGTTAGGTCACTGTTTGGCTCAGTTGACACCACTGGGTGGGAGACCTGGAAGGTTGTAGAGAAAGAAGGAGCGTTTCCGTTGGTTTTGGTTGGCTGGAGCATGGTGGCTATGGTCATCAAGGTTTTCAGTTCTGTTAATCCACACTTTTCCTGGTATGTTGACTGGAGAAAACAGGCTTTCTTAGGATGATTTTTTTGTCTGGGCCTGTTGATGGTTTGGGGCTCTGGGCTTCTCCAGCACCCTGTATGAGACAGATGGGACTCAATATGGAAACTCAGGAAACTTTGTGCTGAGTCATCCCTTAAGTCCCGAGATTCCTAAGCAGCCTGCCGTCTCCAATCCACATTTCAGAGTCTTTGCATGTTTGTTGTGCTATGTTCAGGGTTTTTAGTTATAAGAGGTAGGGATTGGAGGAATGGAGCTACTCCATCTTGGCAGGAACCAAGTCTCCTCAGAGGGAAAAGTCGAACTCAAGCCTATCCTACTTTCATAACCCCTGCCTTTTCAACCTTGCTTCCCCACCCAGCTGCCTCCATTATCTTTGCTGTAGGAACATTCGCCAACATGACCCTCAGTGTCAAATTCACAGCTGCACTTGGGACCTTCTAGCATAAGATATGTTGACCTTCTCCCCAGCCTTCCTCAGTTAATCATGGTTGAGAAGACTCACTGGGCCGCTAGTGTATTATCTCACATTCTTCTGGGGAATAACCTCCAAGTCTTTTCCCAACTGAAGGTTGACTCAAAGCGTGGGCCATCTAACCACTAACTCAGGAGGCCTCAGCAGCCATCTGACCCAAGGTTTCTTCACACGACACTTCACGTTCATTTTCCATTATTTAGTCCTCTCCTGAAGAGACACTCAGGAGAGAGGCATTTTAATCCCTCTTTGCTCTATGACTTCTTGGGTGGCCCAAGGAAAATAGATCAGCACATACTAAAAACCCTCAATCTCCTCATTCAGGAAGAGAACAAACATGTGGAAGAGAGTAGCTCCAGGCGCACCCAGGTCTCAAGAGGCCAGGAGGTAGCAGGAGAGGTAACAAGAGCCAAAGGTCAAGGTCACTTCTCTGGTGGCTTGCTATTTGGTAGTAAATTACAGAAATAGACGGTAACAGGCACAAGACGTCTCTTTCTGCCTGATTTTTCCATACAAAAGCTATATGTTCTGCAGAGAAATTGAGTGTTACATCAATGAATACAACTAAAAATTGATAAGAGCTCCCCAACCACCCCCATTTGTAATATGGAGATAATAACAGCACCCACCTCACAGCACTATTGTGGTTAGATGGCATCACGTGTATGAACTGATGTGCCTAGTGCCTGGCCTAGTAGTAAACTTCACATAATAATCATCCTTATATTTAGAATTACTGTTTCCTTAATCTTTTTTTTATTTTTATTTTTATTTTTTTTGAGACAGTCTCACTCTGTCACCCAGGCTGGAGTGCAGTGGTGCAATCTTGACTCACTGCAACCTCTGCCTCCAGGTTCAAGTGATTCTCTTGCCTTAGCCTCCTGAGTAGCTGGTATTAGAGGCATGCACCATGATGCCTGGCTAATTTTTGTATTTCTAATAGAGATGGAGTTTCCCCTTGTTGGCCAGACTGGTCTCGAACTCCTGACCTCAGGTGATCTGCCCGCCTCGGCCTCCCAAAGTGGTGGGATTACAGTCATGAGCCACCACGCCCGGCCCCTTAGTCTTTCATTCTACCAGTTTTCCTTTTGGTCATCCATCAAAGCTATTACAGAACAATTTTTTTCAAATACAGATGAGAGTCTTTGTACAGTTTCTTTCAGTTCTAAATCCCTATGACTTCAAATTCATTTTTCCACATTAAATTTGGGAAAAGGGGCAGCATTTGGAAAGTCCCATGGAAGACCAGAAACTGGAAGTTATAAAATCCTGAGCCATGACATCAGGATGTGGCAGCATTGTTTACACGAGGGATTGTCTCTTCCAGTAACCGAGGCCTCCCAGTCATCAACAATAGAGGCCAAAGGAGGTAAAATTATACAAATCTGGAAACCAAGACTTGATTTTCTCCTAGTTAGTATTTGAAATTGGGCTTAAGACATTGGTACAGCCAGGGAAATATTCAAAGCATCTTTTAGCTCACCCCTAAGGCAGCTTTGGATTTTGTCCGAGAATGGTCTGGTGTGAAAAGGAAGGAGGTTCTTAAGGACCTGAAAAATGCCTGAACTTAACTGAAGAAGTTGGAAATTTTTATGAACTGAAACTGTGCTTGTGATTATACAGCTTCCCTGAGGCCTCCTGTGAGTGGGGAATGCCAGTTCTATCCCTTTTAGTGATTGCACAGAAAGAGAAATATTTGGCTATTCACGTTCCTCTTCCATCGTGGCCACTTCCAAATCTCTGTATTCCATCTTGACTATCTCTTGGAAGTCTTGCTGCTATTGTATGTCACCACAATGGATGGATTCCACTATTTTTCCTCTACCAGCAAGAGGGCCTTTAACCCTGGTCCCATCATCTTCCTCTTCACCCCATCTCCAGCACCCATGGATAAGCCTTCCAATTTGTGGGCCTCCCAAGGACCTGGCCATCCCAATTCTGGTACTCTTTGCCTAGTATTTAAGTTTAGGTTGGGTTGCCTGTGTGTGATATGAGAGTGTGGAATCAACCTTTGTCTGGTCTAAGCCACTGTTAATTTGGGTCTCTGTTATTAAGCAGAAGCTTCTTCCTGAATATTACAAATGAGAGCCTGTTCCCTGCTAGCAAACAATAAGACCGAGAGAGGAAATGGCCGTGAGTTGACCTACGTGGGCAAGGGAACAGATGACTTCGCAGAATTCCAGTGTCCTCAAGCTTGGCATGCAAATGGTCACCACACCTGAAGGGCCAAATGGACAGGAAGAATGGGCATCTCAGTGCACATCAACTTCAAGGGCAGGTGGAATTCCCTCTGACACTTAGTGCCACATGAATCTAACAGCTCTCAGATATTACCCTAGCAAAGGTGAATGGAAGACCCCAGAAGTGATTGTGATTTAGTGAAACAGAAGCTCAAATTTGGGGTGAGGTTAAGTTATAAAAAAAATTAAGACATATTTAATGCACAACCAAAATTTGGACTAAGAAGGCAAGGCTTAGTGTCAGTATCCTCTTCCCTCTCACCCTCGCCCACAGTAATCACAGATGCCACCTTTATTCAGGTGAGTCCTATAC
Source organism: Homo sapiens (assembly GCF_000001405.40). NCBI lineage: Eukaryota > Metazoa > Chordata > Mammalia > Primates > Hominidae > Homo > Homo sapiens. The sequence goes on from NC_000016.10 coordinate 86,260,088, forward strand.
CCCTCTTCTGTAGCTCCTCCTACACCCTCAGATTCCAGAGCTGCAAAACGTTTCACCGCAAAGGGATCTTCATTTTACAGAAGAAGAACCTGAGGATGGAGAGGGTCTGGAACTTGAAATTAAGCTGAGTTCCTACCCAGAGCTGTCACTGCTTCATCACTCACCTCTACAGCTCCATGGGGACTGAGGGATATTTACAGATGGGGGCAAAACTGGTCAAATGCACCCAGCTGAGTCAGGTGGTACAGGGCACCTTCTGAAATGTAGATAAATCTGTTTCAGGGAATTACTAAACTAGGGTGCTGGGAAGATTGCTTCATTCACTCAAGGGACATTGTTACCTTAGACAACTGGAGACTATAGGGCCCATGGCACACCCTACAGTCAATTACTCAATTATTTTGCTAATAGGTGATGTAGGTGAAAGTCAGTTATTTCTATGCAGACAAAGTGAGGGAGAGATTCAACAATTATGTAAAAAATCTCAGAATAAGCAACATCTTTGGATATGTTAAGGGGGAGCAAATGACCAACAACCATCCTTTTTCTGGATATCAATAAATGTAAGTTTAAATTACCCAGATGTTTGAATCTCTGTCTATGTGTGTATTATCTAGCCATCTATCCACCCACCCAACCATCCATCTAGCTAGCTAGCTCTATCTAGCTAGCAGCTCTGGAATCTGAGGATGTAGGAGGAGCTATCCAGCTATCTAATGTATCTATTATCTGTCTATCTATATCAATCTATCTATCTGTCTATCTATCTACCTATCTATCATCTCTATAAACCAGATGAAGCTCCTCCATCTCTGTCTTGCTAAAAACCAAAAACAAAAACAAATTTCCTTAAGTATCCCTCACAGAGGTGACTCCAACACCACCACGGAAACAAATCCTCATTAGTCCAAGCCAACCATGTAGGTCCACTCCCCCAATCAATGGTTTAGCAATGGCCATGTGACCTACTTCTGGCCAACGAGACATGGGACATGATTCTCTTATTGAATGAAGGTGATATAAGAGAAGGAGGTTTCCTTCTTGCTCCCTGTCCTGGAACTGCTGCAGCCGTTGTGACCAACCTGAGGATGGAGCCAAGAGTGAAGAGGTGGAAAGATGGAAAGAACATGGTTCCTTGATGATATTGTAGAATGCTGCAATCCACCAGAAACCTGAGCCAACTTGAGAACCCGCACCACTTCTGGACTTGCCTTGTATGACATTATACATTTCCTTATTGTTTAAGCTAACTGAGGCCAATCAGCCTAAGGCTTCTTAAGTGATGTCAGTGTACTGTGGAATAACCTAGTATTTCCAACATTTTAGTCATTCAGTTTCCACCTTTCAGATGCTTTCTTATCTATATACCTCCTGTGATAGATATTATTTGAGCTGATCAATATTTCTATTCTTTTCTGGACATATGAAAGACTTCATTTCCCAGTACTCTTTGCAGGTGACCTGGGCCACGTGACTAGTTCTGGCCAATGGGGTTTGTGGAAAGGTGATGTGTCACTTCCTGGTCAATGCTTCACTTCCTAGTCAAAGGATTTAATTGCTTATGAAAGAACTTCGGAGCCACTTTCCCTGTATTGTGGCAAACCTTGACACTTAATTCTGAGCTAGCACTCAAGATGAAGCTATCACTTCAAGATGGAAGCAGCCTAGAATGCTGTCTCCACACAGGAGTGATGACTTGGAGAGTTGACCAGACCCACACAGCAAAATAAACCTTCGTTGTGTTCAGTCACTAAAATGTTGGGGGATAACTGCAGAATAATACTACCCACTTTTAATCTCTGCTTTTACTCAGTGAACATTTCTCTTTAACTAACTGACATTTCTACTTAAATAAACTTAATAAACTTGATACAACTACTGTGAACAGAAAACCAATGTCTCTTAAAAATAAATAATACAAACAAAGCAATGTTGTTACATTCTTGCTAGATGTTGCCTCCTCCCTGAGATCACCTCACCTTGTTATGAAGGGAGACAGGTAAATAGAAGTGTGAAAGATATATTAGCTCCAAACCGAGACTTCATTCTGGAGTTAAACAGATGTATTGAAAAAGAATTGGGGAGGAGCCAAGATGGCCGAATAGGAAGAGCTCCAGTCTACAGCTCCCAGCGTGAGCGACGCAGAAGACGGGTGATTTCTGCATTTCCATCTGAGGTACCGGGTTCATCTCACTACGGAGTGCCAGACAGTGGGCGCAGGTCAGTGGGTGCGCGCACCGTGTGCGAGCCGAAGCAGGGCAAGGCATTGCCTCACTTGGGAAGCGCAAGGGGTCAGGGAGTTCCCTGTCTGAGTCAAAGAAAGGGGTGACAGATGGCACCTGGAAAATCGGGTCACTCCCACCCGAATACTGCGCTTTTCCGACGGGCTTAAAAAAAACGGCGCACCACGAGATTATATCCCGCACCTGGCTCGGAGGGTCCTACGCCCAGGGAGTCTCACTAATTGCTAGCACAGCAGTCTGACATCAAACTGCAAGGCAGCAGCGAGGCTGGGGGAGGGGCGCCCGCCATTGCCCAGGCTTGCTTAGGTAAACAAAGCAGCCGGGAAGCTCGAACTGGGTGGAGCCCACCACAGCTCAAGGAGGCCTGCCTGCCTCTGTAGGCTCCACCTCTGGGGGCAGGGCACAGACAAACAAAAAGACAGCAGTAACCTCTGCAGACTTAAATGTCCCTGTCTGACAGCTTTGAAGAGAGCAGTGGTTCTCCCAGCACACAGCTGGAGATCTGAGAACGGGCAGACTGCCTCCTCAAGTGGGTCCCTGACCCCTGACCCCCGAGCAGCCTAACTGGGAGGCACCCCCCAGCAGGGGCACACTGACACCTCACACGGCAGGGTACTCCAACAGACCTGCAGCTCAGGGTCCTCTCTGTTAGAAGGAAAACTAACAAACAGAAAGGACATCCACACCAAAAACCCATCTGTACATCACCATCATCAAAGACCAAAAGTAGATAAAACCACAAAGATGGGGAAAAAACAGAACAAAAAACTGGAAACTCTAAAAAGCAGAGTGCCTCTCCTCCTCCAAAGGGAGGCAGTTCCTCACCAGCAATGGAACAAAGCTGGATGGGGAATGACTTTGACAAGCTGAGAGAAGAAGGCTTCAGACGATCAAATTACTCTGAGCTACGGGAGGACATTCAAACCAAAGGCAAAGAAGTTGAAAACTTTGAAAAAAATTTAGAAGAATGTATAACTAGAATAACCAATACAGAGAAGTGCTTAAAGGAGCTGATGGAGCTGAAAACCAAGGCTCCAGAACTACGTGAAGAATGCAGAAGCCTCAGGAGCCGATGCGATCAACTGGAAGAAAGGGTATCAGCGATGGAAGACGAAATGAATGAAATGAAGCGAGAAGGGAAGTCTAGAGAAAAAAGAATTAAAAGAAATGAGCAAAGCCTCCAAGAAATATGGGACTATGTGAAAAGACCAAATCTACGTCTGATTGGTGTACCTGAAAGTGATGGGGAGAATGGAACCAAGTTGGAAAACACTCTGCAGGATATTATCCAGGAGAACTTCCCCAATCTAGCAAGGCAGGCCAACGTTCAGATTCAGGAAATACAGAGAATGCCACAACAATACTCCTTGAGAAGAGCAACTCCAAGACACGTAATTGTCAGATTCAGCAAAGTTGAAATGAGGAAAAAATGTTAAGGACAGCCAGAGAGAAAGGTCGGGTTACCCTCAAAGGGAAGCCCATCAGACTAACAGCGGATCTCTCGGCAGAAACCCTACAAGCCAGAAGAGAGTGGGGGCCAATATTCAACATTCTTGAAGAAAAGTGTTTTCAACCCAGAATTTCGTATCCAGCCAAACTAAGCTTCATAAGTGAAGGAGAAATAAAATACTTTACAGACAAGCAAATGCTGAGAGATTTTGTCACCACCAGGCCTGCCCTAAAAGAGCTCCTGAAGAAAGCGCTAAACATGGAAAGGAACAACCAGTACCAGCCGCTGCAAAATCATGCCAAAATGTAAAGACCATCGAGACTAGGAAGAAACTGCATCAACTAACGAGCAAAATCACCAGCTAACATCATAATGACAGGATCAAATTCACACATAACAATATTAACTTTAAATGTAAATGGACTAAATTCTCCAATTAAAAGATACAGACTGGCAAATTGGATAAAGAGTCAAGACCCATCAGTGTGCTGTATTCAAGAAACCCATCTCACGTGCAGAGACACACATAGGCTCAAAATAAAAGGATGGAGGAAGATCTACCAAGCAAATGGAAAACAAAAAAAGGCAGGGGTTGCAATCCTAGTCTCTGATAAAACAGACTTTAAACCAACAAAGATCAAAAGAGACAAAGAAGGCCATTACATAATGGTAAAGGGATCAATTCAACAAGAAGAGCTAACTATCCTAAATATATATGCACCCAACACAGGAGCACCCAGATTCCTAAAGCAAGTCCTGAGTGACCTACAAAGAGACTTAGACTCCCACACATTAATAATGGGAGACTTTAACACCCCACTGTCAACATTAGACAGATCAACGAGACAGACAGTCAACAAGGATACCCAGGAATTGAACCCAGCTCTGCACCAAGCGGACCTAATAGACATCTACAGAACTCTCCACCCCAAATCAACAGAATATACATTTTTTTCAGCACCACACCACACCTATTCCAAAATTGACCACATACTTGGAAGTAAAGCTCTCCTCAGCAAATGTAAAAGAACAGAGATTATAACAAACTATCTCTCAGACCACAGTGCAATCAAACTAGAACTCAGGATTAAGAATCTCACTCAAAACCACTCAACTACATGGAAACTCAACAACCTGCTCCTGAATTACTACTAGGTACATAACAAAATGAAGGCAGAAATAAAGATGTTCTTTGAAACCAACGAGAACAAAGACACAACATACCAGAATCTCTGGGACACATTCAAAGCAGTGTGCAGAGGGAAATTTATAGCACTAAATGCCCACAAGAGAAAGCAGGAAAGATCCAAAATTGACACCCTAACATCACAATTAAAAGAACTAGAAAAGCAAGAGCAAACACATTCAAAAGCTAGCAGAAGGCAAGAAATAACTAAAATCAGAGCAGAACTGAAGGAAATAGAGACACAAAAAAACCCTTCAAAAAATTAATGAATCCAGGAGCTGGTTTTTTGAAAGGATCAACAAAATTGGTAGACCGCTAGCAAGACTAATAAAGAAAAAAACAGAGAAGAATCAAATAGACGCAATAAAAAATGATAAAGGGGATATCACCACCGATCCCACAGAAATACAAACTACCATCAGAGAATACTACAAACACCTCTATGCAAATAAACTAGAAAATCTAGAAGAAATAGATAAATTCCTGGACACATACACTCTCCCAAGACTAAAGCAGGAAGAAGTTGAATCTCTGAATAGACCAATAACAGGAGCTGAAATTGTGGCAATAATCAATAGCTTACCAACCAAAAAGAGTCCAGGACCAGATGGATTCACAGCCGAATTCTACCAGAGGTACAAGGAGGAACTGGTACCATTCCTTCTGAAACTATTCCAATCAATAGAAAAAGAGGGAATCCTCCCTAACTCATGTTATGAGGCCAGCATCATTCTGATACCAAAGCCGGGCAGAGACACAACCAAAAAAGAGAATTTTAGACCAATATCCTTGATGAACACTGATGCAAAAATCCTCAATAAAATACTGGCAAACCGAATCCAGCAGCACATCAAAAAGCTTATCCACCATGATCAAGTGGGCTTCATCCCTGGGATGCAAGGCTGGTTCAATATACGCAAATCAATAAATGTAATCCAGCATATAAACAGAGCCAAAGACAAAAACCACATGATTATCTCAATAGATGCAGAAAAGGCCTTTGACAAAATTCAACAACCCTTCATGCTAAAAACTCTCAATAAATCAGGTATTGATGGGACATATTTCAAAATAATAAGAGCTATCTATGACAAACCCACAGCCAATATCATACTGAATGGGCAAAACCTGGAAGCATTCCCTTTGAAAACTGGCACAAGACAGGGATGCCCTCTCTCACCACTCCTATTCAACATAGTGTTGGAATTTCTGGCCAAGGCAATTAGGCAGGAGAAGGAAATAAATGGTATTCAATTAGGAAAAGAGGAAGTCAAATTGTCCCTGTTTGCAGATGACATGATTGTATATCTAGAAAACCCCATCGTCTCAGCCCAAAATCTCCTTAAGCTGATAAGCAACTTCAGCAAAGTCTCAGGATACAAAATCAATGTACAAAAATCACAAGCACTCTTATACACCAACAACAGACAAACAGAGAGCCAAATCATGAGTGAACTCCCATTCACAATTGCTTCAAAGAGAATAAAATACCTAGGAATCCAACTTACAAGGGATGTGAAGGACCTCTTCAAGGAGTACTACAAACCACTGCTCAAGGAAATAAAAGAGGATACAAACAAATGGAAGAACATTCCATGCTCATGGGTAGGAAGAATCAATATCGTGAAAATGGCCATACTGCCCAAGGTAATTTACAGATTCAATGCCATCCCCATCAAGCTACCAATGCCTTTCTTCACAGAATTGGAAAAAACTACTTTAAAGTTCATATGGAACCAAAAAAGAGCCTGCATCGCCAAGTCAATCCTAAGCCAAAAGAACAAAGCTGGAGGCATCACACTACCTGACTTCAAACTATACTACAAGGCTGCAGTAACCAAAACAGCATGGTACTGGTACCAAAACAGAGATATAGATCAATGGAACAGAACAGAGCCCTCAGAAATAACGCCACATATCTACAACTATCTGATCTTTGACAAACTGAGAAAAACAAACAATGGGGAAAGGATTCCCTGTTTAATAAATGGTGCTGGGAAAACTGGCTAGCCATATGTAGAAAGCTGAAACTGGATCCCTTCCTTACACTTTATACAAAAATCAATTCAAGATGGATTAAAGACTTAAACCTTAGACCTAAAACCATAAAAACCCTAGAAGAAAACCTAGGCATTACCATTCAGGACATAGGCATGGGCAAGGACTTCATGTCTAAAACACCAAAAGCAATGGCAACAAAAGACAAAATTGACAAATGGGATCTAATTAAACGAAAGAGCTTCTGCACAACAAAAGAAACTACCATCAGAGTGAACAGGCAACCTACAAAATGGGAGAAAATTTTTGCAACTTACTCATCTGACAAAGGGCTAATATTCAGAATCTACAATGAACTCCAACAAATTTACAAGAAAAAAACAAACAACCCCATCAAAAAGTGGGCAAAGGACATGAACAGACACTTCTCAAAAGAAGACATTTATGCAGCCAAAAAACAAATGAAAAAATGCTCATCATCACTGGCCATCAGAGAAATGCAAATCAAAACCACAATGAGATACCATCTCACACCAGTTAGAATGGCAATCATTAAAAAGTCAGGAAACAACAGGTGCTGGAGAGGATGTGGGGAAACAGGAACACTTTTACACTGTTGGTGGGACTGTAAACTAGTTCAACCATTGTGGAAGTCAGTGTGGCGATTCCTCAGGGATCTAGAACTAGAAATACCATTTGACCCAGCCATCCCATTACTGTGTATATACCCAAAGGACTATAAATCATGCTGCTATAAAGACACATGCACACTTATGTTTATTGCGGCATTATTCACAACAGCAAAGACTTGGAACCAACCCAAATGGCCAACAATGATAGACTCGATTAAGAAAATGTGGCACACATACACCATGGAATACTATGCAGCCATGAAAAAGGATGAGTTCATGTCCTTTGTAGGGACATGGATGAAATTGGAAACCATCATTCTCAGTAAACTATCACAAGAACAAAAAACCAAACACCGCATATTCTCACTCATAGGTGGGAATTGAACAATGAGATCACATGGACACAGAAAGGGGAATATCACACTCTGGGGACTGTGGTGGGGTTGGGGGAGGGGGGAGGGATAGCATTGGGAGGTATACCTAATGCTAGATGACGAGTTACTGGGTGCAGCGCACCAGCATGGCACATATATACATATGTAACTAACCTGCACAATGTGCACATGTACCCTAAAACTTAAAGTATAATAAAAAAGAAAAAGAAAAAGAAAAAGAAAAAGAATTAGAAAAAAAGACTTTCTACTTGATTCAATAACTCCTGTGTCTGTTACCACCTAAAATCATCCTGTGCCCCGCTGACATGCATCTCACTCTTGGGGAAACAATGTTAATGGATGGGTGTCCAGCTCTTAGGTCCTAATATTCCTTCATTGAATTTTTGTGGTGTGTGTTTCAATAATTAGGGTCCCTCTCTGTTTCTTTCAGTGTTGCTTGTATGTTTACAACTGTTCCCATGAATTCCATTTCCTGGTGTGGTCATTTCATAGCATTTTTATAGCTGCTGCTACAGTGCTCCTGTTCCTCTTCCGTGCATATATTCAAAGATCCAGTTCATTTCCAAACATCAGCAGCGCCTGCTTGGTTCTAGGAATGTGTCTGGGGAACCAAAGGGCATGGAATTTTCTCCAGCTGTGGTATCAAGGGAAAGTGTCTTGGTGGAAACTGGGGAACTGTTTGAAACCTAGTTCAGCTGAGTCTGGTGACCCCAGCAAACAGCCTTTCAAGGTCTATCCTGAAACCTTAACACAATGTAACTCTGTAATATTCACATTCTCTGGTTTATTTAGAGCCATAGCATTTTAATGCCAGAAAATCCCCATATTTCCTTTAATGACTGGTATTTAAATTGACTGAATAAAAAATATGATTTGGTACCATCTTTCCTATAGTAGAGCACTGCATAATGAAGGGATGTGAGAAGACAGGTGTCTTAGTCCATTTTCTGTTGCAATAGCTGTATACCCCAGATTGAGTAATTTATGAAGAATAGGGGTTTATTTAGCTCACCATTCTGGAGACTGGGAAATCCAAGAGCATGGTGCTGGCATCTGGTTGGCTTCTGGTAAGGGCCTCCACTGCATCATAACCTGGAGGAGAAGCAGAAGAGGAAGTGGGTGCTTATAGAAGGGGCAAAGATGAGAGATGTCCTCACTTTATAACAACCTGCCTTTGTGGTGACCAATCTAGTCCTGCAAAAGCCATAACTCACTCCTTTGAGAATTAATCCTGTTTTGAAGGAGGGGCATTAATCCCTCTTAATGACCTAATCACCTCTTAAAGGCCCCACCTCCCAACATTGCTACGTGAGGGGCCAAACTTCTAACATAGACATTCTGAGGACATATTCAAACCATAGCAGCAAGTTTCTGTATAATTTGCTTTTTCTTTTCTTTTCTTTTATTATTATTATACTTTAAGTTTTAGGGTACATGTGCACAATGTGCAGGTTAGTTACATATGTATACATGTGCCATGCTGGTGTGCTGCACCCATTAACTCATCATTTAGCATTAGGTATATCTCCTAATGCTATCCCTCCCCTCTCCCCCCACTCCACAACAGTCCCCAGAGTGTGATGTTCCCCTTCCTGTGTCCATGTGTTCTCATTGTTCAATTCCCACCTATAAGTGAGAACATGCAGTGTTTGGTTTTTTGTCTTTGCGATAGTTTACTGAGAATGATGATTTCCAATTTCATCCATGTCCCTACAAAGGACATGAACTCATTTTTTGTGGCTGCATAGTATTCCATGGTGTATATGTGCCACATTTTCTTAATCCAGTCTATCATTGTTGGACACTTGGGTTGGTTCCAAGTCTTTGCTATTGTGAATAGTGCCGCAATAAACATACGTGTGCATGTGTCTTCATAGCAGCATGATTTATAGTCCTTTGGGTTAATTTGCTTTTTCAAAGGAGGTCTCTATCTAGGGTTTACTTCAGATATGCTGAAACTTGACTTTGAAGAGCCATGAAAACTATGAAGTTACTGCATCACTTTTATTCGCAAAGAGGCATTCAGGTTTCTTAAACACTGACTATGTGCTGGAAACAAAGAAGGAAAGCATCACCCAGTAGTAGGTGCTTCCTGTGTAACAGGTGCTGCTCTAAGCCTGTGTGCAGTAAGCAACACAGCCTCCACAATAATCCTATGTGGCAGATATTATTCGTCTCATTTTACATGAGGCAAATGAGGCCCAGAAAGGTTGAGTTACTTGCCCAAGGTCACTCAGTAGTAAGTGGCAGAACTGGGATTCACACTCGGGCTCTGAGTGATTTAGGAAGGAAAAGAAGTGCATTCCTACAGCAAATACCCATAAAATGACCCTGATTCCATCTTGGGGTCAGGGCAGGAGAAGTCTTGAGTGACTTCTCCTGCCCTGGAGTGAATGAACTCTGCAGGATTGGAAGTTCTTTCCAGCCTAAGGATCTGATGGGGGAAGAGATTGTCAGAGCATGTCCAGGCACACAAACGTGCCAGGAGAAGAGTACCCAGGGAGTGCCCCTGCTGTGCTCTGTGCCTGAGACAGTGGTGATGCTCGTACACCAAAGCCAGACTTGCCCCATAACTGCTGACAGAGGCAAGAGAGCAAGGGACTGCCCTGAGTTTTCTGGTGTCAGAAGAGGGTCAGAGATGAAGGACTGTGGCACATTGCCTAAGAATGCAAGTGCCCTGAGCTCCCTGGTGCTGAAAGGCAGCTGCGGTGGGCTTTGGGGGCCAGTCAGGGAAATGTGGGAGTGTGGGCTTGCCCTTGTTTACTATAGAGGAAGGTGTAGGCCCGTCCCAGACAGGGATGAGCCTCCTGGGGGAAGTTCCAGAACTGGGGCACTATCTTTCCGGGTAAAACTCTACCCTGTTACTGCCCTGGTACTAGAAGGCAGCACAGACCCTGGGACAGGATCCAGCCACGTGACCCTGGTGAGCCTCAGAGTTCCTGTCTGACCTCACTTTCTTCATCTCTGTAACAACAATAAAGAAAATCCCAACCTGAGAGGGTGTCACGAAGATTCAGGGGACGTAGCTGGGGTACTGGCACACAGCAACAGCATTCTTAGGCCTCATTAACGTGGTGTTCTTAGAATTTTCCAGAATAATTTAATGGGTGCACATGCATGTGCACTCACACACGCACATGCACACACATACACACAATTTTCATCGGGAAAATTGTTAATTTTCCTAGAATTTTCTAGAACAAAACTATGTAAGCATGCGTATGCATACGCTCTGTCTCTTTTTCTCTGACACACACACACACACACACACACGCCATTTCCAGTGGAGAAACTGTTAATATTTCATGAGGTTGTGGTTAAGCCAAGAACTGAATTCTCAGCCAAGGAAATCAAATTTTAAAACCCCAGGGGAAGTCAATACATAGGCATTGACAAGACTCTTTAATACTCTCTCTAAAATTACTCTATTCGACAACACTCCAACTTCTTTTGCTTTAAGCACTTTTCACCCAGGCATTTGAGCCTTCCTACACAGCATGGTGTGTGCACCCTTAGTGATGTCACAGTCCCCTCCTTAAGCTGGACCCAACTGGAAATATGTAAGGCTGTCCAGCATGGGTGGGGGCGGTATCCATCTCAGTCAACTCTCCATACTCCCATCTAGAAGGCACATCCTGGGGGAGAGGAGACAGCTCAAAATGGGGAACTGGAAAATGCAAGGATGAAGGAAGTGTTTGTGGGGAGAGGGACTGCTCTTTGCTCCCAGGCAATTCTGTTTTATGCATTGTTTTTACACAGCTTCGTAGCTCATCGAAATACAATGGCTGGTAACAGCTCTGGCTTACAGCAGGTCACAAGAGCCCACGATCATTTCCACTGAACAGATGAAGAAACTGAGGCCTGGAAAGGTTAAACCACCTTGCCCCAAGAGGACACAGCTAGCTAGAGGCAGTATCGAGATTCAGATTTAACTGCTGAATGTTGTGCACGGATGGCTAGCAAGGGTCTCATTCCCCCAGGGTCAGCGGGGAGTCAGCTAGGCTGTAGCCTACCCTGGACTTGGTGCCAAACAGCCCCAGCATCCTGCTTACCCCAAGTCCCTGAAGGTCCCAGAGACACTGGGTGAAGTGGTCCCAATGAACAAATGCCAGGCATCCACTTGAAATGATTTGGTGCTTAAAGTTACGTTTGGTTGTATGCTGTGTTCTGCAAACTCACAGTCTTTTTAAACAAAACGAGAACAGAATTAAAGCTCTCTGTGAAGATCTAGCTTGGGTGGAGCTGAAAGTTTTTCTCTTTCTGTGTACTCATTTAGAATCCTCTCTCCCAGCTGACGAGGGCATGTCTGTTTGACCCAGTTGCAAAGCAAGGGGCTGTGTATGTGGCTCTCACACCTTCCCAGGGCTGGAGGAGGTGATTGCTGGGTATCCTGGTTGTAAATGTAAACGGGGGTGTTTTGCTTTGTAAAGTCACTGGCTTAATTACACCGATGAGAACTTGAAAGCAAGCCTTGCCCCAGAGAACTGCAAATGCCGATTTAACCTCAATACAGAAACTAGAAAGTTTCCACCAGCTCACTCTAATTATTTAACATCCACCAGCATCCCAGGAATTGTGCTCCTTGCCTCCGTAATTAGAGCGATTATGGTGGCCAGTTACGCAAAGCATTTTGAAATATAGGAATGTAAGTATGAACAAGACTATGGCAAATTTTATTATAATTTCATGTGGTTCTTACTACCTGGCTCCAGAAAGAGGAAAAAGGTAGGTGTAAGGGTTTCTATTTATTATTATTACATACTTTCCTTATCTTATGTGTTATTGTTGTTGAGATATAAGCAGAAACTATTTATTGTGTAGGTCTTCCAAGAAAATATCTCAAAGAGTTGACTCATCTGATAAGCCTGACTTTTATCTTTCTCCTCCCATTACCACTTTTTTTCTGCCTGGAATGTGGATGCAATGGATGGAGCTCCAGCAGCCTTCTTGGACCATGAGATCTTAAAGAAAGAAGCTTGCAAAGTGGAACAGAAAGACTTCACGAGGCCTTCATGGAGCTAAATCCAGATCCCTCATTTCTTATGTTATTTTAATATGGAAAAAGAAATGGTGTTCCAGAGACAAACAGCTTGAGTTTAAATCCTGAGTCTGCTACCTCTTACACCAGTTGCTGGTAACCTTAGGCAAGTATTGTAAACTCTCCTGCATCTCAGTTTCCTTCTCTATAATATGAAGATAAAAATATTACTAACCTTATGTGGTTGTTATGAGAATTAAACACACACATGTATAAGTAATAAAAAGCACTATATACATACTTATTAAACTAAATACAACAAACACCCGCAGTGGGGACCTGCAGAGACCATCAGATAGCTCTTTTCTCTTAGACTCTGACACATCTCTGCTTCATTGTGTTTTGTTCTGAGCCTGGTTTTCCATCTTTGTGGTTGGTTGTTGAGCTATCCAGTGCAGTAAATTCCATTTCCCAGTGTTAATGATGCACACAGACCCTACCCAGCACAGCCCTAAGCTGGACTGCTGGCTCTGTGTCACTGCAGCCTATCAGGACTGTGAGACCAAGAGGAGGAATCTTGCCTCTGTCATCATCAGGATGAGAGTGTCCATTGCCCATAGGTCCTTCCACAGTGCCCAAGCATGGAGACTTGCTTGTAGATGTCTGGTGAGATGAGTTCCTTACAATGCCCAGCCTGGCTGAGCAGGGTCTCCACACTCCCCAGCATGGAGAGCCCCCACCTGAGACAAACAGTTGGCCCCTACCAGAACCCCCTTTCCAATGTCAGCTAAAAGTGACTTCTCACAAAATCCCTGCATTTATTCCTCACAGCCAAGCATCCTGGCCAGCTGGGCAGGTCTCCTTTTGCTAAGAACAAAACCCTCCCGAAGACTCCAGGACCTGGAGCTGGGCAAATTCCAGGGAAGGTTATTTCCACGACATTCCCTGAGTTTCACATGGGATGGTTGTAACTGTGAAAGTCGCCAGGAGGCTGTAGGTACTTCATTTTTGCTTACTTCTTAGGAGCATCTTACATGGAAGGCTGGTCTGAGGGAAGCCTTTGTGCCTGAGATAGGTGGCCAGATTTTTTGGGGACTGTTTTAATTTCGGTCCTCTCCCAAGAGATGCAGAGGAACCGAGTTTGTTTAGCTGACGATCCCAGGAAAGTCAGTGAATGGGTGAGGAAGAGAAATGAGGACAGAGGGCAATTGATAGTGAGCAGTCATTGGCCTACTTACCAAGTGGGCACTGAGCTCAACCCTGCTTGAAACCCTGGGAGCCAGTGTAGACAGATGCTCAGAGTTCCCCAGGAGACACAGCTGCAATACACCAACTCTGGGTGGTCGTTGCTCAAAGATTGCTGGTGCCTACGTGTGCATGTGCATGCATGTGTGCATGCGTGAACTCCCAGGAACTCAAGCTTGCTGTGCAGGTGGCAAAATCCAGAGGCAGCCCCATGCAAAGAAAAGCAGGTGCTGGCCATTTGAGCTGGGCAGGCCAACTGTCACAGTGAGGCTGCGGTGGTCCCTTACCCCCTGCCCTCTGTTCTTACCTCTGACCAGGTCCCCAGCTGATCTCCCAAGCAAGGCCACATCTCTCCCACAGAGAAGCCCAGCCTTACAGAGGGCAGGTGCGTAGGGAGGCACCATGAGACCTGCACATTCTAATTTGGAAGCGCTAGCCTGCCATTTTATGAAACTACAGCAACAGCAGTGGGTAAATTTAAGGTCCACAGTTGGCAAAAACAAAAGCAAAAGTCTGACAACTCTAGTCAGCTCCCCCAAGTTATTTCTTTTTCAATTTGAAGGGAACTTGTCATGATTTGTAAAATCCCAAAGTCTGGAACCCAGAGCTCCAGGTGGTTGAGCATTCCCTTCCAGCCCACAATTCTGTTCCCGCCGCACAGCACCTCCCATGCTCCTCTCTTTCAAAGACGTAATCTGGCATCTTTTTCCCCTGGAAAAGGCCATGTCCCCTCTCTGTGTATGTTCTATGCCTGTGCCCGTTCTGGGGTTGTTTGGCCACAGTCCTGTCTCTTTAGTTGGCTGTGTGGATCCTCCCAGAGGGAGGAGGCAGAGACTTGATCTCTCTCTGTATAAGCAGTGGCAGGTGCAATGCTGCCAATGGACAATGCAGGCAATACCAGTTTCTGGCATAAATGAACGAATGAATGAATGAAGCACGTGTGCACCTTAGATTCATATCCTCAGGTGGGCCCTCTGCAGAACAAGATGCTGAGAACCCAGAGGGTGGGAACATTACTTGGTCCATTTCAGACTGCCTTGAGTGGATGAGGAAACTTGCCTGGCGTCTGGGGATCCTTGCTAGGTTTTTCCTGAATTGAATTATCTGATGTTTGTTT
Organism: Homo sapiens; assembly: GCF_000001405.40. Classification (NCBI taxonomy): domain Eukaryota; kingdom Metazoa; phylum Chordata; class Mammalia; order Primates; family Hominidae; genus Homo; species Homo sapiens. The sequence continues at coordinate 86,275,332 of NC_000016.10, forward strand.
GCATTAACATTAGGACCAAGTATAGCTGAGTATATATGAGAAATGTCTACATGAAAATCTATGAAACAGGAATACAGTTCTATTTTTTTGAAGTATTTTTTAGCCAGTCAAATTTAGCAGTGAAGGATTGTATACCAACTTTAGTGACACTAATGTTAATAAATTCTGAAATCTACTGCCACTGGACCAGCCAGGAATACAGTTTTAAATGACTGTCTAATGACAGCATCCTACAGATGTACCTGTACATCGACAAACATTGTTATGCATAGTGCACGTATTATCATGCATCTCATATACATTATAATGAATATGTAATAATTATTGTAACTTAATAATAGATATATGCGACAATATTAATTATAACTTACATTGATCCGTTGCCTATTATGACTTGCAGGTTAGGGGCTCAGGTACAGAGATGATATACAAATCCCAGCTCTGCCACCTTGAATACATGACTTCCTCACTCTGGGCCTCCGTGTCGCCACCTATAAAATGGAGATGATAATATTAGCATCCAATACATAGGGCTAGAGAAGTCTTATATATGGAGACAGAAGTAAAGTGCGTAGCATTTAATAGGGAACCAATCAATGTAAGTTATAATTAATATTGTGACATAATTAGTCAATGTGTTATAATAATTATTGCATATTATATGCATTATAATGCATATGAGATACAGTATAATATATGCACTATGCATAACAATGTTAGTTGATGTACAGGATTTTCATAACATCCTTATCCTTTGTTAATTATTTTCCTATTAAAATAATCATATTCAGGCTTTTCAAAGAACTGAAAGTATTTTTCTCATATAATCTTCCAACATATTCGCCATGTATATTAATTACTTAAACATGCTTTTTTCCCCTTCGGAAAGTATACTTTCTTAATAATGATTAAATGTGCTGCAATTAATTTGGCAAAATATAGAATTGCAGAACTTAAAAACCAGGAGTGACCTTGGTGATCGTTGAGTCAGAAAGGATTTGACACGGAGCTCATTGTGGACGGATCTGGATATCATCCTTATTTATTTATTCATTAGAGAAAACATGTTTCCATCATCCTCTAACTTGGCCTAATTCCCTAATATGTGCATATTTCTATGCACTAGTTCAAACAGTAGCTTGGTACTGGCCACTGAAAGAGAATAAAGGAGACAGCTGGCTGATGAAGAACTGGCATCAAATGTTCAACAGCACTGATGTAAAGTGGCTTACTCCCCTGATGGTCACTGGCATCAGGGAGAAGGTGTATTAGTCCATTTTCACATTGCTCTAAAAAAATACCTGAGACTGGGTAATTTATAAAGAAAAGAGGTTTACTTGATTCACAGTTCTGCATGGCTGGGAGGTCTCAGGAAACTTACAATCATGAAGGGCAAAGGGGAAGCAAGGCACATCTTACATGGTGGCAGGAGAGAGAGAAAGTGCAGGAAAAACTGCCACTTTTGTTTGTTTGTTTTTTGAGACAGAGTTTGTTTTTTGAGACAGGCAACAGTTTCTTGTTGCCCAGGCTGGAGTTCAATGATGTGATTTCGGCTCACCGCAACCTTCACCTCCTGGGTTCAAGCAGTTTTCCTGCCTCAGTCTCCTGAGTAGCTGGGATTACTCGCATGCACCAGCATGCCTGGCTAATTTTGTATTTTTAGTAGAGATGGGGTTTCTCCATGTTAGTCAGGCTGGTCTCGAACTCTGGACCTCAGGTGATCTGCCCACCTCGGCCTCCCAAAGTGCTGGGATTACAGGCGTCAGCCACTGCACCTGGACAAAACTGCCACTTTTTAAAACATCAGATCTCATGAGAACTCCCTCACTGTAACAAGAACGGCATGGGGGAAACAGCACCCATGATCCAATTGCCTCTCACCAGGTCCCTCCCTTGACATGTGGGGATTACCATTTGAGATGAGATTTGGGTGGGGACACAGAGCCAAACCACAGCAACAGGAGACTTTGGTGAGTATCTGTGTGCATGGGTGGGGAGGTGAGGAGAGTGAATTTGAAAAACAATCATCACTGCTGATCTGCTCAGAGCAACATTCAGAGGCAGTTGAATTCTGTTCAGATGCAAAAGAGAGCTGAATGCACATTCCACCAGCCACGTGCACCTGCTTCGGTGTGAAACAGATTTCATAGCTGGTGAACCAAGCAGAGGGTTGCCAGCTGCAGGCGCATGGCATTCCAAGCTCCAGAAACTGGCTCATTCAGAACAGGGGTTGGGGTGCAGTGATTGCTTTTCATTTCACTTTTTTGTAAGATCTTATTGCTGTTTCATTTCATGCTCAGATAGCAGCTATTCAAATAAGTAAATATGTAAGTGGAGACAGGGTGTTGCCTCTACGTCCCCAGCCTGGAGACCAGATCCCCAGCTGCTCTCCCCAGTAAGGCCATGTCTCCCCATAGAGAAGCCCAGAACAGCCACTGAAGGCTCCAAACAGAGACTGAGAAGTCAAATGACCAGGGCCACTTGACCAGAACATGAGGGGCCAGAGCTCCATCTGAGAGTTCCATTGCTCTATTTGCACATTCAGGCTCTCCCTAAATTGCCAGTTGCAGAAATTAACTTCAAGCTCATGTCCCCAGATCAAATGGTCTCCAGGACAGGAGACAATCATGCCTGCTGGGAAAGGAGCACACAAGTGCCACCAGCCCCCTTGGGTTGGCACTAAATTTAAGAAGGCGTCCTATACCCATTTTACAGATGCTGAAATGAAGACTCCCCAAGGTTAAGTGGCTCTCTTGAGACGACTGTCAGGCCTCTGAGCCCAGGCCAGGCCATCGCATCCCCTGTGACTTGCACGCATACATCCAGATGGCCTGAAGTAACTGAAGATCCACAAAAGAAGTAAAAACAGCCTTAACTGATGACATTCCACCATTGTGATTTGTTCCTGCCCCACCCTAGCTGATCAATGTACTTTGTAATCTCCCCCACCCTTAAGAAGGTTCTTTGTAATTCTCCCCACCCTTGAGAATGTACTTTGTGAGATCCACCCCTGCCCAGCAGAGAACAACCCCCTTTGACTGTAATTTTCCATTACCTTCCCAAATCCTATAAAACGGCCCCACCCCTATCTCCCTTCCCTGACTCTCTTTTCGGACGCAGCCCGCCTGCGCCCAGGTGAAATACACAGCCATGTTGCTCACACAAAGCCTGTTTGGTGGGCTCTTCACACGGACACGTATGCAATTTGGTGCCGTGACTCGGATCGGGGGACCTCCCTTGGGAGATCAATCCCCTGTCCTCCTGCTCTTTGCTCCGTGGGAAAGATCCACCTATGACCTCAGGTCCTCAGACCGACCAGCCCAAGAAACATCTCACCAATTTCAAATCCGGTAAGCGGCCTCTTTTTACTCTCTTCTCCAACCTCCCTCACTATACCCTTAGCGGCAAGTCCCGCTTTCCTGGGGCAGGGGCAGGTACCCCTCAACCCCTTCTCCTTCACCCTCAGCGGCAAGTCCCGCTTTCCTGGGGCAGGGGCAGGTGCCCCTCGACCCCTTCTCCTTCACCCTCAGCGGCAAGTCCCGCTTTCCTGGGGCAGGGGCAGGTGCCCCTCAACCCCTTCTCCTTCACCCTCAGCGGCAAGTCCCGCTTTCCTGGGGCAGGGGCAGGTGCCCCTCGACCCCTTCTCCTTCACCCTCAGCGGCAAGTCCCGCTTTCCTGGGGCAGGGGCAGGTACCCCTCGACCCTTTCTCCTTCACCCTCAGCGGCAAGTCCCGCTTTCCTGGGGCAGGACTTGCCGCTTTCCTGGGGTAGGGACAAGTACCCCTGAACCCCTTCTCCACATTACCTGCTTTTCAAGGGCCTGTTTCCCTTGCCTCCATAACTGTTGTGGGTATTGACAGCCAGGCTTCTAAACCTCTTAAAACTCCCCCACTCTGGTGCCAACTTGGACGACACTCTTTTATGCACTCTTTTTTAGTTATCCCCACCTGCCCAGTTCCCTTATTAGGCCGAGATATTTTAACCAAATTATCTGCTTCCCTGACTATTCCTGGACTACAGCTGCAACTCATTGCTGCCCTTCTCGCTAACCCAAAGCCTCCTTCGCGTCTTTCTTTCATATCCCCCCACCTTAACCCACAAGTATGGGACATCTCTACTCCTTCCCTGGCAACTGATCACATGCCCATTACCATCCCGTTAAAACCTAATCACCCTTACCCCACTCAACGCCAGTATCCCATCCCACAGCATGCTTTAAAAGGATTAAAGCCTGTTATCACTCGCCTGCTACAGCATGGGCTTCTAAAACCTATAAACTCTCCTTACCATTCCCCCATTTTACCTGTCCTAAAACCAGACAGGGCTTACAGGTTAGTTCAGAATCTGTGCCTTATCAACCAAATTGTTTTGCCTATCCACCCCGTGGTGCCAAACCCATATACTCTCCTATCCTCAATACCTGCCTCTACAACCCATTATTCTGTTCTGGATCTCAAACATGCTTTCTTTACTATTCCTTTGCACCCTTCATCCCAGCCTCTCTTTGCTTTCACTTGGACTGACCCTGACACCCATTAGGCTCAGCAAATTACCTAGGCTGTACTGCCGCAAGGCTTCACAGACAGCCCCCATTACTTCAATCAAGCCCAAATTTCTTCCTCATCTGTTACCTATCTCGGCATAATTCTCATAAAAACACACGTGCTCTCCCTGCCAATCGTGTCCGACTGATCTCTCAAACCCCGGCACCTTTCTACAAAACAATAACTCCTTTCCTTCCTAGGCATGGTTAGCGTGGTCGTAATTCTTACACAAGAGCCAGGACCACACCCTGTAGCCTTTCTGTCCAAACAACTTGACCTTACTGTTTTAACCTAGCCCTCATGTCTGCGTGCAGCGGCTGCCGCTGCTTTAATACTTTTAGAGGCCCTCAAAATCACAAACTTTATCAGTCCTCCAGGCCCAAGTTGACTCTTCAGCTGCAGTTGTCCTCCAAAACCGCCAAGGCCTTGACTGACTTACTGCTGAAAAAGGAGGACTCTGCATATTCTTAAATGAGGAGTGTTGTTTTTACCTAAATGCATCTGGCCTGGTGTATGACAACATAAAAAAACTCAAGGATAGAGCCCAAAAACTTGCCAACCAAGCAAGTAATTACGCTGAACCCCCTTGGGCACTCTCTAATTGGATGTCCTGGGTCCTCCCAATTCTTAGTCCTTTAATACCCATTTTTCTCCTCCTTTTATTCGGACCTTGTATCTTCCGTTTAGCTTCTCAATTCATCCAAAACCGTATCCAGGCCATCACCAATCATTCTATACGACAAATGTTTCTTCTAACATCCCCACAATATCACCCCTTACCACAAGACCTCCCTTCAGCTTAATCTCTCCCACTCTAGGTTCCCACGCCGCCCCTAATCCCGCTCGAAGCAGCCCTGAGAAACATCACCCGTTCTCTCTCCATACCACCCCCCAAAAATTTCCGCCGCTCCAACACTTCAACGCTATTTTGTTTTATTTGTCTTATTAATATAAGAAGGCAGGAATGTCAGGCCTCTGAGCCCAGGCCAGGCCATCACATCCCGTGACTTGCACGCATACATCCAGATGGCCTGAAGTAACTGAAGATCCACAAAAGAAGTAAAAACAGCCTTAACTGATGACATTCCACCATTGTGATTTGTTCCTGCCCCACCCTAACTGATCAATGTACTTTGTAATCTCCCCCACCCTTAAGAAGGTTCTTTGTAATTCTCCCCACCCTTGAGAATGTACTTTGTGAGATCCACCCCTGCCCAGCAGAGAACAACCCCCTTTGACTGTAATTTTCCATTACCTTCCCAAATCCTATAAAACGGCCCAACCCCTATCTCCCTTCCCTGACTCTCTTTTCGGACGCAGCCCGCCTGCGCCCAGGTGAAATAAACAGCCATGTTGCTCACACAAAGCCTGTTTGGTGGGCTCTTCACACGGACGCGCATGAAAATGACAGAGGACTTTCTGACTCCAACCACTTCTCAGACCCAGCCAGCCTGCATGGGATGTCAGCTTTAAAGACCTTAATCCTTTTGAAAGGAAGAGCTGCTTTATAGATCAGATAATTAAGTGGTTTTTTCTCCCTAGAATGTCAAAACACAATGAGCTCAACATAGTTCTGAAGTAGAGCCGTTAAAAAATTACCAGAAGGAGGCTACAGAGCATTGCTCACGTAGGGGTGGCATGTCCCAGGCATGGGGTGCTCCGGGCCAGCTGGAAGGAGGCTAGAAGGACCGCCTGGCTCACATAGCATTGTCACTGCTGCAGATGCCTGCCCGAGCCAGCGCACAGCTCTGCACGCCAATTCCCATGCTTCAGCCAAGGGTGACCGGGCTGTCTGCCTGGCCCTTTTCATGACGGGTCCAGGTGCCATGTGCTCATAGGAATGGGAGCTGTTGAGAACACCTGACGCTGCTCACACATTTAACTGATGGCTAAGACTGGGCCACGACCCTCAGTCACCCACATTTCCGGCTGGCCACTGAGCCAACCCATCCCCCTCTGTATGAGCCAAATCTCTTCTGAAGCCCTGAGTTCTGGGCTCCGAGAACTACTATAAGGTGAACCTAGGGAAAATGAGACCCAGAAATATAAATGGGCTACATTTCAGCCACTCTTCACTGCCCCACAATACTCTTCACTCTTCTTTTTCTAACAGAACCCTAGTTTTGTTTGAGGGGAGCAATAAGCCCAGCTGAGCACACGAACGCCACCAGATTCCTCCAAATTACAAGTGACTCTGTGACATAGTTCTGGCCAATGAGGCATAAACTGCCGGTTTCGGAGAACCCTGAATCCTCCTCCCTCTGCCCTTCTTTTGCCTGCAATACTGTTGGACAGAGGTGATAGAGGTGATTTTTTTGCCTGAAATACTGCTGGTGTGGTGGTTAAATCCAAGTGTCTGGAGTCCATCTCCCTGGTTTGATACTCAGAATTGCCACTTGCAGGTCCTATGACCCCAGCAAGTGCCTTAATTGCCGTGGGCCTCAGTATTCTTGCTATAAAAAAGCACCTTCCTTGTAGGTTGTTAGGGAGGGTTAAATGAATTAACACATGCAAAGCCCTTGAAGCAATGCCAGCAAATAGGAAGGCTGTCAGGGGGTTGGCCCTTGTTATGTTTCTGGAGGGGAAGCAGCCCTTTTGTAACTGTGAGGACACACACACCAGAACGCAGCAGAGAAAAAGTGCAGGGCCCTGATCACGTGGCTAAGCAGTTGCACCCTCTGTGAACTCCCTTGAACTCCCTACCTCCAGATTCCTGTTGGAACAGACAAAAGGCTTGTTAGTTAGAACCTCTTATTAGTTAGATTTTCTATGCAATTTACCAATCTGGTGGGTGCCCAACCTCACTGGATTATCCTAGTGATCCGACAAAGGGATGCAGGAAAAATGGTATTTGACTGTTCATACCCTTCCCTGGTCTAGCATATTTCCTGATTTCTGTTTCCTGGAAAGAGACGCCAACCCTAAGTAACCCAGGCTTCTCCCAAGATGAATGTGTTCTGTTGTCCTGGACTGGATTTTCAGTGGGTACTTCTTTTCAAGGCTTTCAAACAGAAAGAATGGCAGCTCATGAAAAGTCTAGACCTACATCCTCTATTGCATTGATGTCCCAGTCTTGAGGCCGTATGAATAGCCTTCACTTGTTTTACATAAATGTGAGGGGACAGATTCGAGACGGTCAAAACCCCATCCCCTATCCCACATGTTCTCTTCCCATTGAGAGGTTGGGTCTGTGCCCCTCCCCTGAATCTGGTGGCCCTATGACCCCGAATTCAATTGCACGCAGTGAAAATGCCACTGTGTGACTTCTCAGGCCAGTTTGTGAAACACTACACAGCTTTGCCTGGTCCTCTGGGGCACTCGTTCTGGGGGAAGCCACTGCCACATAAGAAGTCCGACAGCCCTGAGGCGGTCATGCTGGGGGTCCATGTGTGGGCACCCCAATCCATACTCCAGCCGGGCTCCCAGACACCAACCAGCATTTACTAGCAGCTATAAACATGTGTCATCTAGAACATCCAACCCAGTCAACATCTGACCACAGTCAAATGAGACACCCCTAGTGAGAACCACCGAGCCGAGATCTTCCTGGATTTCTAATCCACAAAACCATGAGCAACATCATATAGTTCTAGCCACTAAGTTTTTGGGTAATTTTCCCATAACAATAACAACTAGAACAGAAGGAATCCTCCATAACACTCAGTATGTTATTGATGAAAATGTTTTATGCTCTCTGAGGACATTCCATTACCCTAGGCTCACAGTAATTACACTGAATCTTCAAGAAAACTGAATTCTCACTTCTGTCTTTTCCCAAGCAAAGACTTGGGAAAAGTCATCTGCATTTCAAGGGAAATATTTTTTATTTATTTATTTTTTTATCTTGAGACAGAGTCTTGCTCTGTCTTCAGGCTGGAGTGCAGTGGCGTGATCTCGGCTCACTGCAACCTCCGCCTCCCAGGTTCAAGCGATTCTTCTGCCTCAGCCTCCTGAGTAGCTGGGATTACAGGTGTGCACCACCACGCCCAACTAATTTTTGTATTTTTAATAGAGACGGGGTTTCACCATGTTGGCCAGGATGGTCTCGATCTCTTGACCTCGAGATCCACCCACCTTGGTCTCCCAAAGTGCTGGGATTACAGGGTGAGGCACTGCCCCAGGCCAAGGGAAATACCTTTGACAGCATTTGTTTCTTCTGAATGTTCACGGAACCTCTGGTGAGCTCTACACAATGTTGAGCAGTGCCAACCTCAGCCCCGATTGCACCCAAAGCCAGGGAGGTCCCAAGGAGACTTCCACGTGCCAGATTCCCAGCCCCACTGCTGGCAGCGGCCATGACCTCGAAGGTCACAGAGACTGAAGTGCCATATGCAGGCATGCAGGCCAGGAGGAGCTCAGAGTCTGTGTCCCTATCAGCTACATAATGCTGATTTCACTGACTTTAAATGTTCTTGTGTTGGGTTTTTCCCAAGGAGCTAATTAACACACATCAACTAATTTGGCATCCTAGGGTCTCCAGGTACTATTTACAAACTGCTATTTAACTCTCTTAACAAAGGAGAGCAAGATACGAAACAGTTCTTGTAAGAGGAGAAGGCGGAATCCTCTTCTGTCTCCTCTCCCCATCTTTAAATGGCCCCATTTTAAAATTTTTAACTCTTCCCATTAAAAAATTTTTTTAAATCTCCCCATTTAAAAATATCTGGGTAAGAGGCTGTGGAGGAAATTAAAGAGTAGGAGCCAGAGGTCCCAGGTGCAGAAACTCTGGGGTATGGCGAGACCCCTGAGGCAGGCATGACTAGCTTTGAGATCTGGGTACCAGATGCCCATCTGCTACCCTGTCTCATGAAAGTTGGCCAACTAGAACTCAGCTGGTCATGGGGGAGGCAGGGTAAGATGCCAAGAGGAGAACCTGGACATCTGCTGGAAGCACCGGCATAGACTCTTAAAGAGCCAGCGCAAGAAATGTCCTCCAGGTGGAGCCTCAGTTTCCCCCTCTGTGAAACAGGGAGACTAAGAGTACTTCATAGGATTGTCATGACAATTTAATGAGATAAAAATGCAAAGTTGCCAGCACAGTTCTTGGCATTTCGGAGGAATCTGATAAATGTCATACCGCTGCTGTTTTAGTGTTAGGGTGGTGATCCATAGCGGACACCTCCGGCTTTCGGACCATTCCATTCAACTCACAACCTTGGAAGGAGGCAAGCTCCAGGCCATCGGCTCCCTGTTCAACCTCTTTGGGCCTCAGTTCCCCCATCGGTGAGATGGAGGTTCTCTGCTGCTGCATTATGGGGGTGGGGGTGGTGTGGGAAGGGTGCCAGGGATTGGGCACAGGAAAGCACCCCCAGCCCAACTGCTGAGCTGCCAGAAACCTGGAGAGTATATGAGGTGCCACTTTAGGGCATTCCCTGTTTCGTTTCAGGGTTCCTGTATGGAACCTGAGACCACCAAAGGCACGCTGTGGTGCCGAGACCCAGTGCCTGCCTCTCTCAGTAGCACTGTTCCAAAGCCATCAGCTCTTTCCTCCCCTTCCCATCCCCCACCTCTGGACTTAGTTCATGAATCTCCCTCCCCTATTCCCTTCTCCTCTATTGGGCCCACCCAGCTCCACATAGTTTTAGCTCCTGGTACCCTCCAGCACATTCTACAGAGACCCCAGGTCTGTGCTCCACACTCCTGCCTTTCATCTGGGTTCCCAGAAGCTGCAGGGACAACAGAGACCACCTTGTGCCCCACCCACCTTCCTGGGTGGACACCCAGATGCTAGGCTCTGAGACCCCTTCCTATGGAAGCACAAAGTCCCCCCTCCGGGCTGGGCCGCCCACCACTGTGCTGTCCACACCTTCCGGAGGGAGGCAGGTACCTGTGGGTAGAGCTGGGGAGCCCCAGCGCACCATTTCAGGACTTGGAGAAAATAAAATAACCTGGTCGCACCTCAGTTTGCATATCAGTGAAGTGCGATGATAAATAGTACCTTCCTCCCAAGGTCAATTGTGAGGATTAAAACAGAATATTCACAAAAGTCCGTAGCTCTCTAGACTATAAGCGCCTGCTTCATTCGTAGCAGGTGCTGTGACTATTATCATGATTATTTCACCCTAAAACACTTTGAATAGGACAGCGGAAAGACCCTTGACCCCTCCGGGGACAATCCAAGAGCCCCTTGGCTAAAACAGAGCCATGAAGCCCCACTAGGCTGGGCTTTGAGACTAACCTCACCACCACCCTCAACCTGGTGACCCAGCACAGGTTCGCTGTCTCGCTGTGTAGCCCCGGGTGTAATCCATGTCTGGAGATAGAACACTGGAGCTCAGTGGGGCCTGAGCTTTCTGGAGTGAGGGTCACCGCAGGGCATGCACTGGAAATCCAGATCCCTGGGCCGCTCCCTGGGAAGTTCTGATCTAATATGTCCAGGCTCCTTCTGGGATCTGTTTATTAAGCATCAGGATGATTCATATGACTCCGCCGTTGGAACACTGGAGCCTGCGCGGGTGTCAACGCTTGTTCACTTGTTACAGGTGAGGTCACCCCTTTGTCACGCACCTCGGGCCCTGCGCCCTGGTGGTCCAGGGCTGGTGCGGGGGCTTAGGTGCAGCCTCTCCCACGTGCACCTGCGAGGCCTACCCTTTCTCCCGTCTCAGGGCCTTGATGCCCGTGCCTGTGAAGCTGGCATCAGCGAAGACCTCAGACGGGAAGGGATGAGTGAGCAGGTGTGCCCCCAGGGACCCCACGCGCCCCCCGCCCCTTCGCGCACCGAGGTCGTCCTGCGTCTCCGGGATCCCAGGCCAGCGGGAGGAGGGGCCGCAGGGGCGCTGCGGGCAAGGGGAGCCCAGTGCGCAGGGCTCCAGAAACCCCGACCCTCGCAGGGGAGAGCCAGCCGAACCAGACGTGTGGGGGCAGCAGCCGCCGCGGCGGTCTGGGACGCGGGTGTCGCCTTCCACGGGACTTGGGTCCAGGGACCCAAGACGGGGATCTGGGAGGAGGGGGATGCCCTTGGGGCCTGAGACCCGGGCGGTTTCCGAAGCGAAGTAGTTACCCAGAACCGCTCCCTACCTTCTCCCCGCCTCCCTGTCTTTCTGCCCCTCTGTCCCCTGCAGCTGCTCGGCCCTCCCTCCTCTGAAACCCACCGCCCGCCCAAGGCTCACTCCTTCCTGCTGTTCCCGCCCGCGAAGCTGTTGCAGGGACGGTGCGCCCTTGGGCTGCACTCACCACCGCCCCTCGCCCGCGACGTCCTGGCCCCCTAACCCCAGCTTTCCCGCCGCCGCTCACTCCCGCGCTCCGCTGCAGCTCAGCCCGGTCTGCAACTCTCCCTCTGTTTTCTGCCCCGCTCCTCAGTTCTGCGCTCTCCTCTTCTCCAGGCTTCCCTCTCCTCCTCCTTCTGCCTCTCCCCTGTCCCCGTTCCATTCTCCTGCGCCCCTCGCCAGCGCGCTCGCAGCCCATCGGCTCCTGCCGGGGCCCCTCTGGTGCCAGCCGCCTTCAGGCTGTGGGTCCGTCCGCTGGTGGAGGGGAAGGTCGGGGCTGGCCCCGGGCCCCGCGCTGCTGGGCCCCATGGTCAGTGGAGACGCCTCCTGGTCTCCCTTCAGAGCTCCTCGTCGTCGTCGGAGTCATCGGAGGACCAGGAAGGAGGACCCCCCACCAGCTGCCGCAGCCTCTGCTGCGAATCCCCCCACACCACACCTCTCACCCCAGAAGCACAATTATCATTGCCCAGCCCCTTTCAGACAAAAGGAAGAGCGCGGTGGGGATGATCAGAGGGAACCCTGACTCAATTCATGGTGTGCGTGCGTGCGTGCGTGCGTGTGTGTGTGTGTGTGTGTGTGTGTGTGATTGATTGATTGATTTTTAACTAGAGGGGAAAAATTCCTAAGAAAATGGGCAAAAATTACAGATTGTCCCATTTTTGTCCAGTATTATCATTGGAAAGGGAGGAAGATGAAGAAAGAGCCAGTGTTTGTGGAGTTTGTTTCAGGCTAGAAATAGAAAAAGGCTGCAGTTGATTAAGGAGGTGGCCAGAGAAGCAAAGTTTGTTGAACGCTGAAGATCACCTTGTAAAGGTGGAGTTCCTCAGGCTTTACTCCGGGAGCCCTCCCTGGGGAGCAAGAGAAGGCAGGGTCAGTGCTGAGCCATCCCGGGTGTGTGGACCTGCTACGCTAGGTCTGGTCTGGACGGTGCTGATGGGACCGGGGATGACAGAGCCAGGAGGGGCCAGAATGAAAGTCGCAGAAAACCAGAAACAGGCTACAAACTTCTCCAGTCTGCCCACCCTCCCCTTCCGTTTGTTTCATGAAAACCCATTTCCAATCAGAGGACCACAGGCCAGGGAACATGGTGAGCCCAGCCAAAGACACTTTCAGGACAGATGGTATAGAAACGTGGTACTTTGGTAAAGAAATCAAACTTTAAAGAGATCAAAACTCTGACTTCATCCCTCCCCAGACAGCATCTTGAAAAGGCGTCCCAGAGCATCAGCAAAGGACATCTCTGGGTCAGCGGGGACAGAACTGTCTCTTGACCTTGAACTTAAGTCATTTCTTTGTGATGCCTGAAACGTGGGCACTGAGCATTCATCGTTTTGTAAAAAGAGGGGACAAAAGAGTAATATTTTGGACTTTTTTTTTTCTCAAATAAAATGAACAAGGATGGATGCCTGGGGGTGGAATGGAATTATGTGCAACCTCAGATGATATAGAATCTGCAGGCAGTCTCTGTGCTGTACAGAAGAGCCCCTGCCATGCCTCCCTGCCCCAAAGAGTGGTTGCAAATTGAGTTCACGCGGGAGAGTTTAGAACACTGCTTGGTTCATAGGCAGGGTTGGTCGGTGTCATTCTTGTTATAGTATTCACCACTTGGCTATGATGGAGAAGTGAACTGAAATTCGATTTTCTTGCCTCTCACTGGGGACTGTGTTTGGTCGTAAGCTGCTGCTCGGTCTACCTATAGAGGTGGGGGTGCCTGAGCAGGAAGCGGTGCTCCCTCTGCTGTAACTGCTCCCTCCCCTAGAACTCAGCCTGCCTGCCCTGGGTCTGCCACAGCTGACAATTCCATCTGGAGTCTCCCCTAAGGGAGGCAGCTCCCCAGTCTTTGCTGTTAGCCCAACCTCAGCCGCAAAAATCCAAGCCGCTCCAGGTCCCCACTGCTCTGCTCTTGTGGGGAGCAGAACATGACATGGCTTCACACAAACAACCGCATTCACTGAATTGCACAGATTGATGTCCAGTTTGCCAGAATACCTCAGGCTTGCCGCCTCTCCAAAGCCCACGCATGGAGCCCTGAAATGCCGGCCCACCCGCGGGACGCTCACACCCCTCCAGATCCCAGCAAGGCTGGAGGCTGAAGGTTTTAACGCGGCTTTCTGCTCTACTGCCATGAAGGATTGCGTCGTCGAAAAATATTGAAGGGTGAAGGGAGATGTTCAGGCAAATAAATGAGGAAAGTAATTTGCAAAACAGCACGTGCACCATGTGATCCCATTCTTATAAGGACACGGTAAAATAACTAATAGGAATAACAACAGCTAATGCTTACTGGGTGCTGACTAAGCGTGCACGCTTCCCTGTGTGTGTGTGTGTGTGTGTAACTTACACACCAAAACACCAAACTGTGGCAAGTGGTTCTCTTGGTGGTGGCTTTGTCATGTTCCTCTCCCCTTGTGTAGTTGCATATGGTCCAGGTATTCTACAAGAAACACATCTTACTTTGTAAACCATTGCGGTGAATTTTTAAAAGATCACGTAAAGTCCATTTCTAGCACCCTTTTAAAGTGGAGGCGCTGGTATTGGAAGCTGCAGCCCTTAACGGGCTCCGCACCGAGTTTCCTTTCTCCCTCAGGACCGGTTTCTCAGAATTCCGTCTGTCATTGCTGCAGGACTGGAAGGGATTCATCTTGGGATTTTCTGTAGTAACTTAGCAGAGGCCTTAGCCTACTGTAGATGATCTATACATAATAGTAAATAAGACTTCTCCAAAATGATGTTTTAATCAACCTCCCCAGCCACATCAAAGCCCAGCAAAAACCTTTCTCCCTCAGGCAGGTGGCTTTTCTCTTCCTCAGGAGTGATTTCACCTCTCTGCACCATATCTGTTGTGATGGAAGGTGGCGAGGAGGAAGGCCATCCCATCTGAGCTGAACCTTCTGGAAGGAGGGCAGGGATCCCCTTGGAGCTTACAGTGGGGGGACTGGTCTCAGGTCCTCCCTTCCCTTTTGCTGTTGCTGTTCCCTTTCCCATCTATCTTAATGGTAGATGAGTTCGGCTCAAGGAATTGCTCAATTCTGCCAAACAATTGCACTGTTGTTGTTTTAACTGAATTGGTCAATCAGTTTAATTAAAGCAGGCAGGCTGATAAGCCCCTCATGGCCAGGGCTGTGCTGATACTTCAAGCCATACCCTTAGTAACACAGAGTTCCATCTTGGTGTATGTGTGCATATGCACTGTGTGTGTGTGTGTTTGTGTGTGTATATTTGTGTGTGTGTGTGTTTGTGTGTGTATATTTGTGTGTGTACGCGCCTGTGCACACATACATGAGCATCTTGGTTTAAGAAAGTCATCATTTTGTAAAAAAAAAAAAAAAAAAAAAAGATAGACAAAACTATCTGGTCAACAGCGAAATCAATTTATAAATGACTCTTCCAAGCATCCTATAAACTTTTTCCTCACCAGATTCTGGGAATCTGGGTTTTGGAAATATTTTGTTTTAAAAAATTGTATGTTAAGTAAAAAGGTAGAAAATGTTGTTTTGTTGTTCATATTTTGGTGAAGCATATATATTGAAGTATATATTTCACACAAAAGACACGACTCCTCTCCACAAAACTCTGTGTTCCAGGAGTATGAGTACGTGAGTTTCGAATGGAAGCACTGTTATGCCAGCATCAAACACCCTGCATTGACAGAAATGTGATTCCGGTAAATATTAAGTTCCTTGCTGACCTCGGATATCAAATTAAATCTTGTGACAGGCATTGGGAATAGAGGGGGAAAGGGCTGGACAGACAGAAAGCTTAAGAAGTGACTGCATGCCAGTGCCTTGGGTGCAGTCTGCCCCCTGCACCATCCATCCCCTCCCTCCAGCCACTCAACTCAGAAACCCAAGGTGCCCAGAAATCGAGATTGATGCTGTAGTGAGAGTCAGGCGTCCAGCTAGAAGCTGCAGTTCTGCACCACCAATGGGAAAAAAAGCTCTGGCAGCCCAAAGCCCTGGGTGCAAATCTCCGCTCCACCAGTCACTGGTAAGATGATCCCAGCAGGGCCAGGACTAGGGAAAGTGAATGAGGCTCTTATCTTGGGTACAACATTACAGGCAGCACTGAAACACTCAGCCATCGAGATAAATAATATTTTAATGCAGTATCTTAAAAAATCAAAACGAACACAAAAAATCTACGATGCACAAAATATCAGCATTTAAAAAATAAAGATGGGCTCCATCTCGGCACCTGCCCGTGCTCCCTTGCTTGCCTTACCCTGACCCCGACCCTGTATTCCATCTTGATTTAAAATTTCACGTTTTGTTCCTCATGGATTTATTTTTGCACGGATTTAGACTTTTTTTTTTTGGTCCTGATGACTGAATGTTTTGGTGCCCCCTTCAACAGTGCCCCCAAGGTGAGGGTCTCTCTCTTGCCTCACCCTTGTCCTCACCCTGCGAATAATCTCACATTTCTGAACCTTAGTTTCTTTGTCTAAAAGGCAAGGTAATAACTGCCACTCCCTGGGACTGTTTGACATGACTCCAGGACCACAGGGAGTGCATGAGGAAGCTGGCAGTCCACCTGCCACCCACTGTGAACCCAGACAGAGAGGCCATCTGACCCACACAGCAATTCTGGGGGACTGGGACCTGCGAGCAAGGTTCGATTCCCAGCCCATCCGTCCCTGTCTCTCTGACACACGGTCACCACGTGCATTCTGCTGCCAGGCCCCGGAGCTGAATCCTGTGAAATCCTTGCTCCAGGGGCCACACAATGTAACCGGGAGGCAGGAATATGACAGGAAAAGTTAACCCACAGGATGGGAGGTCCCAGGCTGTGTGCACAGTGACAGGAGTGATCACAAGAGTGCATGGGGACTCACCCTGGCCAGAGACAGAGAGGCATATAGGAAGGTTCCCCAGGGGAGCCGAGACTCTGTCCAGACCTCAAAGAATTCGGAGAGGAGAGTGAGAGTGAGCCCGTATCTGGGATAACTGAAAAAAAAAAATGACTAGCTTAAAAAAAAATCTCCATGTGTGACACCTTACGTCACTAAAGCAAAGTGTGGATTTGAGTTACTAGGTACTAACGAGAATTTTGGAAAATGGACACAGCCCTGCGTTTAAAGGAATTGTCTTTTCTTGCTGGCTGATACACTTGTAAACACACACACACACACACACCCCACCTGGCATCTCCATATAACATCCCAGGGTGCCGTTAGCCTTTCTGCCTCCTCCCTCATCCCATGTCTCCTAGAACTGCCATGAAGCTGACGTGCAGCATGTGCTCGCTGCTGGGCATAGGTGGCCAGCCCATGGCTCCTTCCTGTACCCGTTGCTGGCAGGTCCCGTGCCCCGGGGCAGCTCCTGCCACCAGTCCTCTCCTCTGCCCTCCCTCGCATCTACTCCTTACGTGCATCTGTCAAGGGGCGCTGAGCAGGTGTGTCTGTGCTTCACTCAGGTCTCGTTAGTGGTTGTCAGTAAGCTCTGAATTCTTCCATAGAACCCTTAAATCCTTCCTCAATCCCCACAGCCCACGAGCAAGCCTCCTAAATCCAATCAATTAACACAGCCCAGAAAGTGGATCCATTTGCAGGAAAGCTATAAGCTTGCACCTAATCGTCCTTCCCTAGGGGACCGGTTAGAGCAACTGTAGGACGGCAGGAAGGAGCCCTCTATGGACCTGAAAACATCAAGGAGAACGGTACATGTTGATTGGAAATATGTCCGTGACATATATTGCTAAGTTTAAAAAACTTAGGCTCCAAAGCAGCAGATGAGTATGATTGCAGTAGCTTTTGAAACGGTCGTGTTGGGTGAGTGTTTATACAGAGATGTCTGGGGCAGGAGAGAGAGGCCTGGGGGCCACCAAATATTCCCAGCAGTTGCTGACAGTGAGACACCAGGAGGGTTCAATTTTAAAAACTGTCTTCTTTATTTAAAAAACATTTTTTTTCAGTGGTTGAATTTTTGACATGGGTATGCATTGTCTTCATAAGAAGGAAAAGGAAAAAAAAAAAAAAAAAAGAAAACCAGCTAGGTGATTTATAAGCTTCCATGGAGCATTTTTGGTAAATGAGAAGTGCTGGGTTTTCCAGGTAAATGGAATATGCAAACCATGGGTGCCGGGGCTGGGAGGAAGTGACAAGAGGGGACACTGCTTAGTTGCGTAGGGTTTCCTTTTGGGGTGATGAAATGTTAGGGAACTAGAGAGGGCTGATGCGCGTTGTGATTGCACCGAACGTTCTGCATTTACTAAATGCCCCCGAATTGGACACTTGGAGACGGTTAATTTCCTGTTATGTGAATTTTACCTCAATAAAAAGTGCCAGATTCTCTAGTAAAACAAGTCACCTAATCAAGTTATCTGTGTGTCTTCTAGTTTTATATGTAATAATTTACCTGATTTGGAGCGCGCTGGTGTGGGTGCTCCAGAGGACCGGTCTGTCCTGAGGCTGGAACCCGATTTCTCAGCCTGCTTTTGTGGAACCCAGAGGCACTGACTCTCTAATGAATGGGAGGCAGGGAAATAATTTCCAAGATTCCTTTCGGTTCACAAAAATAAGAGTATTCAGAAGAATGAAACCTCTCCATGTATAACATCTGATCATTTTCTTATAGTCACCGTCGCTCTTAATTTCTCCTTCACACAAAGTTCTAGTCTGACATCCATTGAAACCAGAACTTCTAGAACTTTCTTTTCAGTAAAACATTCTCTCTCTCTCTCTTCCATTCCTCTTCATTGCATACAATATTTGAGATAGCTTATAGGAAATCAGTGTTAAAAAGGAGTAAATCATCAATGCAAGAATACAACTACGGGAAAATATAAATTGGAGTTGAATATCAAGATTTAGAGAGGAAATACTTAGAACTCATCCTCTGAAGCTCTGAAATTACGCACAGCTGCTGTGGCGGGCCATGCATTCAACCCCCCGCTATATTTATATAGCGTGTTTACCTCTGGAGGACATTCACTCATTTTACCCTCAAGAGTTTCCCGGGAGGTGGACAGAGGCTGAAGAACTCTGCGTGTGACAGACGGACACTGAGGGCCCTGCGGCCCCCGCCAGCCCTTACCAAAACCCTCCAAACCGACCAAGTCGTTTCTTCACCCACATACAGCAGACTCGCACGTGCCACTGCAACGGGTATGGCCTGTCTCTCACACACATGCACGCACACAGACACACACAATGGGGTCCTTACACACACACAGACGACACACATCCAGACCAGACAAGCATGCATATTTTTATTTCAGTGGGTAGGAACAGGAGCACTGTTTCCGCCAGGACTCCACAGGGGCGATTTATGGACCTGGAGCGTCTGAGTGCTTGTGTGCTGCTGGGTGGGGTAGGGTGGGGCAGGAGCACACAGAGGGAGGCTGGAGGGTGCTGGAGAGAGGATGGGTGTGAAAATGGTCATCTTGATTTATACAGAACCACATTTACAGCCCGTCCATTGCGGAGCTTCACGTGAACATCATCTTCTTTTTTATCTCTTTCTTTTAGAATCCCATGTGTCTCCCTCCTCCCTCCTGTCTTTCCCTCTCCCTCCTCTCCCCTTCTGTCTCTCCCTCTCCCCGTGAGGAGGCCCAGCTGGAAGGAGACAGGGCTCCGAGTTCAGTCCGTGCAGACAGGACTAAAGTAAACATGCTGGTCATCGGGCAGGCAGTTAGCAGCATTTGGACAGATGATCAGTGCTGGGCTGGTGGAGGACCACACACGCAAAGCCCCCTCGGACCACACAGGCGTGTGCCTGCCCGCCCTGCCTACGCACACGCACATGCTTGGAGTCACACACAGGATGCCCTTCCCATGCCAGCGCAGCTCTTCTTTGCCATGGGACAGTTGGAGAGGTGTCTTCTCAACACTCACAAGTTACAGGCCCATGCTGGCCTTGCCAGAGCCCCCACACTGAGCCAGATCCCCTCGAAGAAGCAAAGGGCCAGGGGCCTCCCAGTCACGTGCTCTGTGGGTACCAGGGGCATGTCCCTTCACCCTTTAGGACCTCTGTCTCCCCATCTGTGGGGCTGGGGTGATCACAGTGGCTGCTGTGCAGGGGTATGGACGGCTGCCTCCCGTGCCCTTCACTCCCTGTGTGGACTCCAGCCTTGTCATGATTTCACCTCAAACAAGCGGTCTGCACCCCTCCCAAGGCCTGGGGGGCAGGGCCCCAGCTCACATGCCTTGGCTCTGCACCACCTGGTCACCCGGGGCAGGCCCCTCCACTGCTCTATGCCTCAGCTTCAGCAACTCTGGAGCAGGGAGAGCAACAGGCAACCTGGCAGATGGACTAAGGTAGACCACTGGTGCCAGCCACAAATGCTGGGCATGGATACTGGCCCACAGATGCTGGCCACAGATGCTGGCCACGGATGCCAGTCACAAAATGCTGGCCACAAATGCCAGCCCACAGATGCTGGCCAGAGATGCCAGCCACAAATGCTGGACATGGATACTGGCCCACAGATGCTGGCCACAGATGCTGGCCATGGATGCCAGTTACAAAATGCTGGCCACAAATGCCAGCCCACAGATGCTGGCCATGGATGCCAGCCACAAATGCTGGGCATGGATACTGGCCCACAGATGCTGGCCACCAATGCCAGTCAGAAATGCTGGCCAAAGATGCCAGTCACAAAATGCTGGCCACAAATGCCAGCCCACAGATGCTGGCCACAGATGCCAGACACAAAATGCTGGCCACAAATGCCAGCCCACAGATGCCAGCCACAGCTGTTTATAGGCTGCCACTATTCTGTGCAAAGACAGCCTGGACTCCCACCCGGACAGTGACTCCCTTAGACCTTTTCCCATTGTCCTTCTCTCAAAATCCGCACCCCTCCTAGGAGGCTGGGAGTTTATGTCCTGTCTGCCGCGTGCCCTGAAAGAGTCACCAAGGGGGAAGGTATCTGACGGAGGTGTGCTAACGGTTGTATCCTGCCCAGCATGTTAGAAGACACCCCCCCAATACAATGCCCACCTCTGTTGGCACAGATGGGCAGGCGGCCGAGGAAAGAGACTTAAGAACTGGTTGCTTCTCACTGTTCTACTCCTCTTCTTAAACACTCCCCTAATCCAATTCCCACCCCCAAGTAGTCCATGTCTCTGAGAGGGCTCCCAGGTTCCAACACCTGCCTAACGAGAAGGGAGCCAAATAAAGCCCCTGCCTGCTGGCCAAGGTGGGGCTGGTGTGCTGTTGGCTGGAGGAAGGAAGCGCATCTCCCCAGACTCACTCTGCTTATCAGGGTGATGGGGGAACATGGGCTGGGTGAGGAAATTCCCACCCGGGGGACACCCCGAACAACGTTCCAGGATGGGCTCTATGGCCCCTGGCCGCCCACTGCGCCATCTGTGAGGAATGTGACACTCCCAGCACGGTCAGTGGCTGACCAGGGCCATCTGTCTTCATTACATGGGTTTGTTTGGAGGAGGTGAGCACTGGGGGCTGTCACGGCTGAGGAAGGCTGATCTATTGGCAGAGGTGCTTTGAAGCCTCCTCAAGGTTGCAGCTCTGCAGACCACAGCACGCGGATGCAGTCCCAGGCACCTTCCTACACAATGGGGGATTTCTAGTCCTGGGGCTCCAGGGAGAACTCCTCCCTGGGGGAGTCGGGTGTGGACTCGGACACTGCCCTCTGCTCACTCGTCTCCTTCCACCTGGTTCATTTGTATTGAGCACCTACTATGGAAAGGTACAACCCAGGCACTGAGGGCAGAACCCTGGGGAGTCTCCTAATCTGGGGGGAGGAACGAAGTCTGAAAAAAATCCCTGGATTCCCAGAGTGGGAGGAGAACACCAAGGACAATGAAGCAGGATCGTGGGACAGACAGTGGGACTTCAGGGCCAGCAGTCAGGGCAGCCCTCTTTGGGGGCCCCATTTGAATTCAGATCTCAGAAACTCCTGGAGAGATAGCATTACGTGAGAATCCGTGTGTCTGTCACTCTGAGTCAGCCTTCAAGCCCCAGCCTTTCTTGCCTCTGAGGCCTCTGCCTGAACCACCAGCCTCAGTTTCCTTGTTTGCAAAATAGGCACGATAAATACACCTAACTCCTAGAGGTGCTTGGAGGGTTGAGTGAGATCAAGCATGCCCAGCATGTGGCCCACGGCGAGACCCGGGGAAATGCCAGCTGCAGTTACCATGACTGTGTGAGAATCTCCACATTTAATCTGTGGGTGAGGACACGCCAACGGGAGAGAAGCTCTGCTGTCTTGGGCAGGGAGGAAAGTCAGGACCCCTTTGTCCTGTTCCTTGGGATAGCATGATATTACTAGTGGATGATTCCAAGTGGAAGAAAGCCTTTCCTTGGAGTAGGGACCCTAGCATCATTTTCCTCTTTGGCAAGGCCTCCCAGAGTCACCAAGAGGAGAACAAACCCACAGCGATGTCCTGGAGAGAGGCTGCAGCTAGAGAAACAGGGAATCCGCTGACATGCCGGGTGATGACTATTGTTTTAATTCTAGTGACTCGCATCACTAGACTTCCGGGGTTAGAATCCTGGCTCGATCCCACATGAGGGTGAGACAAGACAAGTTACCTATCTCCCTGAACCTCAATGCAGTCACCCGTAAAAAGGGCCCAGTCGCCCTGCACACAGGGGGCTTACAAAGATTGAATTAAAAGAAGGGAAGCATGTGCCCGGCACGTCGCGGGCACGCTGTCAGTCTGCTTTCTGTTTTCCCTTTCCCTTTTCCCTCCCTTCCTTCTCCTGTGGCTCACCCCTCCTTTTTTCTTAAATCACTAAAATATATTGCAGAGGCACTCAAAAACTGCTAGACGTGACCAGCAAGGACAGGGAAAGCAACGACTTCAAAGTGAGGGTCAGAGTTTGTCTCCTCTGTCTGCAGAAGCAGATTGGGGTTACGACGGGAAGTCTGAAATATAAGCTCCGAACGTTGCATTTTACATCCAGTCTTGCGGGTGCCTGTGCTCCACGCCCTCCCAAAGCCAGGCCCCTGAGCTGAGCGGCTTCAGAAAGTAGAGCCCCTCTGTCTTTGGTATCAAGGGGCGGGGACCGTTATCATCCACTGAACAATCGAGCACTTACTGCCTGGCAAGCCCCTTGAGCTGTGCGGGCTCCAGTGCACGGATCCCTCCCGTCAGTAGGACTCGGGGACCACCCACACCCCTCTTTCACTGCCGGAGAAACCAAGGCACAGAGAAGAAACGAAGCCCCATTCCAAGGATAGGCTGCTGCCAAAATCCACCAGTCATCCCAGCCCGGAAGGTCCAGCATGGGACTTTTCCATTTCCCACCAGATGTTAGTTGAACAGAGTGAGCCACGCCAGGCTGTAAAACAAATCCCAGCGTTCCCTGCAGCCGCGCAGGAATTATATTCGCCTGTCAGGGCCCAGTGCAAGCATAACACAGACCTCCTCTCCCCTCGCCCAGCGTGGAAGGCGTTTTGACCCCCGCTGAGAAACATGAAGGTCGTGACCCACTGGCTTCCCCATCTGCCCTTTCCTCACCAGGGGATATCTGACAACAGCCCTGTTATTTATGCAGCTTAATGCAATCCAGAGGCCATTGGCACATTGCAGAAAGAGGGAGAAAGGAGGGGTGCCTGGCTCCTCAGAACCCGGTTTCACTGGCTGCGTGTTGAGCCTGACATCAGACTGGTACGGGGAGGACAGGATGGTGGCTTTCTGCAGCAGGGAGCCTCCGAGGTGGCTCTTCCTGGATGCAAACTTGAGCAAACCAACAAATATTTACCCAGGCTCTGCTGGGTTCAAGGCGTATTTTCACAGGGTAGCATCGTTAGCAGGCACTCAGGGAACATTCCTGGATTAATTCTCTTCCGGGAGTTGTGCAGACTGGGCTGTACTGGCTCCCTGGAGCCGGCATTTCTGTGGGCGTGATGATGTCCGATCATTTGTAGCACACCACAATACTTCCAAGGAAGAGCTAAGAAACTGGCTCTTCCTGGGAGCAAAGTTAAGTTGCATTTTTTAAGGGAATTTTTTTTCTCTCCATAAATTTATCCTCTCTTATGACTCAACCAAGACACACAGAGTCACAATTACTTAACACTGAGACGCTAGTTTGTTTTTCTATGTTTTGTTGAAAGGACACAATGAACAGTCATGGACAGACCTCACCAGAGCATCACACAGACCTGGGTGTGACTCCTGGCCTCACCATATACTAGGTCTGTGATTTGGGTAGGTTGCTTGACGGTCCCTCACTAGAAAAATGGGACCAGAATAGGACTTGGCCCTATACAGTGGGGGCCCATTAGAGATGAGGGTGCAGATATCCCCGCATGGACTCTGCCCCAGAGCAGGCTTTATGGACTGGTGCCTGTCATCTTCTTCATTCTCATCTCCAGTTGAAGGCCATGTGGCAACAGAGTTGAACACGCAGAAGACAGAGCTCAGTGGCCTGGGTTCAAATCCCAGCTCTGCCCTTTGTCAGCTGTGTGACTTGGGGTGGATTACTTAACCTCTCTGTGTGTCTTGGTTGGCTTCCTCATCTGCAGTACTGGGATAATAATGGCTGTGAAGATCAAACTCATTCATAAATGCAAGGTTTGTCTTGCATTTACTGGCCAACTGGCTCATAGCTAGTTGGTCATTATTGCCATTACAGGGAGAGCTGCTATTCTGGAGTGTTTGATTTAAAATTATTTAAAAATATTTATTGCACACAAAATAGCCCAGCAGACATGAAAACAATAAAAAGAAAAAGAAAACTAAAAACTTCCATCTTATTTTAAGATATTTTTGTAATATGTTGATGTTTTCGTGGCTTTAACATCAGCTATTCTTGTCATCATTTTAGGGAGAATGTTTATTTTCTAAGCCCTCGATTTAAACTCATTTAAAAATATTTATTGCACAAACAATAGTGTGTAAAAACTCCTGATAATTTAAAAAATCCGTTCTAATAAATCTTGTTTTAAGGTGTTTTTGGAATTTGCAGAAGTTTTTGTATCTTTTGCCACAAAATAGCTTCTGGAGCTGTTCATGTGGACAAATACCAGCTTAGAAAATATGCTGCGTGTGGCTTGGGCTGGGCTGTTCTCTTCTGCGTGGGACACCTCGCACCCATGCCCTGGGCACCGCAGATGATTGGGTGTCCATCTGTGAGTCCGTGACAGTGTTGCGTGGACTCAGAAACTCAACATTACAGCATCACTTCAGGATTTTGGTTTTCAATGTCATGTATTCTCAAGCCTTTATTCCTCCTTCTCTCCTGGGATAGTGATGACCTGTAATCGTCACTTGCTCAGAATTGATCATTCACGAAATATTTAAATGAAAAGTGATTGCAAAACCTCAATTACTTTTGCACCGACCTAATCATTGGCTGCCGCGGGCTCTGTGGGACCACATCTACGAATGTATCGTTCATGGCCGTTGTTCCTTGTGGAATGTGACCCTGTGCAGGCAGGGATTTGATCTTTTGTGTACGGCAACATCCTCTGTGCTAGGACACAGCGGGGGAACTTAGGAGGAGCTCCACAAATAATCGTGAATTTATGAATGCAACAACAAAAGAATGAAGACTGAAATAAACCTTATGAATAGGGTACTTTCTGTGAGTTTTTTACAGAGTACCTTTTTGGCTAGAACATTTCTTAAGAGTTTTTTTTTTTTAACTCGAAGTAATCTGGAATTTAATTTACTTAAAGTAATATATATGTATATTATTGTATACATATGTATACAAAATATATATGTATATATTAATATAAATGTAATAGGTATTGGGGCAACATTTTATATTTTTAAGTGATTTTACATCCATGTTCATCTCCTTTAAAACCCCATGTGCTAAGTACAGCAAATAGGATTTTGTTTCCCCGACGTCCAGGCTGAGTGCAGCCAGATGGGATGACTTGACAAAGTCACAAACGCTGACAAATCCCGGCGGGGGAGTTGTGGCTTCCTCCAAAGGAAGGTAGGTCTGTGTTTGTCAATTGATCAGCTCAGCGGTGGCCCTGAGTGAGGCCGTGAGGAAAGTAACTCCGTAGTTTTAATTCTGATGATTACTTCCTGAAAAAGGACCCTGCAATGGTGGGTCCAACCTCCTCCTTCCCTCCGTCTCTGCCAGTCGCTCGGTCTCTGTCTGTGCTCCCCTCCAGCTGCCTGTCCCTCCCCCTCAATGGGGGCTTAGGGGCCCAGCTCACCACTCACGCTCCCACAACGTCCAGCGTCCATGCCTGCAGCCTGTTTCCTGGGAATTTCAGTCCATGTGGAGCAAGAGGCCAGTCTCCTGCTCTGAGCCCAGGAGGGCACGTCCTCCGCCAGCTCTCAGCACTGGCTCTGCTTCCTGTTTACTTCTGCAAGTAGCTGCGATTGTGGGGTCTGCAGCCAGCCCTGTGGTCCGAAGCCAGCCAGGCTCAAGGGGTTATCATCCTATCAGCCGAGATAGGCTGGCGGGCTCTGCCATCTGTCAACTGTCTTCTGATGTAATTGAAAGTTCTCTGTCCTGGAATGTCATCTTATTAGGTGGATCAGGCCTTGACGTGTTAACTGGAGAGTTTCTGCAGGGCTCAGCTAGTTATTTTATTTTTTCAAAATTAAGAGGCATACAGTCTTTTAAAAATCTCATAACAAGTTCTTATGAAAATTTTCCAAAAAATCATCAGAGCGTAAAGAAAAAAGGAATGGTCACCCAAAACCTCATCACTCCAAAATAATATGCTGGTAACGTTTCATTAAACCTCTGTCTATGCAAATTATATCCAGAGAGATTCATGCGTATGTTTCAAAAATGGAATCAGATTTCCCATGCTGCTGTTGACCTGCTTTTCTTTTTGATGCCACAATATGGCACGGATGTGTCTCCATGTCAATAAATACAGATTTACATCATCTATAAATAGTTGTATAGCATTCTCCAGGTGTGGCATTTAGACTTTTTCTTTTTTTTTTCTTTTTTTTTGCTATGATATGTTATAAACACCACCACAATGAACATGTTTTGCACATTTGTGTAAATATTTCCTTGGGATCGACGCCTAGAGTTGGGGTAACTGGAGCATGGGGCATTCACACGTACA
Source organism: Homo sapiens (assembly GCF_000001405.40). Lineage (NCBI taxonomy): Eukaryota > Metazoa > Chordata > Mammalia > Primates > Hominidae > Homo > Homo sapiens. Next base: position 86,302,048 of record NC_000016.10, read on the forward strand.
GTGACCATCTGAGCAAACTACAAGCAAGGAAGTGCCAATTTTCCTCACACAAACAATCTACACTGGGTCCCAGTTCTCAGCCCTGCATCATACCAAGTGCCCAATTCTTTCACTTAGCTACTTCCAGCAGTAGAAAGTAGCATCTCATTGTTGCTCTTTGGTCTTTAAAAAATTACATTGCACATATTTATCAGGCATTTATGCACCTGTGAACTAGCCCAGCTACTTAAAATTAGATCCTCATGCTGCAAGAGCTTTAATGGTCAACAGATCCAACCCCACTCCCAAACCTCCATCCACCCACCATCCACATACTTGGATCATCTCAACTGTTTCTCTCCAAAGACCTGGCCTTGCCTCTGGTCTGTTTGAACACTCCCATCCACGGGAGCTCATCGCTGCCTGAGATGGTCCACTGTGTTCCCAGCTCTAATTTATTAACCTATAAAAGCCAGTACATATGGAATAACCATGCTGGGCCAGGAACGACGGGAAGCCCTTTGCTGAACAGTGTCTCCAGCCTCAAACAGTGCTGAAAACATGTATCGCTATTTCCTTCTTTGTTCCATCAGGGTCGCGAGATGCAGAGAGGTTAAGTAACTTGCCAAGGGTCACACAGCTTTAAAGGAGCAGAACAAATAATTGAATGTGAGGAAACCGTGCACCACTTGAAAGGCTCACAGAGGAAACTTTAAGCTGGTGAGAGATCTAACAAAAATAAAATAATTTCTCAAAGTACAGATTTCTTTAAAGACTTCCTATCCTTCAGGCACTTTATCTTCAGCTGCCCAAGGATACAGAGCAACTATCAGACACCCATGGGGTCTGGGCTTTGTGTGAGATCTGTGCTAGTCTCTGCAGCTACCAGAAGGCAAGAAGGCCTGGCCTCGAAGATGTTCCAGTAGACTCGGGTGTCACCGGCCCATGTGCTTATGGCTCACAGATTACCAGGCCAAAAAAAAAAAAAAAAAGCCTACCTTAATTGATAGAGGTCTCAGATTAGTTCAAAGCATTCACCTCTATTTTTTCCAACTGGGTCTGGTTTCAGAGATTAGATTTTCTAGGTGCAGAAATGCCCTTAGGCAAGTCAGAGGCCCAATTTGCAATGACCCCACTCGGCCCTCCTATCCTAATGTCCTGCCACTTGAAAACATCATTTTCGGAGTGTCCCATCCTCAGGGCTCTGGAAGAAAGGCTCTGGCATCAGTCATTCACACTTTAGTATGAATCAGCCCAATAATTTAAATAGCTGGACTCTATGATGAACACATGAATTTTTTTAAGTGGGTTCATTTATTCATGAGATGGATGTCTGTGATTTGGACAGGAGGCTTCTCAGCTTCCCTCAAATTAATCCTTAAATTTCATCTCACCCTCCCTTTCTGTACAACTTACCTTTCTTGAGCACCGATCTGTCCTTCGGATAAACAGGTAACAAGCTATGGGCTGCTTCTCACCTGTGGAAGGTTAGGCCACAGAAATGAAATCTTTCGTTAGGTTTCAAAGCAAAACACACAAAACTCAACCAAAAGAAAAAAAGGGGGGCGGGGCGGGGGGGACACAACGATGCCTTTTAATGTAAAGAACCTGCCCTGTGGTCCGAATCTTTCTCATCATGAGTCCAGCGTGCAAGGGAGGATGAAGGTGCTGCATGGGCTTCCTCTGGGGCTGGGGACTGCTGGCTGGGAGCCACCGCAGCTTGCAAACTAAATTTAAAAGCTTGCACCCCAAGACCCTTGAGCAAAGGTTACTCGAGGTCTATTCCGGGTTCAGGCGGAAAAAAGAAGCTTGACTTGGCAAGGAAATGCCTTGTGACGAGGCGCTTGGCTGACCAGGGGCATGGAGGAAAGCTGGGACTCGCTGCGTTTTCTTTTGGCATTTACAGCCCTGAAAAATGATTGCAGCTTCCTCTGGCCGCAGAGCTGGAGCCTGAAGAGGTGACCTTTAAGGGGAGTCTGTTTACTGCAGCCGCAGGCCCAGGGCCCTTGCGTGAGCTCCACGAAGTCTGCGCCGGGCCTTGGCACTGACCCTGCGGGGCCTGCAACCCAAACTCACCGGTTTCTGGGAGCTGGTGAGGGGCTGCGCTGGGGCTGGGGCGAGGCCCCGGCCGTGTGGGGAGACCAGGGGAGCCTCCACGCTGGGCGCCCGGGCAGGGAGCGTGGGGGCGGGCGGGCTCACTGCTTGCTCCCGGGAACATCCTGCGGGGCAGGTCTGCCTGACCGGCCACCCCATCCTCGGACGCTGAAAACTGTCCTGCAGCCAACTTCAGCCTCTCTTGGCTCTGCAGACAAAACGAGGCGATTCGCCTGCATGGGGTACTCCTCTCTCCTTGTGGGCCCTGCCACAAATCGGATACGGATCTCCATCCCCCGGACTTTCACACCGAGTTACACAGAGGAGAAAATGGGGATAAAAGTTAAACTGAGAAGCATTCAGAACTCACCCTATAACCGTCTGAAACGAAACCATCCACATAGTTTACGGCAGACAAGGAAACTATAATCCGATTTCTCCACTTGGATCTTAAATGTGAAATAAATAAGCACATGTAATGGTATCTGCTATTTTTCAAGAGCATGAATAAAACTTGAAGACTTGGATTTAACTTTTTAAAGATGGTTTTGAAACCTTTCTAACTGAAAACAGGATCACTACTCATTTTCTCTTTCTACCCTCATTCAACACTCTTTTCTTTTAGAGAGACAGTGTTTTTTTAGAATGCTTTGGTTTCTGTTAGGAACATAATACACTTTCTTTGGGGAAAATGTAGGAGACAATGAAAAGAAAAATAACAGTGACATGAAATTTCACCACTCAGAATTAACCTTGGTTAACATTGCAGTAGATTTCAACCTGTTTTAAAATATATATATGTGTGTGTGTGTGTATGTATATATATGTGTATATATGCATATATATGTGTGTGTATTTGTGTGTAAATAAGTGTATATAGGTGTGTACATGTGTATATGTGTGTATATGTGGGTGTGTACACGTGTATGTGTGTGCAGATATGTGTTTATGTGTGTGTATGTATGTACGTGTGTATGCATGTGCATATGTGGGTGTGTGTATATGTATGTGTATATGTGGGGAGTGTATGTGTGTATGTTTGTATGTATATGTGTAAATTTGTGTGTGTATGTAGATATGTGTGTGTGTGTCTGTGTGTTTTCTACAATGCATCCTTTATAAAACCAGTATCAGGAATTTATATTGTGCTGTTCTCACCTGTCAATATGTCATAAATACTTTGCCAAGTCATTAAAGTTTCCTTATAAACATCATTTTGATGATTGCCTAATACACCGACCTGTGGATGTGCCATAGTTTCCTCCACTATTCTCCCATTATAAAAAATGTTTTAAAGTGTACGAACTTCCTTTCCCAGTGGGGGAAAATGGAATCGCTGGTCTGATCTGGAATGGTTATTTGTGATTTCCTGAAGTTAGGTCAAAAACCATTAGACATTTTTTGTTAACCCAAGTACCTACTTCCTGGCGGATTCCAAACATTGACCTGATGAAGACCAGGGGAGGGGAGCACCTAGACCTTTGCCTTGGGAGAAGCGAGGTGGGCCCGGAGCTGACTCTAGGACGATGTCCTTGTGTGAAGGTGGCAAGCCAAGTCACCCCTCAAGGGAGGAAGGAATTGGGGCCCCTGTTCTTAGGTGTTTATGAATCATGAGCTCCACTGAGAACAAGATGACAGGAAGCCATGGAGCCTGTCTAGAAGAGTCTGTTCCCAGAGTCCACACAAAATTTCAGGGGTTCTCAACCCTTGACCCCTTATGGAGGCCTTTTGAGATCTCCAGGACCCAGGGTTTAATTACTGGGGACCCTCTGTGACCAGCTCCAAAAGCATCCCTGGATTCCTTTAGTCCATAACTCTGGGAAGATCATAAAACACTTTTTTTTTTGAGCACTGAATGTTAACATTTAACAGAGAAAACTTTTGTTTTTGCAGAAGTTGAGAAACTATAAAATTCTTCCTGAAACCTGAGACTTCGAGCATATCACCAAGGCAAGAGTTACAAAAAAGTGAAACTTTTAGGTAATTTTATGAGTTTTGCAAATCTGCCACAAGCATATGTTTAGCACCCTCAGAAGAATTCCAAAAGGAGTATTGCTTCAGCCTGTCAAGAACTAAAATAGTTACACATGTTTATTCCATGTGGTTTGATGTATTATAAGCTATTTGATGGAATTAGGAATGACATGGTTCCTTTTACTCTCCATAAAAACATTAGTGCAGCATGTCCTCTGATACTTGTGGTCTTGAGCTGTTCATTTGTTTCTTCATTCCTTTCGAATGTAATGTTGCATTTTAGTGTTCAGGCTCTGTGGGCGGCACACTGGCTCACCACACACTTGTGTGTGACGTGGGAAAATTTACCAAGCTCCCCAAAGCCTCAGTTTCTTCATCTACACAATGGGGCACCTGCCTCATGGAACTCTTGTGAACATTAAAGGAAATAAGACATGTAAACCACTTAGCACATGGGCTGACATGCGAAGAACATTCTCTGCCTTAATTAGGATTATTTGTTAGTTCTCACCCGAACATCCAGAGATGCAAACAGAAGGTCGAAATAAAGATCAGTGCCTGAAGGCTTCAGGAAGAGTGGGTGAAATAATGACCACATTTGCATTACTAAAAGTTTGGGGCTAATTATGCTACAATTTCCTATTATACGTTGAATGAGTTGTCCAGAAGAGAGACAGAAAAAACAAACAAACAAACAAACAAATGAGAAACCATCCACATTCACATATACGAGACAGTTAAAAATTGGGGGGTAGAAACTTTCTCAAGATGGGTTTCACAAAGCACTAGTCCCATCAGATGCCCCTTGAAGGAATGTCAAGGAGTTTCTCTGGAGAGATCAGTTTGGGAATGTTGCTCACTCTTCCCTCATCTTGGAGAGTCTTTGTGCACCTGGGCATAGTAAAGGCTCTGAGAAGTCCTGCAGTGAAGAAACTGACGGGGCTCTGTTAAATCCAGTTTGGGAAAAGGATTCCTACTTTGGAAAAGGCTGAACTCGAGAATGATCCCAAACATCCCCTTCGAATCACAAATGGAGACGAGGATCAAGGGACACATTTAAAAATATCACCACGTGTACACACAATCTTTGACACAGTGCCAGGTAGCAGATGCCTCACAGTCAAGTTCCGGTGAGGCTTTGAGATTGCTCAACAGTTTTGTTGAGAAGTAATTCACATACCATACAATCCACCCATTAAAAAATGCACAATTTGATGGTTTTAGTACATTCCCAGAGTTGTACAACCCATCACCACAATCAATTTTAGAACATTTTATCACTTCGAAAGGAAGCCAGTACTCACTAATAGTCACTCCTCCACTCCTCCCTCCACAACCCCTGGCAACCACGCATCTACTTTCTATCTCTAAGGATTTCCCTGTTCTATGGACTTTTCATAGAAATGGAATCACACACCCTGTGGTCTTTTGTGTCTGGCCTGTTTCACTGAGCACCATATTTCCAGAGTTCATCCTGCCACAGCATGTATCAGCCCTTCATTCCTTTTTTACGGTTGCACAATACTCCATTGTAAGGAGAGACTGCCTTTTATCTACGTATCAATCAATGGGCATTTGGATTGTCTCCATCTCTTGGCTATTATGAGTAAGGCTGCTGTGAACGTCTGTGCCCATGTTTTTGTATGGGCATGTGTCTTCGTTTCTCTTACGTAAATACCTAGGAGTAAAATTGCTGAGTCATAGGGTCACTCTAGGTTTAACATTTCGAATAACTGCCCAAATGTTTCCCAAAGAGTCTGTACCATTTTATAACCTTACTGGCAATGTATGAGGGTTCCAAATTTTGAGTTTGCTTTCGATCAAATACCTGGCACAAAGCAGTATGCTTGTTGATTAATCCAAATTATTTTAAAAATTCTCATACTTAAATGACAATTGCCTAGTGTCAGGGAGTGTACTAAACACTCTGTGTATCATAACTCACTTCATCTTCACAACAACCCTAACAGGTAACCGTATTGTCCTCCCCTCCAGGCAGATGGGGAAACAGAGGCCCAGAGAGGCTCAACAGCTCATCCCGGGTGATGTGGCTTGTGAGCAGTGGATGGAGGGATCAAACCCAGAAGTTCAGCTCCACAGCCCAAGCCCTCAGGAGCTCTGTTGGAATCCTAATGTGTTCTAACTTTTCTCTTCTAAACTGTAAAAAAAAATAACTATTGACAAACACTTATAAAATTCAAAAGAGGTAACTCCTCCTGTGGAATGCAGGAAGCTAGAGGACTGGGTAGAATGTGCTGATTATGAAGAGGTGGATAAACTGTGATGAGTTTACACAATTCACACCTTCTTTGGGGAAAGATATTCAAATCAACTCATCCATGAGGCACAGGCAGAACTCAGGCTGATGGTTGCTTCTCCGTCTTCAGACTTCTCTAGAAATGGATGGAAGGTGCTGTCTAGCAGCAAGCAGCAGCACGGGGGCTCGAGCCCTCAAACTCCCCGGTCAGACTCTGCAGGTCAACCCTGGCCCTGCCCTTTCTGTGCTGTGCTGCGCAACCTCTGTGAGCTCCCAAGCCAATTTCCTCCCCTCCAGACCGGGCCAGTGGTACCCCCTGCCTAAGGTTGTGCCATGATGATGGTGAGCTAATCAACGCAAATGGATCATGGTCCCCGCCCAGCGGAGTAACCACCCCCTGTGTAGTTGCAACCCTCGTTATTCTAATGAACTCCAGTCTTGAACCCCAGGTCTAGGGAGAGGCCTGACCACTCACCCACTCTATCAAGAGGCCTGTCCCCATCTGGGAAATGTTTTTAAAAATTTGGGGCTGGGTGCGGTGGCTCACTCTGTAATGCAAGCACTTTGAGAGGCTAAGGCAGGAGGATCTCTTGAGCTCAGGAGTTTAAGACCAGCCTGGGCAACACCGCAAGACCTCATCTCTGTAAAAAATTTAAAATTAGTTGGCATGGTGGCACACACCTGTAGTCCTATCTACTCAGGAGGCTGAGGTGACAGGATCATTTGTGCCCGGGAAATGGAGGCTGTGGGGAACCGTGATCAGACCACTACACTCCGGCCTGGGCAACAGAGCAAGGGCTGGTCTCAAACAAAAAAAAAAAAAAAAAAAAAAAAAAAAGTGGAGCTAATAAAAGTTGCGTTTCTGTAAGTGTATGATTTTTTTTCCTTTTAGTAAAATTGAAAATTATGCAATAATAATTTCTCCCTTCCCTGGGCCACTAGGGAACTCAGAACAAATGTTATCACTGTCATGGTGTTGTGTAGTCAAAGACCACTGGGCTTTGGCAACAGAAAGGAAGAACATGGAAGAGGAGAGGTTGGAGTATTTATGGAGCATTTACTATGGACCAGGCCTTGTGCCAGTTCTACCCTTTTACACGGCCCTCTCCTCAGCCCCAGAGCAGCTCTAAAAAGCACGTAATATTTCCCTTTTTGCAGTGAGTACCCCGGCCCTCAAGTGGTCCCTGCTGAGAGCAACTGGTCCTGTCCTCCAACTTTAATTCTTCAAATGAGCCCCCCCTAGCTGGGGTGAGACACAGGCACTGCGGACCCCAGGGACATCCCTTTTAGCAACTTGGGGTTCTGTTTAAGGCAGAGAGCACAACAAGGAAGAGGGGCATAGGAGGGCTCCCATCACCCTCACCTTCTACCCAAGTGACCTTGGCAAAGCCACTTGTCCTGGGCACGGGCATGCATCTGCTAAGTGGGCAGTGGATGTTGCTTGCTCTGGACACCCCAGAGTTTCAGAGCATGGGAGGAATTGGCCAATGCTTTCCCAGGACTTGGCATTCTCCTGCGTGCCCTGGGTGTCCACCATTAATTCGCTGGCAGTTGGGTTCATGGTACAGTGTCTAACCTGACGAGTACAAAGTTGAAAAGGGCAACTTGAGGAAGCAGACAGAGGCTGGGCTCCTTGTCTTATTGCCCCCCCAGCTGTGTGACCAGGGCTCCACTTCCCTCCTCTGTAAAAAGGGCATATAATGATACCTGCCCACTAGGTGTTGGGTCCATGCCATGAGATGATGCCCTTAGAATACTTCCCCATGCCTGGCATGTGGCAAACTTGCAGCAGCCAGCACCAGCCGGCTTGTCATGATCATGTGTTTGAAGCCTGTTCCGAATCATAGTGTCATGGGAATGGGAAAGACCATTATCATTTGTATTCAATGCAGACAGAGCAGTGATGATAAACCTAAGCTTGGGTATTACCTCTGAAGTAATTGGAGACCAAAGTGTGGGATTTGCTTTGAGGTCATCAAAGAGAGAATGCATTTACAAACTAGCAGGTTAAAGTTAACATAAACTGGAAATCATGAGGAAATTAAGGATATCACTTTAAATTAACCATCTTAAGTAGACAAGTACTCTAAATGTGATAAGACAGCTATGGCACTTTAAGTCAATGCCAATTGGTAATTAAAAGCGGATTTTTTTCAGGCTTAGCTGCCCAGGAGGAGAGATCAATGTCTTCATACAGGAGCTGCTGGTCCTCAGGAGGTATGGTTTCATTAGCCCAGGGCCCCACTTGCCCTCCACTTGGCAATAATAATAATTTGTTCTTGTAATGAAATAATATTCCTTTACTGCAAATGCAGTGTGCACAGGAGTTCCAATGCGACCCTGAGTACGACCTGATATGGTGACGATTTCATGGAATTCTGGAATCCCAGAGCTGGAAGGTATGGAAGTCAGGTCAAGCCCCACTTCTTCACTTCAGAGATGTCACCAGGGGTTTGTAGAGTTGTTCATGGACCTAGAAGCACCTAGCTGTAAACTTCTGGGAGGTTCCAGGAAACATTGAATGGAAGTGTTTCCAGGTAGCTGGATATCCAGTTTTGCTCTTCCCTCCCTCCTTCCCTCCCTTTCTCCCTTCTTCCTCTTTTCTTCTTCTCTTCTTCCTTCTCTTTCTCCTCCTCCTCCTCTTCCTTCATCTTCCTGGTCCTTCCTCTTCCTTCTGTTTCTCCTCATTCTTCCTTTTCTTCCTCTTCTTCCTTCTTCTCCTTTTTTCTCCTCTCCCTCCTCCTCTCCTCCTAAACATCCCAACCCACTTATGGTGAATGCCCTACTGCCCATATGCAACCTCAGTCTTCTAGCTAAGTCAGCTTGCCCAGCCTTCTTGGGACATCCGGTACCTGTTCTAACCTGGCATTCCTTGTGGCTGAACCTCTGGAAGCACTTGGGGAGGGTGGCAGCAGGCGTGGGCCTCAGGGTAGACACCCAGAGCCATGTCCTTGGTTTTCCTATCAGATGATGGTTTTACCTTCAAGTAATTGAAAGTTACTTACCTTTTGACTCCACTTTACCTGTCTGCAAAGATGACCAAATGTAAGAGGTGGCTTTATCTTTGGTTGTCGCCTCCAAGAAGACTCCAAAAGAGTCCTAATATACAAAAAACATCCTAAAGCCCTACTGAGCCCCTGTTCTGGGAGCTGGCTACAGGACCCCCTGATGTGAGGGGTTTTAGCCATCTCTAGTCTGCCACGGGTGATGCCACTGGGCACCCACTGGGCACTTGGACACTGGGTTCTCTTCCCAGGCCCAGGGCTCTGGGGTAGGGAGCCAGTGCCCTGGATCCCCAAAAGTTGTGTGGGTGAATCCAGGGGTGGCACCTCAGTTTTTAAGTCAGTACAGACAGGCAAGCTGAAACCTAATTGGATGGAGCTGCCATTGGAAACAGTTTCCGCAGATTGCAGGGATCCACAGCTTCCGCGGATTGCAGGGATCCACAGAGTGGTGCTTCTCCAAGGCCACACCTACAATTCTGTTTTAAATGATCGGGGCTACAGTTCACGGACACACTACACACGAAGGCAGGACACTGGAGAGGAGAACTTATTGTGCTCATGGATTGAAGACCATGAAAATGCGATACGTGTTCACTCTGGGGCTTTCTCTTTGGCTGTCTTGGTCGCTCTCCATCTCTTTCTTTCTGTCTGTCTCTCTGTCTGCATGTGTGCACTTCTCTCTCCCTATTTTTTTTTTTAAGACGGAGTTTTGCTCTTGTTGCCCAGGCTGGAATGCAGTGGCGTGATCTCGGCTCACTGCAACCTCTGCCTCCGAGGTTCAAGCGATTCTCCTGCCTCAGACTCCAGAGTAGCTGGGATTACAGGTGCCCGCCACCACACCCGGCTAATTTTTGTATTTTTAGTAGAGATGGGATTTCACCATATTGGCCAGGATGGTCTCGATCTCTTGACCTCGTGATCCGCCTGCCTTGGCCTCCCAAAGCGTTGGGATTACAGGCGTGAGCCACCGTGCTCAGCCTCTATCTCTTTTTTGTCCCTTGTCTTTCCTTTCCTCTTCCCCACCCTGCTTTCTCCTTCCCCGCACCTATCCGTCTCCCTGAGCCTCTCTCCCGTCTCTCTGACAGTCTGTTCCACCCTCTGATACCATGCATCAAACTTCAGATCTAGAGTCCCCTGACTTCTTCAACACACTCTATCCTGGCCGCCAGCATATGAGTCCCTGGAGCCCCACAGCTGCCTACACTAATACAGGAGGCTTCATGTGGAAATGAGTGAAGTTTGGACAGCTCTCGCCTTGGCTCTGGCCAACTCCATCCAGTCCAAAAATGCACAAACCACTCACTCACAGGAGAATAATACATTACAGAAAAAAGAAATAAACTCATGTGTCTCTGTTAACACTGGACTTTCTTTTCTTTCTTTTGCTTTTTTTTTTTTTTTTTTTTTTGAGACAGAGTTTCGCTCTTGTTGCCCAGGCTGGAGTGCAATGTCGCGATCTCGGCTTACCAAAACCTCCGCCTCCCGGGTTCAAGCGATCCTCCCGCCTCAGCCTCCTGAGTAGCTGGGATTACAGGCATGCATCACCACATCCAGCTAATTTTTGTATTTTTAGTAGAGACGGGGTTTCTCCATGTTGGTCAGGCTTGTCTTGAACTCTCGACCTCAGGCGATCTGCCCGCCTCGGCCTCCCAAAGTGCTGGGATTACAGGCGTGAGCCGCCACGCCAGGCCAACACTGGACTTTCTTCTAGCAAAACGTGTCTCCTGCATCAACCAAGGGATGCATTGTGCACTTGCAGCTGAAGCTCAGATATGTGGGCTTGTTGTGTTTAATGTTTGGAGGAGAAGTCAACTGAGGAAAATTCTAAAGAAAAAGTTAACATTTCTGGAGCCTCTCCTTGCCATGCACAAGCGTGCAGGGTCTAACAGTGAGGGTGTCTCGGGAGCATGACCGCTTGGCAGCTGGTGGCAGATTTTTTTTCTTTTTTTGGGATGGAGTTTCACTCTTGTCGCCCAGTCTGGAGTGCAATGGTGCGATGATCTCGGCTCACTGCAACCTCCACCTGCTGGGTTCAAGCAATTCTCCTGCCTCAGCCTCCTGAGTAGCTGGGATTACAAGCGTGCGCCACCATGCCCGGCTAATTTTTTGTATTTTTCGTAGAGATGGGATTTCATCAGGCTGGACAGGCTGGTCTTGAACTCCTGACCTCATGATCCGCCTGATGGCGGAATCTTTGCGGATTGCATTAAGTGCCTAGACTCACAGCACCAGCTCCCACAATGTGGCATAAAGATAAAAAAAAAAGAAAAAGAAAAAAAAGAAAACGAAAGCCAGGTTGAGCAAGAAACTACAAACAGTGTAATCCAATTTTTTAAGTGACAAATGCACAGAGAAAGCCTCTTGGAAGGAGGAAAGCATTGATTCCTGACCACCCGTAGGAGCCTCTGAACGCCGTTTATCTTGTTATCTTGGGGTCTTCCTGTCGTATCTATAGTAGGAACTGTTTACTTTCACAGCAGTGGGTACTATTATTAGCATCTTGTTTGAAATGAGAAAACTGAGGCAGAGAGAGATTAAATGACCTGGACTCCTGTGGTTAACTCCAGAATCTACGTGCTTAGCCCTACCCTTGATCAGATGACAGGCGCTATTTGCTAAGATAAGTTGTTGTCCCCGGGGGTTGGGATTACAGATGGTGTTTTTTCCCTTTTTCTTTTTGTATATATGTACTCTTTTTTTTTTTTAATGGTGAGCATACACCAACAGAATAATAAGCAAAGAAACAATAAAACGATCTAAGCACTGAGGGCAAGTGAAGCCTCCTTGGCCAGCATTATCCACAGTGCTGTCACACTGGTAGAAATTACTGTGATACGAGGTCAGGAGATCGAGATCATCCTGGCCAACATGGTGAAACCTCGTCTCTGCTAAAAATACAAAAATTAGCCGGGCGTGATGGTGGGCACCTGTAATCCCAGCTACTGGGGAGGCTGAGGCAGGAGAATCACTTGAACTTGGGAGGCAGAGGTTGCAGTGAGCCGAGATCATGCCACTGCACTCCAGCCTGGGTGACAAAGCGAGACTCCGTCTAAAAAAAAAAAAAAATTATAAAACAAAAAATGTCTGTGATAGCTTGGCTCCACCCACCCAGCTTTCAGGGTGTGGACATGGGCCATGGAGCCCCCTGGCCTCCGAGGAGAGAGGCTGCCTTGATCCCTCTTTATCTGGGGCTGTTGAAACTGCACCTGGATTCTATGTACAGCTCTTAGCTGAACATCCCTGGAGATGTCAACAAATCGGGCGTTGTTTAGAGAATCGCAGCAGGAATGATTAAGGAAAGAGCGGAACGGATTTGTCAGGATGGCTTTATGAAAGCTAAACACGAGGCTTGCAGTGATGACAACAGTCTGCAAGTAGGACAGGGGTTGGGCACCGGAGCACGGGAGGGGCACTGCTGCGCTCGCATGGAGAAGACCCCAGGGAAGCTCGCAGGACAGACCAGCAGCTTCCTGGCTGTAGAGGAAGGGAAGTGTGCTCAGAATGGGCTGGCACTGGGACTGTGGAAGAACCATTCCCACCGGCCGTCACAGGCATCATTGGGCTTTGCTGGGCATCACTGGGCATCACTGGACATCACTGAACAACACTGGGCAACTCTGGGTATCACTGCACTTTACTAGATATCACTGGGCCTCACTAGATACCACTGGGCTCTACCGGGCATCACTGGATATTTCTGGGCATCACTGCACATCACTGGGCTTTCCTGGGCATCTGGATATCTCTGGACATCTCTGTGTATCACTGGACATGTCCATCACCTGGCATCACTGGACACCACTGGGCACCACTACATATCATTGGGTCTTACTGGGCACCACTGGGCATCACTAGGGCATCACTGGGCATCTCTGGACATCACTGGGCACCACTACATATCACTGGGTCTTACTGGGCACCACTGGATGTTGCTGGGTATCATTGGTGATCACTGGACATCACTGGGCTTTAGTGGGCATCTGGATATCTCCGGGCACCACTGGGCATCCCTAGGGCATCATTAGGGCATCACTGGGTGTCACTGGGCATCACCGGGCATCACTGTATATCACGGGGCTTTACTAGACATCTGGGTATCACTGGGTTTTACTGGGCATCACTGGGCTTCACTGGGCATCTGGATATCTCTGGGTATCATTGAGCATCACTGGACCTTGCGTCATTGACGGGTGCGTCAAGGCTGTGAGAAGCTGGAGACCTGCCCAGGAGGAGGAATCCTCTGACCCGGCTTTGACTTTTCAATACAGTTGGGTCATTGATGCTTACAGTGAGGAGACGTGCACAGGGGCAGGCGACTGTAAGGGGTGGTGACGGAAAAGTGGTTGGGAGTGTGGTCCTGGGCTGACAATGCCCCAGGCCTTCTCTGTAGAGATAAGTTGGTTGAGAGGGAGGGGCCCATCCACCAGAGACCATGAATCTGTCTGGTTGTCGCCTGGGCTGGCGTGTAGTGGCACAATCTCGACTCACTGCAACCTCCATCTCCCAAGTTCAGGCAATTCTTGTGCCTCAGCCTCTGAGTAGCTGGGATTGTGCATCCAGCTTTTTTTTTTTTTTTTTTTTTTTTTTTTTAGTACAGATGGGGTTTCACCATGTTGGCCAGTCTGGTCTTGAACTCCTGGCCTCAAGTGATCCCCCCTCCTCAGCCTCCCAAAATACTAGAATTGCAGGTATGAGCCACTGTGCCGGGCCATCTTGTCTCTTGAATAAATGACAGAGCATGACTGGGCCCCTGTCTGCTCAGGCTGGCCTGGTATCGGGATCATATCACCATTTGGGGAGCAATTTCTATGATTATTTCCTTCCTTCATTTTACTGCATTTAGTCAACCTTCAACCTGTTTTTGCCCAGTGGAAACTCTCCTCTGCTTTCTACTTTCTTGGTATAGCTCTTTAGTATAGAAAAATTAAGGGTTTATAAATGTCATTGCTTGCTTTCTTGTGACATAATTCTCTAAATTGAAAAAAAAAATGCAGAAGCAGGAGTGCCCAGCCCTCCGGGATGATTTAAAATTGATCTATCAGTTCATTCCATCATTTTGATGGCTCTTTCTTTGCTTTTAAATATATTTAAGTTTTATGTCCCATCTGGTGCCAAGAATAATTTTGCACATCCTTTAAAACAAAGCAGAATAGAAATCAGGATAATTGGAAAGTTCTGCCAGACCCAAAGCCAGTGAAAAAGCAGAAAGGAGCAGTGACTCTGGGCTTCCTGGGCACCAGCATTAATCATTAAGCAAAACCCACTGGGCAAATGCTGGGCACTGGATGGAGAAAGTACAACTATAAAATAAACAAAGAAACATGTCTCTTCTTGGTGAGACACTGATAATCCAGAGTGGGAAGGAGAAGCATTTAAAAATAAATCTGTTGTTATAACATGGAAGGGCTGGGTCGGGCTACCTATCTAATTCCACGAGAGAACAGAGAAGGGAATTCATAACTTCAGCTCTTAATGAAATTTAACTTTGAGCTTCCTGGCAGCCCAAGGAAAAGATGAAATGGGTTGGGTTGGGTTTTATAATTCTCATTGCTCAAAGAAAATGACTGGACTTTAAGAAATTGCATAAACTGACTGGTTCACTAAATTGATCAAATACTCCGACTGCAAAAAAAAAAAAATGATGTTCTCGTAGTGATTTTGAGAGTTTTCCATAATAAATAAGTGAAAAAAGTAAGTTGAAGAACAACATGTAAGGTAATCCCCTCCTTGAAAGCACAAAATAAAAAGTTTTGAGCACCTGGAGAACAATTCCAAATGGCTGCTCCCCAGCCTGCCAACAGCAGCGCTCCCTGCAGGGCGTAGCTTCGGGGAGGAGGCCTGGACCTTTTCCTTGTATTCATCTCTACTGGTCAATTTGTTCAGACATCTCTTCCTTTCCTAATTAGAAAAAAAAAATCAAACAGGGGAAATACACCTGCAAACAGTATATACGAGGGGAAGAAAGCTTCCCCCGAGACACTTCTCAGAGTGGAGGTGGGTTAGGCCTTGGTGAGCCACCCCGAGAAGGGCTTCAGGCTTCCCACGGCCAAGTGCAAAGGGCAGGGCCCTTCTGCTGCATGAGACGCTGAAAAAGGCTGCAAAGGAGGAGGCTGCCTTTGGCTCCCCTAAACCAGCCCTGCCCCTGAAAGTAGGCGCTGGTGACCTGAGCACAACAGGCCCAATTTAAGACTGTTTCTTTTTTTTTTTTTTTTAATAGAAAAATCAAAAACAAACCAAGAGGCGAGTGGCAGAGACACCAAGTGCTCACCGCTGGTCTCCTCTCGCCTCTGCCTGGGAGGATCGGGTCCCCTTTCTCCATCCCGGAGCCTAGAGGCTCAGATCAGAATCTGGAGCTGCGGGTCACGCACGGTGCCAGAGGTTTAGGTTGACAACAATGATGGAGGCTTTCCTGCGATAAACGGCTCAATCTTCCCTGGAATCTGCACTCTCTCAGCTTTATGGCTGCCCATGCTGGAGCTTTGCAGACTGAACCATGTCAGAGGTCACTCTGGGCAGAGCTGTGGACGGATCCCTCCCTATCAGATGTCCCCAGTGGCCCCAGCAGGACGGAGTCAGTGGGACCATCTCTGACCTCACATGCAGACACGGAGGTCCAGCCGGCTGCCTGGGCTTGGTAGGGCTGTTGGCAGATTACTTCCTGGGCCTCCATCTCCTCATCCATAAAAGGGACAATCATTTCTGCCGGGGGGGTTGGGGTGGGGCAGCCACGATGTGAGAAAGCAAGTTAAAGTATTAGGTAAAAACATAATGTGCCAAATACAAACAGTTGAGAGCTTAAATACTGCATCAGGCAAATCTAAATTATTACAATCTGAATCCTGCCACGATCTGGGTGACCTTAGGCTATTCATTCAACTAACAGCTGAACATCAGTTCCCTCACTTGTAAAATGGGCAGAAATAACTACCCTCACCTCAGAGCACATGCCAGGCATCCGTACACATTCTCCAAGCACCCTATCTCCAACTGTGTCTCCTGCCCCTCCTCTATTTACTTCCTTCTTCTCCAGGCATTACCATCCAGCCTCATCGTATTTATCTCTTTATAATCTCCTCCTGTCCATCCATCCCTGCAAGGAGATTTCCGCAAGGACGGGGACTTTTGTCTGTTTTATCCTCTCCTGTATCTCCAGTGCCCAGTGCAGTGTCCGGCACATGGTAGATGCACAATAAATGACTGGGAAATAAACAAAAGATTAGCTAGGCTGTTGTTACATCGTATCATAGTGTATCTACAAGGTAATTGTTAAATCAACTTGCAATGAATAATAATATTTAATATTATTAATAATTTAATAATATTTAATATTATTAATAATTTAATGATATTTAATATTATTAATAATTTAATGATATTTAATATTATTAATAATTTAATGATATTTAATATTATTAATAATTTAATGATATTTAATATTATTAATAATTTAATGGTATTTAATATTATTAATAATTTAATGGTATTTAATATTATTAATTTAATGATATTTAATATTATTAATTTAATGATATTTAATATTATTAATAATTTAATGATATTTAATATTATTAATAATTTAATGATATTAATATTATTAATAATTTAATGACATTAATATTAATAATTTAATGATATTAATATTAATAATTTAATGATATTTAATATTATTAATAATTTAATAATATTAATATTAATAATTAATAATATACACATATTATATATAATATGTATATATTATATATAAATAATATATAATAATTATATATTATATAATATATAATATAATATATATAATAATATATTATATAATATATAATATAATATATATAATATATAATAATGATATATTATATAATATATATAATAATAATATATAAATAATATATAAATATATAAATATTATTATTTATATAATTAATAATAATAAATTAATGCATTTTATTTGGAAAGTTCTTTATTCTAAAGAACTCCTTTTCTGGAGACTTTACACCTTTGGGCGTAAAGTTCTAATCCAGAAGCAGGAAAAGAGTGAGAAAAGGGTGGTTGCTGTAGTATATTTTAAATTGTTACATTCACATGCGTGAGGAAATTTTAAATCTGACTCCCACTGTGGTCACCCTCCCTTCCACCTCCTCCTGCCCTAGGTAGAGCTGGCTTTCTTACCAGCTGCATTCACCTCCACTCTCATCATAGCTCTCAGGTCAAATTTTCCTGTGTTCTCAAAGCAAAGTGAGCTCTGGAGGTGTGCACATTCCTAGGTTCCAGGAAATTCCACCTTACAGAAATCCCATAACTGAGACACTGCCCCATCCAGGCTGCAGGTCTGAGCAGAAGGTCCTCCATGCAAAGCAGCTGCTGTGCAACTTTCTCCCAGTGAGGAGCAGAGTTCAATTCTTTGAGGACCTTTGCAGAAGCGTCTGCACCAGGGCGAAATCCAGGGGCCATGGGGAAGGTGGGGATGAGAGCCGCCGAGAACGAGCCCAGTGAGCTTAAGTTGGAAAAGAAAGACGCAACCAGAGCTGGATTCTGGAGAGGATTCTGATTAATTGGACCCATCCTTGCCCTCCCAATTCCAACGTTCTTCTCAAATAGAATGAAACATCGAGGGAGGGGCCAGCCATTGAAACATGGAGTTCTGGGGACAACCCTGTCATCGGAGCATCTGCTGCATCTGGCACCCGCCCCCTCCCACCTTCGGCATGTGAGCATCTGGTTTGACTTTCTTGCTTATCTGAATGATTCCAATTGCAACACCATCTCGTCTGTGGTTTCACTGTTCATTATGAAATCATGTTTTACTTTTAAAATGCAATAATGGTGGAACCAAGCTAATTAGGCACCGAAAACAAAATCTCACAGTAAGGAGGGTTTTCTTTTTTACCCATGACAGGAGAGCTGGGATCAGATTATTGCTAAATCTGATTTGCAGTAGGCTCAGAGTGAGGTATCAGCTTAAGGGTTTTAATTGATTTCGGTGACCTTGTGCCAGAAACAACTTTTTAGGAAAAATTAATAGCAGAAAAGAAAGCGGTTATGACTCATTGGAATGAGAGATCAGACATCTTCCGCCTCTCAATGTCATCATCTTTAAAACTGTGACAGAAATATCCAATTATTTCCTCAAAGCTGCAAAGACTTTGATCATATAACACTCATGTAAGATGCAAGGAACCAAAATCAAAATATATGTAGCTTGCTTAATAAGTATTAATATCTTTTAACTCCCCCTAAGAGTCTGCTTTCTTAATGCTATAGATTAAGCAAAATAAAAGACCTGCAAATTCCAAGATGAGGTTGTCTTTTCAAATTGTTAGCTCAAAAAGGGGCTTAGTCACCTATAGCCCCAGCTGATTCCTTTTCTCTGCTAATGACCCTCTTTCTCCAGGGTCACTGTGTTCCTCCGTCATCTGCCATAATTCCTCTGATATTCCTGCCCACACCCTCAGTATATGCTGGGCCACCAGCTGGCCCGGCACTTTTTGGACATAGCCCACACCCAGTTTGGAGAATAGCTATCTGGAGAATAGCCCACAGCCTGTTCCTCTGTTAGAGGTTCCATTTACCGGATGCTTGCTATTAGGTCGGACTACACGAAATTGCCATTTTTTGTTGGTCAAAAGCAGTTGGAGGTTGGCAGTATTGTAGGGTTCAAACAAATGGGTGCCAGGCACAGAAAGAAGAGCCTATGTGTTTCCAAAAGACGGTTTGGCACTCAGGTTATGATGTGCTTTGATGCCCGGCTTAAAACTTACCTTGTAGGCCGGGTGCGGTGGCTCACACCTGTAATCCCAGCACTTTGGGAAGCCGAGACGGGCGGATCACAAGATCAGGAGATCAAGACCATCCTGGTCAACACTGCGAAATAAAAATACAAAAAATTAGCCGGGCGTGGTGGTGGGCGCCTGTAGTCCCAGCTACTTGGGAGGCTGAGGCAGGAGAATGGTGTGAACCCGGGAGGCGGAGCTTGCAATGAGCCGAGATCGCACCACTGCACTCCAGCCTGGGCGACAGAGCGAGACTCCGTCTCAAAAAAAACCAAAAACCAAAAACCAAAAAACTTACCTTGTAGCCTTCAGCATGTGACCTTGAGTCACCGTGCCTCAGTTTCCCCATCTGTGAAATGGAGGTAACAGGGGCACCGGTGTCATGGGGAGGGTGTGATGAGTGAAAGAAGTGGTGGTGGAGGTGCAGAACTTAGGATGTCACCCAGTGCTACAGGAGCCAGCAAGCCCACAACAGTTCCGAGACCAGAGGACACCATGCCGGTGGCTTGCTCGACATCTCTCCACTCCTTCCAGCCAAGGAGCATGCTGCTCAGATAAACCTTCCAGCCCCCTTCACCACACGCAGCTGCCTCTGTCCTTCAGATTCGTGGAGCTGGGGCCTGAGGACTTCCCTTCCCCTTGGCCTGACCATGTTGATCAGCCAACACCCAAACACCTGAGTTCCTCGATACTTTCTGAGGTGATTTAAGTCCCTGGTGTTACACAAGGATCAAAGGCGAGTCCCTGAATACGAGAAGCTAATTTGGTTGCCAGGTATAAAAATAATCTTGCATTTTTGCATGACAGAAATATTTACTGAGATGATTTTTATTTTCTGCAGGAGGGCAAACCCTCACTCATTTGAGGAGGGTCTCAGCTGTCGCTTTTATTTTAATTTCTAAACTTTATTTTTTAGAACAACTTTCTTCCTTCCTTCCCTTCTTCCTTCCTCCCTTGCTTCCTTCTTCTCTCTGTCTCTTTCTTTCTTTCATCTGTCTCTCTTTCTCTCTCCTTCCTTCTTTTCCCTTTTCTTTTCTTTTCTTCTTGTCTCCTCTCTTCCCTTTTCTTTTCTTTGATGGGGAGACTTGCTATGTTCAGCCCAGACTGTTCTGGAGCTCCTGTCAGCCATCTCTTCACTTGGGTTTCATTTTTTGGGGGGTGGAGTGGGGGACAAGTTTGTCTTTTCCCCCTTAGCCCAATTTATCTCCAGTGTTTTCATTCTCAAGGGCTATATATTTTGGTGGCTTCAACACTAGGGCTCTAATTGCACAATAAAACAAAAGAATCCCTCCCAAGGGACCAGGCTTGTCCCAGAAGTTCCCCTGGAGTCAAGCTTTGGAGGGCACACAATGACCTCCTCCACAAACAAACAAATAAATCAGGCCTCCTTCCGGTTCTCCTTCCAACAACGGTGCATAAACAGTGCCAGCCTCCCTGGCCAGGGCGTTGGAGGCTCCCGCAGCTTCTACCAGTCTCAGCGGGAGGTTTGCCTGGACTGTCTGGCAAACATCTCAGCCCATCCCGCAACTATTTTCTCAGTGCCTGTGGGTCTCCCATACTCCAAGAAAAGACATCTGGTGTGCCCAGCACCCCCACCCCCATCATCCTAAAGGAAAATATGTCCATTGATTTCTGATCTCTGTACCGTTAATTCACCCCTCACCCTCCACTGCTTTGGACGGTGACAGGCAAGAAGGGGGTTGAGACTTTCAAATATACATATCTATGTTTAAAGCATTTTGTTTTGTGAACCAGGATGTTGCACTCGTCCAATGGCAAATGTACTGGATCCCCCAAAGACTCCACGTTCAGAAGCAGAATCTGCCAAACTGGACGGAGCCCAGCTCTGGCCGGCGCCTTCTGTCTCCTGGCTGCTGAGAGGCTGAAATGTCAGGCACTCGCCCCTCTGCTCTCAGCCACTCTTCCTGAGTGACCAGGCCTGAGAAGCCCTCCCCTCAGGGATGGCGACCTCTCCCCTGCCCACTCCCCAGCTGAGCTCACCTTTGTAGGTAGGAATGAGCAGGTAGGAAAGGGGAGAGAAGGCCACGGAGTTTTCAAAGGAGGTGCCCTAAAGCAAGAAGGAACAAGCCTCGTCCTGGGAATGTTTCGCACCATCATTCAAAGAGAATCAGAGCTCCTGTGAATCCAGGGGCTGGGGGGTCATGGCCTGCCTTTGACCCTGACATCCACGCTGGGACCTGAGTTCTGCATTCATCCCCATTTCACAGAGGGGGAAACTGAGACCCAGAGAGTTGGGAGACCTGCCCACTACCTGCTACTGAGAGTCTGACCCCAGAGCCATGAGCCCCTCAGTGCTATGCATGGGGACCCCGCTGGGCGTGTGGATCCAATCGCGGAATGAGGGATTCTGCCAATGACCCACCGTCCCAGAGGAGGGCTTGAGAGGAAGATCATGTCTGGTTTATTCTTAGAAGCGCTGTCTACCAAGCCTCTGAGTTCCTGGCTCTAAGCGGGAAATTGCAATTGCATTTAGAGCACCCCTATCTGCCAGGTTGACGAGGAATGCCCTCTAGCATTGGGTGTGCTCCTTTCTTCTCTAACATGGGATTTCCTCCACCCCAGCTTGTGTGGACCCTGGGAAAGCCAGGGAGGAGAGGCGGGAAGAGGAGAGGGGGCTTGCTGCTGGCTGTCAAAGGATGGGGCTGGATCCTGGGTGCCCCATCTTCCTGTCCTCTGGCCTAAGATGCTAAATTCAGTTTTCTAAGGATCGTTTTCACCTTGCCAAGGTGCTACTGAGAATCCCTTTTCTAGGCCCATCAAACAACCCTTCTCTGGGACCCTACAGGTTCAGGAGCGAGTGGCAGAGGCGGGGCACTGAGGACTCTACTGGCTTTGTCATCTGAAAGGCTCCAGGATGGAGGGAAGGGAAGGGGAAGTGCAGAAGGAGGGGCTACTGGAAGAACCGACTCCCGGGCATGTGCAGGGAAGGCAGGCGAGTCTAGGGCCACCTGCTTCCAGGATATGGGTTTCAGGCCTGATTGCAACTCATTCCCAGCAGCTCCTGCCCTTCCCACCCCTCAGGCCCCATGGACCCCAGGAAAACCTCCCAGGCAGCGAATGCTGACAGGCTGAGAGGAGCTAGATTATCTGCTTTGGGTTAAAATAAAACAAAATCAGAATTTTAGGGAGGGAAAGAAAGAGGTAAGCTAGGGACATGGCGTGCAGGGTGGGGGCCGAGCCCATCTCTTGGGGATGGCCCGAGCTTGTTTTTCCTGGCCCCACTCTTCATGGCACCACTACGGTCACTTTCAGAGAGATCCACCTCCCGGCCCTCGCCTGCTCAGGGCTGAAATCCTGCAAGGGAGACTGAAAGCTGGACCCGTAGGCTGTGGTGTCGGCCTCCTGGAAGCCCCACGGACTCTGAAAGCCCGGGGAAGCGACCAGCAGTGAGGCCCATTGGGCGGCGCTGGCCAGTGTTGGGTGGTTGCAGAAGCGGCAGCCTTTGCAAGTCTCTGGCGCGGTGACCAGGCTGGAAACGGGAGACGGTGGCCTCGCATTTGACCTTTCACCTCCTCTCTACTAAATAGGCCTAATTATTGCATTCGTCTGTCACTGGAGCCACAAATGATCCATTCAGGTCACGGAGGGGAGGCTGCCTGTGCAGCCCCTGTCTGGAGAGTTCCACTAATTGTATCCTTTAGGCGCAGTTTGGCAGAGGTTTGCACAGGGTGAAGTTTCGAGGGAGACCCTTTGTGCCATGTGCCCCCAGGGGAAAGGATGGCACCGTATCCTGGGCATCCTTCTCAGTGAGGTCCAGGCTTCTGGCTCTCTGGGCACCTGAGGATGGAAACATCCTTTCTTGGGCCCTGGGTCTGAATTCTAGGGTGTCTTGTCTGCAGCTTGGCCAGTGCTCACTGTCTACCCCAGGGCGGTGCTCTCTAGGGTCGGCTATGGTCCCCAATACCCAGGCTCCCCGGGCCTGCCATGCCCATGAGGAGCCCACATTTCCCAGCCTCCTTTGCAGTTGGGTGACCATGTAACCCAGTTCTGGTCATGGCCTGTGAGCCAGGGGTGTGTCACCTCTGGGCCTGGCCCATAGAAGCCCCTGTGACCAATCCTCAGCATCTTTCCCCACTTGCCACCAAATTGGAAGGATTCCAGGAGCAGGGGGCAGGGGTACAGGATGGAGGAAGCCTGGCCCCAGGTGACTCTGGGGAGTGCAGATAACCACAGCACCCCAACCTGTGTTATAGGCTATGTGAGCACAAGGTAACATTATTTAGTTAAGTCATTCAGATTAGGTTAGGTATATTTAATGTTGAGACTTGGATGTTTAGCACTTGTTTAGCACTTGGCCTACTCTGACTCATGCACTTAGGAGCTGAACCCCACGTTTATCTCAGAAGCTAACATTTTCAGCTAGGGGATGATAATGTGACAGCCTCCCTTGCAGCTAGGGTTGGTCAATGGCATGTGAGTTAACATTGCTGGGAAGACCTCTAACAAACCTTCCTGAGAAAAAAACCGACAAGTGTTAGCTCAATCCCTTTTCCCTCCTGCTGCCTGGGATGTAGATATGATGGCTGGAGTTTCAGCAACCATCTTCAGCCATGAGGTGTTAGGGATGTTAAAGCAAGAGAAGGAAGAAGTTTGAGTCCCTGTGGCTGTGCGGCCACTGTAGTGACCCTAGACTCAATATATAAAATAATAAAGAAAACTATAGTTTTTAAAACCACCATTATTTTGGTTTTTTTATTAAATGTATTGGCACCTAGTGCTACCAACTAAATTCCTTATCCATAAAAAAGTAGGAACCCTGCAACAATTAACTGAGGTGGTATGATATATGTAAAGTGAGGCATGATAATACATCTAAAGTGAAGCAGGATGATATGTGTAAAGTGAGGCAGGATAATACATGTAAAGTGATGCTGGATGATACATGTAAAATGAGGCAGGGTGACACGTGTAACGTGAGGCAGGATGACACGTGTAAAGTGAGTTGGGATGACACGTGTAAAGTGAGATGGGATGACACGTATAAAGTGAGGCAGGATGACACGTGTAAAGTGAGGTGTGATGATACATGTAAAGCATACAGTACATAGCAGCAGCCAAATACAGCCTATGCCAGAGCTTCTGCACTCTGTTACATTGCTCACATGCTTCTCTTTCTTATTTAATTATGTCTTTTTTTCTCAGTGACAGGGTTCTTGTGTTATTTAATTATTTTTTTTTTTTTGAGATAATGTCTCGCTCTGTCACCTGGAGCTGGAGTGCAGTGACATGTTCTCAGCTCACTGCAACCTCCGCCTCTTGGGTTCAAGCAATTCTCCTGCCTCAGCCTCCCAAGTGGCTGGGATTACAGGCACCCACCACTACGCCTGGCTGATTTTTGTATTTTTAGTAGAGACGAGGTTTCATCATGTTGGTCAGGCTGGTCTTGAACTCCTGACCTCAAGCGATCCACCTGCCTCGGCCCCACAAAGTACTGGGATTACAGGCATGAGCCACCGTGCCTGGCTGTGCTATTTAAATTGTAACCTTACCCTAGTGCACAGTAGGATTAAAATTGTTTTTATTTGTAGGAAATTTTAGTCTATCACTTTATCTGTTATTTGAATACTTAAAAATACACCATTCACTTTCATATCATTATCTATCTATCAATCATCTATCTATCTATCAATCTATGAGAAATAAGCACTGTGGAAATAAGGGAGATGAGAATTGAATAGTAGAATGAAGTTTGGGATAATGTAGACATAGAAGTTCCTAATTTAAAGTTATATACAATTTCCAAATGGTCATAAATTCGCCTCTGAGTTTCCTAAGAGCCAAAACACAAGAGAAATAAGGTAGCTTCTTCCAGGATTTCAGTGTGTGTGTCTGTGGGGGGCGGGGGGGCGCAAAGTTTAAATATAGAAAACAAAAATGTTGCTTGGCATACATGCAATGTACCCTCATGCCCGACACTGCAATCCGAGAGGAAGCCCTTGACATAGTAGATGCCATGCTGAATGTTGTCCCCAGGACTTCAAAGATCACATTTGTCTATTTCCGACTTTGTTACTCAAGATAAACCAAAGATGCGGGGCCACAGCTCTAACTGGTGAAAAGAATCCTAAGAGGGCTCACAGCAATGCCACGGCCAGAGGACGGCAGCCAAGGGCTAAATGTGCTGGCTCTGGATTCAAATCCTGGCCACTTACTTGCTGTGTGGCCACTTCCATGGGACTTTAGCCAAGCTGCCTCATCACCTCCTGAGCCTCAGTTTCTTCTTCTGTGAAACAGAGTTAAAAATGAACGTGCATGAGACAGTGGGGCCACCTCCTTGCCTGGAGTCCAAGCTGCCTCTGCGCACGCCCACCTCCTCCATGCTTTTCCTCGCAGCTTGTCTCTGCCGTCTAAGGTTCCATGGTGCCTCCCACATTCCCAGACGTTCACGGCCTGAGGCCAGAACACTCCCCATTCCCGGAGTTGCACCTGACCAACGCCCTGGCCATGGAGTCATCACAGCAGCCCCACAAACACCAGCATCCATGCCAGAGCTTCCCACTGAGAGTGGGTTTCAGATGGGGCCGTTCTTTACTCTTTCCACTCCCTCAGCAATGCAAAGAAAGGGAAGGAACCAACAAGAGGCCTCTTTTCTTTTCTTTTTTTTTTTTCTTTTGAGACAGAGTCTCGCTCTTTCACCCAGGCTGGAGTGCAGTGCCACAATTTTGGCTCACTGCAACCTCTGCCTCCCAGATTCCAGCAATTTCCTGCCTCAGCCTCCTGAATAGCTGGGATTATCGGTGCCTGTCACTACGCCTGGCTGATTTTTGTATTTTTAGTAGAAACAGTGTTTCACCATCTTGGCCAGGCTGGTCTTGAACTCCTGACCTCATGATCCACCCGCCTCTGCCTCCCAAAGTGCTGGGATTACAGGCGTGAGCCACCATGGCCCGCCTTTTAACTTGGTTCTTCTGTAGCAAAAGGGTGAGCCCGCCCAAGTGATACCAATTCATGAAAGCCAGGATGTCAAGGAACCGACATCAGACACACAGCCAAATGCTACCAGTTGGCCCTGCAATTGCCTTTCATTATTCTTTGTGAACTGACAGTAAAACTCTTTGTGAAAGGCAGTAAGAAAACATCCAGGACTCTCTTGGACTCTGGGCTGCTGGGTTTGGTTGTGCAGGTTGTTTACTGCCCAAGGTGCCTGGCCAAGGAGACACGTGGGGGTTGAAGGCCAGCCCATCCTGCACTCCCCAGGCCTTGCACCTGGCTCAGGGCTAGATATGTCAGGAGAAAAAGCACCTTTTTCTAATTTGCACAAAGATGCCATAGGGGCTACTGGCAGCCGGCTTAGATCACTGGCTGGTAAGCCCCCTGTCTTTGTGTGGTTTCTACCTCTTTTTGTTGATGGAGGTTTCCAAATTGAAAGCAAGCATTGAAAGCATGTTGTGGGGATTTGGGGCATGAGGCTGCAGTGAGCCAAGATCATGCCACCGCACTTCAGCCTGGGCAACAAGAGTAAAACTCCATCTCATTAAATAAATAAATAAAATAAGTGACATAGTATTTACTTTAAAATACGTGATTTAGTAAAATAAGCAATGTATAGCTAAGGTTATCTTATAATTTATCATCAAAGTGAGACATTTTTCAAGTAAAGGGCCCACTGTGATGAGTGTGCCGGGACCGCAGCCGTAATTCAGGAAGGTCCTGAGGAAACCAGTATTACATTTGCCTCAGTTGAACTCTGTAATATTATTCTATGCCGTCAGGGTGTTTGTAGCATGGAAAACCACTCACTGCATTTGATCTATGGGTGTCCATCATCCAGATATTATTATTGTCCCCGTGGTCCCTACAGAAGTTGCCTCCAGTGTTCTCATAAAGTAGGAGGGTAAATGCAATGCGGAGAACTTGACTCAGAAAATACAGAATAAATTTTCAGTAATTTTGAAAGTAAAAGAGAAAGACAGTTTGATGAATACAGACATTTGTTCCATTTTGTTTCGTTGTTCTTGTTATTGAAATGAGTACACCCATAGCAAACCGAGAGCATGAGTATCTAATAGAAATAGGACATCTTCTCAGGAAGCAATGTCTGTGAGATGGGTAATAAAATTATCCAAAGCAAAGGCATCCTGGAATAGACTAACAGATGGAAGAGCCAAGATCCTACATTAGGTAAATTTCTTACTTCTGGATCAATTCTCTTCGATGCTTAAAATAATTACAGCTCCATAGATAAAATTCAATCTCCCTCTGAATGTAAAATTCTTTAGGCTCTCATTCTCCTCGCCCTGGATTTCTTGCCCTGAGCCCTTCTTGTGCATTTGAATTTCATTAGCTTTTGTGAAAATATTGCCCCATAGGACCATGATTTCCCTCATTTCAATATAATGGGAAAATGTCACAAATGGCACTGTGGTTTATAGTTTTGGAACATCATTTCAGGTGAAGGTCAAGGTGAAAGTTCCAACTTTATCTTGGCAGGCACTTTATAGATAGATGCTCAGGAAATGTTTGCTGAATAAATGGGACAAAGAATGGTTTCTGGGGAAGACCAATGTGATGGGTATTCTCCGCTTGCAACCTACTCTGTAACTTAAGAGCAGTGATTAGGGGATCATTCGAGGCAGGAGTAGAGCTGTCTGTGGCACCATCTTCCCAGCCCCCTCCCTGTGGAGTCCCCCATCTGTGCCCCATCTCTGGCTCAGCAGTCCCTCCTGCTAAGCTTCAGTCCTTCCTTCTTTCCCTTCTTCATGCCCAGTGGTAGAACCCGTCCCCATATGCCACCTGTAAGGGGCTGAACTGGGCATTACCATTCACATACCTCACTCACAACTTTGTACACGGTCTTTTGTCCAACTCTCTTCAAATTTCCCAATTTGACTTCACCACCATGCCATTTCTGTCCAGAAGCTAGACAGTTCGCTGCTGGCCCTCACCTTGCTCATTGGGCAAAGATTCAAATTTAACTTGTCCAACTCCAAGAAGATCATATGTGCAGTAGAGCTCACAAAAAGCAAAATAGTGTTTGAAATTGGCATCATGTCAGAATCATTGTGCCTGGGTCAGGTGACCTGAATGGAAGGCTGGGAGGAGGGGGCTTCAAATGTTTACTATATTTAAAGTTTGGGTCGGGGGCGGTGGCTCACATCTGTAATCCCAGCACTTTGGGAGGTTGAGGCAGGTGGATCTCTTGAGGTCACGAGTTCGAGACCAGCCTGGCCAACATAGTGAAACCCTGTCTCTACCCAAAATACAAAAATTAGCCAGGCATGGTGGTGGGTGCTTGTAATTCCAGCTACTTGGGAGGCTGAGGCAGGAGAATCACTTGAACTTGGGAGGCGGAGGTTGCAGTGAGCTGAGATCGTGCCATTGCACTCCAGCCTGGGCAATAGAATATAATAATATTCTCAAAAATTAATAATTCTCAAAAAATAAGAATAATACAAATAGTACAAAAAAATAAAGTTTGGAAGGAGAGGCCAACCCACTTCTCAGAGCGAGCAATTGCCTGGAAACTGGAAGACTGGGGCAGTGTCTATTGTGCGCCGTGACCTTGGGCAAATCCCTTGATATCTTGCATTTTAATTTCCTTGGAAAAAATCTGAGGTGGGTTGGAGACTCCACTAATAACAATACACGTAAAGACCTTTGCCAAAGCAAGTTCAATCCCATTCTCGGTGCTTTTTTCCGAGGTTATTTTTGTGTGCCAGTGCATGCATGCGACCATATTTGATAAGGTATTTCCTGGAGGTGTTTGCGAAAGTCCATCCAAGCCAGGGGGTCGCTGAACCTCAGGAACTGACCAGCCCCTCCTCCAGCAGAGTGCCGTAGGGGAAAGAGAATTCCACATGGACCCTATTTTTGTAGCATTTTCCCTGAAATAGGAAGGCAAGATTCTGTCTCATGTTGCATGCTGGTGGCTTTCCCTCCCGCGAGCACTCCCACCCTCTGAAGGAAGGACTTCCCTTGGCCTCTTGCTTCCTTAGCAGATTTCCTCAGGCCCTCGCTCAGGGGAATGCCGACTCCGCAGGAAGACACCCGCGACCAAGGCCTGCCCCAGGCCCTCGCTATCTGACCGTGGATCCCACTTGAATCCTTTCCGTTCCTCTGGAAGGAGCGGAGAGGGCTTTGCCCCGTAGAATCATCAGAGATCGGATGGTCTCAGCTTTAGCTCAAGGAAGATGCCCCTCAAATGTGCTTCCTCCAAGCATCTAGGGACCTGATGGGAGGTGGTGCATCCTGCCTGTCCCATGGAGGACCCTTTGATGAGGTGTTTGGCTCATTACCCACCACTTTGGGAAGTTGCAGGGTGCATCAGGGCGGAAGCAAGGGCATGGGGTCTGCTGTCGAACTTCCGCTCTCCCTTCTGGCTACGGATTGAGGCTTGCTGGGTTATCTGGGAAGGGACCGCACGGGTTGCCTGACGAAATAAGGACGCCCAGGTACATCTGCATTTCAAGTAATAATAAACGTTTCTTACAATAGCATGAAACATACTTTTATAAATGTGGTGTGTTGTTTATCTAAAATTCAACTCTACCTGGGCATTCTGTATTTTTATTTGCTGAATCTGACAACTCACACAGTGTCAAAAAACTGGCACACGGTAGGCTCACAGAAAAGCATTTCCTTCACGATGTTTGTCCATTAAATAGATATTTTTTGTGAGCCTACTGGCCACGAGGTCCTGGGGACACAGCAGGGAATACCACAGTATCAGTTTCTTATGCCTGCCCTAACAAATTCCCACAAATCTAGTGGCAGAAACAACACACATTTATTAGTTTACAGTTCTGGAGGTCAGAAGTCCAGCACAGGCCTCACTGGGCTAAAATTAGGGTGTTGACAGGGCTGGTTCCTTCTGGTGGCCCCAACGCAGCGTCTATTCCTTGTCTTTTCCAGAGACTACCACGTTCCTTGGTTTGTAGCCCCTTAATCTTCAAAGTCAGCAGTTGCATTTTGAGTCCTTCTCATGACACCATGACTGGTTCTCTCTTTTGTCTCATTCAGGATCATCTCCCTACTTTAAGGTCGGCTGATTAGCAACCTTCACTCCACCTGCCACCTTAATCCCTCTTTGCCATGGCACCTAGTGGAATCCCAGGTTCCAGGGATTAGGATGCAGATGTCTTGGATGGCATCACCTGCTAGCACAGGTCCCTTTTCCCTCCTCCTGTCCATGCCCAGCCCCTCTCCCAACCCAGAGGAACCAGGCACCAGCTTGGCTTCGGGGCCTGGAGAGAAGTCCTTGAGTGATGGCAATGGTGACACCCATGATAGCAATGAGAGCAGCAGTCACAATGACGGACCAGATGGCTCTCCAAGCACAGACGCTTCTGTGAGTGTTTCTTTCTTTCACCACCCAGTGATCCTGTGACTTGCTGGGTTCACACAGCCCGAGTGAGTGGGGATGTAATGGTGCATTATCAGGCTCAGAATCCCAAGCTTTCCCTCCACACCGCAGTCCACAGGACCACGAGTTTCCTCGTGGCAGGGACCATGCTCATCTTTGTGAGTAGACAGGCTGCTTCAGCCAAGAGCAATGATCTGGACTCAGAGCTCAGGGCCAACTCCTGCTGGATGTAAACCTGGGGGACAGGGGATGGGGGGGTTCGTCATCCATCAACCGGGGGTCCATAGCCCACCTTGCCGGGTTGTTGTGAGGATTAAATGAGGTTATCTAAGGGTTTCCTGAGACATTGAGAGCCTCAGCAAACGGGAGTCAAGATTAAGACTCTGCACCCAGTCTTCCCCATGTGTCTGTGGGGCACGATCCTTGTGGTGTGTGCTGTGCTGTGGGAGGGATTGAGTGCACTGAGCAAAGAACATCCACTCTCCAGCGTGAGTGCTTAATTCCATGCAACAAACCTTTCTGTGCTCCTACTGTGTGCCAGGCTCTGGGTGAAGTGCTGAGGACTCGAAGATGACTTAGGTTCAAGGCTTTGCCCTTTCATCTATGCAAATTACAGATAAAGTCAGATTGCCTCCAAATAATTTGATAAGGCCATCATTATTATTATAAATAAAAAGAGTAATAACACCTAATATGTTGAGAATTTGTACGTGACAGTCACTATTCTAAGCAATTTTCCTGGACTGCCGCATTTCCTTACAGGGACCCGGGTGGGAGGTACTATTCTTATCCCTATTTTACAGATAAGCAGGAAATTGTTGCTCTGCATGGTTACCTAGATGGTTCCAGGTCAAATGGCTAGAAAGGAAGGGAATCAACATTTGAACCCAAGACCAGGAGTAAAAAGGGCTTGCAACAGGAAACATAATCGGGGGTGCAGCTCCCATGGGACACGAACTCTCTACTGAAGCTGAATATGAGCACAGCCTCCCACCTGGAGATTCCACATTTAGGCACAATTGCAAGAAAAATGTGTCCACGTCCACAAAAGGACCATCACCAGAGCATTCGGGCATCACTGTTTGTAACAGCCAATGACCAGAAACTCCTTCAATGCTTTTCAACACTAGGATGGATCAGTGAATTATGGGATAGGTATGCAGAGGAATATCATGGAAAAATGAGAATGCACAAATCTTGCCACACACAACAGCAAGGGTGCGTCTCCCTAATATAACACTTACCAAAGGAATCCAGGCACCGAAGGGTATGCCCTGTGTGACACCCTTTAAAATGCTCACAACCAGGTGCACAGGTCTCCATTTGCAGGGGCGTCAAGCTGGGCTGCAGCTGCTTTCCCCTGCTTGGTCCCAGGTTGGAGTTGGTGGGAAGAGGAAAGTGAGAGGGATCTGGAAGTTGGAAGTGGAGCAGCTGCCACGACCCCCGAAAGTCCTTGTGGCTGTCCTGGGGAGAGACAGGCAAGGAGGTGCTGATTGATGACAACTTGCTCTTGTTCTCCCTGTCTCCCCAACTGTAAGCCTCACTGACCACCAGTGACCCAGGGACCACCAGTCACAGAAGCAGCTGTGCCCCGCAGACCCCTCCACTGCCTCCCGTCCCCATTCTCCACGTGCCAGCCGGCTTTCTGGATTTCCCTGCAAGCTGCACTCACTGATGTTTCTGGAAGCCTCCTTGGGGAGGAACTTGCTTCTGAACCCCCCTAGTTCCTCCCACAATTGCGGAGGGTCTAAATCCCTGTCATAAATCTGTTATTCCACACCACTCGTAGTAGTTCTGCCTCCCTCATTGGCTGGGGCGTCACAGGCGTTATCAGGAGGTGGGAGTGGCAGCCAGGAGGGGCACCGGAGCCTCTGGGCTGAGGGGCTGGCTCCAGGGCAGGGATGATTTCACAAAAATTCACTAAGCTGCATGCCTGTGATTTGCATACTTGTCTGTATTTTTGTTGTATTTCAACATGCAATCTTTAAAGGGTGTTTTAAAGGGTGTTTTGCTATCACAGTCACTTTTATCATGATGCATATTAAGTTCCCAAAACAGAGGCAGAAGGCACAGAAAATGGTTTCACTTGATGAGTCTGCCAGACTCCTGGGCTGGGATGAGCAGGGCAGGGACCGCCTTATCTTCTGTGAATTCCCAGGGCCTGACTGCCCCTAACCCAGGGTGGGGCTCAGTGAAGGCCACTGTGAGGAGGCTGGGTGCACACAGCGGGGGAACCGGTACAGAGGGGGCCTGGGTCAGAGGGGGCCTGGGAGGAGGGAAGACGGGGATGGGGAAGGGATGGTTCCCATCTCTTCGGGAGGAGAGCCTTGAGTGGCTTGTCCTTTCCATTTTAAGAGTCTCTTATCTCAGAGGACATTGCCCAGAGCAAGGGACGGCACTCAGAAACTCATAAACCGCTTTCCCACCAGCTCTTCCAGGGACCCTGAGAAAGACCCTCACTTTGGGATTGAGGGGCGGAGACCAGGGGGATTCTCCGGACTCTGGCTCTCCTGGGTCTGAGTGAAATTTCAGCCTCTGGGGTCTCAGCTTCCTGCTAAGAAATGGCTTTTGTTTCTTCAACAGTTACTGAAAGAGGATTGCTATGGGTCAGGGGCTGTTCTTTCTCGGCCAAAATGGACAAACCTGTATCTCCCAAGGATCCCTGTCTAGGAAGGAATACAAAATAAGTTTCTCTGCAAATTACATATATAATTTTTTATATAATTAATATACATATGTTAGATTTTATATATAATTAATATGTAATTACATATCTATACATATATTTGCATACTTTGTATATTTATTTTTTACCACCTTCTCTACTTTCTGTGCAGGTCCTGGTGCCACCCTCTGTCACCTGGGTCATCACAGTAGCCCAGAACGCGCCTCCCTGCTAGCGCCTGGCCTGCCACTGGTCAGTTCTAACACAGCAGCCAATGTGATTCTTTAACACCTGAGTTGGGTCCCATCTCGGCCCTGCTCCGAACCCTCCAACAGCTTCCAACTCAGCCAGGTGTAATCTGAGGCTCTTAACAGGGCCCAAGGCCTCCCCGAGCCAATCCCACCTGCCCCTCCCCCTCGCTGCGTCCACTCCGGCCTCCTGCCTGCCCCTGGATGGCCCCTGCACCTCTGGCCACGGCACCATCTCTGCACTGGCTCCTCTTGTCTCTGCAGGAGTGCGGAGATCTGGGGATCCAGTAGTGGCCACCCCTCCCTCCCTTCAGGCCCTACCTAAACAACATCACGCAGCACCCGCAGTCTCCAGCCTGTTTCCCTGCCTTATTTTCCTTCGCAGGACTTGACACCCGCAGGCCCGGGGCCTCATGGATTGTGGGTCCTCCCGCACTGAAATGGAAGCTTCCTGAGGACAGGGTCTTTGCTGGCTTCTCCCGCATAGAGACCAGGGCCTGGAATGCACTGTAGCTGCTAAAGAAATATTTGCTGGCCTAATGAATGAATGAATGAATGAATGATTCATCCTTGCCCCGCCCCTTGCTCCCTCCACCCACCCTCCCCGGCCTCTGGGCCAGTGGCTGCCATTTCCGATGAATGTGAATAGATGGTCTCCTGGGAGCCGCCTTTTCCTGCTAGACTTCCAAGGGCCTGTGTTCCCGAGACAAAAGGGCCTCTGGCCCACTTGCCATCCCTCCCAGCACACAGGCTTATGAAGGGCGAACACCCTGGGACCTGGTGACTGTTAAAGCCTTTATCACCCTTTCCTCATAAACCTCTACTCTGAAACCAGCCAACCCCCTCATCTTTGCAAAGCTTTTCAGGGAAGGGTGGACGGCAGTGAGTTGTCTGCAAACTTTGAGTAGGATCTGAGCACAGGGTCCCTCCCTCCCGGTCTCCTTCTGCTCTGTGCTTTCCCTCTTTCTCTCCCTTCCCTTCCCCTGCCTGTCTCCCACCCCTTTTCATCTTCTGTCTGCTTCCTCCTGTGGGGACAGCAGAACCTATTCCAGTCTCCGCTGGGCTGGAAGCCCTCGGCCTCCATGGGGAGCCTGGGCCCCCAAGCCACAGGGAACAGCAACAGGGGAGTCAGCCTCCTCATCCCCACGCAAAGAGTGCTCAGCCCCTTCATCCCCACGCAGAGAGGGCTCAGCCCCTTCATCCCCACGCAGAGAGGGTTCGGTCTCCTCATCCCCACGCAGAGAGGGGTCGGCCTCCTCATCCCCACGCAGAGGGGGTTCAACCTCCTCATCCGCACGCAGAGAGGGCTCAGCCTCCTCAGTCCCACGCAGAGAGGGTTCAGCCCCTTGATCCCTACGCAGAGGGGGCTCAGCCTCCTCATCCCCACGCAGAGAGGGCTCAGCCTCCTCATCCCCACGCAGAGGGGGTTCAGCCTCCTCATCCCCACGCAGAGAGGGCTCAGCCTCCTCATCCCCACGCAGAGAGGGCTCAGCCTCCTCATCCCCACGCAGAGGGGGTTCAGCCTCCTCATCCCCACGCAGAGGGGGTTCAGCCTCCTCATCCCCACGCAGAGGGGGTTCAGCCTCCTCATCCCCACGCAGAGAGGGCTCAGCCTCCTCATCCGCACGCAGAGAGGGCTCAGCCTCCTCAGTCCCACGCAGAGAGGGTTCAGCCCCTTGATCCCTACGCAGAGAGGGTTCAGCCTCCTCATCCCCACGCAGAGAGGGTTCAGCCTCCTCATCCCCACGCAGAGAGGGCTCAGCCTCCTCATCCCCACGCAGAGGGGGCTCAGCCTCCTCATCCCCACGCAGAGGGGGTTCAGCCTGGGCTGCAGGAAGCAAACCCCTGACCCGCTGCAGGCTGACCCCAGACACTGAAGGTTGTGCGGGCCTTAAGGCCGTGCTGGGAGATTCAGGGGGTGACACCCGGGGGCTCATTTCCTGAGCTAGGAGATGCAGGGGCGGGGAGTGGGGCACAGCGCTGCCAGCAGAGGCTGAGACGCACCTGAGAGGGGAGGAAGCTTCCGCTCTTCTGGCCTCCCGGATCCGCCAGGGCTCCTGCTGCTCCCACTTCCGCCACCCAGGAGGGCCAGGCCGCCGTCTTGAGTTTCCCTCCAGCCTGGCCTAGGGACGACTCTTCTTCAGTGCCGCCTTCTCCACCGAGTCCTCGCATATTAAGATTCCAGAAGGTTCTGATCTCCTGGTGCTTCAGTGTAAACGAGTGTGTTTGGGGATAGCTGTGGGAAGTCAGGGCTGAGAAAGGAGAAACACTCAGCTCCCCACACACGTTTGTCCCAGGAAACAATAGCCCTCCGTCCCCGCCCACCTGGCCTGTGGGGATCCACTCATTCTTTCACAGATATCCAGGACTGGGTTAGGGAGCCTGGTGGTGGCAGGAGGCCGCCCTCCAGCTCGCTGGCTGCCGTGTGGAAGTCCTTTCTCCTCGGATTCTGATCTAGGGACGGCCCACAAGCTCCTGG
The DNA here is from genome assembly GCF_000001405.40 of Homo sapiens. NCBI lineage: Eukaryota > Metazoa > Chordata > Mammalia > Primates > Hominidae > Homo > Homo sapiens. The sequence goes on from NC_000016.10 coordinate 86,337,836, forward strand.
CGAGGATGAACTGAGTTCAGTGATGTCAAGCTCGGCACAGTGCCTGTCCACAATGAGCCCAATAATTTTTAGCTATTGTCACGTCGACGGTACCACCCACCTGGATGCCACTCACCTGGACACCATTCACCTGGGTGATGCCCCTCACCTGGACACCACTCACCTGGGTGCCACCACCTGGACACCACTTACCTGGATGCCACTCACCTGGACACCATTCACCTGGGTGATGCCACTCACCTGGACACCATTCACCTGGCTGTCACTCACCTGGGCACCACTCGCCTGGGTGCCACCACCTGGACCCCACTTACCTGGATGTGACTCACTTGGGCACCACTCAACTGGGTGCCACTCACCTGGGTGTTATGCACCTGGACAATGCTAGTCACGTGGATGCCACTCGCCTGGGTGTCACTCACCTGAATGCTACTCACCTGGGTGCCATTTACCTGGATGATGTCACTCACCTGGATGTCGTCACTCACCTGGATGTCACCTAGGTGCCACTTACCTGGATGATATCACTCACCTGGATGCCACTCACCCAGGTGTCACCTGGATAATGCCACTCACCCGAATGCCACTCACCTGGGTGCCACTCACCTGGAAGCTACTCACCTGGATGATGCCACTCACACAGACGCCACTAACCTGAATGTCACTCACCTAGGTGTCACTCACCTGGATGCTACTCACCTGGGTGCCACTCAACTGGGATGTCACTCACCTGGGTGCCACCCACCTGAACACCACTCACCTGGGTGTGTGAGAACAGTGGAAGTTCCTGGAACATAGTTGGCATTCATCCTTCCCAATGCTTGCTCTAGACGAGGAAGCCATGATGTTTGCTCTTCCATTCCCTCCCTCCTCTGAGTCCCCCTCCTCCCCAACCCCATCTCCTTTCTCCTTACCTCATACACAGCCAGCCCTTACATGGTTATTTCTTCATGTCATCTGCCACCTCTGGGCAGCCAGGCTCCCCCAGACTCAAGCCCTGCAAAGAGAGGGTAGGACCTGAACCACCTCACCTGGCACAGCCCACCTGTCCCAGCATGGGCTTCAGACACCAGACCTCATGGGACCCACAGCTCCCTCTGCCCCTCTGGCATTCAGCCCCCAAGAGGTGGCAGCGCTCCTACTTATACACCAGGTGCCCTTTCCCACATGCCAATGGGCAGTGCTTGGAACCGCTCAGCAGGGAGGCTGCTGGCTGCCCCCAGTCTTCCAGGCCTCCAGACATTCTTCCTGAGCTTGCCCAGGTGGGTTTTGGGTGGGAGTCCATTCATTCATTCATTTAATGATGACAAATATTCTCTACTTTAATGAGGAGAGTGAAAATACACAGTTGAGGACCAACAGACAAAAACAAAAAAACCCAAAATAGTTGCTCTGGAGAGTGGCACTGGGCATGGGGAGGAGTAAAGCAGGAAGCCGGTGTTTTCATTTTCTTCCCAACTTTTATTTTAGGTTCAGAGGGTGCATGTGCAGGTTTGTTATGTGGGTGAAGTGCATGTCGCAGGGGGCTGGTGTGCGATTATTTCTTCACCCAGGTAATCAGCATAGTACCTGCTAGGCAGTGTGTCCATCCTCACCCTCCTCCTACCCGCCACCCTTGAGGAGGCCCAGTGTCTGTTGTTCCCCTCTGTGGGTCCATATGTTCTCATCATTAACTCCCGCTTATACGTGAGAACATGCTGTATTTAATTTTCCGTTCCTGTGTTACTTTGCTGAGGCTAATGGCCTCCACCTGCACCCGTGTTGCAGCAAAGGACATGATCTCATTCTTGTTATGGTGGCATAGTATTCCACAGTGCGTGTATACCACATTTTCTGTAGTCTACTGTCAATAGGCGTTTAGGTTGATTCCACGTCTTTGTTATTGTCAATAGTGCCACGATGAACACACACATGCATGTGTGTCTATTCCTGTCTATACCCAGTGATGGAATTGCTGGTTCACATGGAAGTTCTGAGTTCTCTGAGAAATCTCCAAACTGCTTTCCACAGCGGCTGCACTAATTTACATTCCCATCGACAGTGTGTTTTCCATGAAAGGCTGTTGAGGATTATTTGATCTTTCTTAACCACGTGCATTTATTAGATCAGGAAAAAGAATAGTACAAATGGGATTACGCCACTCCCCACTGAGTCCCCTCCAATGACCCTGGGGCTCACAGAGCAGATCTCCGGTCCTCCTTGTGGACTCTGAGCCATGCTGGCCTGGCCCCACCTCCCTCTCCAGCCTCTGCTGCAGCCACACTCCACTTGAAGGCCTGCCACAGGGCCTTCAAATATGCTATTCCCTCCCAGGTGCTCTTTTCCCAGCTATCACTGTAGCCAGCTCCTCACCTTCAGGTCTCAGATTAAACTTCATCAGACCTTCCAATTCTAATGATCTGTTTGTGTGGTTATTTGACCATTTCCCCAGTAGACTCTAAGCTTCCGGAGGGCAGGGCCATGTCTGCTCACCCATGGGTGAATACCTGCCCCCAGCACTGCCCTGGCTCATGTGGAGTCTCTGCATATTTTTGGACATAACAAACAACGTAGTAGTGATCTAGCCCCTGCGACAAGACGTTTAGAAGCCTCTCTCCCATGGAGCACTGGTGCCTTCCCATTAGCCAAGATGTCGGCACAATCACTGTCCTGTTTCTTAGGCCTCACCAGGGAGGCCTCTGCGCAGTGATGTGGGATCAGGGAACTTGGCCTGAGCATAGGCTTGAACAGATGTGAGGGAAAGGGAGAAACAGTGTCTCCCGCAAAGCATCTCCCTAATATCCTGACACGGGGCTTAAATTCCACCATAAAAATCACTCCTCGGGACTCTGGAAAGGCACCAGTGGAAGACAAATGAGATTGAAGGAGATAATGCCTGTGGCAGTGAAATACACGGCGGCATAAAAAAAAAACAAGGTCTCGAATGTTCTTGCAGTGGAGTGGTGGTTTCGCCCCATCCAGCTGGTGTCATGGCAGACCTGGTTTCTGTGGGGCTCCTACCTGCCCCCAGGCTGGGCTCTCCCATCCGGGAGAGCGGCGCGCCCCTCGTCCTCACCACCAGGGGGCGCAGGGGAGCCCCATCTCAGCACCTGCAGAGTGCACAGGTTGGGGGCACAAGCCCAGCTCCCACTTGGGTTTCATCCCCAACACCTGGAAAACTTAAGGAAACTTCACACACACACACACACACACACACACACACACACACACACACACACCTGCAGATTCTTTAACCCCCGTCCCAGAGAATCTGGTATGGAGTGGACCCTGGGAATTTAGTGGTTGTGTTGGTTTTTTAAACAAGTGCCTTGATTGCAACTGATGTAGCCAGGTCCGTGAACCGTGCGTGAGTTCACTACAAACCGACTTTGCCCTAAAACCGCACAAAGGAAATTAGCCACAGTCATCCCTGATCATGAGGGGAATGAGAACAAAGGAAAAAGGAACCTAGATGAGTCATTCTTTTCTCTAATTTTCCACTGGCCATGCCCCCAAGTTCCCCGGCCACTGTGGACACACAGGGAGCGCGGGCGCCAGGACGGAGCCAGGGCTTAGTTGTCCTGCTGTGATGAGAACAGGCAATGTGAGGTTAACAAAGGTAAAGAGGCTGGAGGGAAAGAAGTCGTTAGTGCTGTCTGTGGATGCCCAAGACGCACATTTTAATTTTTCCACTTTTTCTGTGCTGGTTTCTTACCTCAGGTGCAGACGGCCAACAAACGGCAGCCCTCGGCTGCTGGTGCACCATTTTCGTCCCTGGCCCGACGGAACCCCTCTCTCGTTTTATTTCTCCAGCCCCCTCCTGAGGGTTTCCTACTCCCATTCCTTCTCTGCCTGTGGGCAACGGTTCCAACGGGTCTAAAGGGTGCTCTTAGTGTGGAAACAATTTGCATAAATGGTCTTGTGTTAGATATTTCGTTCTATTTTTCTCCCCTCCCCACCCCACCCCAACCCTCAGCAAGGTATTAAGACACACCCACTGTATTGGGTCCATATGCACTGTCCCTAGCTGGCACCCCTCACTCCATGGGGGGCGCCCCACGCTGTACTGTCCACTGTCCCAGTGGTAAGCTCCTCAGCTCTCACCATCATAAACGACACCATGAGGGACATGGAGGCACATGTCCCTTATGGATGTGTGAGAATTCCACTAGCTGCTCACCCAGGATGGGATGGAACTGGGCTGTAGGGTGTGTTAATCAGATTAACTACAACTAGTCAGACTTTTATGCCCTAATTGTAAGAGAAAAGATTAGTTTAGTAAATGCAAGTATCCCATGACGCAAATGCTTTTGGGCCCCAAAGGGCAGCACAGAGCCTTCAAAACTGGACACAATCCCTTCTGACTATTCCTCTCTGTGCATGTCGGAAATAGAGAGCACCGTTCTTGTCCTTCACACTTTAGTTTCTGCTCAAATATCTAAAATCAAGGTGAAGAAACCCTCTCTGTGAGCAAATATGGAAGAGGATTTGGGGATCCCCAGGGGGTGAGCTGGAACCACAGCATCGGTCTCATCTGGGAGTTTGCTAGAAATCCACAGCCCAGACCCCAATCAATCAGAAACTGCAGAGGTGGGGCCCGGAAGTCCATGTTTGAACAAGTCTCTGGGGGACTCTCAGACATGTTGAAGTTTGGCGATAAATAAGGGCAAGCCTAGTTGATATCTAGGTAGGAGATATACATCAGGGGTGTCCTCTTTTGGCTTCTCTGGCTGGGCCACATGGAAAGGAGAAGAATTGTCTTGGGCCATACCTAAAATACACTAACACTCACCATAGCTGATGAGCTAAAAAAAGAAAATGACAAAAAATTTCATAATGTTTTAAGAAAGTTTAGGAATTTCTGTTGGGCCACATTCAAAGCTCTCCTTGGCCACATGTGGCCCTAGAGCCTTGGGTTGGACAAGCTTGATATAGGTGGATCAATAGATACAGATTGACTGATTGAATGAAGCTGGTTTTGGCAAATCGTAGAACACAGAAGCACAAGCTTGAAATTCCCCTCAGAGAGCATTTGGTGGTCTGACCCCCAGAATCTTCCTGGAAAAGAAGCCAGGAGCACTTAGCAGTTGGGACTGAGGTACCAGCCGTCTGCTTCAAGCAGAAGATCTCAACTGTTTTCTATTTTACAAAGGACACATCTTGGGAAGGTTTCCTTAGAAAATAAGGTCCCAGGATGAGATGAGCTAAAAACTCCTAACCCATTCCAGTCTCTCCTCATTTTACAGACAAGGAAACTAAAGCCCAGAGAGACAAACTGCTTCCCTGAAGGTCACACAGCTATTCCTGGCAGAGGCAGGCAGACTGAGTTCATCTGGATCCAGGGCTTCCTGTGTGCGCTGCACCAGCCCTACGTGAGTATAAGAAGGTTCTGGATGGGCTCTCGGAGCCGTCGAGACAATCCCATGCCGGGCAGCCTGATTTGAGCCCCCCAAGGTCCCGGAGCGAGCTTGCTGGGGCCTGCTCAGTCCTCCCCACTTTGGAGCCCACCCCCCATCAGAAACACGGAAAGCCAAGCTGGCACACAGCTGGCGGCTTCAGGTTCCCGGCCAAGTTCATTTTGACATTACAAGACAAAAAGCACAGCATGTTGCGATGGGACTGGCCGTTACTGCGGTGCCATTCAACAGGGTTTACGATTTTCCTGGAGCCTCTCGGCCGGGTGATGCCAGAGAGTAAGCCAGAAAAAGAAAATTCCTAGGTGACGTAAATGCAGTCACGACGCTTGCGAGGGGCATGCACTTTTCCTGCCCCGGGAAGGGGTGGGGTGCGGGGAACGGAGCCATTTTAGATCCAAATAGAGAAAGAGAAAACGAAAAAAAAAAAAAAACCCTGTGCTGTGTATTCATTTCATTGCATAAGATCCTTGTTCACTCACTGGCTTTGTTTTCCAACCAAATGCCTTTGACTTAATAAATGCTCTGGGCAATTAGCAGACAGGGGGCCCCCCATGAAATCATCAGAGCTGAGATCACTCGAGAGGGTATCAGACAGTCAGGACATTAATTGCATTATTTTATTTCCAGATAAAAGTTATTTTGGTGGAGCCAGGCTTGCCAGAGAAGAAGCTGATAAGATCAGATGCCGTCTCTCACTGCCAGATATCCTATTAGGGGTCTCAGCAGACAGGGGATTGGGTGACAGTCCAGATCTGCATGGACAGCAGGAGTTTGTTTCAGGCCAGAGGAAAAGCCCAGGGTGCCTGAGGAGTTCCCTTATGCCATGGAGAAGCAAAGTGGGCTATGCAGGCCCTCTGGGGGCTTTAGATAAAGCGAGTACGCTTCTGATGGCCCTAGCCACAGCAATGGCTTTCACAGGAAAGAAAAAAAAATTCTCTTCTCTTTCTTTTTCAAGAGAGGGACTCTTGGTTCCTTAGTAAACATAGATGCCTGGACTCGGTGCGCAGCCTAAGGTCTCTCTCTCTTGGCAGTGGCCCAAAACGCTCTCCCAAGCAAAAGGGAAAAGAAGACAGAGGGGGGTTGGGGATTGTGTCAGGTAGTGAGCTGTTTCCTGGAGAAGCCTGCGTCTGGTTCCAGAGGGAAGTGAGTTTCTAAGAGAAGGCATCTGTAGGAATTTTGCCCATCAGCCGTGACACCAGCACTGCTGTTGGAGGGATGAACAGCTCATGACAAAGTCCTGTCTCCTCTCTCCCCTTCCCCGTGTCTGTGCAATATCATTAGAACTGGCAGACCCTTATTAAAAACAGTTGGCCACTGAGAGGCTATATCCTGTGTGAGACAGAAGCCCAGATGGTAGGTGGTCTTACTTTTGGGGTGGGGTGTTCCAGGTGGTAACAGCCTCGAGGGCGGGAGGACCATGCCGCCTGTTTCTTGGCATCCGTAGGTGGTTCCTGCCTCCTTCCCTTTGGCAGGTGTGTGGGAAGGATTGAGTGTGAAGGGATGCTCACAAGCACTGAGAAGATGGCCTGGCACTTGTGAAATGACAGAGGTGGCCTGGGAGGTGTCCCGGACCCTGGATTTAATGTGCAACACATGGTTCAGTCGGTCCCAATGTTGGGACTGTAGAGAACGTACCAGAAGCCTCACAGATACTCAAGGAGTCGTGATTATTAGGACTGGGCTGAGTTAGCTCTATCTAGTACTTTGTAATTTTAAAGACCTACTCAAGCAATATTACAATATAAACGGGATCACATGGACTACCTTTCTACTTCAAACAACTCCAGAGGCATCCTGCTGTGGATAACAGAAGCTGATTCTCTTTCTCTCTCCGCCTCCTCCTCGTCTTCCACCTCCCTCATAAAGCATCCCCCAGCACTGACAGGGTACCGTCATAATGATGGTTATATTGAACTATGTGAGTGCCTACTCTTTGCTAACCAAACTAAATTATTAGTTGCATCATTTCATCTCAACTTCACACAGTTATTATATTTTTTCCTTTTTCTTTTATTATGGCAAAGTCTAGTTAATGTAAACCTTGCCATTTTAACTTTTTTAAAGTGAATATTTCAGTGGCATTGGGTCCATTCGCATTATCGCACCACCATCGCCACCGTCCAATTTCAAAACTGTTTCCATCCTGCAGAACTGGCACTTAGTATTCATTACACGACCCCCTCCTGCAGCCACGCTGGGAGCTGACCCTCTCCACCCATGCTTCGTGCACTCAGGCGCTCATCCAGGGATCATCCTGTACCTCAGACTCTGCCAAGAACTGTCCGGCCCCAGGGCCTTTGCAAGCGCAGGTCGCACGGCCTGGGATGCCCTCTCCCAGCTCACCACATGGCTGGCTCTTTCCCATTCATTGGCCTCAGCCCAGTGGCCTCCTTCTCGTCAGAGAGGCCGCCCCTGCCTGCCCTGGCTGGCCGGCCCCTCCCCCACAATGACTCTATGACATCATCGTGTTCCTTCTCCTCGGAGCCCTCAGACCCTCTGAAATCCTCTGGTCTGTGTTTTGTTTCCTCCGTCTCTATCTCTCTCCCCACTAGAAGGCAGGTCTCAGGAGGGCAAGGACCCGGCCTGTCCAGCTTCCAGCCGTAGCCCCAGGGCCGGGTGTGCAGTAGATACTCAACAAGCCTTCTTTCCTCCCACCAGCCTTTCCTCCACAAGGGGAGACAGGACTTGGGGGTGTTTTTGGGGGTCTAAACAACACAAAGGAAAGAGACGCTGAAGTGGGTGAGCTGGCCTCGCACTGCACTTCCTGCTGGAGTTCAAAGTCAGCCCTGCCCCTGGAACTGCCATGGCCAGTTTAGATTGTTCCAGAATCCCGCTGCAGGCTGTTCAAAAGGCTCCCAGCTGCTATCAGGAAATAGCTCAGGAAGGTCCCTGTTAAACACCACCCCCATCCCCGTAACCCTGAGCAGCCCTCCGCCACCTGCTATTTTCTATCTCTGAGAATTTGCTGACATTAGGCAAGTCATGTCTGTGGAATTATACAATGTTTGTCCTTTTATGAGTGGTTTGTTTCACTCGGCACCATATCCTCAAGGCTCACTCATGTCATAGCAGGTGTCAGAACTTCCTTCCTTTTTAAGGCTGAATAATATTCCACTGTATGGATGGACCACGTTTTGTTTATCCATTCTCCTGTCAATGAACATTTTCGTTGCTCTCAGCATTTGGCTGTTAGGAATAGCGCTCTGAGGACATTTGTGCACACGTGTTTGCATGGATTTAATTGTTTTTCCTTTTCTTGCCTGTTCTTGGGTGTCGTGGCCAAGAAGCCACTGCCGAGTCCAACATTGTGAAGCTTTCCCCCTATGTTTTCTTCTAAGAGTTTTGTAGTTTTTTTACATTTAGTTATTATGGTAATGCCTTTGATCCTTTTTGAGTTAATTTTTTGTATCTGGTGTAAGAGAAGGGCTCAACTTCATTCTTCTGCGTGTGGTATTTGGTTTTCCAAATACCATTTTTTGAAAAGACTGCCCTTTCCCCACTGAAGGGTCTTGGCTCAAGACACTTGAATGTCAAATAAGTCAAAGGGCTTCTTTCTGGGCTCTGTGTTCTGTCCCATTGGTCTATCTGTCTGTATGTAGGTCAGGACCACAGTGTTTTGATTGTCATAGTTTTCTAGTAACTTTTGAAATCAGAAAGTGTATGACTTCCAACTTCCTGGTTTGTATTTTTACATTTTATATTTTGTCCCCATTTTACAGATGAGACAAAGGAAGCTCAGAGAGGGGAACTGACTTCCGAGGTCACAGAACAAGCAAGGGTGGGACAGGATTTGAACCCAGGCTTGTTTGACCCCAGCCCCTTTCAACAAACATTTCTGTCTCAGCTTGGATCACAGAGCAAGAAAGTTACAGCCCTTCCCAGCCCCCTTCCTGTCCTGCTGATGAATTCAGCTGGGGTGGCAGCCTCGACACATCTCAAAGGCTCTGATACGGTTTGGCTGTGTCCCCACCCAAATTTCACCTTGAATTGTAATAATCCCAGCATGTCAAGGGCAGGGCCAAGTGGAGATCATTGAATCATGGAGGTGGTTTCCCCCATGCTGTTCTCATGGTAGTGAGTAAGTCTCACGTGATTTGATGGTTTTTTAAATGGGAATTCCCTGTCACAAGCTCTCCTGCCTGCCACCATGTAAGACCTGCCTTTGCCTCTCCTTTGTCCTCTGCCATGAGTGTGAGGCCTCCCCAGCCATGTGGAACTGTGAGTCCATTAAACCTCCTTCTTTATAAATTCCCCATTCTCAGGTATGTCTTTATTAGTAGCGTGAGAACAGATGAGGCTCACTGGACTAGCTGGTGGGGGAGGAGAAAGCAGCCCATGTTCCCTCTCTCAAGCAGGACCATTTTGTTTTCCTCAGTTTCCCTCTTCCACTTCCACTTGGGGACCCCCACAGCCATGGCCAGAGAGAGGGAGCTTGGGGTCCCAGTGCCTGGTACAAACTCACTCTGCCCCTCACTGCCCTTGGGGTCCCCACTCTGTGGGGTCAGGGACCGGGGTCCACAAGGAACTGCTTGTCGCCATCTTCCCACCCCCCACCCCAAAGGGGCTTGAGCATGTTCCCAGGCTCGCTTTCCCCACTGAAGGAGGGGTGGCTGTGTGAGTCCTTCCACTTCATGACCCTCTCTGTTTCCTTATATGTTCAGCAAAGGCTTGACTGAAGTCACGGGTCTCATCATTCCTTTCCTAAGCTTTCTTCAAACAGCATGGTGCGTGGATGAGGACACACGTGCTCTGTAGAAGGTGGGGCCACAAAGCCCTGCCGACCGACCTTTCCTGCCTTCTGCCTCTAAGGTGCAACCCCGAAAGCACCTGCTGGAACCTTTGGGGCTCAGGGAGCACAGCCTGGAAGCAGGGGGATACTCCCCAGGGCTGCAGTCCACCTCGGAAGCTGCTCACCACAGGTGTCTGCTTACACTTCAATTCAGATCACATAAGATACACATGCAGCTCTTAGGCTTCTGAGCCACCCTTCAAGAGCACAGCCACTCGTGGCTAATGGCTGCTGACTGGAACCCTGGATGGCCCAATCTGGAACTTTTCATCACCCCAGAGCATCCTGTGCAGTGCTTCTCCCGGGGAGCCCTGCAGGCAGTGACCTCCAGCTCCGAGCCTGATCCCACATGAGCAGGAAGAAGACAGCCCAGGGAGGCTGCCCACAGCCACAAGCTCATTTCTCATGGCAAACCACAAATGGGAGATGCTAAGAAATTAGAATAGAGGATGCTCCAGAGCAGACGCTCCTGTTTACAGGTACCTGGTTCTATACAGTCACGCATGAAAGGAAAATGGTGATATCTAAGAAACAGAGGAATCCATGGGCTCAACCAATGAGGTCGTAAGGAGCTCTAGGATGGGGGTGTCACAGAGGTCTCACATGTTTAGGTGGGTGGAGAGTTTCAGAGCATGACTGGTTGATAATAACTGGTAGGCACTGTTGGCGGACGGCAACCATGCCAGGCATATAGCAGGGTGCTGCGTCTTCTCTAATTCTCACTGCGGCCAATGAGTTTAGAGATTTTCACTCCCATTTTAGAGATCAGCTGAGACACAGAAAGGCCAAGCAGCTTCCTCAGTCAGAAAAGGGGCAGAGCCAGGGTTCACCCCCTGGCAGAGCCATGCACCAGTTCTGCAGAGCCCAGGACGGGGTGAGGCCAGTCGTGAGGGACAGAGAAAGGCCTAAAGAAAGAGGAGGACAGAAAAAGGGCCCGTGTTGGACAGAGAAGGAGCGATTACTGAGGCCTGAGGTCAGGCTCATGGAGGGCACTGGCCTGTGGTCCGCAGTGGCATTCAGAGCATGCGTTGGTCCTTCCACCACCATGTATAGCTGGTGCCCTTGGAGATTCCATCTGCTTTCCTATGGGGTCTGTGAGGTTGGACTTCGGGAGCCCATTTCATGGACCTGAACACTGAGTATCAGAGGGAAGAGTTTGCCAGGGGTCAGCCTCTGTATCCTCTCTCCCCACGCTACATCTGAGATTCACCCAGAGGGGCCCTTGGGGAAACACCCAGTTGTTGAGAGCAGCAGATCTCAGACTTGGGCTTGCATGAGGGTTCCCTGGAGGGTCTGTGACGGGGCCGGGGTGGGGCTGAGAATGTGCATTTCTAACACACAAACTCCTTTCATCCTGCAGAGCTGAAACTCAGTACTCATTAAACAACTCCCTCCTGCAGCCACGCTGGGAGCTGACACTCTCCACACATGCTTCATGCACCCAGGCGCTCATCCAGGGATCATCCTGTACCTCAAATACCCCCAAGAACTGTCCTGCCCCAGGACCTTTGCACATGCTGGACCCACTACCTGTGATGCCCTCTTCTGGCTCACCACGTGGCTGGCTCCATCTCATTCATTGGTCTCAGCCCAGTGGCCTCCTCATCAGAGGGGCTGTCCCTGCCTGCCCTGGCTGGCCCAACCCCTCCCCCACAATGACTCTGTGATGTCACTGTGTTCCTTCTAGGAGCCCTCAGGGCTCTGGAATCCTCTGGTCTGCACCCAGGTGGCACTGCTGCTGCTGCTGGTCCAGATACCACCTTTTGAGAACCACTGGTTTAAGGAACACGCCCCTCCCTGCTCATTCAGTTGAGGCCTCTCCTCAAGAAGATATCTTTGCATTTGTTGTTTTTGTGTTGCTTTGTTTTGTGTTGCCGTAAAGATGTGAGATGCTGCTCCTGGGACTCCAGGCTGATTCCTGACACCAGCATGTCTGCATTTTTGCAGAAGACCAGAGAATTCTGGGGTTCGAAGCTATGAGGTTTTGGGGTTTCTCTAAGGCAGTGGTGGGAGGAAGACCTCTCCCCTGAGCCCTCTCTCCTCAGCCAACCAGGAAGCTCAGAATTCCACAGCCTCCCTGACTCCCACCTCAGCAGGCACCAAGATTGCTGTAATTCGGCACTGGCAGGTCTTGCAGGAGTTCAACTGATCCTGGATCTCGCTCCTTTTGACCTGGAGTATTTTGTAGGCTCTTTCTTATCGACAAGCTGTGTGTTCCAGGGAAACTCTCTCCTCTCTCCCTGGTCCATGCTGAAAATGCCGTTGAGGGCTTTGCATCATTTCACTGTTCCCAGAGTGTCTACATTTAAAAGTTTCTCCAAAGATTTTCCTTCGTAAACGATCATCAGAAGCACATCAAAAACCCTGAGCACTCTCCCCTCTGCCCTGCTCCCTGTTAGCTGATTTTATAACCCTCCTCCTCAGCGTAAACAGAGCTGATCACTTTATACCCTTTGTATATTGTTTCTTAATATGAATGAAGTGAAACAGCTAACCAGTAGTCATTCAAATTATTGCCTAACATAAACTGACAAGGAGCGTTGAAGTGTTTAGCCTCAGAAACTGTGAACGTGGTCACAACTTAGTAATTAACTCACATTTACTTAACCCCAACATTCATTTTGTTATTATTATTATTTTTAATCAAGGAAACAAGGTTCATTCTGTGGGATAAGGATTGGATCTGATCTGCGGCCATTTACTTTCTACGCAACCTACCCCTGCCCTCACTGCCGACGCTGCCTCAATCAGCTTCCCAGGGACAAACGTGAAATCAAGCCCACCAGCTCCAAGACAAACACAATCTCAGGGACTGGGCCCCAAAGCCACGATGGGCAGGGATTGCTCCCAGACGAGGGAATGCTTTCAAAAGAAACAGAGAGTTTTTACCTTTTTGCCAACAATTCTGTGGGCAACATTTGTTTTCTATTTTCCTTTTTTTCTCCCACTAAATCACTTTTATAAACTCCTCAAAAGTTTCAGTTTATTCAGTGACAATTAGTTTATGGCATTTCTGAAGTGGATTTAGATTCGAGTGATAAAATTACAAGCCAAAATTGCAACCATAATGGAAAATCCTGGTTCATGTTTGGCCTTTGAGACCACAACTGAGAGATTACGGGTGGACGCCAGCGAGCAGGGGGCAGCAGTCACTGAGCGTTCCCTTCCCCACGGAGTAGGGTCCCAATCTGCCAACTCCTGGGGTGTTGGCGGGACAGGAGGCATGGACGTGGCAGAACACGTGGCAGGACAGGTGGAAGAAGAACACAGGCTGGTTGGCAGGTTCACATCTTCTCGCCCCGAGACATGTCCTTTCTGTCCTCAATTTCAGAACCAGCACTTTCCTGAATTCCAGGCCAGCTGATTGCATCTCAGTTTCTTAGTGTTTAACGGAGACCTTCCTGAGCTATTTCCTGATAGCAGCTGGGAGCCTTTTGAACAGCCTGCAGCGGGATTCTGGAACAATCTAAACTGGCCATGGCAGTTCCAGGGGCAGGGCTGACTTTGAACTCCAGCAGGAAGTGCAGTGCGAGGCCAGCTCACCCACTTCAGCGTCTCTTTCCTTTGGGTCGTTTAGACCCCAACAACACCCCCAAGTCCTGTCGCCCCTGCGGGAAGGAGAGGCTGGTGGGAGGAAAGAAGCCTTGTTGAGCATCTACTGCAGTCCCGCCCTGGGGCTATGGCTGGGAGCTGGACAGGCCGGGTCCTTGCCCTCCTGGGGCCTGCCTTCTAGTGGGGAGAGAGATAGAGACAGAGGAAACAAAACACAGACCAGAGGATTTCGGAGGGTCTGAGGACTCCGAGGAGAAGGGACATGATGATGTCATAGAGTCATTGTAGGGGAGGAGCCGGCCAGCCAGGGCAGGCAGGGGCGGCCTCTCTGACGAGAAGGAGGCCACTGGGCTGAGGCCAATGAATGGGAAAGAGCCAGCCATGTGGTGAGCTGGGAGAGGGCATCCCAGGCAGTGCAACCAGCGCTTGCAAAGGCCCTGGGGCTGGACAGTTCTTGGCGGAGTCTGAGGTACAGGATGATCCCTGGATGAGCGCCTGAGTGCACGAAGCATGGGTGGAGAGGGTCAGCTCCCAGCGTGGCTGCAGGAGGCATCCTCTTCCTTTATCCCCTCTCCACCTGCCCCCCATTACTCCTCCTTCCTCCCCCTGCCACATGGCAAGTCCCTGACCATGTCAGCTTCATCCTCTTCTCATTCCACAAGCTCTCCCCAAAAGACCCCATTCCTCCCCACCTTCAACCATCTCTGGCAGGGAGGAGGGGGAACTGAGAGGCTACTTTCTGACCCAGGACCCTAAGCCTGTGTACGGAGAGAGCATGAGCTGGGTGAGCTGCTTGCCAAGGAGTGGCATCTGCCCTCATCAGTGGACACAAAAAGCCCCAGGGGTTAAGTGGCCATGGCTGCCCTCATGGCTGCACCGGGAGGATGACTGTGTTCCCACTCTCAGTCCTGCCGAGGTGCCTGACAGCCCTGCACCCAGGAGCTGGGGGGTCTAAGAGCTTGTAAAAAGTGTACAAGTGCCAGATGCTCGTTGTGCACAAATCTAAATGCAGAAAAGCACTGAAAGAAGAATCCAGAAAACCACAGTTCCCATTTTTATATGGGAGCAAACAAAGGCAGATCCCAAGCTCTTCCTCTTCCCTAGATCAATACAGACAGACAGACAGGTGGATAGATAGATAGATAGATAGATAGATAGATAGATAGATAGATATCATTGAAAGACAAAACAGAGATGGATGATAGATACATGCTTACAGATGCACACACAAACGCTAAATGGTATAAAAATGGAATCACTCTGTAGGCTGTTTTACCACCTACTTTACTAAATTAATGAGTTATTGAGTATAATTTAATTTTATATACTAATTTGAAACTGTGTCATTAGGTTTTTAAGTCTATGGCATCACTTTCGCTTGTATTTTTCTATTGATTTCTTTTCTTTTCTTTTCTTTTTTGAGACAGAGTCTCACTCTCACCCAGGCTGGAGTACCGTGGCACGATCTTGGCTCATTGCAACCACCACCTCCCGGGCTCAAGTGATTATCCTGCCTCAGCCTCCCAAATAGCTGGGATTACAGGTGCCCAGCACCATGCCTGGCTAATTTTTTGTATTTTTACTACAGATGGGTTTTCACCATGTTGTCCGGGCTGGTCTCGAACTCCTGGCCTCAAGTGATCCACCCGCCTTGGCCTTCCAAAGTGCTGGGATTACAGGAGCGAGCCACCGTGCCCAGCCCTATTGATCTGGAAATTGTAAGGAGAGTCGTGCTCTCTATGAATTCACACAGTAGGGGGGTGAGTCAAGTGAGCAGGGAGCCACACTCGGCATCACTCATCCCCAGCTGCACCCTGCTTGCTCAACAGTGCCTGTGTGTCCTGCCTTGCCTACTGTTTTATTCATACGGAAAGACACCCGCACGGTATTTATTTGACCAGAAATGGTGTCACATCATGCATGTATTTCCTGCAACTTCCTTTTTCCCTTGCCGAGTCCTGCATGAACATCTTTTCTGTCAGCTCATGTAGATCTTCCCAGCCTTTTACATGATTCCCAAACCATTCTTACTCCCTAAGAATTCGCCTCCACAAACCTCTTATGAGAACACCAGCCAGTGGCTGAGGGCCCTTCCTAGTACAATGTAACCTCGTCTTAACTGGATTCCAGCTGCAAGGACCCTGTTTCCAAATAAAGTCACATTCACGGAGATTTGGGGTTGGGGGACACAGTTAAATCCCTAGCAGCATCTGAGTTTGGGGTTCTTCCAGGAGGAGGCAAGAATTCAAGCACAAGTCATTTATTTGGGAGGTGCAGGGGACACCCCAGGGGACTGGGGTGTGAGCACAGAGGTGAAGCCAGCCCCGCACTCAGAGTGTTGTTCATGCGGCTGCCCCACTGGGTGAAGAGAGCTCCCTCCTGCAGGGAAATGGGAAAATGGTGCAAAGCCCATGCCTTGGAATTCTCTGCCCAAGGGGTGAGGGAGCAGGAGTGCTCGCAGGCCACCTCCCGAGAGCTGTATGCTCCTCTCCGCATGAGGCCTGAGAATTATATGGTCCTCACAGCATGAGGCCTGCCGCACTGGGTGTTGGCACAGCAGCCTGGTGTGGTTTGGGGAAAAGCCCTCAAGCCCAGACGTGCAAATCACGGTCGCTGGAAATGGGCCAGAGCCTGGCACTCAATGAATAGCCAGGCACCAGCAACATCAGCCTCCTGATAGAAATGCAGAGTCCCAGGCCCCACCCCAGACCTGCAGAATCAGAATCCGCATTTCAGTGACATCTCCATCCTGGGTGTGCGTGTGGCAGCTTGAGAAGCACTGAGCCGGCATCCACTGGGAAGGCCAAGTAAGGGGTGGGAACACGGTAGGTACACTCAGAGCTGGCATTCTAGCCAGACCTCCAGGCCCCCAGTACTCCCCACCCAACTGCTCTCCTTCAGATGCAGTGGCCAGGAAAGCCCTCCAGCAGAACAGAGTCAGGATGGCACTAACCCACCAGGAAGGCAGACTTTGTGGTTGAAAGGATTGCCCGGTAAAGAACAAAGAAGGATGAGACTAAAGCAAGGTAGTCCATGGCTCCCCAGAGTCAGAGGCAGGAGCACTGGGGGCCCAGAGCACACAGGCCAGAGCGGACCAGGGTTCTGGTTGCATCATGGTCAGGACCCTGCACATAGCAGGGCCGCTGGTTCACAGTCAGCAGCAGCCAGCCTTCTTGAAGAACAGCTGCTCATTTCTGCACTCACCACAGCTTTCTGGAGGTCTCCCAGCCCTGCTGATAGAGAAACAACAGGCTTGTTTCCTGTTCAGTCCCAGCAGGCATGCACAGTCCCAAGAAAGACCTGTCCTGGAGCCAGTGACCACAAGGAGCCAAGGAACAGCCCTGCTCATCTTGTCTCCTCCCAGCTTCTACCTTGACCATGATTCCATTCCTACCCACTGTCCAAGTGATCAGTCAGGCTACACACTCTGTCGGGAACTGGGGAGCAATTGAAGTTTATTGAGCAGGGGAAGCACTCTGAGGAAAGTGCTCTAGGCTGCAAGAATTGGCAACCAGGATGGTTGGGAGTGGGAGACAGCAGAGCACAATCATAGAACTGCTTATCTGGGAAAGCGTCCCATCATTTTCTGTAAGTATTCCTCAAGCCCTGGCTTAGGAAAACAGGCAGAAAGATCTCCCTCTAGCCACATGAAATGCCAGGCATCTCTTAAAGCCCGGGGCAATTTTCCATTGAAAAGCAAGCTGGCCTTTAATGACAGGAAAAATAGCTCAGTTTATCATGGTCCATCCATATCATGTTACATTATCAGGTCACAACTCCACTTCTCAAATAGCGTGTGCCTACGCATTCTGTGTGTTAGGGGCTGCCCTCTCAGGGAATGCTGGACAAGACATAGTCCCTTCCCCCACAGAGCTCACAGTCTAGAGAAGGATCTGGACAAGTCCCCAGGCACACACAAGGCAGGTAATTAAGGAAATCATGAGGACAGGGAGCTATGGGCACACCGAGGACTGGAGGGCTCCAGCCCAGACTGAAAGGATCAGGGAAGGCAACGCTCAAGTGGGCAAGACCTGAGAGACCAGCAAAGAAGAGGTAGGAGAGAGTTCCAGGCAGCCAGGCAACACGTGCCAAGGTCCTGAGGGTGCGGGTGCATCTGAAGAAATTCAACAAGAGATTCCTTGTTGATGACTGAGGGTGGAAATGCTGGGGTGGTGGAGGAGACTAATGAGATGAGCACATCCATAAAATATGCATGCAGTGGGATTTCATTTTGTAGACTCACAGTTGCATTCACACATACACAGAGAAAAACAGCAGAAGAAAAAACACGAGAATGCTCAGAGATGCTCTCTGGGTAATGCAACTACAAATGACTTGGTCTTCTTCATTCTATTCTATAATAATCAAATTTCCTACAATAAAAATTGTAGCAGTTCCCTATGGCTCATAAAATGCTGCACAAGAAACAACCACAATATCTTAGCAGCATGCTAATCCAGGTTGGGCTCAGCTGGGATGGCTCATCCTGCCCCTGGGGTCAGTTGGCTAACCTGAGTGTGTTCCTCTCATGGCAATAGCAGAGGCACACCAGAGCAGCATGCGAGGCCCCTTAAGGCCTGGGCTTGGAACCCTTGAGGCCTGGGCTGGGAACCAGCATGCCACTGCTTCTACCACTTTCTGTTGAACAAAGCAAGTCACATGATGAGCTCAAAGTTAAGAGGCGGGGAAATACATTCTGTCCTTGTGGTGCTGGGGAACTGCAATGTCTTACGACAAAGGTAGTGGATCTGGGGACTGGTGAGGAATTTCAGCCAATGTTGCAGTCAACGTGAGCATTGCAGGAATGTTATTGGAGAGGAAGAGGGAGGAGGAGGTGTGGGAACTGGAAATCAAGCTCCCGCCAATGCCCTTGAAAGGTAGGTGAAATCAGTAGTGTGTTGAGTCAGACATGTTAACCATCCAGGATGAAGAAGGCACATCTAGATCCACATCCTAAGAGCTCAGGGGCATGGGAGGACAAGGCAGAGAGAAACCAAAACCCAGCTCTCCATCTGGGGAGAACTGGACATCACTGTTGCCTCAGTTTACCCATCTCTGAAATGGGGATGGAAGAGCCTCTGACATACTATTAGTGAGTGCTCAGAATAGCACCTGGCATACAACACACACAACACAAGTCATTTTTAAATATAAATAAAGCACACACGGGACAGTAGGCTTCTTCAGTCTCTCCCTTCGAATTGGCCCTGTCTACAGAGAGATGGTAGCCCCTACCCAGCCTGCAGCCCTCCGCAAGCCCCTTTACCTAGTGTCTTGCACACTGCTTCTCTCTTTCTGTGAAATAAATACAGCACTTCCCTCCGGCAAAAGAGAAACAAAAGCAGTTCCTTAATGCATAAGAAGAAAGTATGGAAGAAATTCCAGTTTGATGGTCTACAGGTATGTTTGTTTGGACTGGCGCATATAAATCAGTGCCTGGCTTACATCAGATTATCACAGCGGAGTGGGCTCTGGGCTGATTGCACCTTTACAATCTGTTTACGAGGAGGGCTGAAGTGAAGCGTTCTGGAAGAGGCTGCTGCATAAGCCTTTAAAAGTTTTCATAATTGCTCAGCTTGGACCGTTCTGCACTGGGAGACACAGCCCCATGAAGCAACTGAGGGGTGTTCATAATTGCTCAGCTTGGACCATTCTGCATTAGGAGACACAGCCCCATGGAGCAACTGAGAGATGTGATCCCTTCCTCCCGCTCCAGCCACCCCTGAGCCCCGAATGCTGCCCCAACACCACCCAGGGATGGTCCCTGGGAACACTGGAGGATCTTTCCCTCTACTGCTTTTCCCTGAGGATATATGAATGTGTCTGGGAGTTTACAAGACACACTTATATGCGCACTCATCTTACGTGTCCTGGTTACCTCTTACGTCTCAGTCCCCTCCCCATACATCATTCCAGAAGGTACATCTTTCTTTGCTGCATCCTCAGGACCTTTGCACGTGCTGTTGCTTCTGCCTGGAGCACAGTCCACCTTTCACAGCCTAGGAGACGGACAGAAGCTGAGCTGGTTCCTGCCCATCTCCCAGGTTGAATGTTGTCTTCCTTGATGCTGGGATGGGGGCTAGTGTGGACTGCATCTTGCCCCTCTAACATTTATGGGTTGAAATCTCAGCCCCCGGCAGCTCAGAACTTGGCCTTATTTGGAAATAGGGTCATTGCAGATGTAATGTTGGGTGAGGAGGAGGTTGCACTAGAGTGGAGTAGTCTGTAATCTAATATGACTGTGTCCTTATAGAAAGGGGAGATTTGGACACAGACATGCACACAGGGAGAAAGCCACATGAAGATGAAGGCTGAGGTTGGGGTGACACTTCCACAAGCCTGGAATGCAAAAATCACCAGCAACCACCAGAAGCCAGGGAATGAGCCTGGAACGGTCCCCACCCTCCCCCCCTACCCCTCTTTCCCCTCCCCACCACCCCTTCCCCCGCCCCCCTCCACCCCTTTCCCCGCCCCACCACCCCTTCCCCCACTGCAGCCTCGGGAGGAGCCAGTCCTGCTGACACCTGGATCTGGAACTTCTGGCCTCCAGGATGTGAGACAATGAATTCCTGTTGTTGAACCTGCCCAGTCGGTGGCACTTTGTTAAGGTAGCTCCAGGAAACAAGCACAGGGGCCCTCCTGGGTGCCCTCTCCCTCCCTTGCGCCAGCTTGGGAGCCTGCTCCTCATGGACAGGCATCGGCCTCCGTTGGCACCTGAGAGTCAGAAGTGGCTGGAATGGTGGATGGAAGACAAAGCTGAGGGCATGCTGCATGCCAGAGCATAGGAGGGAGCTAGGGGTGTTCCCGGGAAGAAATGGCCTGGGCTCACAGGTAATCCTGTGTAAGCGCGTAGATGTGTGCCTAGAGTGTTTCTCAAGTCTCAATTATGAAGATCAGGGGTCTCACACTCAAATCTCCATGGACAAATAACTCGGGTTGGAATATGTTTGCCTGAAGGAAATGTATTCAATCGGGGACTGATTAGTGAGAATGGTTATGTATGAAAGTGCACTCACCGAGTTCTCAGACTCAATTATATAGAACAGGGTCTCAGCATCATACAGGGACCAAGGGCAGCCAAGGTCAAGGGGGGGAAAGAGCCCCATCTTGGCTCTAGGGCATTTCGGGAGTAAAGTCCAATGTGGCTGGATTTTCTGGTGTTTCAAAACATACAAACAAACAACAACAACAATTAAAAAAACAAAACTGAGTACCTAGACCTTTAGGTGCAATTTTCATATTTTTGAATATTGATACTGAATTTTTAAAAATGAACCACAGCGCTGTGTGGAGCAGTGAAAGCACAGGTTTGTGACCTCTGGAAGGGCAGCAAGGTTCAGCTGAGTGGTTTCTGGGGCCACCCTGGCTCTGGGTTCCCCCCGGAGCTCAGTAACATGGAGATACCACTGCACACACACTGAGAGGTTCTTTATTTTTGAGGGATACCTGTGGTATCATGGAGATACCACCACACACATATTGAGGGGTTCTTTATCTACAAGGGATACCTGTGGTATCAGCTTCTCTCTCCACTGGGGTTTCATGCTCTGCAGTGGTAATCACTGTATCTTTTTTTCTTTTCTTTTCTCTCTTGGTCTCCCTCTCTCTTTTTCTCTCCCTTCTCACTCACGTATTTGCAGGGAGTAATGAAGCTCTGGAGACAGTCAGAGCAGAGCCCTCGAAAGTGTGGGGCTCAGAGCCGGGGTGCCAGTCACTGTGGTCTCAGGGATGACTGAGGGTCTCAGGGATGACTGAGGGAGAGGGAGGGAGATCATTTAAGCCCTTCTTCTGGGCTTTTAGTTCTTTTTATTCGTAATTCTTAAGTCATGTGATATACATGCAGAAAAGTGCATATATGATAAGCTCAATGCATTTGTACAAACTGAACACACCTGTGAAGCCAGTGCCCAGACCAAGAAACAGAACGTGGCCAGCGTCCTAGGAGATGTGCACATCAGCCCACCTGATCCATGCAGCGCTGACCACACAGGGCGTTTCTCCCACTTCACAGATGAAGAAACTGAGGCTCGGAGCAGGGAAGGATCTTCCTTTGAGCCCCTTCTCGCCATCACCTACCCTTGAAGAAAAAGCACAACCCTACCTCTAACACCATCGACCAGCTTTGCCTGTTTTGTAATTTAAATAAATGGACTCACACAGTATGGGGTCTCTTGTGTCTGGCTTCTTTCCTGCAACCTGATGTTTAAGGGACTCATTCCCATTGCATGCAGGTATAGACCATTTGTTCTTAATGCTAATGCAATCCATTTGCATGAACATGTGATTTATCTCTTCTGCTGTGAATGGCGTTTGGTTTATTTTGAATGCTGGGGTTGTGAGCAAGCAGAGCTGCTCTGAACATTCTAGTGTGTGACTTTCGATGAACTTATGTAGGCATGCGTGTTGGGTGCACACTGGGGAGTGGAATTGCTGGGGTGCAGAATCCACCTGCCTCGGCCTCCCAAAGGGCTGGGATTACAGGTGTGAGCCACCGCGCCCGGCCTAATGTTGTTTTGTTTTGTTCTGAGATGCCATTTATTATTTGGCTACAAAAAGCCTGTGTCAGGGATGCTCAGTGGGTTCCTGAAGACACAGAGACTTTAGAAGCCCCTTGAAGGGCAAGTTATAGCTACAGACCTGGACTCTGGGGACACAGGCCCCTCCAGGACTAAGGGCTGCTTGTAGCCATGGCCGCTAACACGGTTGAAACGATTCCTGCCTGCCGAGAGCTTTGTCTTCATCAGCTCGTGGAATCCACACAGCATTGCACTGTGCTTCTCCCATTTCGCAGCTGAGGAAACTGAGACTCAGGGCAGTGAAGGATCTTCTCCAGGACCACACAGCTAGCACGTGATAGCTGTGTAGAATGGAAAACCAGGTCGGTCTGATGTAAAATCACACGCATGTACATGTGCACACACACACATGCACACGGGCAGCCTCTTGATCACGCGTGGGATTTTTGTTTTGCAACCAGTAAAACAGTGACCTGCTTTTATTTTTAAAAATTTTCTTTCATTTTTGAGACAGAGTCTCACTCTGTCACCCAGGCTGGAGTGAGGTGGTGTGATATTGGCTCACTGAAACTTCCACCTCCTGGGTTCAACTGATTCTCCTGCCTCAGCCTCCCGAGTAGCTGGGGTCACAGGTGCCCGCCACCATGCCCGGCTGATTTTTGTGTTTTTAGTAGAGACAGGGTTCACCATGTTTGCCAGGCTGGTCTTCGACCCCTGACCTCAAGTAATCTGCCCACCTCAGCCTCCCAAAGTGCTGGGATTACAGGTGTGAGCCACCACACCTGGCCAGTGACCCACTTTTAACTGCAGGCTGGACCCCAGGTCTGCAGGGTTTCTGAAGCTCAGGTGAAACACAGGTGACAGATGATCACTGTCTCTCCTGGCCCTGGGTGTAATGTCTGCAAACAGGGCAGGCAGCCCACTCACTCAGAGCCCCGGTCACCAGGACCCCTCAGTGGGAGGACAGACCTTAGGCAGGGTAAAAGGACTCTGATCAGCATCTGCAGTGCTGTTAATAAGCTAAATCATGAACTCACGTAGAAAATTGAGTCATCGCCTCAAATGGGCAATTCAATAAAGGAAAACATGGAAATCGACAGCATAGAAGAAAACTTTCCCTTCTCACCAGTAATCCAAGTCACACACGTAATAAACACAGAACGGTATTTTTTTCATTGATTAGTTTGGCAAATACTTTTTTCAATGTTAATACACAATGTCGGAGAGGAGAATAGAAATTGTTGCACGTTTTACATGTTTCCAGAGGCCATGAGAGTAATTTGTAGATTTTGATCCAGGAACTTTATTTCTAGGAATTTATTAGGGAAAAAACCATAAATGTGAAAATTGATTTGCATACAAAGATGTTCATTGCAGCAAAAGTCATTGGAAATAACCCAGAGTATTTCTGAGACAATGTCCTCCCTGTTGCTACCTCTATTTATCCATCCCCACTTCCCCCATCTTCTGTGTGCTTTGCTTCTGGTGACCTGCACCTGTGACTCTCTTTGAAGTCCTGTTCTTGAGCTATAGGGGCTGCTTCACTCGTAGATGCACAGGAGGCTCCTCGGACCTTGAGACCCTCCTGAGTGGCCCTGGCCAGTGACTGACGAGGGCAGGGCCAATAAAGCCCCAGCTGCCTTAAGAACAATGAGCAATGCTGCCGAAAAAGGCTCCGGCTGGGACCGTGCCTGAAATGGCAACTGCTCAGCTTGTCCTTCTCTGTCCTGCTTCCACTGCTCCCTCACTCATCTCTCTGGGAAGTCTTTCTTCCTTGATAAGCCACCCACATGTGGATCCTTATATCATGGTCTGCCTCTACAGAACTGATTTTAGACTGTTTAAACTAAGCAATGCCAGTGGTAATCAGATGTTCTTTCTTTGGTCACCAACTGTCCCCTAACGTGGTTGAAGTCTATAGAAAGCCATCTAAAGCACCCTGAGGATGACACAGTGGTTTGTATTTAGAGGCAATGCTGTGAATAAAACATTTATTTTCAGACTGGTGAATTACTTTGCTTCTGTAGTCTACCCTTTAAATATCTGACTCTTTTCTTTTTTTGTTTGAGACAGGGTCTTGCTCTGTCACCCAGGCTGGAGTGCAGTGGCGCAATCTCAGCTCACAGCAGCCTCAACCTCCTGGGCTCAAGCGATTCTCCCACCTCAGTCTCCCAAGTAGCTGGGACTACAGACATGTGCCACCATGCCCAGCTAATTTTTTAATTCTTTTTGTAGAGATGGGGTCTTGCTATGTTGCCCTGGCTGGTCTCAAACTCCTGGGCTCAAGCAGCCCTCCTGCCTTAGCCTCCCAGATTGCTGGGATTACAGGTGTGAGCCACCATACCCAGCCTGTCCATTTTCAAAACAATTCTCAGCTTGCTTCACATCGCTGAAATTATTGATTATCCACACAACATTTATTCTTCCCTTATTTCTTATTAACAGAGCCAAGTTTTAATGGGCATCTAAAAAACTACATTTCCCAATCTCCCTTGCAAATAGGTATAATCATGTGACGCCATTAGAGCCAACTGGCTGTACGCATCATTGCCCCTAGAGTCAAACAGAATCTGTTCATTTGACCTTCACTTACTCCCGTCTTTCCACCTGGAGCAGGGATGGGCTGGTGGAGATGTCGCCACCATCTTGACACCATGAGGTAACAATAAAAGAAAGTTAGAGAAAATGGAAAAGATCTCGACTCTGACAGCGTTGTATTGAACCAATGCTATTTACTGCAGCCTTAGGATTTCTCAGCACTTGAGAAAAAAAAAACTCGTACCAACTGTGTTCAAGCCACCAACTGGTGGGGGTGGGGTGAGGTCGGGGGGTTCTGTTAGTGGCACCCAAATGTGATTCTTTGATATACTCCATCACATCAAGGGAAGGTTCTGATGGCCAACTTTCCAGAACAGACCCTTTTTTGGGCTTTTTATGCACCCACAAAACCCACTTTCAGAAATGCCATTCTTCCTCTAATCAGACAAAGAATGTTCCAGCTTCCTAGGGACCCACAGGCTGTTGGAAGAATTCCATGTCTCTCTCTGTCATCAGCATGCTCCAGCCCCTGCCTGGAAGGGTCTGAAATGACAGCCTTTAACTCACCACGCTGGTGAGGAAACATTCCCTGTCTACCACATGTAATCCCAGCAGGAAGACGAAAACTGGCATCCAACGTGGCCTGTGTACTCAGAGAAAAAGAATTTATAGGAAACAGAATCTACCTCTTGCTCAACCCCTAGAACAAAAACCCAGTGCTTAATCAGATTATTATAGCAAATATGCCACAACAGGGACTCGTTAAATGAATTTGGATACCTTTCTATGATGGAAAACTATTCATTTACAATGAGGCCATAAAATACTTAATGCATGTTAAAATGTTCACAGCATATTGAGTGGGATGAAGGGTTACAAATAGCCATGTAGAATACAGATTTTAAGTACACACAATATACAAAACAGAAAAAAAGTACTAAAAGGGAGTTGTATTCAACATTTAATAGGCATTTTTCTTTAGCGGGATTATACGTGATACCTACCTTCATTGTTTGTTGCCTGGATAAAAGAAAGAACAACGTGATCAGTAAGCTGTAACCCTCTGTATTTTGTACTCAGATTAATGGATCTGATTTCAGTTGTAAAGAGGTCAGCTGGGTCCCTGGCAAATTTTATCTTCCACCATTATCCAAACAAAATTGGCTAAATATACTTTTAACAACAGGGCTCTATGGGTGCCACATGTCCACCCCCACCCCACCCCACCCACCACCTTTTTTTTGGGAAAATCCCCGTTTGCAGAAGGTTTTCATCCTGACACGCTCAGTAAAAACATAACTGGACACGGCTGCTTGCTCATCAATCCAACTGGCTCCTCTAAGCCATTCAGAAGAGTGGTTTTTACTTCTTCAGCTCAAACCATTAGGGAAGCATTTATAGAGCACCAGATGTTTGCTTCCTCTGAGGGTATCCAGAAAGTCCTCAAGGCTGCTGGCTTCTTTTTTGCTCCTGCAGGGAAGAAAACTAACTTCCAAGGAGGAGAAGGAGGACTGAGGGCAAACTCACGATGATCATAAGTAGGATCTTTCCAAAAAGTTCCAGAACTATCTGAAAACGATGCCCATGCATCTCAATAAATCAGAGTCTCTTTTAATGAGACTGGCAGCCCTGTGCCTATTTTTAAAAGTTTATGACCCT
Source organism: Homo sapiens (assembly GCF_000001405.40). Classification (NCBI taxonomy): domain Eukaryota; kingdom Metazoa; phylum Chordata; class Mammalia; order Primates; family Hominidae; genus Homo; species Homo sapiens. The sequence goes on from NC_000016.10 coordinate 86,364,286, forward strand.
GAATTTGCGAGGAAAAGCAGCCAGGCATTGCCCGGAGCTGTGCAGAGCGAAGCATTTTAAGTTTCCATCTCACTCCTGAGAGGCAATCCATCATGATAAGGAGGGGCAGGGAGGGAAGGAGCTGAGCTCCCTGCAGCCTCCCGCCTGGCGTAGCTGTTTAAGTGGCAGGCACTGCAAGCCCAGTCCATTAACCAAAAAAGGGTGCTGCGCCTGAGCTATTTCTAGCTCCCTGCCAAGGCTCAGAGAGGCACAGACCTGTGGATTCCTGCACAGTGAAGTGTCCCGCCTGGCATCATCTGACATAGGCTTTCTCCCCCGACACCAAGAGCTGGAACAACCTTGTTCAGAGAAACACAAATAAGTACAAGAACGGCCTTATTGGGTCTCGTTATTAGGTATGAGTCTCCTGTGGCTGCTGTAACCACCAAAAACCAAGGGAGCTCCAAACGATAGAAATGTATTCTCTCCCGGTTCTGGAGAGCAGAAGTCTCAAATCAGGGTGTGGGCAGAGCTGTGCTCCCTCTGGACGCCTTTTCCCTCTTCCAGCATCTGTTGGCTGCTGGCGCCCCTTGGCACGTGGTGCATCGCTCCAGTCTGGGCTCTGTCTTCCTGGCATGCTCTCCTGGTCTTCTCTCTGTGTGTCTCTGATCTTCGGGTTTAGTGGCTGCCTGGATAACCTGGGATGATCTCATCTTGAGATTCTTAATTTCATTACATCTGCAAAGACTCTTTATCCAAATAAGGTCAGCTTCACGGGTTCTAGGTTTAGGACATGGAGGTATCTTTCTGGAGGCTGCCATTCTCTCCACTATATCCAAACAGGTGTCCATCTCTTTCCAGGAAGCACTCCAACTCATAATTCCAGGGCATGACCCAGTGATCCCAAGTTCAGCCACCCACCCACCCCCAGGTGACATCATCCACACCTCCGGGTACCAGTGGCAGCCTCTCCACTCTTGCCCTCAGAGTCCCTGGGTCCCACAGATTCGCATGAGTCTTAGACCCGTTAAGAGCAGGGACTCTGAAGTCAGCCTTCAGTTCCAGTCCTGGTTCTACCATTTATGTTACCTGGGCCTCAGTTTCTTCCTCTGTAAAGTAGGCATAATCAGAGTGCCTATTCCCTAGGACTATTGTGAAAATTTAAAAAGCTGCTATTCATAAAAAACAGGGCCGGCACCCACTCAATAAATGCGGCCTTGAACTTGAATTCTTCCATGTCTTGATTTGGGGTTCTAGATTCTCGACCTTTCAACATCAAGTCTAAGAGAGCTAGCCCGTGCTCCTTGGTGGATCAAAGATGGGTTCATGTTCCAGAGCAACAACATCTCAAACCACTGAAATCCACAGAGCCCTTCGTTCCAATGTATTTCCACAACACCGCATACATCAAGCAGATAAACAGAGGCGTAGCTGTGGCAGCAGCTGCTGTGGGGAGGGTGCGGCAGAGCCTGGACCTCCCAAGAGGCTTTTCTGTCCGTAGGCAGCTGGGTGCCAGGGTCCACGGCCTGTTGAGGTGAAGCAGGCCAGGAGGGGGCCTTCACAGTTTATTCTGCCACAGAGCAGCAATTATTTCTTATTTCCTTGCCCCATCTTTCCTCAAATATTCCAAGTCCATGTAGAAAGCCCACCTTAGCTCACAAACCATCAAGAAAAGTAAAGGCGAAGGAACTAGACAGAGAAAGATTTCACATATTTGTTTTTTTGAAAAACCCCACATGTTCATTGTAGGAAATTTGGAAACCACAGTCAAGCACTTAAACTGAAACAAAAATCAGACGCGGCAGTGATGGTTCAGTCGCCTCCGTCCCGCCTTCCGCAAATAACCTCAGCGTGTCTGTAAAGTCAAAGGTTGTTATTATTTACACTTGAATTTACTTCAAATGGTCATAGTTTTTCTAGATCACCAAATAAAACGCTTAATTTTTAAATCATGACACACGTACTTCCTCGTAAACTGTTTGTCCTATAATTATGTTTTGCAAACACTTCTGACAACTTTAAATATTTTTTTCTTTCTTTTAGAGGAGAGGCAGGGGTCTCGCTATGTTGCCTAGGCTGGTCTCAAACTCCTGGCCTCAAGTGATCCACCCACCTTGGCTTCCCAAAGGGCTGAGATTACAGGCGTGAGCCACCACGCCCAGCTAAATATTTTAAGAACATAATTTCTCACCATACAAAGCATTTACTTGCGGATATGGCCCATCCTTTATTTGCCCAATTACTGTTTACTAGTTATTTATGTAATTGCCATTTTTAGGACACACACACACACACACACACACACACATTTAATGTTGTAATAAATCTATCTATCTCTCTATCTGTAAATATTTGCAGAACCTCTGAGTATTTCCTTTGAACCAATTCCTACAAATATGATTATTTTTGAAGACATGCACTTTTTAAGGCATTTGATACCCTTTGCCAAATTGCCCTCCAAAAAGATTGTAACAATTTACAATTTTACCAGCAATATATGATAAGAGTACTTTTCTCAAACGTTTCCTATTGAATACTGTAATTTTTAAAAACTTAGCCAATTTGGCAGACAAAAAAGAAAGAACATCTGTGTCTCTGTGTGTTTTCTTGTTATTGTAGATGATTAGTTTTCTATGTTAGTTGGCCAGTGGGATTTCTTCTTTTATAAATTGCTTGATAATACTTTTTGCCCTTCACCTCTTAGGGTGATCGACTTTATCTTCCTGATTTTCAAGGGTCATCTGCATTTTAAGGACAGTGATTTGCCTTATCCCTTCATTACAATAGGTCTCTTAGCCTTCCAAAGGCCAATGAGAAAGTTAGACCATCTTTCAAGGATGTTGGTAACATTTTCCCCAATTTGTTGTTTACTTTCTAATTTTGTGATGGATTCATAAAAGGATTTTACATAGTCCAATATGTTAATCTTTTTCTTTATGATTTCTTTCTCTACCTATAAAATTCAAAAGGTATGCAAAATCCACTTTTTCCCACCTGAGGTGGAAAAATCTAGTAAAGATTAAGACTGAGTAAAACCACGTTAATCCAGGAATGAAATAAATGAATGAGATAACATCATAACCCATGCTAGAAAAAGAAAGTTCAACTTGGCTTTTAGATTCCAGTTGAGTTCAGGCTTTGTGTTTTGTTTATTAACTCTCTTTTCCTGAATAATGAATCTATGTTTAAAAAATGCCTTCTCAGATTTGCTTGGTACGGCAGCTGAAATTGTTATTCTAATGTAACAAGGGATTTCTTTCCTCTCCTCCCTCCTAATCAGGGTATCTCTTTAAGCATATCCACATGGAGGTTTTCATAGCTCAGTCCCAGATAAAGGAAAGAAACACATAACTGCTTAAATCCTTAAACTGCTTTCCCGTAATTGGGAATCAGAGGCCAAATGCCCTGACACATTTGGGCGATAGTCTTCGCCTTATAGGGGTCTTGCTTAAGCTCTTTGTAAAGTGGGTGCCAAAATCACCTTATTGTACTAGGATCCCAGCTACAACCTCATGCCCTTACTCCCAAGGGCTCGGTTTCCAGGTTAAGGTGCTGCACATCTGCTCCCCTTTTCCAGGGAGTGTTTCCAGGGAGTGAGACTGTGTTTACATTTGTAGAGACTCATTTATCACTAAACGCTGAACCTCTTCCAGGTCAGTGCGTAACACACGTGCATGCTCTCAAATCACCGGGGACTTTGTGAAAATGCAGATTTCCAGGCTGCATCTCTGATGATGCTGCTTCAAAGGGGCTCGGGGGAGCACAGGCATCTGCATTTTCAACAGTACCCTCACGAGCTGCTGCTGCTGCTGGTTCATGCGCTACCTTTTGAGAACTCCCTTCCCAGGCCAAACCCTTCATCTCAGAGTGGAGGAGAAGTCAACCAAAAGTGGGAAAATCTGCTTTTAGATTCTCGCCCCAAGAATCCGAGGCCAAATCCAGGCTTGTTGTCTGGATTCTAATTTCCAACCCAACCCTCCCAGGACCCTGCCTTCATGTGGGAAATCCTCCGAATCCCACCCTGCATTGCTGCAGAGTGTCCGATTTTCCCAAATTCTTCGTTCGTGGGTCCCCGTCCAGAACGGCCATGGCGTCAGGTGGTATATTGGCCTCCTGTGTCTGCTGCAACAGAAATGTATTCTCCCAGTTCTGGAGGCCGGAAGTCCAAAGTCAGGGTGCCAGCAGGGCAGAGCCCCCTCTGAAGGCTTGTCAACTTCTGGCTGTTGGTGGCAGTCCCCGGCTTTCCTTGGCTCGCAGCTTTACGACCTCCGTGTCTGCCTCCATCATCACCAGCCTCCCTGCTGTCAGTCTCCTGACTTTCTCCTCTGTGTGTCTCTGCCTGTCCCTCTCCTCTTCTTCTATGCACACCAGTCATTGAACTAGGGCCCTCCTGGCCCCGGTATAACCTCATCTCAACTAACGACACCTGCAAAGACCCTGTTTCCGAATGAAGTCACATTCTGAGGTTCTGAGAAGGACATGGATTTTGGGGACCCTATTCAACCAAATATATGTGGTTAGAGAAGTGTCCAATGCTAGAGGGAATGATCTGAGGGCCCGTCCTCACCCGGAGAGCTCCTTCAAAACACACATGCCCGTGACTGCCAGACTCCCTGCACTAGAATGCCTGGGTGTGGGCACTGCATGTGGGCTATAAACATGTTTCCTTGGGGATTATAATATAAAGCTGTGACCCCTCCCCCTCCACACGTAAGAAGGAGTTGTCACTGGGGGCAGCTGCAGAGCCAGGAGCTATAATTCTCAGCCCCCTGGGCTCTGGGACAAGCTGTCATGGTGGCATGAGCGGATGTCAAGGGAGTCACCTCCCGTCAAAGGCTGAGAAGAGGGCGTGTCTGCTTTGCTCTCCTTTTTCCCAACCACCAGTTGGATGATAAAATCCACAGGGCTTAAGAGGTGGCAGGGCCACCACGGGAACGATTCTGGGTCCCTGACTCACCTCATGGAGGAAAACAGCAACCGACAAACACCACCTGCATACAGCTCTTACCTGGGCAAGAAATTGCCTCTTACTGTCCTGAGACTCGGGGAGCTCATTGTCCCAGCAGCCAGTAATCCTTAAAATTATAACACAGTCCCAGGTCAGAGCCACAGTGCTACAAAGATATTGGGCCCTCCATGTGTCTATCTTTCCTGAGTCCTTTTTTTATATTACTTTCGATAAACTCAGATTGGAACACAGTATATGACTAATGTTTTATATCTTTAACAAAACAGAAGTCAAAAGCACTGCCACTCTCTACCACCCTCCTAGAACTGAGTAACAGGAAGATGTAGATGATCCTGAACAATTTCCATTTTGTCTTGCCTGCCAGGAAGCTTAGAGTACAATTTTTTTTTTTTTTTTAAGATGGAGTCTCACTCTGTCACCCAGCCTGGAGTGCAGTGGCATGATCCTGGATCACTGCAACCTCCACCTCCTGGATTCAAGCAATTCTCCTGCCTCAGCCTCTCAAGTAGCTGGGATTACAGCCATGCACCACCACGCCCGGCTCATTTTTGTATTTTTAGTAGAGACGGGGTTTTACAATGCTGGTCAGGCTGGTCTCGAACTCCTGGCCTCAAGTGATCCACCTGCCTCGGCCTCCCAAAGTGCTGGGATTACAGGCGTGAGCCACTGTGCCAGGCCTCAGAGTAAAATTTAATGTTTAATTACAGGACCTCATGCATTCCAGATTTCTGCGACTCCATCTGTGTGCTTCTAAGTTCTTTCTGATCAGCATCGAACGCTGCATTCCCATGGGGTGTGTATGTTTTAAGGTTGTGAGCCAGCTCCAATTTTTACATTTGGTGGATCCTTCAGAAGAAAGGCACACACAGACACTGAAGCAATACACAGGCGTACTGTGGCTACTGATTCTCGGCCAGTGGAATTGCAGTCGAGAATGGAGGAGCCCGTTTTTTAAATGAATGAATGAAACAAGCAGGTATTGATCTCTTGCCATAAACCTGGCAATGTGCCAGGCAGAGGAATAGGTGGATATACAGCTCTTGGTCACCAGGGAACCATTGAGGGAGACCCCTGTGCTCATCAATCATCATAATATCAGGCAAAAAGAGTCATAATAAACACCGTATACTATGCCACCAGTCAGTGTGAGTATGAAAAGAAGAGCGTCAACAATTTGCACTGGAGGAGGTCAAGGAAGTTGTCACAGTAGCCACAGCATAACAGGGATTAAATAAGACATTGACAGGTGTCGAGCAGATATGCCTGGAGCAGAGAGTATAGCCAAGACCCAGGGAGTAGAGAAGACGCATGGCATTTTGAGGAATCTCTTGTATTTTGTTTTTCACGCCCCATCCTCTTCACCCTTGGAGGTTTGAAACTAGGGAATCTCCTTTTATTGTTGTTGTTTGTTTGTTTGTTTTTGGGGGGGGGTTCCTTAATATGTAAAGTTACTTAAAATATTCACCACGTCCTGGTGCCACACTCGGAGCTTTTCCTAAGATGAAATCCAAATTCACCCGTCTCGAAGGTTCCGACCTTCGGGGACTTGCTGGAAGGCTGACACGTTGCCCTTGGCAGGGGCCCGGTTTCTTCCTGTGCCAACAGTAAGAGAGTAAGATCATGTTGGTTTCAGATCTTGATTCTTAAGAAAACGCCTGTGGTGTCGCACTTTCTGTAACATAATGGAGCAAACGGGACAATTCCAAGAATTGTGCGCTGGGTCCTGCAGGGCCGCGGGGCTGTTTTAGGAGCGTCCTGGGTGAGCCTTGAAAGAGACTCACTTATTCAGCACCTAACCCGCCCCCACGCGCCCCTCCCCCCAGGAAAACAAAACAGCACATAGGAAAACCGGCTATGAAAATTCCCTTTGGATGGTTTTTTGTACGTCTCTGAATGAAGGTCAAGGGTCATGTAGGGGCAGAAAACACAGCTGAGAGGGAAAGGCCCTGCGTTCTCCAGCCCAGTCACTTGTCTCCACAGACCACCCCTGCCCACCACGGCATCCCCAGACCCCCCTTCCCACACACAGCCTGGGACTCCTCCAGACCGGGTACTGTGTGTCCTTGCCCTTCCTTCTGCCCCTCAGCGCTGCCATCCCTGACCCCAGCCCCTCACCCTTGCTCCCTGAGCCGGGACAGCCATTGCTTCTGTCGGCCCTGCTACAACCAGATTACGCGTGGCCTGTGTGTCACCACACTGGACCATGAGCCCATGGATAGTGGGGCTCACTCTGGATCCATTTGTATTTCTGCCAGGACCCGGGGCACGTGGCACCCGGGAAGGGAATGCCAGTGTCTGTGAAAGCCATGAATGAAGGAGTGAGGCGCTATGTTCCTGAGCCCCCAAAATGGCTGAGCACGGAGGCCCACATGGTAACTCTCGGGAGGGTGCCTTGCTGGCTCCTGCCTTCCCTCTGTCTCATCTGCTCCCCTGCCTGAGCCTCCTGGACTCACCGCCCAGTCAATGACTCCTGCCTCGAGCTCCATGTGCTCCGTGGAAGCCTGACCTGAGGCAGCAAGCATGTTTAGGGGCCCTAGCGTTGTCTGTCCTCTGAGGAGTCCCCAGTCTAGGCCCTGAGGGTTAACTTTTCCCTGCCCCCTACTGCTCCTCTCTGGTTTGCAAACACCAAGGACTCTGGAGAGTGGCACCGGCTTCCCAAATGCCATCTCTTTCAACCCATCCTGGCCCCTCCTGAGGCAGGATGTGCTATCATTCTTGTCCTTCCCATGTTATGGATGGGGATACTGAGTCTCAGGGAGATTAAATTCATTACCCACAGTAATGGCCCTGGCGGGTGGTAGAGACAGGATTTGAACCCAGGTAATCGGGCTGCATAATCCAGGCTCTGAATCATGAGGCTCAAGCTTTCTGGCTTCCAGGTCTGTCTGTGGACTGAGCACCCTGGAGGCAAGGTGTACAGGGAAGGGGACGGGGCCCCAACAAACGCCACTCAAGCCCCACCCACCTCCTTCTGCACCAGCTGCCCAGGGCATCAGGACCCACACCAGGAGGTCAGCCTGTGCTCACTCACACGCCACAGGCACTGCACACCAAGGGTGCAAGCCAGGGTAATTTCATGAACATCCCCTGACTAGATCCTTAAAGACCCTGGAGGAGGACTCGTGACACCCATTTCACAGATGTGCAAACCGAGGCCCAGGGAGGTGAAGTGGCTCAGCCAGCTGAACATGTTACGTTTATGTGTATAAGGGGGTGGGGAATAACTGTTCAGGGTTGCAAGCGACAGAAACCAACTCGAGATGCAGAAAAGAAAAGGGATAATTGGTGGAACGCACTGGGTATAGAACTGGAAGGCTGGAGAGCCGAGTCTGGACATGGGGATGCACTGGGGCTGCCTCACAACAAGAACACCACCCGGTGCCCCCGCTGTGACAAACATATTCCCACTGTTGCTCGTTCTTCCTTCCCTCTGCTCACAGTCCATTTCGTATTTGGGGGAAGGACACGCTGCCTAAGCTTGGGTCATGGCGGACCCCATGTCGTGGGGAGGGCAGGCCATGAGCGAACAGGGCTTCATCCACAAGAAGAGATAATTTTTCCCCTAAAGGAGATCGAGTGCTCTGACCAAAGGAAGGTGGAGGGGGACTGGGCAGCTCGAGACCAGTCATGGGCACCACCTCGAGGTTATACAGCAAGGTCTTCACTCACGCCTGCATTCATTCATTCCGCTCTTCTTTATTGAGCACCTACTCTGTGCTAGGCACTGTGCTAGAGCTTGAACTCAAATCACCTGCCCCTGCCTCCATAGTTCCTTGGGATTGCTCTGTGGGGTAAGCTAGACCCTGCACCATCCTATCCGTGAGCAGCCTGGCAGAGCCACGGGGCAAGCTCATGACCTAAAATTCACCCAGTCACCGAGGCACAGTGACCCTGTGACCCCAGCCAGCAATGCCCCCTCCTCTCCCTCACAGACCCCCTGAAAAATCTCACTAATTCCTCAAGCAGAGCCCCATCACGCCGAGGTCTGTCCAACAGAGGGGTCGCTGATAGACTCAACACCATCCTTATCTGACCTCTGGTGGCCTTCCCGGGGTCGTGACCCCAGTAATACCTGGCTTCAGCAGTGGGGGTCTCCTGGAGACAGATGGGCCCCCAGCAAGGGGTTCATAAATCATCCCGAAAGAGCTTTGCGTCTCTGTATATTCCACAATAGCCTGTGAGGGGCCAGGGCAAGACATGACGGGAAACCAGATCTTCTGGAGAAGGAGTGAAGATAACAAGGCATGACGGCTGGGCTTCCCTGGGCTCCTCATTAGCAAGGGCGGCCCAGGACAAAAGCCGACAGCCGAGAGCGGCTAGAGGACACCATGGGTCCGTTTGCAGGTGCTGTCTCTGCCAGCTTCGGTGCATCTTTCAGCAAGGACGGATGTGGCGGGCAGCATAGGCACCACACATGTGGACATGCACAACATATGTGCCCTAGTGGCAACCTGGACCATGGGAGGCCCAAAGGATCTGATCCAGGGAGGAGCAGGCGGCACAGGGTCCTTGCTGTGAATCCAGACCTCTGGGTCTCTCTGGGGAGCCCTTCGGTTGACCCTTAATATGCCTAAGGACTGATTGCACCAGAAATGTGGAGCTCATTCTCCATGCAGAACCTGGCCCTCCATGGCTCTTAGGGCTGAGGGCTTGCTTGGCTCCACCAGGGTCAGGTGAATGGACAGAAAAAGGTACAGGAACACGGTGGGGAAAGCACGATCCGTGGAATCAAGTGGACCTGGGTTTCAGTACTGGCCCCCACTGCCAGCAACTGTGTGGCTTTATCCAGCTTCCTTAACCTTTTGGGTCCTCGGTTTCCTTCCAGAGTCTTCCAGGGCATTGCCCACTTGGCCCGTAACCTGCTAAATTGCCTCTGATAGTTGGGGTGGTGGCAGGCTGGGAGCTGACATTTGGAGACAGAGTTGAGTTCTCAATTCCTGCTGTTTGAGTTTGTGCAGGCTGTTAGCCTCTCTGGGATTCCTTTCCTTGCTTGTCCAAGGGTCACGTCCTTCACAGAACCATGGTTATGGGGATGTAGGCACAGGGCATGGATGTGTGGCATCCAGCATGAAATACCCACCCGATAAAAGACCCACCGGATAAAAATTACCATCATCAGCACGTGGTGCTCACCGCCAGTAGCCTTGTCTATAAAATCACTTTCCAGGCTGTGGTGCATGTGGCCTTGTGGTGCATGTGGCATTGTGAGAACTTCCAGAGGCACACTGCTTTACATGCAGGAGGTACTTGAGAAATGGTCATTTCTCTTCCTCCTGGTCTCAATTGCCCTTAATTGCTTTAATTCCTAATAACTCTGAATAGTCAGTCAATCCTGAAAGTCCCGGTGGCTGGAACCCATGAATGGGATGGTCAAGAAGACACGTGCAGGCCTCCGAGAACCCAGACTTCAAACCTGAAGGCACCTTTTTTCCTCATCCCTGGTGACCCACTGAAAACAGATGCATTTTGTGAGTCTTGTTTTTTATGAGCGTGGTGGAGACAGTTCATTATGTCCTCAAGATCCTTTCAGTTGTCTCCTCATCAACAGAACTCAGCAAGTGTACATTTCCCAGGCTCTCTTGCAGCTAGAAGTAGTCATGTGACACCATTCTAGCCAAAGAGATATGAGCTGGGGCTGTTGCTAGGACACAAACCTGTATTTCCTTGATACTTCTTTCTGTTCTTCCTGGTTTGGCCGCAAGCTGCTGTTTCCATTTAAGGATGCGTCTTATGACCCTTTTTTATTAGCTCCCTTGGGCCTCCTGAATTCCTTCTTTAATGAAACTATTTTATTTTGGGACTTGGAATCATCCATAGCCATTTTCACTGGATTTCTAAGTGTACCATTTTGTAACAATGTGCTATGTTTTGAGTTACAAATGTGGGCGCATTTTGTCATTACAAGAGGTACCACATTTTAAAATTTCTAATTGAAATACACAAAAGTACACGTATCATAAATGTGCCACAGGATGAATTTTGTCAACTGAACATGCTCATGTTCGTTTTTTGCCACGGATGTGTTCATGCTGGCTCATGTGGGAGATGGATTTTCTTCTTTAGGTCACAGTATGGGTCTCCTGGGGCTGCTGTGACCTAGGTAACCAGCACCCAAATTGAGAAACAGACATCACCGACTCCCAGAAGCCCTCCCTTCTCTGAAACCTGCCCTGTCGGAGTAACCACTATCCTGACTTCCATACAGTATTCATTCCCTCTGCCTATGTTCATGCTTTTATACATAAATGAAATCATACAGTATGTTCTTTTGTTTCTAGATTCCTTGACTCAACATTGAGTAGGTGACATTCATTTGTGTTGCAGCCTGTGGTTGTGACTCATTCATTCTCGCTGCTGCACAATATTTCACTACATCTAAACACCAGCACATCTTTGTTTCTAACAGCTGTCCGGTATCCTCACATGCGGGAGTAAAGTGCTGTATTTAACTGGTCCTCTTTGAATGGACTTTGGGAGACTTTCTGTTTGGGGGTGATGACCAGCAATGTTGCAATTCTATTCCTGAACATATCCCTTGGTGTGCTTTCACCAGTATATAGGCAAATTTCTAGCTTGTCTTTTAAAATGTATCTGCTTCTGAATTGCTGGGCTAATTAAAGAATCATATGGTCCTTTTGTAATTAAAACAAATCCAACGAAACGCATTCAAATTGCCAAAGTACCCCAGCAGCAAAGTGGAGTCACTTACTCTCTCCCTCTCCTGCCTCCATGAAGTGACATATTCTTCCTCCTCTGCGGGCACAGCCTTGAAGCTCACGATCCTTCCACTGCTCTTCCCTCTGGAATGTCTGGAAACAATCTGAAGCCTCGTGAATTTTATAGGCTCTAAGCATCCATCAGCTGACCTAATCATTTTCAGAGACCTGAAAGTCAGTGTTATCGCCGGTACTACCAAACCTTCACCCGTCGGAAATTGGAATGGGAAGATTGGTTGCAGTCCATTTCTCCAGAGAAAATGCTCTGAATTGAGGAGGAAAAGGTCTAGTCAGACCCATTTTCATTAAAGAATGAGAATCCAGGAGGCCTGAGAGAGCTAATAAAAAGAGCTGTAAAATGCATTGCTAAATTAAAAAAAAAAAGGTTTCTTTAAGGCATGTGTAATACATATTCTATTGCAGTAAAAGGGGGAAATCACTTACATACACATGAAAACAAACCCTTACCACCTTTGAGGCTATCATGCACATTAGAGAGACTCTGAAAGGGGACATCAGGCACTGCAGAGAGATGAGGGGAATGAGACGAGCCAGACTTGGACCTCGCATAGTCTTCCTTTCTGTACTGTTTAAATGTTCTAGCCATAAGCATTGTATTGTTTTTCTATTACTGTGTAACAATTTACCACAAATTTAGTGGCTTAAGACAACACACATTTATTAACTCAGTTTCTGTGGGTCAAGAGTCTGAGTGCAGCTTTGCTGGTGCCCGGCTCGGGGTATCACAAGGCTCAGTCAGGGTGTCAGCTGGGCCACATTCTCATCAGACACCCAACTGGGGAACGATTCTCCTCCAAGTGCCCTCAGATTATTGGCAGAATTGTTTCCCCTGAAGCTATAAAGCTCATAGCAGCTGGTGTCTTCAAGGCCAACAAGAGAGTCTTGTATTTCTTTTTTTTTTTTTTTGTATTTTTATTTATTAATTATGTCCCTACACTTCCTTGTTTTTTTCTGCTGTGTGTAAACAGTTGGGCCCATTTCCTTCCATAAATGACCATCCTCAGTATGTCAGCCACTTCCTCCATATCACGAAATGGTTGCCATGGTTCCAGCTGTCATTTGCTGCTTTCATAATTTCCAATGGAAGAAGGCAAACTGTTTCTTCATGTCTCTTTTTGAGATCACTAAGCCTAGATGGTCAGCACTCTGTACTTTCCACCCGCATGTCCCTCCATGAGCCAAAATGGTCTAGAGCTAGGCAGATGGGCTCACGTAAGTTACCAAACTCAGCCTCCAACACTTACTACATGACAATGCGTGAGTCCTTTCATCTCTCTGTGACCCAGCTTTCTCATCTATAAAAGCTGATAACAATAGTATCCATTTCAAAAAATTGTTGTGATCATTAAATGAGGTTATGGATGCATTTGAGCCCAGGGAGTTTTTAAGATCCTCACTATTGTGGTCATTGTTGTTGTTATTATTATTACTAGCCTGGGGCAGTGTCTGGCTTAACAAATACTTGAGTTGATGACTGATTGACGGGTGGGAACGCTGACATGTGTGGAACCCAAAGAAAGGAGCCGAGGTGTGGGAGAAGCAGGAGCTGACAAGCAGCTTGCATGGGACCACCCAGCACGCGGCCTCAGGCCTGGGCCGAGCCTTCGGGAGTGACTGATTCCCTGTCCGAGTGTGGACCCTGAGCCGGCGGGCCGCCCCCAGTCCGTCTGGGCCCTTTGTTTTTATCTGGCCTGCCCTGTGGCCCTCAAGCGAACGCTCCGTGTCATTACTGCGCTTGAGACGCTCAGGTACCAGCTCGTTTGTCAATCAGCACCGAGCATTTCAGTTGTCAAAGACGCAGAGGTCTTTGTGCAATGACAGCCGTCCTCCCCGCCCAGAGGGCCCCCAGCTGCTCTGTGAGGAGCCGCGAAGGAACAGCCGGCCCTGGGAAAGGGCTGATAACTGGGGCCAACCCTGGTGGCCTGCTCAGCCTGAAGAGGAGCCCAGCCCAGCCCTAGATCCACCTCAAGGGGATTTAAGGATGCAAAACAGGGCCGAGGCCTTGTGAACTGTGGCCCAGGGACTCTGTGCAATTGGACCTTCTCTTCACCGCTGCTGAATGACTCCGGATGGGTTAGCCTCTCTGAGCCTCAGTCTCCTCTTCTGAAAACATGAGAGGGTGGAACCAATCATTGCTGAGTTCTTTCAGCCTGCAATTCTACAGCCAGTTCTGGGAGGGAGATGGGCAGCCCTAGGAAGCCCGAAGGACACGCAGGTGGGAAGGTGCCAGGAGGGGCAGGGGACAGGGTTGAACTGGCTGAGGCTCATTCTCCAGACTTCACCTCTGAGGCACCCTCAGAAGTAGTGTCTGCAGGTGTCTTCCTCGCAGACCAAGGGGAGGTGAGGACCAGCACCAGCAACAATGCAACACTCGCACAAACTCGCAGAGACGACATGCTCACACGGGCTGGCATGGGAGACGGATTTTCTTCTTTAGGTCGTTGTATGGGTCTCCTGGGGCTGCTGGGACAAATGACCACAAACTGGGGGCTTAAACAATAAAAATTTACTTTCTCACACTTCTGGATGACAGGAATCCAAGGTCAAGGTGTGGGCAGGGCCATGCTCCCCCTGAGGGCTTGAGGGCAGAGTCCCTCTTTGTCTCTCGGTCACTGGTGGCTCCAGGTGTTTCCTGGCTTGCAGACGCCTCACCCCAGCCTCTGCCTCCACTCTGCATGGCCTTCTTCTCTGGGTTTCTGGGGCTTAAGTGTCCCTCCCCTATCTCTTATAAGGACACTAGCCATTGGATTTAGGGCCCACCCTAAATCGGGATGGTCTCATCTTGAGATCCTTAGTTGAATCACATCTGCGAAGACCCTAGTCTTAAGCGAGTTTCCGTTTACAGGTTCTGCGGGTTAAGACGGGGAACATTTTGGGGGTCCCCGTCCCACCCTCTGGGGGCGGCTGAAGTGCTTGAGAGGCCTGCTGTCACATGTCCTCTCAGTCCTGGCTTTCGTTTATTCGAAGCTGCCGTTCCTCCTGGGGCTGCCTGGTTACTTCCTAAGCCTGCATCTTCCATGTAACCCTGAGCTCCACGAGGGCCACACTTGCTGCTCAGCCCTCTGTCCCCAGGGGCACACACAGGATTTGGCCCAGGGTTTGTGGGTGTGTGGGGTATCATTATCCAATGAGAGAAGGCCCAAATGATTGACAGAACCAAAGTTTAGTGGCAATGGTCTCTGCGCCTCCGGGTACACTCGGTGGCTCGCGGCCACGGCTATTTGGTGCTTTCCCTTCGTGAACCATTAACTTTTTTGGAGCCTGAAGTCAAGTCCAAATGACCTGGCTTGCTGAGGTCTGGAGACCAGGGAAGCAGCCCACCAAGGGAATTTCCTTCCGAAGTTGCAGCCCATCCCCAGGGCTCCAGTGCCGCCAGGACACAAGGAGGCCAGGAGAGCTGGGAGGAGGGACAAGCCGAGTGGACGGCGCAGAGCTGCATTCTCGGCATGGAGAAGAGCCTCCAGACACAGATGCCATAAGGTGCAGGGAGAGGCCAGCCCTAAACCCTGGTTCAGTTCTGCAGCACAGTCCCCACCCCGCTCTGTCCCCCGGAACATAGCCCGAGATGCTTGTGGCTGGTTCTGCAACGTTGCCAGCTTCCTGTCATTGCCCCTTAAAAAAGAGAAAATTCCTGTTGTTTTAGGATTAAGTAATCAGCATGTCATTTATTTCTCCAAACCACAAGTTCAGGGCCTGCCGAGGAGCTGACCTTGGCACCAGGAAAATGCTGGGCTGGTGGCTGAGCCCGAACCGACTCTGGGGAAGCTGTTGCTGCCTGAATCCTGGAGGGAGGGCTGGGCTGGCTGCAAGTTCCCAGGAGCATCCCGTCGCCTGTGTAGACTCTATTTTTACCTGTGTAAAATTGAAAAGCAACAGCAGGCATGAGAAATGCCAAACTTGAGAGCTTCCTGTGGGCAGACCCTGCTCAGGGAGCTGACCTGGACTACTGTGTTTAAACTTCCTAACAGTTCTATGACGTAGGTACTATAATCACGTTATTTCACTCAAATGCAGCAGCATGGACTTAGAGAGGTTAAGAAACTTGCCCAAGGTCACAGAGCCAGCAAGCAGCAACCTCAGGACTTGAACTTAAAACTGAGCTCTTGTGATTTTTGTCTCACCCAATGCCCCAAGGGGAAGATAGAGAGCCGAGATGGTGCCGAGAACGGGACACCCCTGGTTACATTCCCATCAGAAAGAGGAAGGAGGGGCACGTGCCTCTGGCCTGTGAACTCATGAAGTCCAGGGGCAGCCCTGGAGGGGCCGTCCTGGAGTGGGAACTGCGCCCTGACCAGGCTTGGCTCTGCTCTGTGACAGGAGCACCCTGGCCTGCTCTTCCTCATAGTTCAGGGAGGTTCTTCCTCACCCTTCATCCTCTTGAGCCGCCTGTGAACACTGGGGGCCCTCCGGGGGTGGGGGAGCTGCACAGTGTTCAGGGCCACATCCCGCCTGCAGAAGGTGGGGAGACCAAGTCTTTAGCTGGCAGTACAACCCTCCTAAAAACCTAGTAGCCTTCTTAGGTTGGATTACAATTGATCTCATGAAGCAATAAACAGACCCACAGGGAGGCACAGCGTGTGTTCCAGGTGTAGCACTCAGACACACTTCTTTCCCTTTTCACCTCTCACACTTCGCATTCTGCACAGACAGTCGTTGGACTTTGCTGGGAAGGTCTCACCACTAACCTTGGCCATGAATCATTTTATCCAACT